>NC_000010.11:120995784-121620867 GCF_000001405.40 Homo sapiens
ACATCTCTTCTAATAACCCGGTTTGTCTCTTCTTGACTTCAGGCTGTCAGACTCCAAAAGGTCATGCAATTGGAGCCTTGGATAATGGCTCCCATTCACCAAGTTCCTTTAGATAAGCCTCTGAGGGAGATCTGACTGCTGTTTTCCCAAAACATCGCCCCCTGTCAGCAGGAAGCAGTTAAGATTGGTCTTCATCCCTATGCTAATGGCAGTGAGATATACCTCTTCAGAGGGGGGACATAAGAGTGGCAGGAGGCAGCCAAATGCCTAGGCCGACAGGTGCAGGTCCCCGTGAATCCCCACCTCCAAGCCAAAGACAGTTTAAAGCCTGAAAGCCAAGCTACAAGTCAACCCCTCAGATCAGATTGAGAACTTGTCTTCCTGTTTGGCATGCTTTCCTCTGATTGATCCCCACCCTTCACCTATTTTACGTATACCTGCTCTTTCCTAACTGGTTTTCTACACTGCCATACCCAGCTTTGAGTGGTGTCTTCACTTTAACCTTTTCTGCATACTCACAAACCAATCAGCATGCAGTCTCCATTCTGAGTCCATAAAAGGCCCAAGACCCAGCCACTTGGTGGGGACTTTCCCACCTTCAGGTAGGGGAACCACCCCCGCCCCACCATCCCTTCTTTGCTCAAAGCTTTCATTTTGCTTAATAAATTCTACTCCACTTAATCTCTGGTGTCCACACACCTAATTCTTCCTGGTTTTAAGACAAGACCTCGGACCTAGCTGAGCTAAGAAGCTAAGGACCACAACACTGCCACCTCCCAGGCTTGGAGGATAGCACGAACTCCAGAACTCACCAGCATTGGAAGAGTCCATAACTCTCCTCTGAGCAGACTGTGATGCTTCAGGATAAGACCAGAGCTCCCGTCTTTTCCCCAAGTGAGCCCGCCCCAAGCGTGCTTTGTTTTTCAAAGCCTCAGGAGCAAGAAATGCAGAATTAAAGCCAACAGCTCAGCTCTGACCGTGATATCAGGTTGTGTTTGTCCCCTAACCATACACAAACATGCCCTGCCCTTGCACACCCAGCGTCTGCCTGGGCTGTGTTCTGAGCCCTTGCAGTCAGCTCAGCCCACGGTGGCAAAACAAACACACAGGGCAATTCTGCAGAGAAGAGCTGCCTAGGGGCATTTGGGCCCAGATTTTATTTGAAGAAATGTGGGAGAAGCCACGGCACTCTCCCCAGAGTTCCTGCAAACACAGCATTCATGGCTGTGAGGACTGGGATGGGGACAAGCCACCTCTCCAGAGCCACCTGCCACCTTGCTCCTGTAGGGACCCTCAGCTCCAAGCAAACCTGTTTAAAAGCAAACCTCCAAGCAGACAGGCACCTGTCACCACCCACAAGCCTGACCTTCTCCCTTTCCTTTGGCTCTGCTGACCCCTTCCTGTCTGTGCAGTTCCACAACCCCTGCTGGCCCCCTGACACTGTGGTCTTCCTGGTCCAATGCTGGGCAATGGGGACCCTGAGATAAGGAAGACGGAGTGCCAGCACCCCCAGACCTCACATTCCAAGGGAGAAGTCAGGGACTTATACAGACTAATATGATTCAAGGCACTAAGAGCCCAAACAATGGGACACAGCCTGATAAACAGCCTGGAGAGTAGGGAGGCAATCAGGGAAGGTTTCCTGAAGGAGGAGAGACCTGAGCAGAGTGGAGAGTTGGCCAAGCAGAGGAACTTGAGGGCATTGTCAGCAGAGGGGATGGATGCAACACCACCTTGAGGAGATCCTTCTTCCCTGCACCTTCTCACCTCCAATCTCAACACAAATTTCTCTGTACCACCCACTGGTGTGGCCCCTGGTGTATGCTGCTCTGTGTAGCAGTGTGTTCATCTGGCTGCTTGGCATGACCAGACTGTGTGTGTGTGTGTGCGTGTGTGTGTGTGTGTTTGTGTGAAGAGAGAGGGAGAGATTTATACTCTCCTTCTACCCTCTGTGCTGTCCCCAGAACACTCTCCATTAAAGCTTGTTGAGCAAATATCAATGACAACATCTCCAGCACAGCCATTGAAGCCTCATGCTTCATCCCAAGCCTGGGGTCCAGCGCAGGCTCTGCCCCTTCCCAGCTGTGCTTCTTCAACCGTGAGATGTAGCTAATCATGGCATCAGCCTCCAGGGTTCTTGTGGTGACTATGTCAAGTGATGCATACGTGCAGAGCATTCAGCAAGTGCCTGGCACACAGAAAGTGTTAAATAAATGGTAGCTATTATTATTCTTGGTGGTATTCTAAAGCTCCCACAGCCACTGTGCCAATGCCCTGGCTGGCATTCTGGAGGCCCCAGGGCACAGTGAATAAAAGCTCCCATTTAAAGGCCAGGTCTTGGGGGTGAGTCCTGCCCTGGCTATGCAACCTCAGGTTGGTGCCTAGGAGGACCCGGGTCTCCTGTGAAGTGGCCGACTAAGGCTCTTGGAACTTTCCCAGAACAACGATCTAACTCCCCACTGCCCTCCTCCCCCAACGACTGACCATAGCTCCCAGATCTCCCATCAGTTCCCTGCTTTGGAGTCGTGGACACTGGCCCAGGGGGACTGGCCTCTGTGCCCCGAGAGCCTCTCTGGCCCCCTCCACACACTGACTCCCAGCTTGGCAGCAGGCAGCTGTAGAATTTACAACTGTCTGTCCAGCCTTGGCCTCTGCCCTTGAAGGTGGGGGATGAGCCTGGCCCTGCTGCTGGCCAGCGCTGCTCCATGGGGAGTTCCTGCTGCCTCCCACTTTGCTGCTGAGCCACTTCCTAAAACCCACAGAGGCTGAGGAGCTGCCAAGTCCTCCAGGAAAGGCTGAGGCAAGTGGTACCTGGGCAGGCAGGGTGGCATGGTGGCTGTACACACGTGCTTTTGGAGTCTTGGATCCAAATTTCAGCATTGCCCTTCCAAGTCCCAGAACCTTGGACAAGTCACTCAGTCACTCAGAGCCGCTGTTTCCCAGCTATAAAAATGGGAAAATACCAGTGCTCTCCCTTTGGGCTGATGATTGTGGAATTACATGATATTTGCCCTCAGCCTAGTGCCTATGTCAAGGAACAATAGATGTCTTCTTAAAAAAGAATGTGCTATTAGCCTAAAGCTGCCAATCAAGTTCCAGAAGCAAACAGTGCACAAAATGGGCATCTCCTGAATCACAAGTGGCCGCCTTTACAGCTTGACTTGGGGACCCAGGAAGGTGAGAGACAGTAAACAGACCGGAGGAGATGCTACCTGGGCCTGCAGGAGGAGCAAGGGGTGCAAATGTAGGGTGCAGGTCCCAAAGGACCCAGGGAGGGGAGGAGGGGAAATACCCACTCCTGGGCGGGCCCTGCAGAGGGAGTCTGTGCACTCAGCACAGAGAAAGGCCCTGGCAGTGGGTTTCCCTTGGGTGGGGGGATCCCTGATGCTCAGCCCTGCAGCGGTGCAGAGCAAAGGGGCGCTGAGGGTGGCCCGATGGCACCTTCTTATCTGAGTGATGTAGCTGGGGGCTCAGCTGGCCTGTGGAGTGCCTAGGAACAACTTGCCAGAAGCCAGATTGGTATTGAGTGCACTGTGGCTGGAGCTGCCATTCGGTTGGACTCCAGGGGGTAAAGGGAGGAAACATGGCTGAAATGGCGGGGGGAACCCAGGGGCTGCCTTGCTGGGCATGAAGTGTTTTCTGGAGCACCGGAGTGATTAGAACTGCTTCCCTCCACAAGGCAACTCCTCTGTTTGGGCTTTCACACCGGGGGAGATGCTCTTTTCCTCTTTCCTGTGATTTTTTGTGGTGAGTAGACACTGGCCTTCTCGACTGGAACCTGAAGGTCAAGAAAGAACGAGGGTAGAAAGGAAGCCTCGGTTCTTAGGGACCACCCAAGGGTCTTAGGATGAAGCCCCTGGGAGGGACCCCCTGCACAACTCCCTCTGGATCCCGTGATCATGGAGCGGGAGAACAGCTGGTGAAGGCTGCAGGGGTTTCACATCCCAGGTCTTGGCCAATTTGCTTCCACCACAGACATGATTCTGAGTGACAGAAAGTGTGCTGCTGGCACAGGAGGCCAACAGGACGTCCGGGAGTTGTGAGGCTCCAAGATTGAGAGGGCTATGGCCTCCTTACTCTTTGAGTCACTACTGAATGCTGCCTCCTTATAGAAGCCTCCCCGCGCCAGGTTTCTCTATGACCTGTGCTCTCTGTTTCTTCCACGGTGCAAATTACCATTTGTAATTACGTATCAATTTGCTCCTTTGTTCTCTAGAATAGAAGCTTCTGGAAGAAAGGGGCCTGGTGTACCTATTCTCTATGGTATACTTGACATGCCACTAGGGGGCAAAGAGGACAAAAGGGCTTCAGAGAAAGGCCTAGACATGCGTTGCTGAAAGCATTTGACATTTGGGCTGAGGTGGTGGGGGAGAAGGCAACAGCAATTTCTAGGCACGGGAAGAGTTATGTCATGCAAAGTGTAACCTGGCACAGAGCAGGGGAGAGACTGGAGACCAGGAGACAAGTTTGGAGGCCACTGCCATGGGTTAGCTGAAACAGGGAGGGGACTTGGAGAGTGGGGCATGGCCCACCAGAGAGGAGATAGGAGAATCTTCCAGACCCTAAAGCCAACAGAGAAGAGCCAGTTCATGCAGACAGGAGATACAGCGGGAAGTCAGAGCACGTGTCCATTCATTAACGGGGTAGTGCCATCATCCAGGAGGGAGTGGGGCTGCAGGGATGGAGACATGGAGTGGTCATCATAAGGAACGTGTGCTTGAAGCTACTGCAATTCTAAAACAAATTGGAGAAACAGATTTTCACCATAGACTTTCATTCTACCACTCTGGAGTTCCAATTTGGCCCAGATTCTGATCACCCAAAGCAGAAACATAGAGGAGAAGGACGCTGGCCAAATGCCCTCGGTGCCTTTGGGGGTCCAGTCAGTCTCCCCTCCAGTGGCTTTGTGTTCACTGTCAGCAGAGCACACACCTCCCTGCCACTGGAGGCCACAGCAAGTCCCTGCAAGACCCACAGAAAGCTGAACCTTGTTAGCTTTCAGTTCCCACCAGCACCTCTAGGAAGCCCAGCGGAATGGGGGAGAGCTCCTGTACTCCCCCTGCACTGCCTTCTGCTGCTGTTCGTGTCAAAGATGATGATAAAGGCAGGGAAAGGGGATGAAAGGGGAGTGAGTTCAGAGACAGGGACAACAAGGAGTGCTGTCCATAGAGCCACTGAATCCACTTAGAGAAGAGCCCACAGCCTTCAGGCTGGCCCCTTTCAGGAATCTGTAATGTGCCCCCACTCTGTGAGTAGCAGACCCTCCTCTGAGTGTGGAATTACATGGACTCACATATCACTGCTTAACCCACTAGGGTCCTTCCCATCCACACAACCCTTTTTATAGCTTGCAATGACTGAAGGTTTAGCTAGTTCCAAGAGAAATGCCAAGGAGCTGGTCTTAAACAAGTTCCCCTTGTCCTTCACTGGCAACTTGCACTTCCAACTCGGGTTTTCTGACTCCCTGCTTGAACATTTCTGGGCTGGCCTCCTGGCCATCAGCTCTAGATCATTCGCCTCCCAAGCCTCTCTACTTCCTGTCTCTTCTTCCCATTCCATGGAAAATGCAAACCTTCTGTGTAGAGCAAAGGCCTGTCAATCAAAGTGCAACTCACAGACAAAAGAATCACCGCAGTGGGTGGCTTCAGAACTGTGTGGCTGCCAGAGCTGCCTGAGTCAGTGGAGACTGTGAACCTCCACTCGGGTGAGGAGCAGGCTCCCTCCTGGGCTCCTGCTCTGGGACAATGGGTGGGGAAAAGGGAATGAGTGTGTATTCTGTGCCTTTTCATTCCGAGCTTTAAACACATCATCTATGTCGTTGATCCCTCACCACCATCCTGAAAGGCAGACTCTGTTATCCCCACTTTACAGATGAACAAGCAGATGCTCCAAGAAGTCACATGACTTTCCCAATGCCATCCTCCTTACCAGGGACAGAGGCAGGATTTGAGTAGTTTTGACCCTAACACTGCTTCTCTTTCCCAAGCATTTGACAGGAAGCTGTCTGCAATGCTAGCAGCTATTAATGTCATCAGGACACAAAATCTAGTAAGGCGACAAAATATTTGAAACCAGGACTGACCTGGAGAATTTCAGTGTCAGGAGGCCACCTGTAGGGATTGGTGGAGGTCCTGAACCTCCCTGTGACTTCTGGAGCAGCCAGCACCTCGAGCCATCTACAGGGTGGGGCAGATTTCCTCCATCAGGCTCAGGTGGCATCTCCTAGCTTTTGCCCAGCCAGGACATTGCTAGCTGACATCTCCTTCATTCCCATCTCACCCCCACTCATTACTGCCAACATCATTCACATATATCCTCCCTCCCTTCTGTTCTCCTTGCTAATTACACACATGTTTCTAGATACTCTCTCAATTCTGGTTGTCTTCAAGCCAAATTTAGGGCTCTGGCACCAATCGTTGCTGCCAGGGGGCTTCTCAGAGACTGGAAGCACCAAGTGTGATGTCTTTGCCTCAGGAACATGTCTGCAATCATGTCTGCTGAGCTCTAACCCCAGAGGTTGTGATTCTTGGGAACTATATCAGGGCCCAGGAATTTGCATCTTAACAGGCTCCCCAGGGAATTCTGATGCTGGTGGTCTGGGCATTGCACTTGGAGAAGCTCTGAATGAAACCATTGCAGAATGAATGCAAACTTTTTAAGTGAAAAAGGAGGTGGAAAATATACTTAGAGAGGTGGTGGCGGTGGGAAGGGATGCTGGGGGTGGGAGGGTGCCGGGAATTAACATACATGGAGCTCCGGCTAGGAGCTGGTTACTTTTGATATCTCATCACCTTTGGGCCCTACAACAGCCTTGCAACAGACACCTTATTTGCCCTTTTCACAAAAGAAGGAAGCAAAAGTCCAAGGAGGTTAAGAGACATACCCAAGTTTTCATGGACTGTCAGTAAAGACCTGGAATTTGAAGCTACATCTGCCTGATTCCAGAAGCTTTCACAACCTGCCTTGCCCCACTGATGACTCAGAAGGTACCAGCTACCGGATGCTTTTATACAGGGCTGGGCACAGAGTCAGCTTTCAAAACATACCTGCTAGATGAATGAAGAACGAGTGAATGAATGAGAAAATGAAATAATAAAACTGCTTTGAGATCATGGAAAGTAGCCCAAGAGGTTCCCTCTGTGACCTCATGCTCAAACTTCCTCTCCCACTGTTTCTTTAATCTGAAAGGTGACTCCACTAAATTTGCCCCGTTGATAAGGCCATGCAGCTCACCTGCACCTGTTATCAGCAACCTGAATCCAAACAGGAAGCCAAGGCTGAGATAAGATCGAGGAAGGCAACGCCTGGAATCATTACAAGGCTGGAATTAGTTTGTTGCCATAAGTAATCTATTGAGCACCTCCTAAGTGCCAAGCTCTGTGCCAGGCCCCAAGGATAACGCAGGAAACCAGGCAGTCCCTGCCCTTGAATGTCTTACAATCTACTGGGGAAGGAAAGTGGGTGTTGAAGAAATAATTACGAATGGGATGAGTGATACAGAAAGGAAGAAGTATGAGGCCAGGCAGTCACAGCAAACCTTCCTGAGGACACACCCTGTAGGCTGGGAGCTGAGCAATGAGGAGCTAGCCAGTTCTTGAAGCTAGGGGAGCCACCTACCGCTCTTCACATCACAACTATCCCAGAGCAAAAAGGTGCTTGCTTTTGTGTTTCTTGCCCCTGCTCAAAATGGCTTTCCACAGGCGATTACCCATGGTCAAGCTTTGCTTTCTCTCTGCTTCTACTCTCCTGCATTACCAGGGTTTTTCCTCCAGCAATAATGGCCAAGCCCTGCACTTTTCACTCAGGCCTCCTGCTGCCTCTCCCAGCTGCCTTCAGCCAGTGTCTGCCGAAGCCCCCTTGTAGCGGCCTAGGCAGTTGATTTCTAAACTTTTTTTTCTTTTTTGTGAAAATTATTTTTATAGAGTTCGAAAGTACACGTGCAGTTTTGTTACATGGAGATAGTGTGTAGTGAATGAAGTGTGGGCTATTAGTGTAACCATCACCCAAATAGTGTACATTGTAGCTATTAGGTAGTTTCTCATTCCCCACCACCTCCCACCTTTCTGAGTTTCCAATGTGTATTATTCCACTTTATATGTCCATGTGTACACAGTTTAGCTCCCACTTATAGGTGAGAACATGCAGTATTTTACTTTCTGTTTCTTAGTTATTTCACTTAAGATAATGGACTCCAGTTCCATCCACATTGCTGCAAAAGACATGATTTCATTCTTTTTATAGCTGCATAGTATTTTGTGGCGTGTGTGTGTATGATGTTGGCTACGGGTTTGTTGTATATGACTTTGCTTATTTTAGGTTATGTTCCTTTGATGCCTACTTTGTTGAGTTTTTATAATGAAGGGATGCAGAATTGCATCAAATGCTTTTTCCATATGTTTTGAGATGATCATATGGTTTTTCCTCTTATTCTGTTTATGTGATGAATCACATGTATTGATTTGTGTATGTTGAACCATCCTTGCATCCCTGAAATAAAACCCACTTGATTGTGGCTTATTATCTTTTTGATGTGCTGTTGGATTCAGTTTGTTAGTTTTTTGTTGTTGTTGTTGTTTTGTTGAGTATTTTTGAGGATCTGTGTTAATCAGGGATATTGGTCTGTAGTTTTCTTTTTTTGTTGTGTCCTTGCCTCATTTAGGTATCATGGTGATACTGGCTTCATAGAATGAGTTAAAGATAATTCCCTCCTCCTTGATTTTTTTGGGACAGTTTCAGTAGCATTGGTATCAGTTCTTTGTATACATGGTAGAATTCAGCTGTGAATCCATCTGGCCCTCGGCCTTTTTTTTTTTTTTGGTTGAGGGATTTTTTTATTATTATTACTGATTCAATCTGACTACTTGTTATCGGCCTGTTATTTGCTCTCTATTTCTTCCTGATTCGTTCTTGTGAGGTTGTGTGTTTGTAGATGTTTATCCATTTCCCCTAGTTTTCCAGTTTGTGAAGATAGAGATGCTCGTAACAGTCCCTGATGCTCTTTTGTATTCCTGTGGTATCAGTTGTAATGTCTCCTTTTCATCTCTGATTTTACTTATTTGAATCTTCTCTCCTCCTGATTAGTCTAGCTAGTGGTCTATCAATTTTGTTTATTTTTTCAAATAACCAACTTTTTGTTTCATTGATCCTTTGTATTTTTTGTCTCAATTTCATTTATTTCTTCTCTTTGTAATTCCTTTCCTTCTGCTAGCATTGTGTTTGGTTTGTTTGTTTGTTTGTTTTTGTTCCTTGTGGTGTGACATTAGGCTGTTAATTTGTGTTCTTTTTATTTTTGTTCTGTAGGCATTTACCGCTATAAACTTTCCCCTAAGCACTGCCTTTGTTGTATCCCAGAGGTTGTGATATGTCGTGTCTCCATTTCCATTTGTTTCAAAAATTTTTAAATTTTCATCTTAATTTCATTGTTAACACAAAGATCATTCAGGAGCAGGTTGTTTAATTTCCATGTATTTTTATTGTTTTCATAGTTTCTCTGGGAATTGATTTCTAGTTTTATTCCACTGTGGTCTGAGAAGATACTTGATAAGATTTCAATTTTTTGAAATTTATTGAGACTTGTTTTGTGGCCTAACATATGCTCTATCTATACAGTTCTATGCACTGTATATTCTGCAGTCATTGGGTAAAATGTTCTGTAAATGTCTGCTAGGTCTATTTGGTCTAGATGCCTAATTAAGTCCAGTGTTTCTTTGTTGAATTTCTATCTCATTGATCTGTCTAGTGTTGTCAGTGGGGTGTTGAAGTGCCCCACTATTATTGTATTTCTGTCTGTCTCTTTTCTTAGGTTTAATATTTAATAGTATTTGTTTTATGAATCTGGCTGCATTGGTGTTGGGTTCACATATATCTATGATTGTTATAACTTCCTGGTGAATACATTCTTTTATCATTATATAATGACTGTCTTTTTTTTTTCTTACTGTTGTTGATTTAAGGTTTATTTTTATTTTATCTGATGTAAGTATAGCTTCTCCTGATTGATTTTGGTTTCTGTTTGCATGGAATATCTTTTTCTACCCCTTTACTTTGAGTCTATATGCCTTTACCAGTTATGTGGGTCTCTTGTAAGCAGCATATGTTTAGATATATTTTTAAATCAATTCCAACAATCTATATATTTTAAGTGCATTTGATCCACTCACAATCAAAGTTAATACTGATGTATGAGTATTTGCTCGTCATAATGTTGTCACCTAACTGCGTTGTAGTCTCATTTGTGTAATTGTTTTATAAGACCTGTGATTTTTATACTTTTATGTGTTTTTGTAATGTTAAGTATCAACCTTTTGTTTACATGTTTAGAACTTCCTTGAGCATTTCTTGAAGGACTGGTCTAGTGATAACAAATTCTCTTAGTGTTTGCTTGTCTGGGAGATACTTTATTTCTTCTTCATTTATGAAGCTTAATTTAGCAGAATACAAAATTCACGGTTGAGAGTTTTTCCTTTAAGTCTGAAAATTGAACCCCAATTTCCCCTGGTTTGTAAGGGTTCTGCTGAGAAATCTGCTGTCTCATGGAGTTTCCTTTATAGGTGATTAGACACTTTCCTCTTGGTGACTTTAGAATTTTTCCCTTACTTTGGCTTCAGATAGTGTGATGACTATATGTCTTGGTGAAGTATATCTTGCAATGTATTTTATTGGAGTTTTCTGAGCCTCTTGTATCAGGATACTAAATCTCTAACAAGACTAGGGAAATGTTCCTCAGTTATTTCCTCGAATAGGTTTTTCCAACATTTTTTCTTCTGACTCAAGTATACCTATGACTTGTAGGTTTGGACGTTTTACATAATCCCATACTTCTTGAAGGCTTTGTTCATTTTAAAAAAACTTTTTATTTTTGTCTGACTGGGTTAATTCAAAAGACTTGTTTTCAAGCTTGGAGATTCTTTTTTCTGCTTGGTCTAGTCTATTATTAAAGCTTTCAACTGTATTTTGTAGTTTCTTCAATGAATTTTTCATTTCCAGAAGTTCTATTTGTTTTTGTCTTTTAAAATATCTATGACTTTGGTTAATTTTTCATTTATATTCTGAATTGTTTTTCTGATTTCTTTATATTGTTTTCAACTTTCTCTTGGATCTCACTGAGCTTCTTTAAAATCAGTATTTTAAATTATTTACTTGGTATTTCAAATATTTCATTTTGGTTAGGATCCATTGCTAAAGACTCAGTGTGTTCCTTTGTGGGTGTTGTAACAGTTTTTTCATACTTTCACAATTGTTTCTCTGCCCTTCTCATCTGAATAAACTATCTCTTTTTATTATTTTTTAATTTACTTTCATCTGGATAGGATTTTTCCCTCCTTGATGTTGTGTAGGGTCGTTTGGCTTTGGTTCTGAGTGCTTTCATTGGCCATGACTCTATATGAGTTCCTTGGTTATAGATAGCCATTGTGTGGTGGCTTTCTCATATTCTGGTTGTAGTAGTAATATACTGGACATGTAAGCAGGCTCACAGCCTCCTGCAGAGCCAGGGTGGCAGAGGTCTCAGGAAGTATACCTGTTCTCCAGTGCACACGTGTCAGCAGCTTCTGTGTGTGGTAAGATTTTGTGGGTAAGAGCTGGCTTCAAGAGAAGCAGATGGTATATGCTTGATTTTGTTTACTGGGAAAGTCTCTCTGTTGCCTCAGGCAATGGGCTGATCTGTGGAATGTAAAGTGGCCTGAATTGCCTGCTCAGCCCCAGATGCAGGGAGAGGGGAATAAAGCTGAGTGGAGCTGGACTGCCAAGCCTACCACTTGGATACTCCAATGGTGAGCAAAAGCACTAGCCCTGATGGGGGTGGTGGGGGAGCTCCCGGTGAAATGCACCAAGGTCTCCATGGTGGGGGTAAGGAGGCTACCCCAGATCCACAGCCTGAGCAAGCAGGAACATGGTCCACTACCTTGTCACTGATTGCTAAGCTTTCAAGGATTTTGTGAGCTGGCTAAACAAAGCTATATTAAAAATTAAGTTAGACATACAATTAAATAAATCATACTATATTTTATTAAAGTCAAAGGTCATAAATACTCAAAACTCATTACTTCCTAAGTATTTTACTCCTATTATTTATGTTCTGGAGGAAATTTACATCTATTGTATCTGTATAGTATTTAACAATGGTATATGTACAGTGGTATATGTAACAGTGGTACTGTGCATCTCTTCCCAATTCTGCATTCAGTGACATGAACTTAATAGTTACAAATGGCCATGATGGGAGTATTTATACCACAGGAATTGGTGTAAGTTGTTTTGTTTATTGTCTGAATTTAACAAAGTGTTGAGAAAAATCTAATAATATAATTAAATTATATAATTAAACTTAAAAGTGTGTCCTATATAGCAGTTTTCTAGCATTAGACAACTATTATCGGATTCAGCAAAGAAGTTGCTCACATCACTGAGTGAAGTTTCAACATATATCTTAACTATTTCATTTTTGTCTCATGAAAATACCAACCAATCAACATTCATTAGTTGTACATTCATTGGAATTTTTCAATGATGTGACTGATTTTGCTCATTAAAATAGTCATCAGGCATTTATTCATAGTCTGATTTTGTCACAGTATGGAGTTGCAAATTATAAAAACCATAAATTTTCCATGAAATAGGAAGTCACACTGAAGATATGACTTTATATAGGTATATAGAATTTTCAATTAAGATTATTGGATATTTTTATTGTTTATAAATTCTGTGCTGCAATTCTTTTTTTTTTTTTTTTTTTTTGTGAGACAGAGTCTGGCTCTTTCACCCAGGCTGGAGTACAGTGGCATGATCTTGGCTCACTGCAACCTCCACCTCCCAGGTTCAAGTGATTTTCCTGCCCAGCTAATTTTTGTATTTTTAGTAGAGATGGGGTTTTGCCATGATGGTAAGGCTGGTCTCAAACTCCTGGCCTCAAGTGATCCACCCACCTCGGCCTCCCAAAGTGCTGGGATTACAGGTGTGAGCCACGGCACCTGGCCTGTAATTCTTTATGTCAGTTCAATTTATGATAAACTTATGTTCATATGTACATATACTTTCTTTTTTCAAAAACTGGGTTGTCCTTAGCCCTTCTGCCCTGTTTTCTCTCCTGTAGCCTGAAGTGTTTGGAGAATTCCACCCAATTATGTTGAGGAGCTACTTCTCTGCCCAGGCAGGTCTCTATCCATTTCTAACATTTTCCTTCATGGGTTCACAAACCAGTTTTCATTTTAAAGGTAAGCCTTCCCTCTCCTCCACTTTTAAAATATTTAAAACTCACAACATTTAAATAAAGGAAAATATAGGTAAATAATGGGGAAGCCCCATGGCCAAGAGCAAATCTGAAGCATCGTGGCTGCAGGCCCTTCATGGCCAGCATTTTTCCCTGGCTCTGAAGTACATTGGCTGGGAATTCTGGAGTACTGGCACTGTGACCCAGACACCATACCTGGGCCTCTGCATCTGCCATCTTCTTTCAGACTTTTCACTGGGAAAGCCTGAGGGGCTGTCCCTCTCCTGTATTGTTTGCTTCAAGGTCCAGCTCACTTCTTTCAGAAGTTTCTAGACCTTTCTAGAAAAGACTGAGAAGGTTCAAGGTGTACAGGGCTAATAATACTATCACGGAGCTGAATCTGAGGTAAGATGTCTGCCACCTACCATTTTTATTATCCCGGGTACCACAGGATTCTCTCATTGTAATGTTTGATTATATAATTGGGTCTCCCTAGACATTGCCAGAAATACCTGAAGTCTTATGTGGGTCAGGAGTCCATGGTAGTCAGAAGTAAGACATTTGGCTTTTAGTTCAGTGACTCAGGGGAACATGGAACAGATATGAGTTACAGCTACTGGGCACCTGACACTTTGCTCAGACATTTAATGGGTTCCCACTTAATCCTTACTGAAACCCCATGAAGTGGATCCTATGACTATGCCTGTAAACAGATGAGGACAACAGGGCTGAGAGAGTTAACTCAATGTGCTGGAGTCCCACAGGTGATGAGTGGAGACTCAGGTTACAAACTTGTTCTCTCCCCTGGTCCTGCTGACTTGCTGCCCAGTTTGTCACACCCTCTGGCCTATGACCTCTCCCACTGTGGCCACAAGTGCACTTCTGTAGGTATCAGGACCAGATGGGACCAATGACTTGAAAGAAATCACTCTGCCAGATATCAGAAAATCTGATCAAAATGTGAGCAAATGAAAGCAACTTAATCATTTTCTCTGACTTAGTTTTTCTGTTTGTAAAATAGGTTGTTAAGAAGTCTAAGCGAGAAAATCTGCAGAGTGCCTGACACACAGTTCTGTAGGGTCAACTTTAATTAATCCTACATGAGATGGCACTCATAAACCACAAAGAAGAGAGACTGCCACATACGGTGTGTTCAATAAGTAATTTTCCTTGTTATTACTAATATTTTCTGACCTTTATTAGAACAATACTGAACCTCCTGCTTCTAAAATACCCACCCGCTGTAGAAGTTCCAGTAGCTGTCCTGCTTTTCCAGGACACACTGGGTTACAAATCAGGCATCTGTGGACCAGTTTAGGATCCTACCTATAATCTTTAATATTATTTGTACTGGAGTAGAAGTGTGTTCTGAGTTCCAAGTAACTGACTTATACGTTGTTTGAAAACAAAGCCCATTTGTAGCTATGAATACTCCATGGCCTTCAAACACTTGCAGCAGGGTCAGGGGGTGCACAGAATCCTTTGTTCAAATGACATCTTATATGTTAACCTAAGATATAAAACAGGTTCTGCAATGAGCAAGTACAGTTGAGGAAGAGGGGGTAGAGGTGGCCTAGAGCCTGCACCCCTCACCAGAGTCCTGCCAAGCATGGTATAAGACTCATCTCATACTATTATCAGCTTGAACTTCTAAAGACAAGCCGGATTATTTGGTTTATTGAGAATGGTTATGTGTCCATCATACGGGGCTACTTACGACACATGAAATGCCTTTAGCTGGAGGCTCTGTCTTATTTTTAATATGCCTCTGTTAAGCAGAAGTAATCATTTCATGATCATGGCAAGTTAATGGGGTTACTTTGCTGAACCCTGAGATATTACCAATATTACTTCCCATGGATCAAACAAAGTAGATCAAAGTCAAAGTTTTCAAAATCCTCCTGCAAAAGGAAATTTCTCCAGGCAAAACTTTGAGGTTTTCACAGTTTTGAAAAGTAGCCTTGACTCTCTTCTAGTCACGACAATATAAAAATCCTTTTATTTGTGCCAGGCAGGAATATATTTCTCCTCAGAAACTATTTTATAGATTACAGGTCATTTTCTACTTTCTTTTTTATTCCTGTAGTAATTATCTTCCTTTAAGAAAATGTTAGCACAGCGTTCAGTAGGCATGTTGAGGCAGATAAGCCGTGCAAGCCAACCCAGCTATAGAACAGAGTTGTTTCTGCAAGCCTTCTAAATCCCAGGACCCACATAGTTAAATGTCAGGGCAGCATTGCATTCAAGAAGCCATAGTCTTGTGGCCAAAAAAGTAATTAAAAAGGAATTCCAAACCCTACCAGGCCTCCTCAAAACTGGGACAGGGATCCAAATTCAGTCTACAGCAACAATTTCTTCTCTCACCAGCTCCCTGCACCCACCCACCTGCTAGGTTTCTGGAGCGTCTCTCTCTCCATAGGTCTTCTGTGCTTTTCTTCACACCAGCCCTGCACTGAGGTGGCAATTATAGGACTATCTTGGTTGGGCAAAGGAATGGTGGTGGGGAGGAAAGTCTGAATAGCCTCTCTTCACCTTAATAACTTTGGCCTGAGGTTTGCTGTGTTCTAAATTATATCCTCATTATTGCCTGATTTTGTGCAATAGTACAAATAGATTATACAACCTGGCGTACTTCACTGAACCAGCTAGTTCAGTGAAGCAATATTTAGTTCTGTTACTTTACAAGTTCTTAGTAGCCCAAATGGCAAAGAAAATCAGATCCCAGTAACAATAAGAGAATTATTATGACCACTCTTTCTCATAGGATAAATAAGAGACTCCATGTATTCTTCTATTTGCACGTTTAATCCATTGTCATTAAGGTTAAATTAAATAAAGTTATTACTCTGAAAATGCAATGAAAGACTTCTGGTTTCTAGTCTAACATGTAAGGAGATTGGAATAAACCACCTGATACTAACACGTAAAAAAGCTAAACAACTAGAAAAGTCAATGAATCTTAGATCTGTCAGAAAAGTAAGTGCACAGGGCAAAAAGCTGTCGCCCAAATTGGAGAGACAGGCAGGTGGATACAGAGAATCACAACTTATCAGAGTAGAAACCCACAAGCAGAAACTTCTCTGTGAACAAGTGCAAGGATAGGAAAACCTAATTGTAACTGAAAGTGTTGAAGGAAAAAACTCACCAACTAAGAATTCTACATCCTGCAAAATTATTATTCAATAGTAAAGGAGAAATAAGGACTTTCTTAGATAAACAAAAATTGAGGGAATTTGTTGCCAGTAGACCTGCCTTGCAGGAAATGTTAAAAGGAATTCTTCAGAGAGAAGGGAAATGATATAAGTCAGAAACAGGGATCTGAATAAAGGAAGGGCATCAGAAAATAATTAAGTGAAGGTAAAATGAAAACTTTTGTTTTTCTAATTCTTTTTTTTTTTTTTGAGATGGAGTTTTGCTCTTGTTGCTCAGGCTGGAGTGCAATGGTGCAATCTCAGCTCACCACAACCTCTGCCTCCCAGGTTCAAGTGATTCTCCTGCCTTAGCCTCCCAAGTAGCTGGGATTACAGGCATGTGCCACCATGCCTGGCTAATTTTGTATTTTTAGTAGAGATGGGGTTTCTCCATATTGGTCAGGCTGGTCTCCAACTCCTGAGCTCAGGTGATCCTCCCATCTCAGCCTCTAATTCTTAATTGATCTAACAGATAACAGTTTATTCAAAATAATATCACCAATCTACTCGATAATGTATGCTTACATTATATAAATATGTATTCCTATGTATGCTTACGTTATGTAATATATATATTCCTATGTATGCTTATGTATAAGTGAGAAGAATGACAGCAATGATACAAGAGATGGAAAGCAAGAATTAGGAATATTTTGTTATTATAAGATACTTACACTACCTATGAAGTGGTATAGTGTTATTCGAAAGTCGACCTGGATTAGCTGTAAAGGGATAGGGCAAACTCTAGGGCAACCATAAAAAAAAAAAAAAAGAAGCATAACTGACATACTAAGAAAAGAAAGAAAATGGGATCATATGGAATGTTCAATTAGAATTACAAAAGGCAGAAAAAAGTGTAGAAGACAAAAAAAGGAGTGAAGAAAAAGGGCACTAAATAGAAAACAGTAATAAAGATGGTAGATGATAATTCAACTATATCAATAATCATTTCAAATATCAGTGTCTAATACAGCAATTAAAAGACAGAGATTGTCAGAGTGAATCCAAAACAAAACTCAACTATATCATGTCTACAAGAAACCCACTTTAGCTATGAAGACACATATATATTAAAAGTAAAGGAATGGAAAAAGATATACCATGTTAACACTAATCAAAAGAAAGTAAGAACAGCTTATTAATTTCAGACAGACCCAACTTTAGAACAAGAAAAGTAATCAAGCAGGAAAAAGAGGAGCATTACATAGGGATAAAAGGTCAATATTCCAGGAAGACATAACAATCTTTAATGTGTATGTACCTAACAAAAAGAGTGTCAAACTCCATGAGGCAAAAAATGACTGAACTATAAAGAGAAATAGATGAATCCATTACTATAGTTGCATACTTCTACACTCCTCTACCAGAAATGGACAGATACAGCAGGCAGAAAATCAGTAAGGACATAGCTAAACATAATACCACCATCAAAACACTGGATATAATGGAAAGCTATAGACTACTTCATCTAAAACCAGCAAATTATATATTTTCTTAAGCTCACATGGGGCCTTCACTGAGATAGACCACATTCTGGGGCCATAAAACCCATCTTAACGTATATAAAGCAATAAAAATCATACAATCTCTGCTTTCAGTCAACAGTGGAATTAAACTACAAGTCAATAACGGAAAGTTAAAAAAATCCCAAAATACTTGGAGATGAAGCAAGACTTTCAAATAACACATGGATCAAAGAAGAAATGGCATGAGAAATTTAAAAAAACATTTTGAAGTAAGTAAAAAGAAAATACAACTTAGCAAAACTTGTGGGATGTACCACAAGCAGCATTTAGAGGAAAATTAATGCCATTAAATGTATATATCAGAAAAGAAGAAAAATCTGAGATTAATAATAATTTAACCTTCCATCTTAGGAAATGAAATGAAGAACAAATTAAATCCACAATAAGCAGAAGAAAAGAAATACTAAAAACTAGAGCAGAAATCAATGAAATTGAAAACAATAAATCAACAGAGAAAGTTAACAAAACCCAAAACTCATTCTTTGAAAAGATCAATAAAATCAATAAATTTCTAGCTAAGCTAACTAAGAATAAAATAAAGAAGACAGAAATTAATCATATTAGAAATTAAGTTGGGCATGCTGGCACATGCCTGTAGTCCCAGCTACTTGGGAGGCTGAGGCAGGAGGATCACTTGAGCCCAGGAGTTCCAAGTTTCAGTAAGCTATGATCATGCCATTGAACTCCAGCCTTGGCAACAGAGTGAGACCCTGTCTCTAAAAAAATAATAATAATAATAAACATTACCTATGTAACAAACCTGCACATTCTTCACATGTATCCTGGAACTTTAAATAAAATAACAATTTAAAAATAATAATAAAATACAAAAGAAATTAAAGAGGGGACATCACCTTAGATCTCATAGATCTTAATAGGATAATAAAGGAATATTATGAATAATTTTATATCCACAAATTTGATAACCTATGTAAAATGAAGTAATTCCTTTGTCTCAGTCTATTTTGTGTTGCTATAGCAGAATACTAGAGACTGGTAATTTGTTAAAAAAAAGAAAAGAAAAGATTTATTTGGCTTATCATTCTGATGGCTGGAAAGTTCAAGATTGATCATATGCAGAGATCACATGATGAAAGAGGAAGCAAGAGAGAGGGGAAAGTTGCCAGGCTCTTTTTAACAACCATCTGACAGGAAATAATAGAGGGAGAACTCACTCACCCCTGAAGGAAGGCATTTATCTATTTATGAAGGACCTAACCCCATGATCCAAACACCTCCCATGAGGCCCTACCTCCAATACTGGAGATCAAATTTCATACAACAGTACAAGGGTACAAAAATCTAAACCACAGCATTCCTTGAAAGACAAAATCTGACAAAATTCACACAAGAAAAATAGACAATCTGATTAGAGCTACTGTTACATAAATTAAATCAATAATTAATAACATTTTAAAACATAAAGCACCAGGCCCAGATGGGTTACTGGTAAATTTTACCAAACACTTAAGAAAGAAATTATACTAATTCTCTACATTATTTTTCAGAGGATGGAAGCAGAGAGAATACTTCCTAACTCATTCTGTGAGCCCAGCATTACCTTAATATCAAAACCAGACAAAGACATTACAAGAAAAGAAAACTGCATACCAGTATCTCTCTAAAACACAGATGCAAAACCTTTAACAAAATATTAGAAAATCAAATCCAAATATTTATACGAAGAATTGTGCACCATGACCAAGTGGGATTTATTTCAGAGATGCAAGGCTGGTGCAACATTTGAAAATCAATTAACATAATTCACCACAGAACATCCTGAAGAAGAAAAAAATCACACAATCATATCAACAGATACAGAAAAAGCATTTGACAAAACCTGACACCCATTTATAATAAAAACTCAGCATGGCCGGGTGTGGTGGCTCACACCTGTAATCCCAGCACTTTGGGAGGCCGAGGCGGGCAGATCATGAGGTCAGGAGATAGAGACCATCCTGGCTAACACAGTGAAACCCTGTCTCTACTAAAAATACAAAAAAATTAGCCGGGCATGGTGGCAGGCACCTGTAGTCCCAGCTACTTGGGAGGCTGAGGCAGGAGAATGGCGTGAACCCAGGAGGTGGAGCTTGCAGTGAGTTGAGATTGCGCCACTGCACTCCAGCCTGGGTGGAGTGACTCCAGAGCGAGACTCCATCTCAAAACAAAACAAAACAAAACAAAACAAACAAACAAACAAAACCTCAGCAAACTAGGAAGAGGGAACCTTCCTTAACTTAATAAATAACACTGACAAGAAACTTCCCTCTAAGATCGGGAACAAGAAAAGGATATTGCCTCTTCCCTGCTTTTCAACATCATACTGGAAATTCTAGCTAATGCAATAAGGTAAGAAAAGGAAATAGGTATAAAGATTAGGAAAGAAGAAAGAAAACTATTTTTGTTTGCAGATGACATCATCATCTATGCAGAAAATTTAAAAGAACGGACAAAAAAACTCCTGGAACTAATAAGTAGTTATAGCAAGGTTGCAGGGTACAAAGATAATGTACAAAAGTCAATTACTTTTCTATATAGCAGCAATGAACAAGTAGAAGTTGAAATTAAAAACACATTACTGTTTACATTAGCAATCCCGCAAAGTACTTAAGTATAAATATAACAAAATATGTATAAGATCTACATTAAGAAAACCACAAAACTCTGATGAAAGATATCAAAGAATTAAATAAATGGGAGATGTTCAGTTCATGAAAAGGAAGTCTTAATATTTTTGATATGTTGGTTCTTCCCAGTTTTATCTGTGGATTCAACACAATACTAATTGAAATTGCAGCTAGTTATTTTGTGGATATTGACAAACTGGTGCTAAAGTTTATATGAAGAGGCAAAAGACCCAGAATAGCCAACTTAATATTGAAAGAGAACAAAGATGGCTTTGACACTACATGGCTTCAAGACTTTTTGTAAAACTAGTAGTCAAGGCAGGGTGTTATTGGTGAAAGAATAGGTAAACCAGTCAATGAAACATAAAAAAAGATCCGGAAATAGATCCACATAAATACAGTCAAAACAATCAATGAAGCAGAAAAAAATGATCCAGAAATAGGCCCATATAAATACAGTTGACCAAAAGCAAAGGAAAACCAATGGATCAAAGATAGAATTTTCAACAAATCGTGATAGAACAATTGGATATCCACATGTAAAAATAATGAATCTAGACACAGAACTTACACCCTTATAAAAATTAACTCAAAATAAAATATACGCCTAAATTTAAAAACAAAACTATGAAACTCCTAAAACATAACATAGATGAAAATCTAGATGACCTTGGGTGTGACAATGACTTTTTAGACACAACACCAAAGGCACAATCCTTGAAAGAAATACATGGTAAGCTGGACTTCACTAAAATTAAAAACTTCTGTGAAAGACAATGTCAAGAGAATGAGAAGACAAGCCACAGGGTCAAAATATTTGCAAAGGATACATGTGTTAAAGGCATACTACCCAAAATATTCAAAGAACAACTAAAACTTACCAAGAAGAAAATGAACAAACCAATTAAATGATAGGCAAAAGACCTGAACAGACACCTTACCAAAGAAGATACTCAGATGGGAAGTAAATTTATGAAAAGCTGTTCAGCATCATATGTCATCAGGGAATTGCAAATTAAAGCAACAATGATATACCACTACATATTGATTAGAATGGCCAAAATCCAGAACATTGACATCACCAAATGTGATGAGGATGTGGAGCAACAGGAACTCTCATGCACTGTTGGTTGGAATGTATAAATGGTATAGCCATTTTGGAAGACAGCTTGGCAATTGCTAAGAAAACTAAAAATACTCTTACCATACAATCCAGTGATTGTACTCCCTTGTATTTTCCCAAGTAAATTTAAAACATATGCCCACACAAAAACCTGCACATGGATATTTATAGCAGCTTTATTCATAACTGTCAAAACCAAAATGTTCCTCAGTAAGTGAATGGGTAAATTGTGGTACATCTAAACAATGAAATATTATTTTGCACTAAAAAGGAATGAGCTAACAAGCCATGTAAAGACATGGAGAAAACTTAATCAATAATGCAAAGTAATAATTATTGCATATTGCTAATGAAAGAAGCCAATCTGAAAGCCTACATACTCTATGATTCCAACCATATGATATTACAGAACAGATAAACCTATTGAGACAGTGAAAAGATGAGTGGTTGCCAGTGGTTAGGGAAGATGAATAGGCAGAGCACAGAGGTTTTTAGGTCAGTTAAACTAATATGTGTGACACTACAGTGGTGGACACATGCCATTCATTTGTCAAAACCCATAGAATGTACAAAACTAAGTGTGAACCCTAATATAAACTATGTACTTTGGATGATAATGACATGTCAATGTAGGTTCACTGATTGTATAAATGTACCACTGTGGTATGGATGTTGATACTGAGAAGGTTATGCATGTGTGGGGGAAATGAATATATAGGAACTTCTGTACTTTCTGCCCAGTTTTGCTATGGACTTACACTACTCTTAAAAATAAATGTCATTGATTAAAGAATAGCTAGAGAAGACCAAAACCAAAGGGAGGAAACTGGATAGTGATTTGCAAAGTTCAGATTCTATATTTAGTTATTTCACTATCTAGATAACTTTGGACAAATCTTAACCTCATTCCATCTCAGTTTCCTTTCAAAATAAAGATTGTGAACTAGATAAACTCAAATATCCCACTAAGTCTTAAACTGTGTGATTCTATGTACCAGTATTTTTTAAAAGTGAATGCATTAGAATTCCACCAGAAATCCTAAATCAGAGACCAGTAGCAATATTGAAAGACATTCATATGTGAAATAAAATCAAGATGAAAACATAATTGAACATTCTCTCAAGCTAGTTTTATATTCTCCAATGTTCTGCCTACTACTGCTTGAGTAATGTTGTTGAATAAAAATTAAAAGGCCATAACAAAAAAAAATCCAGTGAGAGGCAGATGCTAGATAGTAAAACTGTAAATTCCTCTTTTTGCTCTGATGATGGGAAATTAGTGAAATTGTGAAAATTGACAATGATTTGGGGTAAGAAATACCTCTTAAATTTAATGATTGACCCCTAGAAATCAGAAAAGTTTTCAGAAAAGAAGTCAACTGGAAGACAAGTCAACTGGAAATTCCTATGAACAACTTCTAGACTATATTTTCATTTCTTGCTAATCATATTCTTATTTATTTAAAAATGAGACTTTATATATGCCAGTACTGAAGATTCAAAAGAATTGATAAAATAGTCCCTGGCTTCAAGAAGCTCCTACTCTGGTCTATAGTTATAGACCAGCATAGTTACAGACCAGCAGACTCCAGAATGCTGTGTTATAAGTAATCTGGAAGGAAGCTTGCATTGTGGAAGCACAAAGTGAGGAAAGATCAAGTCTTCCTGTAGGTAGAGGGTCAGGGGACACCACACCAAACAAAGAAGACTAGCAAGGATAAGTATGCATAATGGCTGAAAGGTATGAGTGTGCATGATGGCTTTAGGAAACTATGAATACCCAGTGAGGCTGAAATAAGGGAAGCAGCGAAATAAGATTGGGGGTGGAGGTGAGGATTTACAAGATGTTTCTGAAGGACAGGAGCAAAGTGGTCTGGCTGCAAGAAAAGGTTATGGTTAAAGGAATAAGGAAAACTAACATTAATTCTTTATCCTGTGAAACACAAATACCCAGTTAGTAGACTGGGCTCTACCACAATCTGAAGCCTTACCTCCTAGATCCTTGAGTGGCTGCCACCTCCACAAACTCCTTCGTTTTCTGTAACTCAAGAGAGAGCTCAGGAATCAAGGACTTGACACATGGCAGAGGCCCTAGGTGTCTTGAGCCAGGGAACCTCGGACTGGAAGGAGTATTCTATTTCCAAGTGGTGAGAAGGGGCCATAAAGAATTCAAATTTTTCCTCGATATTGAGTTCCTTGATGTTTGTAAAGTTTCACCTGTCCTTTAAAAAAGTTATAATTTGAAAGAAATAAATACTCAAGTCTCTATGTACATAGAATATCTTTTTCAGCAGTAGAATAGTAATCTCCACAAGACATTTTACAAGGAACTGAGGTAATACAAAGTACTATTTATTAAAAAATTGCCCCCACCTTTTTACTTTTACTTTTTACATTATCTTTATAATATCAGCTCGCCTTTTTTTCCCACTGTGCTTTTTAAAGACAAGACTAGAATAAGTGCAAAGAAATACACCACATTTAACAACATTTGAGTCTGTTAAGGGCACTGGCTTTCCGTTCTGGCATTAACATAATTTGATATTTGACCATGGGTAGGGCTTTTGACAGCTCTGAGCCTTGATTTCTCTATCAGGAAATAGATGAAGGTGATCTCTTAAGTTCCTTCCTGCTCAAATATCCTGTGGTCTTATCCATCTTTGCATCTCTTTTGAGAAGCATTGTGCTTGACGCATAGCAGATGCTTAATAAATATCTTGAGTAGATGAGTGTGGGGTAGTTTGCTGCTATTCTCAATAAAGAAAATGTAGTTGGAACTGCTTTGCTCCCACTTCTGTTGGTGCATGAAGGTTAGGATAAGCATATACCCTATCAAAGGGAATAGTCATTACTATTGTCTTACAGGCAATTGGCCTTGGTTTTCCACAACCAATTAAAACCCTTTTAAAATGCTATGGTGGCCAAAAAAATAAACAAACAAACAAACAAACACACTTCTGGGACCTGTATTGAACCCATACAGCAAATCTATCCTGCAAGAAGTTGAATGTATGGTTTGAATTTGGAAATGAGTATACTGTGCAGATGCAACTCACACCATCTTGTTTTTCAGAGGTGCGTGTGTACATATGTACTCACATGAACTCCTACCTGCTATGTGCCAAATCAACAGTCATGAGATGGCAATGATAATTTCCTATGAGGCACATCAGAGACTGGCAGAAATGATCCATGTAATGGATACTCTAAGATCCGAGAAGAACATTCCAGTGCAAAGGCACACAGTTAGATAGAGCATCCTGTTGGTTATGTGTCTCTCCTCAAACTCATATCAGTGTGCCTTGCACAGACTAAAATGCAAAGACATGAAATTGCAGCTGTTCAATCTGTAGTGGTAACTGGAAAGGCAAAGCCAAAGGGGCAAATCACAGCAATTCAGAGTTATACACATGAAGTCAGGAAGCAAGACAAGAGAGGACAGTAGGATGGCCAGGAGACAGAAGATGTACAAGAGAACTCATAAAAGATTTTAGTAATTACAACTTAAACATATGGAGAAATAGGGTAGGTATAGGGCCAATTCTTTCAAAGAGTTTAAGGTGCCATGTAAATCTTTAGAGAAACCATAGCATGAGTAGAAATCAATGGGCCCTTTCAGTCTGAAGACTAATGTCTTTCTCTAGCTCTGGGAAATATAAAAATATTTCCTCCTTTCAGTTTGTCCTCTCTTTTGTGGGTCTCTTATTAGAAAGAGTGGACCTCCTTTGGAGATTTAAGAATCTATCCTCAAAGACTCTTTCCTTTCTCATGCCTTCTGTCTCTTTGTCCTTTTGAACTGTGTTCTGAAAAAAAAAAGTCCTTCCATTTGATCCTCCAGCTTACTATTTAAGATTAAAATGTCAGTTAAACCTTTTAATTATGATCATCATAGTTTAACTCCCAAGAGCTCCAATTGTTTTATTCTATAGTGTGTTCTTGTTTTAGAGATGTAATATCCTCTCTTACTCCTCTGAATATTACATATTTTTTAAAAGTCTTCTTCTGTTTGTTCTATTAGCTCAATTTATTTAGTTTTTAGCGTTTTTGTTATTGAGTTTGTGGTTTCTCTTTCATGGTATTGGTTTTCTTCAATGGGTTCCTTGGTTGCAATTTAAGTTTTGTATCTGTGATCCACTAGGCCCCTGTCTCTCCATGCTCTTTCTGCGAACTGCACCATGCCTCTGGTGATGGAGGCCAGGTCAACTGAAGAGCAAATTGTATTAAGGGACATGTGCTGCCAGTAGCTTTTCATCTCAATTTACAAGTTCTCTGTTCTTTTTGAGTTTAAACTTTTATCAAAATTACATCTATATAATAGTTTGAAGACTCAAATAAGACTAGAAGCCATGTCACAAAAAGAGCAGTGCCCAGTGTCCCACCCTTTGACTTCTTGACCAGTAGGAGGCA
Organism: Homo sapiens; assembly: GCF_000001405.40. NCBI lineage: Eukaryota > Metazoa > Chordata > Mammalia > Primates > Hominidae > Homo > Homo sapiens. The sequence continues at coordinate 121,021,866 of NC_000010.11, forward strand.
ACTATTTTAAGATGATTCTTTCGGCATTTATCACCTTATCTCTACGTAACTTGCTTATATTGGTACTTCTTGATTTTCTCCACAATTTCAGGCATTACAGTACCTATAGAATTCACACTATAAAATATGAGGGCTTAATCTCTCTTTCAACCCACCCTACCTATAGTCCCATAATTTACACACAACACAATGCACACAACAAATATACTCACATCCTCTCTGTTCCCCACTGTTTGAAATGTGGTTTCATTACATTTTACTTAGCTAAATATATGGTGCTGTCATTGTTATGACCGTGTAAATACCATGCACAACTGAGCCATAAACAGTAGTACACTATGATTGCTGTTATCTTTTGTGGCTTTTGTTTCCACTACTGTTAATTTTTTCTTTTATACTCTGTTTGCTCTTCTAAGAAGTTATCATTATTCAGACCCCAGACTTCCTACCATCTAAAGATCTCCTCAGTATGAATGGATGCATCAGGTATTTTACCAATTTCATCTTGAAGAAATTTCCTCTAGAGCTCCTGACCTATACCAATCTGGACTGGCTGCATTTCAGTCCGGTACACAGTTGCCATACTGGGACCTCCCTCTAACTGTATCTCGAAATCCCCTTTGCTGCTTTCTTGTGTTGGATTCCACTGTCTGTATCCCATAAATTCCTCTTTTTTTGGTTTACTTCTCCATTTTAGTGAAGCACATCTTCCAGTAAGTATCTGAGAAAGGATGCATGGCAGGTCAATAGTTGGGGAATCTCAGAGATCTCAAAAGTCTCTTTATTCTATTATCACATCTGTTTGATATTTTGGTTGAATATGGGATTTTAGGATGCACATAGCTTTTCTTCAAGATTTTAAAGGTGTTGCTACATTGCCTTCTTGTTTCCAATGTTGCTATTTGGAAGACTGAAGCCATTCTGATTCCTGATCCTTTATCAGGAACATTCTCCTTGCCCTTCTGAAAGCTTAGAGAATATTTTTTTTGTGTTCTGATATTTCACAATAATCAGTCTGGGCTTATTTTAAACCATTGTGTTGGAGACTTGTGAAATCATGACAATGTAGAAATTTATATTCCTTATTATAAGGAATGTCCTTGAATTATTTTATATTTAATTTCTTTGCTTTTATTTTCTGTTTTTGAAACTTGGATGATGAATTCTTTGAACCAGTCTTTAATTTTCTAATCTCTTTTCTATTTTCTATACTCCTGCCTTTTGCTCTACATTCTGGAAGATTTCCTCAAGTTTATTTTCCAACCTTTCTATTGGGTTTCAGAAACCTTGTGTGTGTATTTGTGTGTGTGTGTGTGTGTGTGTGTGTGTAAATATTCAAGAGCTCTTTTAATTTTCTGAACATTCTTTTTAAATTTCTTCCTGTTTTTCATTCATGGATTCAATATCTTCTCATGTCTCTGGGGATATTAATGTTACTTTTGAAGTCTTCTACCTGAATTTTTTCTATTTCCTCTCATTTGTTTTGTTGTTTTTTATTTTGACTTGAAAACTGGCACATAACAATTGTACATATTTGCAGTATATAGTGTGATGTTTTGATACATGTATACCTTGTGTAAAAATCAAATCAGGATATTTAGCATATCCATCACCTCATAGATTTATCATTTATTTGGGATGAGAACATTCAAAATCCTCTCTTCTAGCTATTGTGAAATATACAGTACAATATTGTTAACCATAGTCACCCTACTGCACTAGAACACCAGAACTTATTCCTGCTATCTGACTGTAACTTTGTACCTGTTTACCAACCTCTCCCCATCCTTATTCTCCCTTACCTCCCTTCCCCAGCCTTTGACAACCACCATTTTATTCTCTACTTCTTGAGATCAACTTCTTTTTCATTACAGGTTTTCCTTATATGTCTGATGATCCTGGTTTTCCTCCCATAACTAAGAGTGGGGCATAAAAAAGTTGATTGGCTTTGGGAGGCAAAGGTGGGTGGATAACCTGAGGTCGGCAGTTCGAGACCAGCCTGGCCAACATGGCAAAACCCTGTCTCTACTAAAAATACAAAAATTAGCTGGGTGTGGTAGAATGCACCTGTAATCCCAGCTACTTGGGAGGCTGAGGAAGGAGAATCGCTTGAACCTGGGAGGCGGAGGTTGCGGTGAGCCGAGATTGTGCCATTGCACTCCAGCCTGGGCAATGAGAGCAAAACTTTGTCTCAAAAAAAAAAAAAAAAAAAAAAGTTGATTGGAAAACATAACTTTGAAACGGAGCAACAAATTGGAAGGACTACACAGCCTGATTTCAAAACTTCCTATAAAGCCACAGCAATTAAGACAGTGTGGTATTAGTTAGACACACTGACAAATGAAAAAGTTAATACAGAAATTGAGCCACACATACAGGGTCAATTAATTTTTGACAAAATGCCAAGGTAATTCAAAGGGGGAAAGCATAGTCTATGCAAAAAAAGATGCTGGAATAACTACATATCCATACAGAAAAACAGAATGAACCTCAGCCTTTACTTGCCCACATATGCAAAAACTAACTTTAAGTGGATCATCGATGTAATAATAAAATCTAAAATTATTTAATAAAACTGCTATAATCATAGAAGGAAATCTTTTTGATCTTGGAAAAACTTCTTAAATAGGACACCAAAATCATAAACCATAATAAGTTAATAAATCAATTTCCTCAAAATAAAAAACTTCAGCTCCTTGAAAAACATCATTAATAAGTAAAATGCAAATATACACTAGAAGAAAATATTCACAATAAATATATCTGACAAAGGATTTAGATCCAGAATACATAAAGAATTCTTACAAGTCAGTAATAAAAAGACAAATAATCTAATTAAAAAATGGAATAATGTGTTCTTGCCACTGCTTCTGCTTTTTTCATAACACTTTCTGGATGTCCAGAAACCCAGTAGCATGGAAATTGAGCAACTTTATTTATTTCATATATTCTACCATTACTCAATGACATTCTACTTGAGACATAGATGCTTAATGAAGAGAAATGTAAGTAATTTGAAAAAAAAATTGAGCAACGGCCTGAACAGACTCTGCTCAAAAGAAGATATACAAAGAGCCCATAAACTCAGTAGAAGGCCCTGGAAGCCCCTGAGATCATTAGTCACTGGAGAAAAGCAACTGAAAACCACAGTCACACACACAATACCATTTAAACAGTGGCTTTGGTCTAATTGTGTGCCTTAAGATTTTGGTTTTGATCATTTTAAGAAGACATTTATAGTGCCTTGACATAGGCCAGTCACTGCGCTGCAGACAAATATCATGTCATTCCACAGTCATCAGCCCAGGGAGACAGTGCTAGTATTTTCCCAGTTTCACAGCTGGGAAACGGAGGCTCTGAGACGCTGAGTGACTTGTCCAAGGTTCTGAGACTTGGAAGGGCAATGTTGACATTTGGATCCAGGACTCCGAAAGCGTGTGTGTACAACTACCATGCCACCCTGCCTGCCCAGGTACCTCAGCCTTTCCTGGAGGACTTGGCAGCTCCTCAGCTTCTGTGGGTTTTTAGGAAGTGGCTCAGCAGCAGAGTGGGAGGCAGCGGGAACTCCCCATGGAGCAGCACTGGCCAGCAGCAGGGCCAGACTCATCCCCCACCTTCAAGGGCGGAAGCCAAGGCTGGAAAGACAGCTGTAAATCCCACAGCTACCTGCTGCCAAGCTGGTAGTGGGTGTAAGGAGGGGAGCAGGGAGGCTCTCGGGGTCCAAAAGCCAGTTCCCCTGGGCCAGTGTCCGTGATTCCAAAGGAGGGAGCTGATGGGGCATCCGGGAGCTGCCGGGGAGGAAGGGAGTGGAGAGATAGAGCACTATTCTGGGAATAGGAAAAAGATGTTGATTGGAAGCTCTGAGCCTGGGAATGAGGTGTGAAAGTGACAGGTTTCTTGCAAGGTGCTCAGGTCTTTTCTCTTGGGCCACTCACACTCTCTAGAGAAGGATCTTCCATCTTCTGCCTGGAGGTAATAGTTCTGCCCGCCAGAGTTCTAGAGACTGATTACAATTTTTCATTCATTTAGGTAAATGTTTATTTAACTTCCTGGAATGCCACTCCAACCCTCAACTCTCTCTGGTGTTCCCCCACATTCCATCCTAGCTACAGCTCAAGATTTCTGCTATGGCCGTAGCGATGGTGGCAGTGGCTCTAGGAAACTAATCACTTCTTAAATACTCAGTGTTTTGTGCTGCCTTCATCCCTCCTTCCAGAGGTACCTGACACTGCCAAGCCTGGCACATTTTTCCCTGTAAGTCAGGTTGTTTCCTGCCTTTTCCCATTTCGTCTTTAGGAGTCAGTTTTCTTGGGTCAGTTGCCATTGGTCCATCTGTTTCCAGAATCCAGAATTTTGTTACAGTTGCCCTTTCCCCAGTCTGTTTGTCCCTGTGGGTTTATGTGTTAAGAAAAATTAAATCTCTTTACAGTTCATTTAGAAGGGTTTTGGAGGGAGAGTAAGAAACTGTGGGTGTTTGATCTGCCATCTTTACTGAGAAGTCGCTCCCTCTCCTTTGGGTAGGTTCCATAGCCATCTGGACACTGCCCTGCTCCTCTGGACCGCTTGTCCACTCACTGCTTTTGTCTGAATGTAAATACTTGAAACTAAGTCCTCAATTAACCACACATAAGCAGTAGCTGGGGTTCCCCTTTCCCTTCTCACATCTGTGACCTCTGGGCTCCCAGCATCTTCCAATCTTTCCCCTTCCACAGATGTTCCTCCTGCGTATGTCTGAGGCATGGGTTTTCTGCAAGCTTTTTCTTTTCCCTGTGTTGATCTGATCCATTTCGATTCTTTCAGGAGTTAAAAAAAAATTCTTGTCCTCTGATGGCACTTTTTCTCATTGTTATTCATACCAGTTATAGTTTTATTATTAAAATATTTTTTCCTACATTTCATGAGATTTCTGGTGGAACTGGGGATAGTTGCAAGTGCTTAGTCAGCCTTCTCCTCCAGTTCTGAAGTTTAAACTATTTAAGCCTCCACCTTTTTGGTGGTTAGGGCAAGGTGGAGTTTATGGAAAACTTAGAAAGGTCTTTGCCACACCAAGATTATTCACCCATATTTTCTTCTAGTACTTTTGTGGGTTTTTAAAATATTTACATCTTTGGTTCATTTAAAATTCCATATGATGTTAGTTGTATACCGGAATTTAGATTTCTTTTCAAATGTTTAGCTTTTTGTTCAAACATTAGCTATTGACTAATTTTCTGATTTGAAATACACACTTTGTTAATTTGTATAGCTTTATAATAGGTTTTATTGTTTCATAGGTTAAGTTCTTCTTAAGTCTTTTAAAATTATTTCTTGGTATAATTTTTTCCATTAAATAAAATTTTGAAGTTTGGCCAAATCAAAAAAAATCTCACTTGAATTTGGGTATGCCTGCATTACTTTTCTATTCATTTAGGGAGCATTAGCATTTTAATGCATTAAAAGCCATATTTCAACTACTGGGATGGATCTAAGTTATCTAGTCAGTTGAAGTAATCATTTACTTTAAGATGTAATAAAATTGTTTCAACATCCCAAGTCACACCTGATAGAAGTCTCAGCACGCTTTCCAGGCTCTCTGGGGTGTCACGGCAGTCAAAGGGGTTGGTGTTTATTTTTCCCGGAGTCAGTTCCATATTCCTGCTTCCATGGAATTCTTGATCTCCAGTCTGGCTCTGACCCCCGCACATCTGTCCTTTCTCCAGTCCACAACACTCCACTGGAAACCATCTGATCTTTTCACTGGCACTAACTCAAGGCCATGTGCATGGTAGATAGGCAACATCAGGGTAGTGTTACAAATCTGAGCCCTGGAGTCAGAATGTCTGGGTCAACAGCTTGACTTCACACTTGTAAGCTATGCACTTGATCAAGTTACTTAATGTCTCTCTGCCTTAATTCCTCATCTGTAAGGTAGGAAAATAGGATTTTTGTGATAATTAAATGTAGAAAGTTAAAGTGTTAAAGAGTTAAAGTGCTCAGGGCAGTGTCTGGCAAGTAGGTGCTCAATAAATATGAGCTGTTATAATTATCATCGAAGGTTTGGAGGCTATGGAAATGGGTTACATAAAAACACAGCACAACAAATGACTATAAACTGAATATTGGAAGTGTATTCTTAAAACTCCTTCTACTTGTCTTATTACAAAAGGAAGGTTCCCTCTCTCTCTTTAAGCCCCAGCTGGGCCCCTAACTTTGATCTCGTCCCTTCTCCTCCCTGTTTTTCAACTCTAGTCAAATCTCACTCTCTTAATTAGTCCATTATAGTTTCCAAGGCATGAGGACTTATCTTTCCAATACTTAACCAGCTCATCATTTGTTTGGCTAAACAAAACCAGCTCAGGCTGCAAAAAAAAAGAGCTTATCTTCCCTTTAGACTATAGAAGAATATAAAAGAATGTAGTTCAAAAACTAACAATGATTTTCCTGCACTTCGTAAAGAGAGCATATCTAAAAGGTACAGCTCTCCATTTTCTCAAAACTCTTTTTCTGCCCATGAATAGAATTTTGTTGTTTTCTCTATATAGCACGTCTTATGGTTACTATATATAAATTGTTATTATGAGTAGAATTTTTATTCACTATATTTTCTTACTGGTTATTGTTAGTATGAAAGAAAGTTATTGCTTCTTTGTACATTTATTTTGAAACTAGAGTCATATTACCACTGTTTCATATAGTTTCTAATAGCTTTCTCAGTTTTATTGTCTTGGATTTTCTCTGGCATATAATCATTTTATCTGCAAATAATGACAATTTTGTTTGCTCATTTCCAGTATTTACACCACTTATTTTGGTTTATTGTGCTGGCTTGGACAGACATTATGTAACCGTGATTATAATGATCACTGATAGTGCTGGTTCTATTTGCTAATATTTTGTTTAGGGTTTATAAATGAAATGGCTGTAGTTTTCTTTTTAGTATAATTTTGATAGATTTTGTTATAATACTTTGCTGGCTTTATAAAAACAAGAAAAGCAAAAAGGAGTAGCTCTTTTTTCTCTGAGTTCTAAAATAATTTAAATAATTCTTGTGTTACCTATTCGTTGATGGTTTGATCTGTGTGGACTATATGGGCCTGGCCACTTTTAGGATAAGGTTCTTCACAATCATCTTATAGCCTATTTTAGGTTTCCTATTTCTACTTCATATAGAGAACTTATTTTTCTAAAATAATTATCTATATCACCCAAGTTTTAAAATTTATTTGCACAGTTTTTCTTTATATACTTTAAGTTTTAGGGTACATGTGAACAATGTGCAGGTTAGTTACATATGTATACATGTGCCATGTTGGTGTGCTGCACCCATTAACTCGTCATTTAACATTAGGTATATCTCCTAATGCTATCCCTCCCCCCTCCCCCCACCCCACAACAGGCCCCGGTGTGTGATGTTTCCCTTCCAGTGTCCATGTGTTCTCATTGTTCAATTCCCGCCTATGAGTGAGAACACGCGGTGTTTGGTTTTTTGTCCTTGCGATAGTTTGCTGAGAATGATGGTTTCCAGCTTCATCCATGTCCCTACAAAGGACATGAACTCATCATTTTTTATGGCTGCCTAGTATTTCATGGTGTATATGTGCCACATTTCCTTGATCCAGTCTATCATTGTTGGACATTTGGTTTGGTTCCAAGTCTTTGCTATTGTGAATAGTGCCTCAATAAACATACGTGTGCATGTGTCTTTATAGCAGCATGATTTATAATCCTTTGGGTATATACCCAGCTTTACAAAGTTTTCTTTAATACTTTAAAAACTTTTCCCTGCATCTGTGGTTATCTATCTTTTCTTTTGACTAGTTTTGGGTATTTGTATTTTCCCACCTTTTTCCTTTTTTTGACTAAGGTAGGTTATGATTTATTTTCTTATTTTATTTTTTTAAATATCTTGAATTAATTAAACAATTCTATTGCTTTTGGCTTTTCCAGTTTAAACTCAATTTCACATTTCATATTTATTCTTTCCTTTTGCTTTAGGTTAGATAATCTTTTCCTACATTATTGAGTTTTGTGTTTATTCTATTTCACTCTTTGTTGAGTAATGACAGAACTTACAGATGTAAGTTTTTGCCTAAGGACAAGTTTAGCTTCAACACATACATTTTAGTGTACAGTAGTCTTGTTATTGTTGTTTTAGCAAAACAGGTATTTTAAAGAGACTGGTATATTTCCCAAATGGTTGGCAAGTTACCGTTTGCTTGTTTCTACTTAATTTCTAGCTGTATTGCATTTTGGTCAGAAAACGTGATCTTTCCTCTTCCTACATTTTAAGCTATGTTGAGGTTGCCTTCATGGAATGATATGGATTTTATGCTGAGTACACAGTTAAGATCTGTAATTGTTTCATAAGTACTTGAAAAGAACATACATTCTCTAATGTGATAATGTAACATGTAATATGCATATATAGCATCTGTCAAGGACTGAGAGAGGTTCAAATTTGCTTCTTTTTCTCACTTGCCCCTTTCATTGATCTAGTTTGTTGTACAAGGGAATGGTTCTCAAAGTGTGGTCCCTGGACCAGCAAGCAACAGCATCACCTCCTTAGAAATGCAAAATCTTGGGCCCTACCCCAGTCCTGTGAATTAGAAACTGGGGCCGGCACTAGCAGTCTGTGTTTTCAGAAGCTCTCTGGGTGATTAGAATGCACACTCACATTCAAGTACACTAGGAGAAGGCATGGGATGTGGATCTCATTTTGTCTTCCTTTGTTCTGAAAAATTACTCTCCCCCGTCCCACTTGTTTGTGATGCTCCCCTTTTCAATAACTTAATTCTCTTTATAAACTATTCATTCTGTACCATTAATCTGTGTCACACTGTTTTAATTTTTATAGTTAATAATCAAAGGCAGGCAAATTGGAATTCGGTATTATGTTTTTCCTATTAAATTTGCAAAGATTTAAAAACTCAATAATTTTCAGTGTTGGCAAAAATACAACGAACAAGACACTCTCATACAGTGGTGGTGAGAATGTAAAGTGATACATTTTTTCCTGAAAAGAACTTATGGCAATACGTCTAAAATATCTTTGCCTCTGCTTCAATAATTCCACCTGTAGACATTCATTCTAAGGAAATAATCAGAATTGGTTTAAAAATTATACTTACATTGTTTTTTGTTTACTCTGTTATTTGTTTTTAATGAATAGACATTTTTGGAAAAGCTTTCGGTTTATGGAAAAATTGAGCAGAAAATAAAGTGTTCCCATATGCTCCTCCCTCCCCAACATTTGCCTTATTACTAACATCTTGTATTAGTATGGTATATTTGTAACAATTGACGACCCAATCTTAATACATTATTAGTAACTAAAGTCCATAGTTTATATTAGGACCCGCTGTTTATGTTGTACATTCTATGGGTTTTCCCAAATCTGTGACATGTACAGACCATGACAGCATCATTCAGAATAGTGTCCTAAAAATCCCTTGTGCTCCAACTATTTGTCTTTTTAAATAGAAAAAAATAGAAAGTTCCAACAATATGAGCATGTTTACATAAACTATGATATATTTAATTCAACTAAAATATTATGCAACCATTAAAAATCATGTTCCTGCAAAATATTTAATTGACTTGGGGGAAATGTCAATGATATATTACTAAGTTTAAAAAAAGAATACAAACTGTATTTGTAATATCATCTGAGCTTTATTATTATTTATTTATTTTATTTTATTTTATTTATTTATTTTTGAGATAGAGTCTCACTCTGTCACCCAGGCTGGAGTGCAGTGGCGCGATCTCGGCTCACTGCAAGCTCCGCCTCCCGGGTTCATGCCATTCTCCTACCTCAGCCTCCCGAGTAGCTGGGACTACAGGCACCCGCCTTGACACCCGGCTAATTTTTTGTACTTTTAGTAGAGACGGGGTTTCACCGTGTTAGCCAGGATGGTTTCGATCTCCTGACCTTGTGATCGCCCGCCTCGGACTCCCAAAGTGCTGGGATTACCAGCGTGAGACACCGCGCCCAGCCTATTATTATTTAAATAATAATATATGTTCATAAAAAATACTCAAAGGGGCCGAGCACGTGCCTCACACCTGTAATCCCAACAGTTTGGGAGGCCAAGGCGGGCAGGAGTTTGAGACCAGCCTGGCCAACGTGGTGAAATTCAGTCTCTACTAAAAATACAAAAATTAGCCGGGCGTGGTGGTGGGCGCCTGCAGTCCCAGCTGCTTGGGAGGCTGAGACAGGAGAATTGCTTGAACCCAGGAGGCAGACGTTGCAGTGAGCCGAGACTGTGCCACTCACTGCAGCCTGCACAACAGAGCAAGCCTCCATCTAAAAAAAAAAAAAAAAAAAAAATCAAAAAACAAATAAACAAACAAAAACGCCACAGGGGGAAAAGACTGAAAGCTTTACATCAGAATGCTGAAAAGGTCTGTGAGAAGCTAAAAGTAGCTTGTAGGGTCAGGAACACTGCCTCTGGCATCAGCCACCTGAGAACTGCTTGATCTTGGGAAAATCACATTGCTTTCTTTTTTGTCTTTATGAAATTTTCTAAACTAAGGATGGATTGTTTTTAGAATGAGAAAAAAACTAATAAAAAAACTACAAATAGTAAAAGAGGAAGTGACAGAGAAGCAAAAGAAGACACAATGGGGCAATAAAGGAGTTTAAATGGCAACATTTCCTACCCAAAGTGACTGGAAGAGAAAAGAGAAGTCATTGACTTGCACAGCCAAAACTACTAGAGGGCTGGCCCGAGGCTCAGCTTGGGGCAGGGCTCCAATGGTGAGCCTCATGCCCCATTCCCTCTGTCTCTCAGATCACTATCTGGATTTCCCCCTGCAGTAGCCCAGGCCTCACTCACGTCCTTCCCGCTTCACAAGCTGTGAGAGTTTGCCAGAATTCCCCCCAGTGAAAATTTCATCTCATCTCATTGGTTCTAGTTGAGTCACATGCTCATGTCTCAACCAATCAAAGTGGCCAGAGAAAATGCAACTTGTTGAGTGGTTTAAGCCTGGATCCCTCAACCTTCAGAATCAAGGATGAAATCAGCTTCCCCAGAACCACGTGGAGTGACATTAAGTAAAAGAGTGATTCCCTAATGGGAACTACTGGGTGGCAATTAACAAAAGATGCTCTTTGTCCCTGAAGGGAGGTGGCTCCACAGCTCTGCCAGACGTTTTGGGTGAATCTCTGCAGCACCCATGTCACTCCTGAAGTAGTTTTAGGGGTATTTGTTTTCACGCCCACAGTAGAGGTGGCTGTATTGGTTTGTGCTGAACCAAGACCTGACCAGGCAGCAAATGACTGGTCCTCAGGACACTGGGACCACAGGCTTACTGTTAACATCTTTCAGTTTGTGCTTTCAGCATTTCACATCAAAAGGATTTTATAAAATGCCCTTTTTAAACTTTCTGAGACTATTAGTCTGAGTATTGGGAGGCACAGAGACGGCATCCCTGAGGCAGGGGTTAGGGGATGGGAGATCTTCTTTTCTGTGTAACTGAAGTGCAGTGATGTCTTTTATGACCTCCCCAAAGACAAAAGATGAGTATAACAATACTCTTGCCAATTTGCTGGAAAGTTTATCGTTTTTAGTTTCACAGCTGGAGATCCTCAGCCCATTTCATTATCCTTGGGCTAAACAGAGTCCTCATTTTATGGCTGTTGTGAAACTGTATTCTTGGAACAATGACAACCTCTGACTCCTCTAAAGTCATGGCCAGTTGAACTCCCTTGTGTCATTGGGATTGGCAATAAAAACAGGTTGGATACTAAGCAGATACACCTGCCGCTCAGGCATCTCTCAGGTGCCAAAAGATAGACTGATTGTGTGGACCAAGCTCCATGCTCTGGGACGAAGGGAATAGAATTGAATTCCCTTGGGAGGTTGAAGCTTCAGGGAGTATAGATCAAATAAACCTCCCTTCTGTGTAGGCTGTCCTTCCATCTGACAGTGAAATGATCCAGTTTTCTTGGGCTATGAATATGGACAGACCTTTAGCCCCACCTTAGCCAACACATGAAAAAGTATATAATCCTGGCAGGAACCCATATAGAAGAAGGCACTAGACCAGGCCATCTGCACCTTGTCATTTCTTTAATAAAATGGGATTTCATTACCTCGGCCCTGTCAGTATTTTTATCTTGCCTCTGCCTCTTTACACTTGGAGGGGGTTGCTGGGTTACCTGAAAAGAGACTGTTTTTCAAAGCAAAATACTGCATTACTATTACTAATATCACTATTAGTAATAGTAATGTGTCCGGAATTGGTGGGTTCTTGGTCTCACTGACTTCAAGAATGAAGCCGCGGACCCTCGCCGTGACTGTTACAGCTCTTAAGGTGGCACGTCTTGAGTCTGTCCCTTCTGATGTTCAGATGTGTTCGGAGTTTCTTCCTTCTGGTGGGTTCGTGGTCTCGCTGGGCTCAGGAATGAAACTGCAGACCTTCGCAGTGAGTGTTACAGCTCTTAAGGCAGCGCATCTGGAGTTGTTCGTTCCTCCCAGTGGGCTCGTGGTCTCTCTGGGCTCAGGAGTGAAGCTGCAGATCTTTGCAGTGAGTGTTATAGTTCACAAAAGCAGCGTGGACCCAAAGAGTGAGCAGTAGCAAGATTTATTGCAAAGAGCGAAAGAACAAAGCCTCCACTGTGTGCAAGGGGACCCGAGCTGATTGCCAATGCTGACCTGGGCAGCCTGCTTTTATTCTCTTATCTGGCCCCACCCACATCCTGCTGATTGGTAGAGCCCAGTGGCCTGTTTTGTCAGGGCGCTGACTGGTGCGTTTACAATCCCTGAGCTAGATACAAAGGTTCTCCAAGTCCCCATCAGATTAGTTAGATACAGAGTTTTGACACACAGGTTCTCCAAGGCCCCACCAGAGCAGCTAGATACAGAGTGTCGATTGGTGCATTCACAAACCTTGAGCTAAACACAGGGTGCTGATTGGTGTGTTTACAAACCTTGAGCTAGATACAGAGTGCCGATTGGTGTATTTACAATCCCTGAGCTAGACATAAAGGTTCTCCACGTCCCCACCAGAGCAGCTAGATACAGAGTGTCGATTGGTGCACTCACAAACCTTGAGCTAAACACAGGGTGCTGATTGGTGTATTTACAATCCCTGAGCTAGACATAAAGGTTTTCCAAGGCCCCACCAGAGCAGCTAGATACAGTGTCGATTGGTGCACTCACAAACCTTGAGCTAAACACAGGGTGCTGATTGGTGTGTTTACAAACCTTGAGCTAGATACAGAGTGCCGATTGGTGTATTTACAATCCCTGAGCTAGACATAAAGGTTCTCCACATCCCCACCAGAGCAGCTAGATACAGAGTGTGGATTGGTGCATTCACAAACCTTGAGCTAAACACAGGGTGCTGATTGGTGTATTTACAATCCCTGAGCTAGATATAAAGACTCTCCACGTCCCCACCAGACTCAGGAGCCCAGCTGGCTTCACCTAGTGGATCCCACACTGGGGCTGCAGGTAGAGCTGCCTGCCAGTCCTGTGCCGTGCACTCGCATTCCTCAGCCCTTGGGTGATCGATGGGACTGGGCACCATGGAGCAGGGGGTGGTGCTCGTTGGGGAGGCTCGGGCTGCACAGGAGCCCATGGAGGGGGTGGGAGACTCAGGCATGGCGGGCTGCAGGTCCCGAGCCCTGCCCCGCGGGAAGGCAGCTAAGGCTCGGTGAGAAATCGAGCTCAGCGCCGATGGGCTGGCACTGCTGGGGGACCCAGTACACCCTCCGCAGCCGCTGGCCCGGGTGCTAAGTCCCTCATTGCCCGGGGCCAGCAGGGCTGGCCGGCTGCTCCGAGTGCGGGGCCTGCCAAGCCCACGCGCACCCGGAACTCCAGCTGGCCCGCAAGTGCCGCAGGCAGCCCCCGTTCCCGCTCACGCCTCTCCCTCCACACCTCCCTGCAAGCTGAGGGAGTGGGCTCCAGCCTTGGCCAGCCCAGAAAAAGGCTCCCACAGTGCAGTGGGGGGGGGGCTGAAGGGCTCCTCAAATGCCACCAAAGTGGGAGCCCAGGCAGGGGAGGTGCCGAGAGCAAGCGAGGGCTCTGAGGACTGCCAGCACGCTGTCACCTCTCAGTAATAGCACAGCCCCATCCTTGCTGTACATTGTGGACATTATCTTGACTCCTCACAATAACTCTCCAAGGTAGGTCTCATAGTCACCATTTTAAATGGGAGGAAACTAAGGCTATGTCTTGTTAGGTAATTTACCCAGTTCATACAGTTCTATGTGATAGAACTGGAGTTTGGAAACTAAGCCTGACAATGCCAAATACTTTGTTTCTTCTCCTCATTATCAATAGCTGACTAAAATGTAATTTTGTCAACCTGATCTTGAAAAAATTTAGCCTGATTTTATTTTTATCTGTTATTCCTAAATTAAGCAGCCTCAGTGGCATTACAAGCCGAATCCTTGAGGTGACTGGTCACCAGAAGGAATCCAGCCTTCTCCATGCATAATCACTCTACAGCAGCCTTCCAGACCCATCCATGGGAATCCTTTTCTTGAGGTCTGGGCAAAACCACTCCAAGAACAAACCCCCCAATCTCCATCAGAGCTTCTCTGCCCCGTATTTGTCTGACCCCTCAGTTCAGCAGTGATGATGACCAGGGCAAGTCAAATCTATGTCTGAGCCTGTGGCCTGACCCCATTGTTTGTACTTATCCGATGTGAAATGCTAGTACTTGCTTTGCAATTTTACATTTTGATGCAAGTGAAAGGTTTGAACCAGCTGTTTAAAAAAACAAATAGCTTTAAACCCCATTGTAAAGTGATGACCTCATGTAGGAAAACTGGTTGGGCTCTTGCCCTAGGAGGGGCTGGGGGTAGGTTCCCGATAGACAAGCTGCTCCTTGTGAACCACTCAGAAGCTGGCTCTTGCTCAGCGGCTGTGGATGAGCCATGAGAGCCACATCTGTTTTTAAATCTTCAAGATGAATGGAGTTGAATTTTCTATTCTTTAAATGTGGAGAAGAAAAGAACAAAACGCTTCCTGTCAGTGAAGTCCTGTGTTTCTAAGTGGGGTAACTTCTTTTTTATTGAACGAAAGCTTTTCAAGAAGCATTCCAAAGAGGATATACCAGAATCTGGAACTGGCATATGAAAATATCACCTCTAGGGAACAATTCATAAAACCACCAATTACTCCGTGGACTCCTTTTGGCTCTGTCCTTGCTTTAGATGATAGGTACATTCTCACACCCCTGAGCTCCTCAGAAAAGCAGGAGGGATCCCTTTGTGCCCTCGTTTATACCCTGCTAGAGGTTAAGCATAGATGATACACTGTCACCTCACTGGAACATTTTAAACTTGAAAAAAAAAAAAAAGAGAAAGAAAACCTATTAAAATTGTCAACATTCCCACAGTAATTGAGTTTTCTAAATTCATTCAATAGCTAGTTTATTCATTTAATCAACCATTTTTTGAGTCCCTACTATATGCCAAATGCTGCTGTAGGGTGAGGAGTTGAAGATATAAGATCCATTACAATCATCCCCCTCATCCTCAGGAATACATGCCAAGACCCCCGGTGGATGCCTGAAATCACAGACAGCACCGAATCTTATATATACACCACATTCTTCCTCTACATTCATACTCATGATAGCTTAATTTATAAATTAGGCAAAGTAAGAAACTGGCAACAATAATAAGAATAATTGTAAGTACACTTTAATAAATGCTCTGTGAATGTAGTCTCTCTCCCTCTCAGAGTATCTTATTGTAATGTACCTACTGCTCTTGTGAGATGATAAAAAGCCTACATGATAAGATAAAGTGATAGGGCTGGGCGTGGTGGCTCATGCCTGTAATCCCAGCACTTTGGGAGGCCGAGGTGGGTGGATCACCTGAGATCAGGAGTTTGAGACCAGCCTGGCCAACATGGTGAAACCCCATCTCTTCTGAAAATAGAAAAATTAGCCAAGCGTGGTGGCTGGTGCCTGTAATTGCAGCTACTTGGGATGCTGAGACAGAAGAATCACTGGAACCCAGGAGGTGGAGGTTGCAGTGAGCCGAGTCAGAACAGCATGCACTTTAAAGCTTATGAATTGCTTATTTCTGGAATTTTCCACTTAGTATTTTCAGACCATGGTTGACTGCAGGTAACTGAAACCATGGAAAGCAAAACCACAGATAGAGGGACTACTATACCTGTACTCAAGTCGACAGTCTAGCAGAAGAGGAAGAGAAATAGATAACTTGAAGTCCATGTGGTCAGCTATGCTCAGGACACTGGGGGATAGGCCTGGGGGTAGGGAAGGAAGTGATGACCAAAGATGGCTTCCTGTAAGAAGAAACCCCAATCTGAGCTTTGAAGGACACGATGGGGTTAGCAAAACGTTTAAGACAGAAGAAGCAGCCTGTACAAAGGTGGAGGAGTGAGACAGGAGATAGGAGATGTATTGCAGGGGCTGTGGGGGCCAGGGCACGATGCTGGTTTATGATAGTGTTATCCCTGTGATAAGTCCCACACCTTTGGTCCATGGGAGCATCTCAGCACTGGGAGGCATCTGTGCATGTGTCTCCTCATAGCTGTAGACTCTCTGAAGATGTCTCTATGGATGTGGACACTCTTCCCCTGCATGTTATGACTGTCTGTTTCACACTTTCCAAAGCACATGCACACACATGCAGGCTTCCACACAGAAATTTCAAACAGATTGTTATTTAATGACTACAGTCATTCATCCAAACCTACACTACTGGTTGGGTGTTTGGTCTGTCTTATCTCCATTTATAGCACAGAGAAAGGTATCATCAACCAGCCTTCAAGATGTCATCTCAGAGGCCTTCCCTCTACTGGTAGGGAACCCCCCGCCCCAACACCTCTCTACACTTTCTCCCCTCCAGAACTTCTGCCTGTTTAACTCTTTTCCTCTAACAATGTCCCCACATCCCTTCTTATTCTGGCTACTCTCACCCTCAGGCAAAAGTCAGCAAGTGGCTTGTCCTTTTGGCACTCACAGCCTCCCTGGATCAGTGTTGAGTGAAGAAAGCCCTTCCCTCCTCAGCCAGGTGAAGGAAGGGAGAGCTTTGGGTCAGGAAGCTGTGTGTGGCTGGTGAAGATGATCATTTACTCCTGGTTGTGCTTTTCCTGATTTTTCCTTTGGTGCCTCTTACTATCTCTGGAAAATAAAAAAACACACAACTTACGCCAGGAGCATGAGATCTCTGCCAAGAAGCCCTGTTGAATCCTTTGAGAGTCACAATCTCTCCGAGTAATTCTGAACTTATTGGTCCAGACATGGATTTATCCCTCTACTCATCTTCATCTTCTTTGTGAAGCCCCCTTCCATTCATGCCACCCTAATGGAAGTGTCCAGTCATTCTTTCTTAATTCTCCCTGATTGGAGGGAAGAAGCGTTGTCCAATCACACACCAAACAAAATTAGTAATCTTAAGGGGTTCCATGCATGAATACCTGCTAGGTGCTAACCACAGGGTTCAATTTTGTTCATTACTCAGTGGCTAGCACGGTGTCGGGCACACACAAGTTCTTCACTAAAGCGAAGTTCTTCAATAAAGAAATGATTCCCAACACTCACAATGAACCTGGAAGTTAGGTATGATTATTTCCAATTTATAAATGAGAAGGCTAAGGCTCAGAAAGATTATCATAGTCATTTAGCTGATAAATGGTAGTTTGGTTCCTAACAAAGGTCTTTCTGGCCCCAAAGCTCATGCTTTTTCCAGAAAACCATGAAGTCATCCACCTGCCAACTCACTAAATATAGTTCATTATGTCAATAAAGATTAACCCTTTACATGGACACTTAACTGCAATGGTCTTGGTGCTGCATAACGAAGCTGTGGACTTGGGCAACTCTTCATGACCCAACTTGCTACTTCTGAGTTGCCTCCCTCTCTAGAGTTTGTCTCCTTCAGCCTATTCAATGCAGCACCTATTCATTCATTCATTCATTCATTCATTCATTCCACAAATTTTCTGGAAGTATCTACCATATGCTAGATGCTAGAGATACAAAAATGAGTCCAACGGCTCCTGCCTTCAAGGACACTAGAATTCATCACAGTATATTAGTCGCCTATGTGACTACCTTAAGGACAGAGAGAGTTGTATGATTTTTGTGGTTGTTTCCAGCTCCCAACAGAAGACCTGGCTGATGAGAGGCCCTCAGTAAGTGTTGGCTGTATTGGATTGATATGGTGTCTAATGTAATGATGAGTGTTATATATAAAGCTATGTTCCATGAGCCACAGGCATTCTTTTGGGGACATGCATATTAATTATTTTTTTCAGATCATTGAGCTGTCGTTCAATAAATGACACAACTGCCTTAATATAGAAAATTGCTAGAGGAGCTAGATTTATTTTCTTTCCTCACACTAAGAAGCAATTGTAGTAATTCCTTATGTAATAAACCAGTAAGAACTAATTTAATTTAAAAAAATTTTTTAAACTGGATTACACACAAATATGGTAGAAAGTTTTAAAAACTTACAAAAGGATATAACATTA
This sequence comes from Homo sapiens, assembly GCF_000001405.40. Lineage (NCBI taxonomy): Eukaryota > Metazoa > Chordata > Mammalia > Primates > Hominidae > Homo > Homo sapiens. The sequence goes on from NC_000010.11 coordinate 121,040,315, forward strand.
AAAATAAGTCTCCCACTTCTGGCCCTAGGCACCCAGCTTTCATCCTTAGAATGCACGGCTATTACCAGATTTCTTGAATATTATTCCAGAGATCTTCTGTAGGCACACAAGAATAAATATGTGTACTTCTATGCATGTCTGCACACACTGCCCCCCACACAAGGTGGTATACTTCGCACAATGTTCTAGACTTTGCTTTGTTCATTTAATGCTGTGCCCTAAAGACCTTTTCATGTTATGACATAGATATTATTCTCATTTTTAAATGACTGTTATACGGATCGTACCATCTTATCCATTCCTTCATTAAGGTACATTCAGGTTGTTTCCAAATGTTTGTTTTATTACTAACAAAGCCACAGTAAATTTCCTTATCCATATATCATTTTGCACTCTAACAGCTGTGAGATAAATTCCCAGATGCAAAATGTAAATAAATTTATTTCACTTTTAAAATTTAAATTTAAAATGTATTATTATAATAAATAAAATTGAATACATTCCCAGAAGTGCTGGCCAAAGGATATATGCATTTTAAGATAAATAAGATGCATTTAACGTAAATGACATAGCCTAATTGCTCTACACAGCAGTTGTGCTAATTTGCACTCCTATAGCAATGCATGACAGAAATTTTCTCCTATGGTCAAGACGACTGACTTACCAAATTTTTTTGATCTATGCTAATCTCATTGCAATTTTCATGTTCCTTTATCTTATTATGAGATCTTATTTACTTCTTAATAGTCCAGTTTAATGTTAAGAAACCATAATTCCTGTCATGTCAAAGGAACTGCGATCATAAATTTTGAGTTTATCTGAACTACTGTTCACCAGAAGTTAAAAATAACAGTGTTATTAGTTACATTTTTATATCACTGCCAATCTCAAAGTGAACTTGAGATAACTTAATAAACACACAAAACAATGAGAGAGATAGAAACAACATTTTTAAAATCAAGACAACAGAAAGTAGAGGCAAAATGGTAAAATGAAGTAAGAGGGAAGTTTAGTGAAACAAAATGCATATCTTCAGGTCCAAAAATCTACTAATTTTGGTCCACTGTTTTGGCCTTAAGCTTCTTAGAGGTCAAAGCAAAAAGGAAAATGTAATCAATTTTAAAATGTACATTGTTAAAGAAAAGAAAATCAAAAGATTTTTGGCTTTTAAATCTAAGGGAAATTCATAAGGTTTATTGCAGAAGGGACTCCAGATAGTATCTCAACAAGATTCCTAAAATGAAAGAAAAAGTAGGGGTTTTGGAGAACAAAGCTCTGACGCCGTCTATGTAGAATGCTTTCCTAGGGCCCTTTGTCTGGTAAGAGCTCCCCTTTTCCTCCGAGGACCAACTCTCTGACTCTTCATAGTCCTGGTAGGGATATCAATGACCATGCCCTATTCCTTCCACCTTGAATACTGCTGTACAACAAACCACACCAAAATGCAGAGGCTACAGGGCAGTCCTTTAGCTCGTGCATCTACAGGTAGATCATTCTGTCTGAGCTTGGCCTCACAGTTCTATTCTTGGCTGGGTTCTCTCCCAATCCAGGGGCTGTCTGGCCATTGCAGGGGCATTTGGGTATCTTGGTCCTGTCCCACAGGTCCCTCAGCCTTTAGTATGCTGGCCTGGCATGTTGTCATGGTATGGCACAGCTCCGGGAGTAGAAGCAGAGGTATGAAGATGCCTTTTTCAACCTCGGTTTGTGTCATATCTATTAATGTCTGATGGACCAGATGAATCACATAGCCACACTCAGAATGAAAAGGTGGAGAGGTGAATTTGTGGGAGGATTGCAAAATCACATGGAAAAGGCTGTGGGTAAGGGAAGTGTGAGTGCCACAACTCATCACAGGGGACAGTGATCTAGGCTTAGAAAGTGGGGAGGAAGTGCACTTTCCACTGGGTTGCCCAACTGAGACTTCGGGGAGCCATGTTTTTCACTACTTGCTGCAGGAGGGAATGGGTATTCAAAAAGAAGAGGAGAGGGGTGGATCAGACACATGCAGAAAGAAAGAGCCCGGTGCTATAAAGTCCCTGAAGCTCTTCCAGTGTGTCTGCAGGTCACTCCAGTACCCAAACCAGCCCCTGAGCTAGTACTTTTTCCTGTTTGCTATATCAGGCGGTACTCAAGAGTGAATGCTGCAGCCAGTCTACCTGGGTACAAATTCCAGCTGTGGCTGAATAACTGTGTGGCTTGGAGGCAAGTTGCCTCATTTCTTTGTGCCTCAGTTTTTTCATCTATAAGATGGGGATAATGATAATCTTACCTCTCAGAGCTGTTGTGAAGATCGAATATATTCATATTGGGAAGGACTTAGAACAGTGCCTGGCATATATTAATAAATGTGTGGTAATTATTTTTTGCTGACATTAGTTTGAATTGTGTCCCTGTCAATAGATTGGATTTCGTGGGTGGCATCTCAGGTGGATTTGATGGAAAGACAAAGCTGTCTCTCATGGGAGCTGGGCTCCTACTTTCACCCAAAGGCACTGAACTGCATCCCAATTGCCAAATCTACCAACCAAGAAACAATAAACCCAATACCTTCCACGGGAATTACCCTAATCTGTGACTGGCCTGGTGAGTGTGTCATTTATAGAGTCACCATAACCACAGAACGTGGTACATGCCAGCAATCTTCGGGGACCTTAGTGCTCCCCTTCCAGATATAGAGCGAGGTTTGCCTGAGTCCAGGACCTGGCCGAGTGGGCCAGATTGCTGTGTGGGTTTATGGAACAGAGTGTGATGATAATGGGCTTCTAGATTCTTTCGGTGCAGACTCCACCTCCCTGCCTGCAGCCAATACGGAGCCCTGACAGGAAATACAAAGCCGCTGACAGCCCCAGACTTGTCCGCACCACCATCAGGGCTCTGAGCAGCCGAGCTGGAGCCCCCTCTCCCTCCAGGTCGGCCATCCGGCTGGGTCGGCTCAGTCAACAGCAGTTTACAGTTTGGCTGACTACAGCCTGACTCCACAAGGGGAATAAAGCCCAGCATTGTGCTGGGCTTGCAACATCTTTCCCCGTCCAGAGTTCCTGATGTGTTTGTTACACAGGATCTGGTCTGAATGTTTCCTTTGTCGCAGACCTTCACGTGCTGAGGTGGGTCTGCCTTCTCCGCGGCAGTCCTGGGTTAAATAAATACATTAAGGCAACATACACGGCTTGACACTGGAGCCAGCCTCAATAACTCAAATAATTCATGTGGCAAAAGATGGAGCCTCTGTGGTTTTGAATTCATTTAAAGATGGATTTCTTTGTTCACTTCCTTTGCTCGAGGAGAACACAAACTGGGAAGGGGCCGCCATGCTCCAACTCAGCTGGCCATTTTTCTCCAGCAAGTCTGTTTGAGAGTTTCTAAATCCCGTGCAGATGAACACAGAACATGACCTTCAGCCAGTTATAGGATACCATGCTGACATCACCACATAAATATACACTCCCGAGAAAGCTGTGATTAAGCTCCGCGCAGATTTTTATCACTTTTCCAGTGCACCGGCAGGCTGCTTGTTCGCCATGCACCTTTACAAAACTCATAATATTTAGAAATGTGCTGTGTTAGCCCCAGAGGCTTAAATAAACTAAAGCCTGTGAAGGTTTTAATGTAACAAGTTACCTTCACATGTGAAATTACGAGTCTACATGATACTCAATAAGGCCAACATTGTACACACTCTGTTCTTTTGGGATCTTATGTACATTTATCCTGACATATCTGTTTCAGTTTTTTAAGAACGGAAAATATTTCTATTTCAATACCACCATACATGTTCATGACACTAAAGAATGAGTGAGATTGTATATTTAAAGAAATTCAGAGTCTCCGCCGGGTGCTATGGCTCATGCCTATAATCCCAGCACTTTGGGAGGCTGAGGTGGGCGCATCACAAGGTCAGGAGTTCGAGACCAGCCTGGCCAACATGGTGAAACCTCGTCTCTACTAAAAATACCAAAATTAGCTGGGCATGGTGATGGGTGCCTATAATCCCAGCTACTTGGGAGGCTGAGGCAGGAGAATTGCTTGAACTCGGGAGGCCGAGATTGCAGTGAGCCGAGATCGTGCCATGCACTCCAGCCTGAGTGACAGAGCAAGACTACATCTCGGAAAACAAAACAAAACAAAATATTCAGAATCTCTACTCAAGGAGTTTGTGCTTTAAGGCCAACAGAAGGATGGGTGGGAGGGTGCTGTCATTGTAATCTCCTATAAAATCACCAAGTTTTCATTTTCTTTTCTTTTCTTTTTTTTGAGACAGAGTCTCTCTGTCGCCCAGGCTGGAGTGCAGTGGCACAATCTCAGCTCACTGCTCACTGCAACCTCGGCTTCCCGGGTTCAAGCGATTCTCCCACCTCAGCCTCCTGAATAGCTGGGATTATAGGCATGTGCCACCATGCCCCGCTAATTTTTGTACTTTTAGTAGAGACAGGGTTTCACCATGTTGGTCAGGCTGGTCTCAAACTCCTGACCTCTTGATCCACCCGCCTCGGCCTCCCAAAGTGCTGGGATTACAGGTGTGAGCCATCATGCCCGGCCTTCATTTACTTTTAAAAGTGCAGATAAAAGATTTGTTTTATGAGTATAGCAGAGATTCTCAACTGAGACAATTTTGCCCCCCAGGGGACACTTAGCAATGCCTAGAGATATTTTTTGGTTGTTACAACTGGAGAAGCAGGGTACTATTGGCATCTAGAGGGTAGAAATCATGATGCCAATATCTATGTATGTATCCTTCCATACACAGGACAGCCCCCCTCAACAAAGAATTGCTCATTCCAAAATGCCAACAGTACCATGCTTCAGAAACCCTAAGGTACAGTACATTTGGGAGGAGGGGTTGGGACAGCATATGTTCTAACAGGCTGGATGACTGTAAACTTTTTAAGGTGCTATGCAAACACTAACCTTGCCTTCTAGTCAATTTACTGGCTGCTAAACATTGTTTCAAAATTCTGACTCTCCATTTATCCTAAGCACATTGCTATAAAATGCCTTATTGATGAGGCTTGCCTGGCCCAAAATCTAAACAGGGCTGCTCAAGTTTTCTCTTTTTAAAAGAGAAAAATAAAAAACTTTTCTTTTTTACTTTGAAATGATGTTAAACTAAACATGTAGTTTCTAACATAGTAGACAGTACCTTCACCCTGCTTTCCCCCAGTGACAGCATCTTACATAACTATAGTATAATATCAAAACCAGAAAACTGATATTGGTATGATACTATTAAACTACAATCTGATTTGGACTTTACTACTTTGCTCAAGTTTTAAATAATAAAACATTTTAAATTTTATTTCTCCCAAAATATTCAACTTTATTCTTGTAGAAATGCTTACCATGAAAAACAAAACAATGATGATCTTTCTGCTTCTAAATGATCCTCATTGCCAAGGTGCTACCCGTTGCGAGAAAAGAAAGTGACCGGTGGAAATAATTGGCTTGTAGTTTTATTAATCAGTCTCTACCCTCTTCAAAACAAAGACTCCCATGATATTTTCTGGCTGTCAGTGCCTTCTTGTTGTTGTTGTTGTTTTGATCGGTTTACATGTCCTTCAAAGGCTCAAGTATTGAACATTAGGACCAAAGGTAACAAATTTCTCAACCTTCACCCCCACACCCCTCACCCCGACACTACAGCCTCCTGGAAGCACTCTGCAGAACTTCCCTGCCAATATATATATATATGTGTGTGTGTGTGTGTGTTTACTGGGTTTACACCGTCGGTGCCCCTGTTTTTCAGGCCTTCAGATTCAGACTAGTACTATTGTATTATAGTACCAAGAGCAGAAGATAAATGAGATGTCCTAGCCATATGTGTATGTGTGTGTATATATATACATATATATACAAAAACTATATATATACACACACACATATATATACAAAAACTGTATATATATATATACACACACAAAAAAATATATATATATATAAACTATATATATAGTTTTTGGATGTTTTTAAGGGAATCTTTTACAAATACAAATGGAGTGCCCTGCTGCAGACCCACCCGAGGGAAGGTGGGAAGGTGTTGTCTTTACTGCCGCACAGCTATTAAGACCTTCAGGTGTAATGATCGGGATAAGATACATGCTGCTTCTACCTTCAGCATCCTTCAAGAGCATAGGAGAGGAGGCATTGTGAGGACCTGGGCCCCAAGTGGGATTCCTTATGTTGTTCTAACCTCAGAAAGAAAAATACACTCAAAGACAGCCAGAAAAAGCCCTAGCAGAGGGGCTTTAGCGTGGACTTTTAGAGCACCATCTGAGAAGGTCGGCATTCAGTGGAAGAGAAAGCCTCAGACCATGGAGAACTGAGTTCAAGGGTTGGTCCTGCCACTTTCTGGCTATGAAGCCTTGGAGAAGGCACTGAACTAAGCTTGGTTTCTCTATCAATAAAACAGTGACACTGGTATCAATCCCGGTAAATACAGAAGGTGGTGTGACGGTCGCTGACCTGCTTCATTGGAAGGTGTCTTTTATAATAGGAGAAATGAAAAAAATAGGGTGTCCTCATATAGTGAAAGTAAATAGAGCTACAGCCACACACATCAACATGAAGAAACCCTGCAAATACAAATAATACAATGTATTAATCAGATTTCTCCATGGAAACAAGGAAAGAGAACCAATATGTTATATACATATATAATATATGGATGTAATATTACATATATGTATATAATATATATGTATGTAATATTACATATGTGTATTATATATGTAATATTACATATATATAACATATTGTTCTCTTTATTAATACATATATTGTATTATATATATGCTATGTAATATATAATTACATAATTATATAATATATACATGTATAATTACATACCTACATAATACATATATGCATTACATACATATATATTACATAGCATATACACACATACATATAATATACATGTATTACATATGTATATTCATATAGTGTGTGTGTGTGTATGTGTGTGTCTGTGTGTGTGTGTATAAAATGTATTATGAGAAATTGACTCACACAATTATGGAGGCTGAGAAGTCCCATGAACCACTGATATGTTTGGCTGTGTCCTCACCCAAATCTCATCTTGAATTGTAGCTACCATAATTCCCATGTGCTGTGGGTGAGACCCAGTGGGAGATAACTGAATCATGGGGGTGGTTTCACCAATACTGTTCTCATAGTAGTGAATAAGTCTCATGAGATCTGATGGTTTTATAAGGCGTTTCCCCTTTCACTTGGCTCTCATTCTCTCTTGCCTGCCACCATGTAAGATGTGACTTTTGCCTTCTGTCATGATTGTGAGGCCTCCCCAGCCAGGTGGAACTGTGAGTCCAGTAAACTCGTTTTTCTTTATAAATACCCAGTCTTGGGTATGTCTTCATCAGCAGCATGAGAACAGACTAATACAGCTACCATCTGCAAGCTGGAGACCCAGGGGAAAAAAAAAGAGTGGTATAATATCAGTCTGAATCTGAAGGCCTGAGAACTGGGGGAGCTGATGGTGTAAACCCCACTCCCAGAGCAGAAGATGAGATGAGATGTCCTAGCTTAAGCAGTGAGGCAGGGGAAAAAAGGAGGAGCAAATTTCTCTTTCCTCCTTCTTTTGTTCTATCCAGGCTCTCAACAGATTAGATGATGACCACCAGCTCTGGGGAGGGCAGTCTGTTTTACTGAGTCCCCCAATGTAAATGCTCATCTCATCTGGAAACATCCTCACAGACACACTCAGAAATAATGTTTAACCAGCCATCTGGGCATCCTTCATCCAGTCAAGTTGACACATAAAATTAACTATCACATACAACGTTGGGCAAAAAAAGTTGTAAAAGAACACATAAGGTATGATATACCATTCATACAAACATATAAAACCATACTATATGTATAGCGTAAGGATATACATTGATGTAGTGAAAGTAGAAAGCAATGCATGAGAATGATAAGAATCCAGTTCAGGTTAAGAGTTACCTCTGGAAAAGGGGGAGGGCAGGGAAGGAGATTGAGGAAGGTATACATGATGGATTTAACTGTGCTGGCAATATTTATTTCTTAACCTTGGAGGGTGGCTATGTGAGATGCCTTCCATTATTCTTGATAGATTCTTTAAATGTCTTTAATATTTCTAAATGCTCAAGTTTTTTTTTAATTGCTATCATTGTTGACAGAGGCCTTGAGTGTGGAATACAGTGTGTGGGTTGAGAACATGGGGCTGGCCTGAATGAGAACTCCATCACATTGTTACCCTGGGCAATTGCTTAAAACTGGCCTATGCCTTAGGTTCCTCATTTGTCAAGAGCACCTACTTCATAATATGACTTGGGAGGCTTAAACAAGATAATGTTTAAAGCTCACTCACCACCATGCTTGATGCATAATCACCTCTCAAGAAACGTTAGATTTTAGCTACTGCACAGTACATGAGATTACCTGATCATCATGATAACTCATCGATTGACAATGGAGTAACACTGTGTACAAATAATATAGATGCTTCCATCTTCTGCTAATTGTAACGTAATATTTAGGGCATAGAATAATGTTATTATTCCAACCTCAGATTTATGAGCCAGAACCTTACTTGACTAACTTAGGTCACTCCGCTGAAATATCTTGTGGGGAGATAGTTGAATCTTTGTTTGGATTCTTGCCAGTGGCCATAAAAATTCTTTGCCACTCAGTAAGGTTATGTGTTATAGCCATGTAGGAACTCTGGATATCAGAACTTTCACTTTTTGGCTGTGCCAGGTAAACCTAAATTTAAGATACCTTCAGTGGTTTTAAGATTTATGGCATCAAATTCTAACCTCCTGGCCCCAGGCCCATGCAAGCTATGTTTCTTACCTCTATATAATGTTACCCTCGGTAGCCAACTCACAAAGCAAGGTGCCTGGAATGATGTTAGCTTCAATGCCAAAATATCAGTGAAATGGAAAAGACCTTAATAACTGTAAGCCACATTTATGTCTCTATATTCTCCAGCATTTGAGCCAATGTGGAGATATTTCCCTTTGCCCTGTTACCCTCAAGTAATCTTGTTAAAATCTGAGAGAGCCTTGCTATCTTAAAACAGCCCTGTCCTCTGGAGTTGACCCACCAATTGCTGGGCTTTCTCCTTAACAAACAGAGCAGAGGAGAGTGGATTACAACATGAAGCCTCAAGTGACCAAAGAAAGGTAAATGTCACCTACCCCTGCCATCTGCAAGGCTAGACATCCCCCATTTAATCTGTTTTAAGAATGAAAGCGTCTGTCTATTCTTAAACAGCACAGTCCTCCCAGCCTTTTCTTGGGCCTATAAATGTACTTTTTACATGTAGGTCTGTGAAGTAGGGCCTTGTTGATTCAACATCTGGAACTACTCAGGTGGTTTGTCTCTGCTGACTTTATGAACAATAAAAGCAAACCACTGGATGATTCCTGGATATTTAAACTCGGGGTATAGGCATCCTGGCCTCATTGCTGACAAACACAAGATTTTAATTTTTCCTACTAGAGCCAAATGCAACAAATGTGGTTATGAATAGAAGGCTAAGTGTTCTCCTTAAAAATAGGCTACTTGTCTGAGGTATAATTTTATTTATTTATTTTTCTTTAATCAGCTGAATTTAAGATTCATCTAAGGTATGGTTTTTTAACTGTGGGGCACATAACTCAGAATTTCCAAAGTCCTTGCAAATCTCGAGTCTGTTCTCAAACCCAACTACAGTCCCACTTCAAAGAAATAGACTCAAGTTGATCACTTTCTAACTATAGTTTCTGCAAAGACTGAGAAGAAACCTATCATACTACTATGGAGACACCACAGTCAACCCCACTCCTGGAACTACTTAATCAACACCATTTTTTGTTATGTGGGGAAAGACTTCTCTAAAGTGATCCTAGGCTGTTTTCAGCTAAGATTCAATTTTATGAATATCCTTAGAAATGTCACCAAAACCAAGAAGAATGAGTCATTGAGGCCAAGTATGGGAAAGGAAAAACCAACTGCATAGACTGGATTGGAAAATATAGAAAAATATGTGACTGTGCTGTGAAAATATCACCTGGTAGTCATAGTATATTATAAGCTGATATAAATAATACAATGTCATAATGTTATAAAGTGCTAAAATACATGGTTCATTAAGAGTCTTAAGATGAGGTATCAACAGAACTTTTAACATGGACCTCTGGGAACAATGCTAACCTACTATACTCTAAGACTCTCTAGGATAAGAATCACCTTTCTTTGTCTCTGTCTTTCTTTGTCTCTCCTCCAAGCACCACGTCTGGTCCACAGTAGGTACTTACTGCATGTTTCATTCTGGATTGCAAGTGCTAGAAATGGCTTTATGACTTTATTAAGTAAAATGTTAGCAAAACTACAATGTTTCGAAGAAGTACCTTGACACCTGCCTACTCCATGGAAATTTCAAAATGCAGACCCAAAGAAAGATATTGTGATCCTCCTCACAATTTACTAACAAGAAATAATCCCTCATGTATACACCGATCATGTTCAGGAAGGTGACTTGGGAAAATAGTTGTTTGGAACTGGAGTCCCCTCTGTTTCACTCTGCCCAGCAGCCAAGATGGTCTTTTCTAAATGTGGATTGTGTCATCTCACTGTCCCACTTTCAAGGGCTCACCATTGTCCTTTCCTTAAGGCTAAAAATCTCCTCCAGAACCTGCCTCCTGCCTAATCTGCAGCTCCTATTCTTAATATACTCCAGGAGCACTGGTCTCCATCATGTCCATATAAAAAGACCAGACTCTGTCTTCTCACATGGCCTCTGCATTTGAGCTTCCATCTGCCTATTTATGTTCTTTACCCACTTCTGCATGTTGTTAGCTCCCAAACATCTCAATACAAATGCTACCTCCTCAAAGAGGTCTCTTCTGAGCACTCAGCCCAGAGAAGTTCCCACCAGGCCATTGGATGTTCCTCAATATCACATCCTCTTGTTTGTTTACTTCTCATGTTGCAGGGGGCAGCACCAGGAAAAGAGTAGAAATGGTGGGAAACATGGTTAACAAAGTATTTGGTTTGGGCCAAATTTCATAAGGCCTTCAGCGTCAGTGATGGAGTTCAGATGGTATATGGGGAGAAATCTGGCATCAGCTGGGGCAGTTTTAGGACTGGATCATATTGCAGTGTTGACAAGAGGTCATGCTGAAGAGACTGGAGGCAGGAAGCTCCTCTAGAAGCCACTGTAATAGTCCAGTTAGAGGTAGTGATTACCCATATTAAGGCAATTGAGACAAGATAACGAATAGGAGATACGGTTGAGTTAAACAATTCCTGATCTTAAGGAACCTATCTATCAGGGAGTGAAGTTAAGGTTGAAATAACTGAACTGCAAAGCCCTGTAAGGGAAGAACTCCAAGAGAGACACCTCAAAGGAGAATGGTTCCCCATGAATGGTCCTACTAAATTGACATCATTTCCTCCCTCTCATTATTAAAGCAACGACAATCTCATTCAGTTTCTCTTTGAGCCTCATGACTTGTCTCTGCAATTTCAGTAAAGTTTGACTTGACTTTTATTTTCCTGTTTTCCTTTTGAAATTAGATCACTCTTCCAGATTGTTCCAACAAGATTTCAAAGTAAAGCTATGGAGGGTTAAATGTCAAGCCTTTTAAAGATCTAGCACAAACTTGAAAGAGACTAAATTTTTCAAAAGTATGCTATTTCTCAGCTGCTGAGTCTGATGTAAAAGTTGAAAAGGAAAACAAATAGTTATCATAAGTGCCTTTTCCTTTACTAGGTAAATATATGAACACAACTTGCTCTACAGATGAAGTTAACACATACACAGATGGCAGAGGGAAAACTGGAAAGGCAACAGAAAAAATATCACTGTAGATAATGATTGTGTATGTACAAGACGAAAATGGCCAATTAGTGCTATTATAGCACATGATTGAATATTTGCAAAAATTTTTTTGATTCAGCACTTAACTTTTAATATTTGTGATGTAGCCTGAGAACGCTTATGAAGCTAATCACTGGAGAATTGTATAATTCAAACTCAATTAGATAAAATTGCTAATTGCTTTGAATCCAGTGACAATTATACCGTTAATAATATTATTAAATTGAGACCATTGTAAATAACTTCTGGCTACCAAAGGAAGAAGGAAGAGATAAGACCCGCAGTAATAGAGCAGAGTCAGGCAGGTCTGAGCTCTAATCTCTGATTTATTACTTATCAGCCATGTGACTCTGGACAAACTGTTTACTCTCTATGAAGCTCAGTTTCCTTATCTGTAAGATGGGTTTAATACTACTACTTGCTTCCTAGGGCTGTTGTAAGGATTAAATTATATATTTGTGCAATGTGCCTTGCACATAAAACTCCTCAACAAATAAGAGTTTTCCTTCTCTTTGGGACCTGAACAAGACAATGACACTTGGTGCCTCAGTTTCTCGCTGTGCAAGATGACTGACTGCAGGCACTGAATTACTTGGTGAGGGGGATGCCATGATATTTGGTAAAATGAGCACCAGCTTATAGTGAATATTGTAATTGCCAAAAATTTTGCTGGCTGTCATTCTAAAGACCATGTAGTTTCTATCTTTTCCAAAAACTAAGGCTAAGTCTATTAAATAAGTTCATGAGGCTTTAAAAGTATTACTTATTACTTCTGCAAAAGATGAGAAAACAAGAGATAATGCAATAACTAACTCAAAATTTGGGTTTGATTAAGATGACCTGGAATGTACAGAGACAACTGTGAGACCAAAGAAATTTTTCCTATGGTCATTAAACCAAAGAGGTTTTGGCTATACAAATCATTTATACTTAACACTTGTTTAATAGGTTGGCGATGCCTTTTAATAAGTATCAAGTATGAAATGTAATGGGAGAGTTTTTAGAAAATGTGTGATTTCATACACCTACCAAGGAATGCCTCGCATTTTATAAAGTCCTCTGTAGGTTCTAAAACACTTTCACTGGCATGACCTCATTGAATCCCTGTTATGCCCCTTTAAGCCTCTTTAACTGATGAGAAAACAGAGATTCAAGAGATTCAACCACTTGCCCAGCTGGTGTGTAGTGGAACTTTGGCCCAAAATCAGGTCTTCCAAGGCCAAGTCTGACGATCTTCTCAGTACTGCAGAGTTACTTCTACATGATTGATATCTAATACCGAAGTTAGAAAAGAAAAAAAAAAGTATAATATGGGCTGAATTGTGTCCCTCCAACATTTGTGTGTTGAAGCTCTAATCCCCTAGTACTTTAGAATATGACTGTATTTGGACAGGGCCCTTAAAGATGTGATTAAGTTAAAATGAGGCTGAAACAGTCGCCCTCAATCTGATTGGTGTCCTTATAAAAGAAAACTTGAATACACAGAAAGACACCAGGGATGTGTGCACACAGAGAAGGTCATGTGAGGACACATCAAGAAGGCAGACATCTGCAAGCCAAGGAAAGGGGCCTCAGGAGACACTCAACGTCCTGACACCTTAACCTTGGACTTCTAGCTTCCAGAACTGTGAGAGAATAAATTTCTGTTGTTTAAGTCCCCCTACTCACCCCCTACTCCCGCCCTTCAGCCTGTGGTCTATTGTTATGGCAGCCCTAGAAAACTAACTGACAGTAATACAAGATGAAGAGAGCTTACACCAAAACTAACCACCCAACATTAAAAAATGAACAATTAATTTAACTATATTTGTTATGATTTAAAATATTTCTCTCTTTCAATCTTCCCATAAATACAAGTCAATTTTCACCTTGGGATGTTTATTGGTCAGGGTCCAATCAGGAAACAGAAACCACACAGTAATTTAAATAGGAAAAGTTTAACATAGAGATTTATTAACTATAAAATCAGATTAGGGTCATGGGGGATGGGCTACTACTGGATAAACAGAACTCTAAGAAATATAGGAATGGCAGGTGTAAGGAGCAGTTACCACACCTAAGGCTTATGGAGAGAGCCTGAGGTAGAGCCTCCGCCCCATCCACCTCAGTCTCGGGGCTGAATTCCAGACCTTGTTGGAGAAGGCATGGCCATGGCTCACTGGATGGCAGGGAAGCTGCTGTGGTGCTGTACAAGAAGAACCTGCTGGAAACCTGCCCTTGAGAGTGCCAGGGAAAGCTGTTCACAGAGCGTTGTCTCTATGACACAAGGCACTAGACTATGAGATTGCCCTGTGGGGAGACAAGGCAAAGCTCCTGGCCACTGGGTACTGCTGACCATGTACCCTGAGGGGATTGGGGCTGGGAAAGTCACCATTACTGCAGGTGCTGGACACTGCTGAAGCCCTTGGGGCCACCAGAAACCTGGTGCTAAAGAAGCCCTGCCAGGTGCACAAGACAAGTGAGCTCCCAGAACCGGTAAGAAAAACCCCCTCCTCCTGCAGCATCTCTCCAGCACCTTCCACTAACACAGCCTGGTATTATACCAGCTGGAAAGGGCAACATATTTAAAGGGCTCTCTCCATTCTCCAAGGGCAGGCAACGAAGGGTGAATCTGGAGCTGAGAGGCATGAATAACTGGCACAGGATGACACACAGTTGTACTTAATGTGTGAGTCTCATGGTACTCAGGTAACTAAAGAATCTGTATCAATATTCCAAATCCTGTTGAAAGCGGTACCAAGGGACTTGTTGATATTTGGGGAAGCTTCTCCAAAGATAGGTATAGAATTTTCAAAGTGCAAAGGAAGGAAAAATAATGAAGGGCAATCTGAAGAAACAGGCTACCACAATCCAAAGCCGTGCATTCTTAACTGGAATCTTTTGTCCCAAACAATGAATATGAGTTCACGAGGTTGCACAATGCATAACGTGACCCAACTGCAGCATGGTGTTCCTGGATTTTAATCTCCTAAACTTCCTTGTTAATAAAGTTATGTTTGTCTGCATCACTATATTTACAAGTTAAATATTTAAAACCTCAGTCATCTTGGAATTAGCAAATATTTAGTGCCGATATGTTTTTTTCTTAATTAACTCTAAACTAGCTCAATTTATTTCAAATCATAATTATCTCTAAAGATTTTTATTTATGAGGGGAAGAGATATACCAAAGACTACTCCAAACTTACAGGAATTAGATCAGAAGTCTTACAATTTTCTCCAAATTTTCTTCATGGCTGCCTCAAAGAGAAATCATGCTATACTCTATATTTTCTGCAGTAAAGCCAAGGATATGGGAGGGAAAAAAAGGGGAAAGAGTCATGGAAAGCCAGCTTCTTGCTGAAACTCCACTAGGTGCCCTGCTGGAATCTCCCTTGAAAGAGGTAAGTTGGAGGGAAACCATTTTTCCCATTCTCATTCTTCCCCAATGTCTGGAGTGATCAAATGCAAAACACTAGGAATGTCTGGTTTTTTAAAGGAAACAGCTGAAGGCATACTCTTGTTTAAGGATGATGTAAGAAGCAAGAATTTCAGTTCTATTTCCCTCTTGTTTTGCTTTCTTGTTTTTGTTTGTTTCTTTTCTTATATTTGGTTGCTTTGGTTTGTGTTGGAAATTTAGAGGGTTGAACTGTTTGGATAACTTAGTCACTCACACCTAGGAGAGAGTGTACTAATGGTGCAAATTGTAAACTAGCAATACGAATAGAATTTTCTCATTTCTCCGACTAACCCAAGAATTTGGATGCAATCAGGATGCCCATTAGGCATTTATATTTTCAATGGATTATAAATTTTTTTTTGGAATAATGAATTTTGCATTAGCCCTATAAAGGGAAATTAAAGTCTACAATTTATAAATACAGGTGTGCTAGCACATTAGGGTATTTTATAAACATGGACTTTAACTTTGTAATAAAATTTTTTTTTCATCAATTTCTAGACTAGGAGATTTGTAGAAGGGGGAGATTGTAATTTTTGAGATGATCTGTTGTAGCTGATGAGATGATCCCTTTATTAGTAAGGAAATGAAGATCCAGTCCGGATCACCTGACTTATGTGGTTGGAGTTTATATTCTTCTTCTTCTTTTTTTTTTCTTTTTTTGAGACAGTGTCTCACTCTGTGGGCCAGGCTGGAGTGCAGTGGCACGATCTCAGCTCACTGCAACCTCCACTTCCCGGACTCAAGCAATTCTCCTGCCTCAGCCTCCCAAGTAGCTGGGATTATAGGTGTGTGCCACCACGCCCGGCTAATTTTTGTATTTTTAGTAGAGACAGGGTTTCACCCTGTTGGCCAGACTGGTCTTGAACTCCTGACCTCAGGTAATCCGCCCACCTCGGCCTCCCACAGTGCTGGGATTACAGGCGTGAGCCACTGTGCCCGGCCTGTATTCTTCATTTTCTAACCATATCTTCTCTCCTCCTCACTTTGCCTTTTGGACTTGAGATAATAGCATAGATAATCTGGGTTTTCACAAAGGACCTTTCCCCTGGTGCCTGGTGGCATCTACATT
The DNA here is from genome assembly GCF_000001405.40 of Homo sapiens. Lineage (NCBI taxonomy): Eukaryota > Metazoa > Chordata > Mammalia > Primates > Hominidae > Homo > Homo sapiens. Next base: position 121,056,668 of record NC_000010.11, read on the forward strand.
TTCTGTGTTGCTGAAATAAATGTGTGTCTCACTGCATCAGGCTGTCAAAACATGCTGGGCACTGATGAACTGCAGAATCTTTTCCTCTCATACTGTGGAACCGGGCATAGGACCCAGCAAGAAAATGAACCCAAGAACCCGCTCCATCCAGCAGCCATGCCAGAAGCACCAACTAAATCTAAAAACCACAGATCCAATTAACTCCCTTTCCTGGAAGCACCAAAAAGACATAATCTTGTCAGCACCCCCTTGTCATGAGCCCAGATCCAATGTTCAATATTCTTTTTATTTTCCTAGAGCCTTCCAAAATAAAAATTATTTCAAGGCCACTCCCTGTCACCGTTTTCCACATTCTTAACAGAGGTATGTTGTCCATGCTCCACAACAACTCTTCACTGATAGGACAGTATTTGTTTTTAATTTCTGTATAGTATTATGATTGGTTCTTGTGTGTTTCATAATTAATTGAACATACATAGCCAGATTCATTATAGAGAGCAATGTGAGTAAAGACATCCCAGGAATTTTTTTCCTGCTGGAAATATGAAAGATTCATCTTCCCAATTTTTTCCTGATCACCTGAGAGCCTACGCAGCAGAGATATTAAATTCCATCTTGTGACATAACACCAAAAGCATTTAGCGACATCCTCCCCTGAACAATGCTCAACGAGACTGCACTTCATGACAAACTTTATTCCCCAATCATATGAGCCAGATCACAGCTCAAAAAAACATGTCCTCAAACAGATGGGCTCTTGCAAAGTGTTTTCCTATAGATCATTTTCACTTTTCTCTGTTTTCTTTTCACTTTCCTGTCACATAAAAATTGGATCATAGGCTGATTTATCTCAGGGGCAATAGGGCACAACTTGTGTTATGTCTAAGATGGTTTCGTGCGACTTTTATCAACAACAGCCAAGGACAGAAGAAAGTTTCTTGTTACTAAATTACCCTGAAAGTGATGAAGAGTTTTATTGATTACAAAAATTTAAGTGTGAAAATTGTACCACGATGTTACTACAAACACATTTTCTTTTCAGAAGTTTCAGAGTATTAAATGGACGTAGTGCCAACTAAAACAGAGCTGACTATTTGATTTGGGGCATGATTTTCTCAGTGAAAATATTACTTATTTGGAGAGTGGTCCAGGCCAACTTTGAAGTCTAACAGAAGGAGAAAAGCTGCAAGGATGGGGTGAATCAGGCCCTGAAGTTTATCTGGCTGTACAACTCAGATCAAATCAAGAGCTGGCCCACTGCTTATTGACCGCTGACCTCTGGACTGAGACTTCCAGAATGTTCCCCAGCATGGTGGTCATGGTGGCAGTTTTTGTTTACCTTCAAGCAGGATGTTTTGAGAGCCGGTTGAGAAATGATGCTAATTTGTATGGCAAACTTTCAAGTCGAAATTGTCTGTGGGTTTTCTGCTGCTTATTGAAATCTGAACTAAAAGCAAAACCTATGATTTCTGCCACTCGGGTTTAATAACAGAAAACAAAGCAATCACATAAACAGACCCCTTTTATTGACTAGAGGCCCCAACTTCTCCCTTCTTGAAACATGAGTCATTGGGAAATAGAACTTATACCATAAGCAGAAACCGGATACCCTTAGAATCAGAAGTATCTCCAACACTAATTGGATTAAAAATCACTAAGCGCTCTCACAGACTGGAGCATTCAAATCAAATTAGCCACCATCTTATTTTGTGAAAATAAAGAATTAGTGCCTTGTGTGTACATTTTCATCACAAGTTAATGAGGGACGTAGCATGACTGAAACTGCTCACGTTACCGGAATTCAGATATCACCAAATGCCCTTTTCTTTTTTCTTTTTCTTTTTCTTTTCTTTTTTTTTTTTTTTTTTTTTTTTGAGACAGAGTATTTCTCTGTCATCCAGGCTGGAGAACAGTGACATGATCTCAGCTCATTGCAACCTCTGCCTCCTGGGTTCAAGTGGTTCTCCTGCCTCAGCCTCCTGAGTAGCTGGGACTACAGGCTTGCACCACTACCCCCAGCTAATTTTTGTATTTTTAGTAGAGACAGGGTTTCGCCATGTTGGCCAGGCTGGTCTCAAACTCCTGACCTCAAGTGATCTGTCTGCCTTGGCCTCCCAAAGTGCTGAGATTACAGGCGTGAGCCACTGTGCCCGGCCCCTTTTCATTTTTTTTCATGCAAAAGCTGAACTGGAATCCTAAAGTTCTCCAGCTGAATTCTTTCCTAAGGTAGCAAGGCAGAACTCCTCACTTTGCAAATGAGAACATGGAAGTCTAAAGAGTCTGTGATGAGCTCTAGACCTTGCAGTGGTTTGACAGCAACACATACAGGTAAGACCCAGCTGTCCTCACCTGCAATGCTGTATGTGCTCTGGTGATTCCACTAGTGTTTCCTTGAGATAAAGGGAGATGCAGTGATCATTCCAAGTGGGAGTGACCCATCGAGCAGCCCAGCTACTGGCTTTGGGTAAACCAGAGCCCTGTGATCTTCCTGGCTCATAATATAATATGATCCACATCAGCTCCTCACAGCAATCCACTGATGCAGGAGGAAAGAGAGCAAAGGCCAGGCAAGCAGGCAGAGGACCTCTGCTTCTGGTTAGAACGTAAGAGAACGGGAAAGACCTTTGTTTCTGAGAGAACTACAAGAAAAGCTGGGACAAAATAAAAAGTGTGCTTCTCTACCAGGCTAGTTAAGAGCAGTGGGATGCAAGAAATCTTGGATGACCTGAACTCCAGAGAGAAGTGAGACCTTTATGGTGAGCAGCTTCCACACCTGCGGGAGGGAGTCAGATCCCTGAATTACAAGATGGAGGAGGGTCCTGCTGGAGCCAGGGAGACTCTGCAGGGATGGGGAGAACTCAGCTGAGCCTGACTGTGCCAGCTGGCAGGGTGGATGGCATCTGGAGGAGCCCCAAACAAAGCACTCAGCCCAGTAATTCAGCCTGCCTAGACCACACCCAGTCCCAAATTTTGTTGAGGAGGTGGCAGTGGAAGAGAAACTGGAAAACATGCCCCGTGGTGCTTGGATTCAGAAGCCCAGAGTTTACCTCACGAGGAACCAAGGGCATCTGGAATCGCAGCTTAACCCCTTCTTACCTGAAATACTGACAAGATCAGCAAGGTATCTCCACTGATACTGAAATGCAGAGCACCCAAAAGGGCAAATATGCGAGTCACTATGAAAGGCTGCTTTTCATCATTGCTTTAAAAGGTAATTGTTCAAGGCACAAATAATAGCAATATGCTATGGGATTTATGGGGTTTATAACATATGTAGAAGTAAAATATATGGCATCATAGCACCAAAGATGGAGAAGCAGGTAAATGTGAATATACCATTAAAACCTTGTATCTGGGCCAGATGCAGTGGCTCATGCCTGTAATCCCAGCATTTTGGGAGGCCAAGGTGGGTGGATCATGAGGTCAGGAGATTGAGACCATCCTGGCTAACACGGTGAAACCCCATCTCTACTAAAAATAAAAAAAAAAAAAAATTAGCTGGGCGCGGTGGTAGATGCCTGTATTCCCAGCTACTCGGGAGGCTGAGGCAGGTGAATGGCATGAACCCAGGAGGCAGAGCTTGCAGTGAGCCAAGATCATGCCACTGCACCGCAGCCTGGGTGACAGAGCGAGACTCCGTCTCAAAAACAACATCATCATCAACAACAACAACAACAACAAACCTCGTATCTGACGTGGTAGAAGGTTAATTCAGTGCATTTTATATTAAGGTTGCAAATTATAATCACAAGAGCAATCATTTCAAATATAAAACAAAGGGGCTATTTTATTTTTAATCTCTTTTCTTCTCTCTCATTGGAGAGAAAAAGTGAAGGGACATGCTGCCCAGATGTGCCATCAGGATGGGAGCACTACTTCCCCTAGCTGCTGCAAGATGTAGATATTGTAGCCTCTTGCTGAGCCCCTCTCCAGAATTACCATTGGTCCTAAGAAGCAGTCTCACCCAAAGATACATCCCTTACCTGGAGGCAGCCTGCATCCTATTACTCACTGATGAAGGGGCACAGGGTTCCAGCCGTCTTGCCTCAACTGGAAAGAGTCCAGTTCCAGAGCTCCCCACAGGATTGGCTGAGTCTGCTGTTGCAACTGGATCATAGTTTATTCCCCCTGCCCACTTCTGCTTCCCTCACCCCTCGCAGGGGCTGGTCCTGAGACCACTCATAGGAAACCTCCTGCACACAGTCTGTTTTCTGGGGAACTTGACCTATGAACGTTGGTCCCAGCAGCATGTTGGAGCTGTCATCTGCTAGCTGCTTCAGTGAAGACCTCATCACTGGTGGTAGGCACTTGCAGTTATGATTCACTTGTTAAAATTTTCACTGGTGGTGAACTAGGACATGATACTTGGGAAGAAACTGCTCTGGCAGATGCGAGATCTCAGGTGTTTAAGAGTTTTGGGGGAAATAGTAATTATAAGAACTATGGAATCAGATGGTTGTTGCTAGAAGCTGTTAATTCATTGGAGAAATTTAATAAAAGACTAAGTGATTAAACACCAATATAAGGCAAGGTACACATACCAGAGGACCTCTTGGCTTTTATATGAAGCCTATGAAAAGACTATTATCCTCTGCAACTGCAGGGCAGATACAGCTGAGAAGCAGGCCCCAGGTTTAATTATAAGAGTAGAAATACTGAAAGCAACACTGAAGTTTAGTCCTGGCAGGTCGGCTAGGCCAAAGTCAGTTCTATGATTAGGAAAGAGTGGGATGGGGACATTTGGGTTCATATATTAAAACATCTCAAGTTCTCAAGTTCCCAGATCCTCTGGAATTCTCTAGGCCTGGAATAGTATCCTACTCTTCTCCTTAAAGGCTAATGCCTGCTTTTGCATGAAGATGATGATGAGGTTCTGCTTTGCAAGACAATGCATGACAACTCCCTCCTTCTCCCCTCAAAAATCTACTCTTGGCCACCAGACCCATAGGTAAGGTCAAGCCACAACATATTCTAGCCAGAAAAGTGTAAACGTGCTAAGGGAAGAAACGAACTATAGCCCAGAGAGCTGTGGGACCCAGCCAATATGTCCTACAAGTGCCACAAGCACATGTGCAGGAGGGAATAGAGAGACTGCTGGACAAAGTGGGATGAAATGCAAAGCTGGATGGGGAAAATGTATTGCTATGGAAGCACTCTCCTTTGATGCAACATTTAACATCCTGGTAAGGACCCCAGGAGTTGGACGCTTAGAAAATGTGATGCCAAGTCAAATGGAGATGTCAGATCATGGAGGATGGGGAAGGAAGGGATGAAAGGCTCAGAAAATAGGCAAGCTAGAGTGGATATACCATACAAGGCCAGAGAACCGAACAGCTGATAGGTTTTTTTTTCACAAGAGGGCCTAGAAGAATGCTGTATTTGCCAAAGCAAGAAGAATACGCCGGTGAGAGGGCAAGTGTCATGAAGAAGCTCAGTGGGTGCTCTTCTCTGAAGGTCAAGACTATTACAGGATATCCAAAGGTAGATGATATAGGCCTGGGCTCCCTAGTAACAATGGGACTGATAGAGGTAGCACTTACTGTCCAATGCAAGGTGTTTGTAGTCATCATAATGTAATTATCATAAGGGGCAGCAAAGTGGGTGTGACAGCTAGTGGGATCTAACCCACAAAGAGCTACGGAAATGGTAAAAAGAAATTTGCATTCGAGGGGAAAAACAGGCAGCCAACAAAGTATTATTGCTCAACCTCTACAACTAAAATAAACCAAGGATGGCTCATCAGGAAGCTGAGGGCAAGACGGACTGAAGAAGAAGCTAATCTCCCAGACCTTCCTCCAAAGGGACCTGCAGCCATTTCCTTGGGTAACTGGACTCTGGGGAGGGTAAATGCCCAAACATTTTGAAGATGTTGGACACGGATTGTTGTTGACATTGATACCTGGGGACCTGAAACAAGAATGAACACTCCATTAGAGGGGGTGAACATAAGACCCAGATAATAAATAAAGTCCTGAACAAAATTCAGTTCACAGTCAGCTCAGATATGTCTTCTGAGTAGGTATACCGGGCTGGCAAAGGCAGTCTAATGAAGGCAATCATGGGTTCTAGATTTAGGATGGCAAACCTCACCATACAAATGGCAGGATTACACCTGCTGGGCATGAAATAGTAGGTAATAGCTGCTTCCCCTAACTGCTACAAGAGGTAAATACTGTAGCCTCTGCTGAACGCCTCTCCAGAGTTACCCTTGGTCCCAAGAAGCAGTCTCACCCAAATATACAGCTTATATTAGAGCATGAGCTTTGAAACCAGACAGAGGTGTATTCACATCCCAGTTCTGCCACTCAGTAACTAGGATTCTTGACAAGGTAACCTCTCTGAGCCTCAGTTTTTTGATCTTTAAAATGGGAATATTACTAACATCTTCATAAGGTTATTTTCACATGTAGAAGAGACAATAAGTGGTTAACCCTCAGCCCAATGCTGGGCACTACAGAGATGGCAGCTGTTATGATGAGAGTTACTGTGAAAAGGGTTTGGAAATTTGCAGCAATGCGTTCCGACCATGAAGTCTTGGACACACCAATTTGGATGGTGGTTGCAGAAGTGTGTGCTGCTGCCCAGGGGTGTTGCTGTGGAAGGACCTTGACAGGCAATGGGAGGCAGGAGCTCCGCAAACATGAAAATGTCACAGGAACCTCTGAGATGTGTCACCTGGAGCCACAACAGATGACAGAGATGGCAAAACATCTGCTTTAGTTTTGTTCAGAGCAAAGAGCTCAAGAAAAGTGAGGATCAAATTCTACAGAACTGTTCCCATTCCCTTCTTGTCTCTCTTTTCCTGGCTCAGAATGATCTTGACAATGAAGAGGCAGTAGGAGACTTACTACCTCTGTAGCCAGAACAAGCTGAAAACAGAAGCAGGCCTCGGGGCATTGGGTTCACTTAGAGGATGATTGATGCTGAGATGCTTCAGTTATTCAGAATCCAGCAATCTGGTAACCTCGTGTATCCGGGATGTTATAGAAAATGTGGAAGTAAGTCTGCAAAACATCTCAGGTGTCAAAAGAGAAATATCAAAGTATACTCACAATATGCAAGGAGAGAAGAGGAGAGGCCCTTTCCCTGAGCCCTCAGTAAGGCTTATCTGTTTCTATTTTCCCCACAGCGGTACAAGCTGCTTCCCTGTCCTGACAAGCACAATAAAAGGTGCAAACCTGAGGAACGTGGGGACCTCACAGAGGCAGGCGCAGCCGGCTCATCGAGATGTGTGGACAGCAGAAAGCGAGTGAGGCAAGAGAAAATCAGCACAGGGTAAACATCAGAGATCAAAGGGCAGCAGCTGGAGTCACTGGGTGGAGAAGCAGCGCAACTGTGGCTTACCCAGGCAGCCAGGGTTCCAGGAGATTCTTCTAGGCCAGAGCTCTGACATATTCACCAAACAGCTGACAACTTTGCCTTTTGCATGGGAAATAAGTGGAAATGAATCTTGGCCATCCACCACTGGTTTCGAAAAGATCCAGGCAAGGTCTGTGTGCACCTGCCACACAAAAATGAATTTCATGTGATTGCAACAAACAGAACAATAGTGCAAGCAAAATTCCTAGGAAAACTTTTGTCCAGAGGTAATGCCAGCTGGTTGTAGCATTGCAACTAAAGTTCAGAGAGGGACTCACTCATTCCACAGGGCTCCAGTGGGGTTTTGGACTTACAACTGGATGTCATCACCTCTGCGGGTGCCTGAATAATGACTCTCATAGATTTTCAGGGTTATACTCTGGAACAACTTGTAGTTGTTATTAATACCTTACATTACAAAACGGGTTTTGCAGATGTGATTAAGGTAAGGATTTTGAGATGGGGAGATTATCTTGGATTATCTAGGTGGGCTCTAAATGTAATCACAAGGATCCTTATAAGATACTTATAAATATGAGGAGGGGGAAGAGAGATGACTATAGAAGAAGAAAAGGCAATATGGTGGCAGAATTCTGGGACAGATGGTGGGAGGTTGGAAGATGCTTTTCTACTGGCTTTGAAGATGGAGGAAGGAGTCATGTGCCAAGGAATACAGGTGGCTGCTAGAAGCTGAAAAAGGCAAGAAACAGTTCTCCCTGGGAGCCTCCTGAAGTAACCAACCAAACATTGAAAGGGTAGAGGGAAGTGTTCAGTGTTGGTCAGACATGTGAAAAAATAATTCATGATCCATTCAGAAACTGATCACCATACACTTATCAGTTAGAGGGCTAAAGCTAGTGTAGCAACATTTAGAGAATGTATAATATCTGTTTTTTTTTTTTTTTAAGACAAAGTCACTCTGTTGCCCAGGCTGGAGTGCAGTGGCATGATCTTGGCTCATTGCAACCTCCACCTCCCGAGTTCAAGTGATTCCCCTGCCTCAGCCTCCTGAGTAGTTGGGATTACAGGCAAGCGCTACCATGCCCAGTTAATTTTTGTATTTCTAATAGAGACAGGGTTTCATCCTGTTGGCCAGACGGGTCTCGAACTCCTGACCTCAGGTGATCTGCCCGCCTCAGACTCCCAAAGTGCTGGAATTACAGGCATGAGGCACTGCACCCAGTGTATAATACCATTTTTAATGTAATATCATTTTGTATCGAGAAAAAAGGAACAACAGAAAAATTCTGACTGGCCTCCATATCTCTTGGTGGCCCACATTTTCAACTTCCTCAGTTAATTTTTTCCACCTTTTTCTTCAATGGCTTGATTGAGATCTATTTCACATACCTTATAATTCACATACTTTAAAGTATACAATGCAGTAGTGTTCAGTATATTTACAAAATTTTGCAACCATCCCCATTATCTAACTCCAGAACATTTTCATCACCCTAAAAAGAAAGCTCATGTGCATTGGTAGTCACTCCCCATGTTACCACAGCCCTCATCCCTAGGCAATCATTAATCTACTTCCTGTCTCTATAGACTAACCCATTCTAGACATTTTATGTAAATGGAATCATACAATATGTGGCCTTTGGGTCTGGCTTCTTTCAGTTAGCATAAAGTTTTTAAGGTTCATCCATGTTTATCAGTATCAGTACTTCATTCCTTGTTAAGGCTACTATTCCATTGTATGGATATACCATGCTTTATCCATTCATCAGCTGATAGACTTTTGGGCTATTATATATAATATTGACATGTATGAATTTTCATATGGACATATATTTTCAACTATCATGGGCATACTGTACCTGGCATAAAATTGCTGGATCATATGGTAACTCTATGTTTAACTTTTTAAGGAATTGCCAGACAACTTTCCAAGATCATGACACCCTATTACATTCCCACCAGCAATCTATGAGTTGTCCAGTTCCTCCACATCTTTGTCAATACTTGTTACTGTCTGCCTTTTTGATTATAGCTATTCTAATGGGTGTGAAGTGATATTTCATTGTGGTTTTGACTTGCACTTCCCTAATGACCAATGATGTTGAATATCCTTTCATGTGTTAATCATTTATTTGAATATCTTCATCAGAGAAATGTCTATTCAGACCGTTTGCCTATTTTTAAATTGGTTTGTCTGTCTTTTTGTTGTTGAGTTGTAAGAGTTCTTTATATATTCTGGATATAATTTCCTTATCAGATATATGATTGGCAAATATTTTCTCCCATTGGGTGGGTTGTCTTTTTACTTTCGTAATAGCATACTTTGAAGCACAAACGTTTTAAATTTTGATTAAATTTGATTATCTGGATATTTTTTGTTCCTTGTGCTTTAGGTGTCATATCTAAGAAGTCATTGCCTAACCTAAAGTCATCAAGATTTACACATATTTCCTTCTAAAAGATTTGTTGTTTTAGTTCTATATTTAGGTCTATGATCTATTTTAAATTAATTTTTGTATACTGTGTGGGGCAGGGATCCAACTTCATTTGTTTGCATGTGAATATATAGTTGTTTCAGTATAATTTGTTGAAAAGACTGTTCTTTCCCCCATTGAATGGTCTTGGCACTTTTCTTGAAAATCAATTGACTACAGATATATGGGTGTATTATTGGACTCACAATTCTGTTCCATTAATCTATATGTCTATCTTTATGCCAGTACCACACAGTCTTGGTTACTGTAGTTTTATAGTAGTTTTTGAAATCTTTGCATGAATCCTCCAACTTTATTCTTTTTATTTTTCAAGATTGTTTTGGCTATTCTGGGTCCTTTGAATTTCCATAAATACTTTGGAATCACTTGTCAATTTACACATGCACATACATATACAAAGGCAGCTGGAGTTTTGATAGAACTTGTATTGAATATTGAATTCATAGACCATTTGGGGAAGTATTGCCATCTTAACACTATTAAGTCTTCCAATTCATAAATTCTTTATATTTAATCTTTTGAAATTCTTCAACAATGTTTTATAGTTTTCAGTGTGTATATCTTATACGACTTTGTTTAAATCGATTCCCAAGCATTTTATTCTTTTTTATACTATTGTAAATGGAATTGTTTTCTCAATTTCATTTTCAGATCATTCTTTGCTATTGTATAGAAATATAATTGATTTTATATACTTATCTTGTGTTCTGCAACCTTGCTGAACTGATTTAGTAGTTCTAATATATTTTAGTGGATTCCTTAGGATTTTCTACAAGATTATACAGTCTACAATATTATGTCATCTGCAAATGGAAGTAGTTTTGTGTCTTCATTTCTAGTCAGGATGATTTTTATTTCTTTTTCCTGGCTAATTTTCCTGGCTAAAACCTCCAGTGCAATATTGATTAGAAGTGCCAAAAATGAACATTTTTTTCTTGTACCTGATTTTTAGGGGGAAAGCATTCAGTCTTTTACCTCTTTTTGGCTATGGGCTTATTATAGATACCCTTTGTGTTAGTTCATTCAGGCTGCTGTAACAAAATATAATAAACGGGGTGGCTTATGAACAATAGACATGTATTTTTCACAATTCTGGAAACTGGGAGGTCCAAGATCAAGGTGCTGGCGGATTCAGTGTCTGGTGAGGGCCAACCTTCTGATTGATCTTTTCTCTGTGTCCTCACATGGTGAAATGAGTAAGGGAGATCTCTCGAGCCTCTTCCATAAGGGCACTAATCCCATTCATGAGGGCTTCACCCTCACAGCCTAATCATCCCCCAAATGTCCACCTTCTAACACCATCCCCTTGCAGGTTAGGATTTCAACATATGAATTTCGGGGGGACACATTCAGACCACAGCACCCTTTCTCAGGTTGAGGAAGTTCCCTCCTATTCCTACTTTCTGAGTGTTCCCTGTTTCTTTAAAAAACAAAAATTATGCCCAGCTTAGGGCATAATTATGTCCCCCTCCATTATCTTATTTCCATATCATTCAATTCCAGCTTAGAGCTGTCTGAATGTCTCGTTTTGTACATTCAAGAAGGTATTGTCATATCTGATGCTCACAGTGACAACTCAAAGACTAAAAATTCTGTGATATCCCAAGTTTCAGGAGGCACAGCACTATATAAAACACTTTGAAATATTTCTGTCCAAAGTGGTTTAAATATTACTTATAATAACTAGTAAAAGTTTAAAAAGTGGTTTAAGGCTGGGCGCGGTGGCTCACGCCTGTAATCCCAGCACTTTGGGAGGCCGAGGCGGGCGGATCACAAGGTCAGGAGATTGAGACCATCTTGGCTAACACGGTGAAACCCCGTCTCTACTAAAAATACAAAAAATTAGCCGGGCGCGGTGGCGGGTGCCTGTAGTCCCAGCTACTCAGGAGGTTGAGGCAGGAGAATGGCGTGAACCTGGGAGGCGGAGCTTGCAGTGAGCCGAGATTGTGCCACTGCAATCCGGCCTGGGCTAAAGAGCGGGACTCCGTCTCAAAAAAAAAAAAAAAAAAAAAAAAAAAAAGTGGTTTAAATAAAGTGAAGAGTATTACTGCTCAAAAGGTGAACTCCCCTGCCCACCCGGTTCCCCAGTGAAGTCCTGCGCTGCTTGCTCTGTTTCCTTCTCCATGTCAGTTAAAATCAACACATTCCTTTTATCACCCGATGAGGAAACAGGTCCCTCTCAAGCCTGCAACTGGTTATCTTCCAAGTCCTTTAGTTCTTCTTCCTTTATCCCCACTAATTGCAAGTCTCCCTCCATTATCTTCTTATTTCCACATTGTTCAATTCCAGTGGAATACAGGAATTGGCCCATGGGGAAGAGCAGAAAAACGAAAGGAATGAAAATGCTTCAGTGTTTCAGGAGATTTGAAGATGTTTCAGGAGATTTCAGTGTTTCAGGAGATTGAAGCTGCAGTGAGGATGAGCCTCCCTGATCCCCTTCTCCTCCCGTGTCCCTGCTGGACTAAAGGAGTTCCCATGAGGGAGGCTGGCAGCTGACAGGATCACCCAGGACTAGGACTTGTGGCCCCCAGACCACTCCTGGATGTGCCCCATAGCGGCCCCTGAAGGCGCTGCCTCCTTCTTTGCTGGGCCTCAGCCTCTTTGCTGGGCCTTGGGTCTCGGGACCTCCAAGGCATGTCATCTTCTTTCTCTGTGTCCTCCACTGCTCAGATTGTGGCTGCCTCAGCCATGGCAAATGGCAAGGACCCCAGTTTCACTTCCCGGCCCACCCAGACACCAGGCAGAAACTCTAATAACCACTTTTCTGGGTTTCTACATCCTGTGTCTCTGGATGACTAATCATCTCCAGAGCATGAACAATTGAGTCATCTCAAGCCCCAGGCTTGAATTTGTGCACAAGGCAACCAGCTTCTCCTCGGCAGGCTCTGGGAGCACTGGCTGAAGTAGGTGTGGCCCTCCTAAGTCACCATCCTGGCCTGGAACTCTTGGAGCACAATAGGCTCCTCCGGGTTTGTTGAAGAGCCTTTGCTCAACTGAACCTCTTTATTGTAGGCTTTTGCTCCTTTCTGAACAGGCTCTTACAAGTAGAGCATGCAAGATCGCATTATGTTTAGAGTCCCCATGAGGCCATGCTCTGCAGGCGGCCTTGGGACACCAGCGCATCCTCTTCTGGGAACAGAACTCCAAGCTCCTTTGAATAACAACTACTCCCCTTCTCTCTGAGCTGACTCAGGCCGGCCAATTGACATAATTCCAATCTCTGGTGACAGTTATTGCTTCAGGGATTGGCACATAACCCAAGTTTGTCCTACTAGAATAAATCCTGGGACTTATTTATAAGCTGACAGAAGGAGATGTATTCTTTTTTCCACAGCCTCTATCCTGAAGAGCGTTGGACCCTGGAGCTGCTGGCCACATCTTGATCTGCCATATGTGGTCCAAGAATGAAGTCAACACGAAGGAGAATGAAGGTGCTGAGGGATAAAGTTATTGACATTCTAGGAGCTCCTGGATCAAACCATGCCTGAACTCAATTTATCCCTTGAACTTTTCAATTACATGAATAAATCCTCCTTTTGCCTGAGTCAATGTGGATTAGTATCATTGGCATTCAGAAGATTCCTAAAGTCTCAGGTCTTCTGCACATCTATAACCATGGCAATTGCGGTCCTGCTCTCCTTTCCCCTCCCCTGAGCAGGCAAGCTTTCCTTCTCTATCATGTAAACCTCCTGGGTCATTCAGAGTATTTCTCAAATGTTACCTGGAGTTTCCCAAGACTTCAGTTCTCACTGACCATTTACTTCTTAAACTGCTAGGATGATAACCTATAACTTTGCATCTAACCAATCCCTTAGCACTTTCCTTAGAGACTTCTTAGAGATCTTTTTGATGCCTAAGGGTAGGAATCAGGGCTTCTCTATCTTGTATATGCACTGCCCCCCACCCACAGGTCCATAGAATAACAGCTGAGGACCTGTAGCTCTACAAGGGCAGGGACTGTCAAACATGCCAGACTGCACATGGTAGTTACCACTAGAGGGCTCTGGGTATGGGCAATAAGCAGGACTTCTGCATTTTACATCTATGCTATCATTCGAGTCTTGTATGAGCATTTATTTTACAAATCTCTATCTTGCAAAGCAAACCCTTAGTGTGAATAACTGAGGAGTGGTGGATCGGCCAGCTCTTCCGTGCAGTGTTCTAAAGCCTCTTGCTCCTGTCTCTCCTGTGGGAAACCCATAGTTACGGCTTCAAGCAGAGACCCAAGCACCACCTCAGGGTCTTGACCTTGTGTGGGAATAATCTATCACCAAGATGCAGACAGAGACAAACTGCTTCACAGAGCATTTTATCCCCTAGAAAATCCCCAACCCCAGCATCCTGGGTGCTGCCCAACCTCTTCAAATACAAAGGCAAATAAAATAAATAAAAGTAAATATTGTACTCATAAGCAACAGAATGCCTAGCAACCAAGAACAAGGGAGGGCTGGAGGAAGAAGGTTGACTTTCGCAGGCCCTTGTGTATAAACTGCAGTAAAAGTCTTCTCTGTGTGAATAATATATTTTTGAGCGTTAAATTATAGAAGGTGTAAGGAATGCTAAGGCTGAGACCCAACAGAGAGAGCTGGCCCCACCCTGAATGGGAGGGGCAGGGGTCTCCTTGGTCTTTGTCCCTGCTGACTGGTATTGAGGGAGGGGGAGTCTCCGCTGTAGCTTCAGGAATGGAACACAGGGCACCAGGCCTCAGTTAATCCCTTTAGGGACCCTTAGCCCTGAAACAATGCTGGTGCAACCCCACATGTAACTCAGAAGAAAATGTTAAGTCACGAAATAAATGTAAGAGCTCTGATGTTTTTCTATAACACCCATTTCAATGCTTTGTTAGAAAGTATGTACGTAAAGCACATGACATTGTTCTCATTAAATTTTTTTGTTACGAAAACTTTTAAACACACTCAGAAGAGTAGGATTTTTGAACCTCTCATCTGGGTACAATATTATTAAAATTCTGCCACATCTGCCTTGTTGATCTTTTTGCTCTTTTTCTTGGTTAAACTATTTGGAAGCAAATCCAAGGCATCATGTCATTTCATCTGCACATACCTTGGTATAATCCATGAAAATTATGGACATATTCTCATATAACCATAAAGCCAGTATCATACCTTAATGAGTTGGGTATGTTCTGTTTGTTTTTGTTTTGGGCATCCTCCAACCTCCAGTACCTAACCCATTATCAGATTTCCCTGATTGTCTCAAAGGGTCTTTTGCATTTGTTGTGTGTTCTCATTGTTAATACCCTTGTGTCGTAAGTCCCCTGGGTGCATGCTTAGATTGACTTTTGGAAATCTAAGATTATTTGGTATTTATTGAAAGCAGAAGAGAGGGAAGAAAAAAAAAAGACAAAGCAGTGAAAAGGAAAACATGGAAGTGGTATTTTTATAAGATCTATGTGACATTTTGCTGGCTGTCACCTTTGCTCATATAGGATCCCCACTGCTTAGGATAGGATTAAACTGTCCCAGCTTATAAAGCAGGCATTTTCCCCAGTGTCTTCTGAATTCTGAAGATTTTGGGTGGGATGTGGATAAAGTGTTGCTGTCCTTGTCTGTCACCATGACAACTCCAGCCAGGACTTGGCCTTGCTAGGGTTTTCTGGTGGATTGTGGAGCCTGCTACCCCTAGGTCACAATGAGCAGGAACGTGGATTTACAGATATACAGCTGCTCCCTGGCATGGCTTCCCCAAGGAAGTAGGAGAGGGGATCTTGAGGGCCAAGGTTAGTAGCAAATGTGAAAGCTAAGAAGAGACATGGAAAACTTCTCTTGACTACATGGGGGTTGGTCGGGGGTACATCTGACTCCCACGAACAGACAAATCTAAGAAGAGTGAGAAGCATTCTTACCTTCTGACCCAGCAACCCCACCTCTAGGAATTTGTTGAGAAAAAGCCAGAGTTTGCACAAAGATTTATTTTGTTTGAGAATGTCCCTTAAGCTCTTTATAGCAATAAAAAGAGCTGGGAGGATTGCCTTAAGACTCAATGATGCAGAATTGGTTTAATAAATTATAGCTCATTGCTATAAGGGAACACTAAGCATCCATTCAAAACATGTTTTGAAAAAATATTCAAAGATACAGAAAAATGTCCACAATATATTAAGTGGAAGAAAAAAGAGGTTATAAAAAATCAGTCTGATGTCAGTCTCATTTTCTCATTTTTTAAAAATTAAAAGAAAAAGAAATGAGGGAGGGACTGAGAAGTCTATAATTAAAATGTTTCTTAAAATATATATAGTTTTTTCACTAAGTGATAAAATTTTTGACATTACTTTTCAAATTTCTTACGATGAACACCCGTCAACTTGTAATATAAAATTTTTATTTTATTTCCTTATTTATTTATTTTGAGACAGAGTTTCACTCTATCACCCAGGCTGGAATGCAGTGGCATAGTCTTGGTTCAGTGCAGCTTTGACTTCCTGGGCTCAAGTGATCCTCTTGCTTCAATCTCCTGAGTAGCTGGGATTATAGGGACTCACCACTACACCGGGCTAATTTTTGTAAAAAAAAAAATTTTAGCAATAGGGTCTCACTATGTTGCCCAGGCTGGTCTTGAACTCCTGGACTCGAGAGATCCTCTAGCCTCATCCTCTCAAAGCACTGGGATTACAGTTATGAGCCACTGTGCCCAGCCTAATTTTTATATTAATAATAGTAAATGTAACAAAGAGGCAAAAGGAAAGGAGGAAGGAAAGAATGGGAGAGACAGGGAGGGGAAGAGAAGGTAAAGTGCAAACAGAAAAGAAAAGGGAGAGAAAGAAACAGAAAAGAAAAGTAACCTGGGCCCATGAGATTTAAGAGCAGTTTTAGAAAGTTCATTTAGGGTTAAAAAAATTCTGTTACAAAAGAAGAAAAGGAAACAAAATAAAGATTTAGAAGGTCTAAGTAATTTTTAAATAAGTTGTTGGCACATATACATTGACTGGACAACCTCAGGCCAAAATTTTCTTTGGAGAGTGTGGCTTCCTTCCTTTATAAGACTAACATAAACATACGTGTGCATGTGGGTGCAGCGCACCAGCACGGCACATGTATACATATGTAACTAACCTGCACAATGTGCACATGTACCCTAAAACTTAAAGTATAATAAAAAAAAAAGTGCTTATAAAATATGAAAAAAAAAAAATACATAACAAAAGACTAACATAATAATGAATCTTGACTTTTTAGGTTGTGAGGATAATAAGTAATTTATAATACTGTAGAAATGAATTTATATAATTTTACTGAATGGTCATAAGGTAGCCGTTCAATCAATTAAGAACCCGGTATCGAGTTTCACAATTTATTAGCTAAAAAGGGTCTGCCTAGGGGACTGCTGCTCACTAAAATGTGATGACAAAGTTGGATAAAACTCTCCCCATGAAGTTTTCCAGGCCACTCAGAAATTACTGTCTGTGTTCAACGTGAAAAGAAAAACATGCAGCTCCTGGTGACAGCTACTGGCCTACAAGCAAATGAAGCTTAAAGCAATGTGTTTCTTGGGGACACTGGCCAGTGTGGCCTCTGTCATCAGGATGGTGGTGTCACCTGCCTATTGTCCTAGTCCCTGGTTCTGCAGCTTTTGCTGGGGCTTTGGGGAAGAGGATGGCAGAGGAGGGCACAGTTCGGGCAGGGGGGGTCCCCAGAACTCCTTCCCTCTCTGACCCCTTCTTGCCTTTTCCAAAACAGACCCATGGCACGGGGCATTTAGAACAGCACACACATCCTACAGAACACACTCAGTTAATTCTCAGTTGTCCAGGGCTGTGTAGTCCAGTTATGATTTCAGGCACTGATTGCCTTCCTCTCCCCGATCTTTGGTTAGCTGAGATGGCTCCTAGCATTTCCGCACATCATGGCTGAGGAGAAAGTTGAAGCTCCTGCCAAGAATGGGAGATGATCACTGTCCGGGGCTTTCTGGTCCCTGGCACACTAAGAACCTCTTACGTGTTGGCTTCATCCTCAGCATGCATCTAACCGGTATTTATTGAGCACCTGCTCTGCACTGGAGCCTATTCTAGGTACTAAAGATATAGCAGTGAACAAAACAAAGTTTTCCTTCCAGAAAATAAACAGTAAGAAGACAATAAACAAGAAAAATACATAAAGCATATAGTATGCCAGATGGTTTAGAGCTAAGAATGAAAATGAAGTAGAGACAATAGGGGCAAGAAATCTGAAAGGTTGCTATTCAGACACAGTGACCAGGGAAGGCCTTGCCAAAGAATGCTATTTGGGTTTTTTGTTTGGTTTGAGATGGAGTCATGCTCTGTCTCCCAGGCTGGAGTGCAGTGGCACGATCTTGGGTTGCTGCAACCTCCACTTCCCAGGTTCAAGTGATTCTCCTGCCTCAGCTTCCGAAGTAGCTGGGATTACAGGCATGCGCCATGACATCTGGCTAATTTTTGTATTTTTAGTAGAGATGGGGTTTTTGCCATGTTGGCCAGGCTGGTCTCGAACTCCTGACCTCAGGTGATCCGCCCGTCTTGGCCTCCCAAAGTGCTGGAATTACAGGCATGAGCCATCACGCCCAGCCAAGAATCCTATTTGTAAATGGGAGTGAAGGAGGTGAGAGAGTGAGCCAGGCAAGGATTCGAAGAAAGAGACATCTAAGCAAGGATGCCGCGAGTGCAAAGACCCTGAGGTCAGTTGGTTTCCGGCATTCCTAAGCAATGTTTCTCAATCTTTTTCTTATTGCCCTCTTATGGAGTTCTTTTACACGTTTTTATTTTCGCTAATTGCCCCCTCATGACATTTTAAAGCCGTAGATACATCATATATCCGTTCATTTACTGTGTGTATATCTGTGCTTTATAAATGTTAAAAAGTAAGATACTTTTTGCCCTCAAGAGCCAACTTGTGTACCCTTGGGAGTGGCATGGTCTCCACTGAGAAGGCAGAACTTCTGCTCAGCAGGAGGCCAGTGAGGCTGAAGCAGGGAGGCCAGAGCTGCAGAGGAGAAACATCCCAGGGCCAGGGCCAGCCCAGCCCAGTCAGGGCCTTGTAGCTTATCACCAGGACCCTTCACTCTGAGCAACCCGGTTTGACTCGTGTTTTATTAGGATTGCTCTGGCCACTGTGGGAATATAGAAACGGATGGCAATAATCCCTGTCTTAAATAAGGTTACGGTAGAGTGAAGAGACGGCGCTCTCTTTTTCCTCTCCTTCCCGCCTCTGTTCCTCTCTCCCTTTCTCCCTTCTCTCTCCCCTTTACTCCCTCTCTTCCTCCCTTCTTCTCTCCTTCCTTCTCTCCCTTCCTTCCCTTAGTCCTTTCATAAACATTTGCAGAGTGCCAGTTCTGGGCAGGTAATCAAGGGATGTTTGAATTCACTGTGCTGAGTTGTTATAAAGTTGTGCACAGCACGTTATGGAGGCACAGACGAAGGAGCCCTGTGGGAACAGAAGAGGGGCCTGGGCAGAGACTCAGAGGGCTTCTTAGGGAAAGAGTCATTGGGAGCCAGATATGCAAGGATGAAGGCCTGGGCAGAGACTCAGAGGGCTTCTTAGGGGAAGAGTCATTGGGAGCCAGATATGCAAGGATGAAGAAGGGCTGGGCAGGAGCAGAGGTATAAGAAGCACTTCAGGTGTAGGGGAAGGCATGGGCTGAAGCCAGAGACATGGCCAGAGGGAAGAGGCAGGAAGCTCCAACATTTGGGCTAGGCTGGAGGGAGGACCAGGTGGGAGGGAGGTGACAGAGAGGCCTCAACTGTCCCCCACACTGATCACAACACCTAGCTGGGAGGAGCGCTCCGTAGATGCTGGAAGAAGGAAGCCATCACTCATGAGCTTCTTTGCTTATGTAGGATCTTACTCACCACACCTTGTCTTGGGCTCAGGGCTCTCAGCATTGAGGACCTTGGCATCAGGACACAAAGCAGGGCCTGATCTTATGGGGCCTCAGAGGCCACATTCGAGATCTCAGACTTCATCCTGTGGCATGAGGAGCACAGGATTTTGAGCCACACAGTCACGTGGGTACTTGCATTGGCTACTGCCTTCAGGTGGTGGCTTTGAGGGAGCCCAAGTGAAGGCAGCTGGGGGGCCGAGATGCAGTAAGGAGACCAGGTGAGAGATGCAAAGGGCCTGCAGTCAGAGCCCAGGTGTGCGAGCTCTAATCTTCCAGTCTTCTCTAATCACACTCATTATTTGTCTAACTCTGGCAATATGAGGAAGTCAGGATCCAGCCCAGCTTCAAGGGAAAATCCAAATCTGTTCAAAGATGGACATAACTGGAGAGGCATGATTGCCTCTCCAGCAGACACGAACATCGCTGTCTGCTGCTCCTCCCCCTTCAACCTTGGACACAGTTTCCAAAATCCTCTTCCCATTTTGAATGACCCATGATAAAGTCAGGGAGAGAGAGTTCACAGAGTTTTCCCTGAGGCCTGGGCAGGTGCAGCTTTATTTACCCGACAGGTCCTTGTGACGGGCCTTGGCACAGACATGGTATTCCCAATAAGAATGGCATGTTCTATGCAGACTGTGACCTCCAGCCCAGGCTGCCCAGGAGCTCCAGCCTGAGTGCCTCGCACTGTCAGTGTCTCAGCCCTGTGGATCCCTGCTCTCTGCTCTCCTCTTTTTCATTAACTTTAACTGCACTTGGGCAGATTTGCAGGAATAAATCAAGAACAGAACAGACAAGGATCTGCATCCAAAGCACAGACTGATGCTCCTTTTGGGGCCAGAGCCCATGAGGAAAATTGCTTCTGCTCATCATTTTTCATTTTCTAACAGCCTCATCTTCTCCAGTTTCTAAATCCCTGGAGGAGCCAGTAGCAAAAATGTTTCAATGGCCAAGTCTCGATATTGGAGGAAAGCAAGATGTGGAGGTGGACCCCTCCCCACCTCCAACTCCACCCCACCATTCACTACTTGGGTTTAAGGATGAGAAAGGAGAAAATTGCTCACCCCGCTCCAAGGAGAAGTGGAATTTAAGCGACAAGAGACCTGGACAGCTGCTTTCAGCAACGCTGATTGCATGTGAAGAAGGGGATTGCACAAGCCCAACTGCCTGGGGAGGTTTCGTAAAGTTTGGAATGTGAGGTCTGCGTAGCCAGGGCCTAGACACCCCTGCTGGGTTTTCTTACCCATGGCAGTGAAGACAGTTCATTGGAGGACGCAGCTGTAGTTTAGGATGCCAGCCCCAAACCCTGGGAAAAACGCTCAGATGTCCTGAAATCATTGCTAATGTCCCAGCACGTGCTCAACTCCTGTTGCTGTCTTTGGGACTAATGCTATACATAGAAAAGGCATGTGCTATCGTGGTGAAGGGTCAGGCTTTGAGAACAGATAAGTCCTGGCTCAAATCTTGTCTCCAACCTCCTATTATACTATAGCATACTATATGACACAACACTACACTACGCTATGCTACACTACACCACTCTCTATTGTACTATCTAATACTATCCACCACACTACACCCCTATTATACTATCTATTAGCATTCTATTCTATCCTTTGTTATACTACCCAGCACTGTGCCTGGCACTTAGTAAGTACACAGAAAAATGAGAGTTATTCCCATTATTGAATAAGTTTAGGATGCCGTCTTGGAAATCACTTGAAACGGCCAAATCTGAGGTTCTGTGTGAGGCTGGACCTGAGAGGGAGGCGAGGAGAAGGAGAGAAGCGGGTAGCATCCTTCAAAGCAGCTGAACCAGCCTGCTCCCCGGGCAGGGTGTGAGGGGCCATGCCTAGAGGGGAGGGGGTGAATCAGCTTGATGTTCCTCAGGGAAGCTTCAAAGGTCCTGGAGCAGGGCCAGAGAACGGAATGCAAATGATGTTGGTTTACTGAATAAGCCAAACTCACCTGGCAAATCTCCATCTAGCAAATCTCAATCGGGTGCTTTCCTGCACCCCCTGTGATTCTCTCTACCCTGGATTCATTCAGACGCTCATTCTCCTATACTCCCACTATATCTTATACACAACTCCACAGTAGCAAGGATAATAATGTTTTTTGATCATCTGCCAGCTCTTTGATGGTGTGGACTGAATCCTTTCACCTGTCTGTCCCCAGCACTGATCATAGCACTGAATCCTTTCACCTGTCTGTCCCCAGCACTGATCACAGCACCTAGGTGGGAGGAGCGCTCCGTAGATGCTGGAAGAAGGAAGCTGTCACTCATGAGCTTCTTTGCTTATGTAGGATCTTACGCACCACACCTTGTCTTGGGCTCAGGGCTCTCAGCATTGAGGACCTCGGCCTTTCTTTCGGGTATTTCCCAGATGTGACACATGCCCGGCATGAAGGCAGCTATGTGAGTTAACTATCTCACAGTTTACTCTTTCCAGTTTCACAGGCTGCTCCTTCTTCCTAGTAGTTTTCTGGCATTTGAGCAGGGCCATACCTGCCCCCTTCGCACATTCCTGGGCTTAGATCCACATTCCCTGGGTCTTCATCATTCCAGACGCAAAGACCTGATCTGTCTTGCCTGCCAGTGCTCACCCCACACCTTGACAACCTCTCCATCATTTTCATTCCTTTTGCTGGCCCTGCTCCAGGACCTCTGAGGCTTGAGAAGCAGCAAGCTGATTCACCCCGTCCCGTCTAGGCGTGGCCCCTCACACCCTGCCCAGGGAGCAGGCTAGTTCAGCTGCTTTGAAGGATGCTGCCTGCTTCTCTCCTCCTCACTGCCCTCTCAGGTCCAGCCTCATACAGCCTCATACAGCCTCGGAGTCAGCCGTTTCAAGTGATTTCCAAGAATCATCATTGGAAAAAAGCCTTGTAACCATCAAGTGGTGCTGATCTAATAAGAGCCAGCACAAATCCTACGTTAAACTAAGCAAATGGCGTTAATCTCATCATCATCATCAAGCCTAGGCCCACAGCCTGAGGTGACATGGGGTGACCGAGTCTCTGGATTGTGTGAAGGAAGGCTCCAGTGATCAGGTTGCTGCAAGATCAGGTTGACTTGGGGTAATAACCGCAGTTGCAATTACATGTGCTGTTTACATACTTTGCCCCTTGTACTTGATAAAGTCCAGAAAGAGCCCTGGGCGCAGCTGCTCAGCGCCTCTTGGGGGTAAGCCACATACCCTGTGGGAGCAGGAGAGCCACCTCTCCCCTGAGAGAGAAATAGGGCCCAGATAATGTCTAGTTTAGGTACCTCTTCAGACCAGATACCTTTGAAAGGATATCGCTTTCTTGTCTGTCTTTCGATATCATCATTACAAGATGGAATGCCTCCTCTGCATAAAGAAATAACAATTCTCCTAGTATCTTCAGTTTTTTAAAGAATAGAAGGATTGGTACAATCACAAGTCTTTGAAACAAATTTCCAGTAGTTTTTCCAGGTATTGCTGGAAGATTTGGAAATAAAGAAGTAGCCCTTTAACCCAGTGCAGGAAAATAGGCAAGCTTCATCATCCTATAAATGATCATGCCCTCAGAACTTGCTGCAACAGAAAAACCAGCTCTATCTATGTACAGTACTGAGAAAGTAGGGCCACTTCCTCTCACTTGGGATCTGGGATAGCTAACACATGCCTAAAAGCAATCTGTTAAGTATGACTGAAAGGGGACTGCAGATTAAAGTTGCAAGCTTCCAGCTTTGGGGTACCCAGGAGGGCATCTCCTCCTGAGGATCAACAACAGAAAGAAAAAAGCAATGAATCTGAGCACAGCACATTCAAGTTTGTAAACTCTTTTCTAACTTTCCACCTCAATGCCACAGAGCAGTGCTACTGTGAAACTGGGGACAAAGAAGAGAAGGGCATCTGTAATCGGGGAGCTCAGGGTGTGTGCAAAACGATGATGATAAAAAAAGGCAAGGAACAGCAGAATATGCTGGATTCAGCAGGAGCTGGGCCCCTGAGAGCTGGGGAACTAACAGATTGCAGCCAAAGCTGCAGCCCTCACGTTTTCTGACTTGAGAGATAATGAAGCAATAAAAGCAGCAGAGGCAGCCAGTAAGGGCTCTGCTCCACAGGGTTGTCTGTGTGAGAGCAGCTGCTTGTGGGTGCCTGCTCAGAGTCCATCCAAGGACTGCAGGCCTCCAGCAGACTAGCAAGGCAGAGGACCAAACAGCCAGGCCTCGGTGGCCCAGGGCTAATTCCCTCCTTCAGAGACACCAGAACCTTGGCTCCCCAGCCTGTCACTGAGCCTGTCCCAGGGTGGGGCAGCCCATATGGTTGAGCTGTTGCATCGCCAGAGACACCAAGGGTAAATAAACCCTGGGACTACAGATGGGAGGCCAGCCAGGCTGGCTCCACTTTTTGATCTCATCACGGGGGGCAGTCCGTGTGGAAACCCTGGGAGGCACCTTAGCGATTTTCCAGGCCAACAACTTCATTTGTCAGATGAGAAAATCCCCCTCCCCCTCCTAGGGGTTAAGGGACTTGCCAAAAGTCACATAGTGAATCAATCGCAATGCAATAAAAAGTGGTGGCTGAGACCACAGCTGGGCTTGAGCTCCAGCTCTATTGCTCTGGAGCTTGGGCAAGTTACATAGTTCTCAGTCTCTTCATCATATAATGAGCGTAAGGTTAGGACCTTCCATGTTAGGTTCTTGGGGAGATCAAATGCATGAAAAGCCTATTGCCTGGTTCATAGTAACTGCTTAGTAAATATTGTTGGTTGGAACTTATCGTCATGACTTTGAGTCATTGGAAGTAGATCTCAGAGTCTCCTTCTGCCCAGGTCGGGGATATAGTGTGATGGATAAAATCTTGGGAAACTGAGTTTGGATTTCGCTTCACCTCTAGTTTTGTGACTCCGGACACGGTATATAATCCTTCTGAGCTTTCGTTGCTCTCATCTGTAAAATGGGAGTAACTCTGCCACCGTAAACAGGTTTGCTGTGAGGAACAGAGGTGGCAAAATGATGACATGCTCATGGCAGCACGTGACACTCGGAAAATCACAGCTGTTACCATTAGCAGCTAATCTAAAGCTCCTTCCCCCACTCGGCAGTGAGGACAACTGCTTTTAGTTTGAAGAATAATAAGTTGATGCAATGAAGATGCTAAGTGTGTGGCTGCCCTAAAGGCTGGCAGGAACCACCCAGCCAGCTGGTGGATGGCATGATCTGAAATGGACCATATGTTTGAAATTATGAACCCAGATGTTAGGTCTTGGCACCTAGGGTTCACACCATTAGATTCAATCCTTTAGGTGTCTCTAATGGTCTTCAAGGTGCCAGGAAGCTTGCATTAAAATGCAAATCAGTTTCCTGAGAAAGGAAACACATTAAGTTATCCACTTAGCAAATTGCTGAGCTGGGTTGATTTGGGGTGAGAAAGGGGAGAATTTGAAAGGACAGCGGTAAGAGTTATATCTCTGAAGAAAGAAAGTTATTTTTCTACTGAGCCCAGTGATGAACCAAGGCTATGAACAATAGGTATAGTGGGGTCTCACAAGGTGACTGGGGACACTGGAGGAGAGAGGCAAGGGGCAGAAAAACTGGTTTTTTTCATAGCCTTAGGATCCTGTCCTGGCCAAAAGCACATAAGTGTAAATTCTACTCCAGTCTCTGCTGTGTCAGGCTGGGGGATTACGGAGAACTCGTCCAGATGAGGCTTAGAAGAATTCTTGGAGATGCACACGTGGGTGATGAGACCCAGAAACTAACACTTGGGAAAAAGGGTCTGTTTCTTACACACATTGTGTCCCTTGATGCTTCACACCCTGACTTAAACACACTGGGGCCCAGTGAATGGTCACACAGGGAATGGTCAAAGCTACAGAGATGAAAAAGATGGTCAAGGACGTTAAAGGTTTGTTTTGTACACAGTAGAAGTATGTCTCCCTTAGCAGTTACGGCATCCCTGTTCTTAACAAAATCACTTCTTTACTTGCTGTCTTGAACAAGTAGGATAGCAGAAAAGTCCTGGCAGAATTTCTATTTTAAGACCATAGCTTGCAGTTCTTTCACTGAAATCTAGAATAGCATGCCTTGAAGCAAAGAATAAGAATCACTTTATGTGTACAATGTCTTCCTATATGACTAATGTGGGTATATCAATATTTCCCTACAGGCTAGTGCTATTTTAAAGATTTAATTTTTTTAAACTTAGGGTGCTTGGGACAAAGACTAGTGAAAAAAAGTCATCTTTATACTAGGAAAGCCTCTTCTTAGCACCTCTCTCAGGTTCGGGAATTTCTGATTCCTAGTTTTGATCTATCCCACAACCTTAGTCTACCCTAGAACCTCCAAATTGGTAATAAAATCCTAATAATGGCTGCACCTTTCTGAGCCCTTATTCATTAGCACTGTGCTCGTCACTTTACATGTTGATTCTTTTATTCTGTACAGTAACTCCAGACCATTTTCATCCCCATTTCACAGATTCAAAACTGAGGCTCATATGGGTGATTAATATGCTCCAAGTCATATAGGCAAGAAATTGGCGGAGCCAGGATTTGAACTCAGTGTGCGTGTGAGTTCTAAGGCTGAATATTAGCTGCTTGCTGCTTAACCACTCTGCCTCCATTGATGAGAGGAAAACATACAAATCCTTCTCTTCAAGTTGCTTTTTCTCTAAAGTATCCTTCAGGCAAGGAGAAAAACCACTGTTGAAGAAAATACCACTAAACACACAAGACTCCCAGAAGCACAAAGAGAGGCAAAGGAGGTCCAGGGAAGTAATGGAATGTGGAACAAGGATTCGGCCATATAGAAAATATTCCGCACTTCAGCTTCTTGATAAGAAGTGCATCAAAGTACTTCTTAGAAAACTCTACCAAGAAGACATAGCAAACAGATCTTTTCAGATATGCTGCATACCACTCTATTATTAGCTCCATTGCAATCTATTCACTGAGGGATAAGAATTTTCCAACAGACTGTTAGCTCTAAAAGTCAGTATCTCCTGGAAAGATCTTTAGGTGCGGGAAGTCAGATAAAGTATTTTTTAGAATGATTTCTGAGTAAGCTATGTAATTAAGGTTTTTAGCTCCACTGTTCACTAGCTGTGCAGCCTCAGGCAACATGCTCAGCCACTCAGCGCCTCTCTATTCTCATCCTTACAATGGGGGATCACTTATGGTACCAAGGTGCAGTGAAGGGCTGGATGTGTAGCTCATAAACCCTAGGAAGTGGCTTTCTCTATGAGGCCTGATTTGACAGCTTCTCAGAAGATTTTATATTTGGGGAATCTTGAAAAGAGAGAAAATCCAATCCATGCACCACAAATGTAATGCCTTTCAGTCTGGGAACATACAACAGCCAAGTGGCATGAGCAAGGACACATTGGAGGCAACAGGTGCGTGGTTTGGGTCTAAATCTGGCTGACCCTCTCAGTGTTAGGCCAAAGGATGCGGGCGGGGGTGAGGAGTTCCCTCCCTATCTGTGACTTTTAAAATCCTTGCTTCTTCTATGGGTCTGTCTGAAGATGATCACCCTTCCTGTTGAGGCACAGTAGGGAATAAGCCAAGCGGAGTCTTAGCACTTTTACCCTGAATTGTGTGGCTTTTGTCAAGCAAAGTCAGAAGGACATTTATTTTCAAGACAGGCTTTTATTCTTTTGGAAAAAGAAAAATCTCTCGTCCTTTCTGCATGTGGCTACAGCAAGCTTCAATTTACAAAGCTGCCAATTTTAACACATGTGCATGGGCACACACACATGCATACACACGCACACTCACGCACACACAAGTTGATTCTAGTCCTGGCTCCCTCTGAAACAATCCATCTTCAGCCTTTGCTGTTAATTACGACTTTGCATACTGATAACCAAATGACACTGAGCCTGGAGTGGCTGTCCCTTGTCTCTCCGCATCACATTTACGCAGGTTGATGAAATCATTCTGGGCAAGGTTAAGTCAAGCCTCCGTGGTGCAAAGGTTCTGCTTAAAACAAATACTGCTTGCTTTTGGGACCTGGCAGGGAAATAAAAAAGAAAACCAAGATGCTCTAGGCTTCTGTCCTGGTTTCCAGGCAACCAGATGCTGGGTACAGGAAGGGAGAGGGGCTTTCTTCTGGTGCCAGACAGTATTGATAGACAGAGGGCTAACTTTCAGAGCCAAGGACATGGGGAGGGACAGAGGAAGCCTGCATAAGCCTCATTACCCTAATCAACCATAGAGTCAGCCCGTTGGCAGAGAGAGCTGGAAAATGAGCCCATCCACAGGGCTAAGCCAGGGAGAGAGATGCCTTTCTGTAGTACTTTCCACAGGCACTGCCGCTGTAAGCAGGAGGATTCCCAGGTCACCATCATCTTGGCTGCTAAAGATGGGTATGCAGTTCAGCTGAGCAGAAGGAACCTGACAACTGTCTCCTCGGGGAGTCCCAGGAACCACTCCGGAGGTGTGAGTCCTGGTTGGAGGGCAGAGGGCACAGAACAATGGGCAGGCCGAGGTGTCTCATGCTTCGGTACCAGTTAACAGATCCTCTTCATGGCTACTGCGCACCAAGCACCTTGATAAGCCAAGGCAATCCAAGGGTGAAAAGGATGGACAAGCACCAAGCCATCCAATCACCTTTGCTATTTCTTTTTGTAAATATCCAGAGCTCCGTGGGATCATGGGGTGTAGTGGAGTCTTCTGGAGGCTCCTCTGCAGATCTGGGCTAAATCTGAGCTCTGTCACTTACAAGCAGAGCCAGTGACCCTCAGCACGACACCTAACCTCTCTGAGCTTCCCTCTCTTCTGTCCAAAGGGTCATTATGAATCAGCATTCAGCACAATCATTATTTCTACTAAAAAACAAATGAGAGTTTTCTATCTTTTCTCAAGTTCCTCTGGCGACACAGCAAAAACTCTGTTCAGCTAAGATGGTAAGAATGTAGCCTTCCCCTGTCATTGTATTTGCAGTCCTTATAGTGCTGTATGGCACACGGAACGTATACTACATGTACATTACAAAAACATGCAGCAGACATTCGGCATCTCATTAAATTCTGGATGGCATAAAACCGTATGCCAGGAAGTAGCATTCCCATTTTGTAGAGGACGATTCTAAATTGCAGAGAGGTTAAGAGGGCTGTTGGTTCACAAGGAAGCAGGGTGTCCACGCCAGAATCTGTAGGAGGAAGAGTTTGGTAAATTGCACCGAAAAAAGAAGTTCCCCAGCCCCGCCCATTGTGGCTGTGGCCTTCTTCCGGCCACTGGACTCAGGCCTACTGGAGTGGTTCCTGGTACCCCTGGGGGGTGTATGCAGGCTTCTGCCCATCTGAATTGCATGCCCCTCTGTGGCTGCCAGGTTGTCCCCATGTTGCATTTTGGCATCTCATGTTGAGCAGCATCCGCTGTTCTCTACTGGTGCCTGTGTCCTGGATCTGAAAAAATGAAGCAAAAGAAAACAAATACAACAAGCAAACAAAAATAGAGAGGAATCAGATCCCGGGGTTTTAGTCCTGGCTCCCCTGTTTACTGGCTGTGTGGCCTTGGGCAAGTTCCTAAAATTGCCCAAGCTTTGGGTTTCTCATCAACAACAGGGCAAAAACAGTGCCCATCTCACAAGACTGTGTGAGATTCAGTGACAGATGCAGACAGCAGGTTCAGCAGAAAGTGCCTGGCACTTAGGAAGAATTCAAGGCTTCTTAGTGGAAAGTCTTCAGAAGATGCTCTCCATGCAGCTAGTGCAATGTGGCTTCCTTTAGTGAGATGTTGGGGAGGAGCCTCTCCAGGTCTGGGGTTACGATGCCTACAGGGCAGGGACAGTAACAGCCACTGGCACGTAGGGACTTACTATGCACAGGCTGGCCACTATCGTAAGCACTTTATAGGATTTGCCTCATCTATTCCTCACATTGACCCTGAAAGGTAGACCCTATTGCTGCCAACTTCATTTTACAAATGAGAAAACTAAGACCCAGAGAGGTTAAGCAACTGACCCTGGGCACACAGCTGTTCTACCCCAGTTTGTCACCTCTCTGCCCCCAGCCTCCCAGCCCAGAGCACGTTCTCCCAGTTGGCCTTTTGGGGTGACTAAAACCTTTCCAAAAAGTTGTTACTCTCAGATGACTCCCAGAGCATCTCGAGATGGGCCCTGAGAGTGAGGCTGGCACTCTGCCCCCACACCTTGGGGAGGCCAGGAGCGCTCTTGGTGGGAAAAGGAGATGTGGCCCTGGGGGTCTGACAGCTGACCCATCATCCTTGCTTCATGTGCACCAGACTGACTGCTTCCAGTTAAATAAAAGTATCAAAACCTATCACATTCATAAGAGCACCTGGGGATAAATGCAGTACTGAGCTGTCATCACGCTCTCACTCCAAGAGTTCCAGGAGCTCGTGTGCTGTGCACATGGAGCTCCTTGGCAGTTGGGACGGCTGCTTCCCTCTCACCCAGGTGATCACATTTCCCAGGCCAACCTCTGGGTCCTGCCATGACCCCCCACCACCTCGGTAGCCATTTCCAAGTTTTACTACTACTTTCCTGTGTTTTATTTTTTGCACGAAATTGTTCTACCAACTTGCCACGTGAACAAGGCCAGCCCTGTTGTACAGGAGGGGGTTTGAATGAGTTGGGCACATTCCAAACCGGGCTGGGATGAGCTGGGGCACTTCAAGGGCCTCCCTAGAGGTTGCCCCTAGAGGGTCAAGGGCATAAGGAGGGACTCCGGATGGATCCCTGATCCACTTGTATCTGTTTTATATCTTAGAGCTCTGCATGAAATTTTGCTTTAACAAACGGGTTGGCGGCCAAAAACACATTAAGTAATTAAATAGTTAAATGCATAAATCAATTAAATAAAACTGCTGAACAACCTGATTTCTCAGGTCCTGCCTAGCGTGAAAACCCTTTTTGCATAATCAGCAGTGGACGCTGAAAATGCGAACTGCTGAGTGAAAATGAGAACCACGCTGCCCGTACTCTTCTTTGGTATTTTCCAGGGCCACAGAGATAACAGGAAACCATAAATAAGGCCAAAGACAATGAATGATGAGACCTGGGTTTGGCATGTAACCAAGAGTTCTCTGCTCCTGTGATACAGACAAGGCCCGACGACTGTGGCGAGGGTCTGTGAGGCGGGGGGAGGCCAGCCCTGCTGCTGGGGCTGGTGGACACCAGAGTCCAGTTGAGCCCTGCTCCCCAAGATCCTAATGTCCCCCATCTTCAGCTCTTGAGTGGTTCTTTCTACATCTCAATGACAGTAGGCATGACACTGTGGGAACGTGGGTGACATCCAAAGCTTAGTGATGCCTTCTGGCCACAAAGCAACTTCTGCCAACCGGAAGAAAGACTACTCACCTGCACACAAAGCACACACACACACACACACACACACACACAAACACACATACACACACACATACCTACACATACACACATACCACACACATATGCATATATACAAACATGTGCACACACACATGCACACACATACACACATACATATACACACATACATATACACACATACACATGCGCAAACACACATACATACACACATATAGATACACACATACACACATGCACACATGCATGTGCACACACATGCACACGTGTGCACACACATACAGACACCACACACATACCGCACACCACACACATACACACATACATGTATGCACACACATACACACACCTATGCATACACATATACACACATGCACACACACACCCCTGCACATACATACACATGTGTGCACACACACACGCACACACACACAGCACATACACACCACACACAGCTATTTGTTTGAGGAAAAGCATGGTTTATTTAGATGGTGCTTTGCATAACTTTCTAAATTGAGTTCAAATTGGCATAAGACCATGTATTTTGTGCTGTCCGTTGGCCCCTCTTAATCTCATGACCTGATCTTCTTTTGAAGATTAAGGCACACATTCATCACCATAAACAAAAACCCCTAGGATAGGCACCAAATAGCTTGGAGTGTTTATAGAGATAAACTTCCCAAGTCACAGGACACTTTGCATCCGAGGACTCAGGTGCTTGGCAAAGTATACATCTTCCTTACGTCAGTGGGATCCAGTCTGTGTCTTGACAGTGTTGTTCTGAAAGTGGTCATGCCCCAGCAAAGTAATGGTCCTGAATTACTCCCATCATTTTGCCCAGTTTTAGTTCATTCACAGCACTTATTACCTTATATACCTCATTGTCTGTCATCTGCCTCCTTCTCCAGACAAGGGAGGAATTTGACAACAGCAAGGAGCTTATTTATTTCATTCACTGACATATGCCCAGCTTAGAACAGTGCCTGGAATGTTGTAAGCACTCAGCAAGTGTCTCTTGAATCAGTGAGGGAATGGATGAATAGATGGTGAATAACCTTCCTTCTCAATCTTCAGTACAAAACTCGGCCACCGTGGTGCAGCAGCGAGGTATGAGCCAGGAGTTCCAGTCTGCTACTTACTTACAACACTCCACAAAAATCCCTAGAACTAACTTCCATACACTTACCTGTAAAACGGGCATCATCTCCACCCAACAGAACTGTATGTGAGGATGCACTGAGTTCACGTATGTGCGAAGTGCCCACATGTTGTCTGGCACATGGTAGGTATTTATCCAGCCATTGTTGAATGCAAGATAGCCTTTTATTATTTCCCCCACTTTAGATAAGAAGAAAATTGAGATGCAGAGGGTGGATGGGAATAGTAAAGCCAGGACTCAGGCTGGCATCTTCTGCCTCTCAGATCAAAGCGCCTTCTGTCTCTTCATGCTGCTTTTTCTAGAACAATCTCCCCCTTTCTCTCACAACACACACCCACACACAGTGCATGTTAGTGGTTCAATTTAATATTTTTTAATTTTAATATTTAATTTAACATTAATCTAACATTTTCCCCAAACATACTATTTATCTTTCTACTCAGTCAAGACGTAGTCTCATGTAAAGGCTTCAAACAGGCAGATGGAAAGAAGAAGACTCCTTTACTATAGAGGGTTGGCCTGGGCCCTGAGCCGTCCCCACCCGACCCAGGGGGCATCTCCTTGGTGGCTCTGGTCTGTGGCTGTTTCCACAGTGAAGCAAATATCCTTTCTGTCAGGTCCCAGGGGACAAACTCTGAGCCAGGGCATGTGGTGGGGGCCTGGGGACTCCTTAAATCCTCCCCTCTCTCCTACCCCCTAAGGGCATCTGGATCCTCTGGGTAGGATGCAGAGCAAGGACCAGGCCACCTGCCTCCCACTCGAGCCTCCATGGGGTTGGGACAAAGATTTCTCCTTCAGGAGAGGAAGACTGGACAGGTTTCTGGGCTGTGTCAAGCCATGGCTTAGTTCTCCCTGGTGATGAGGAACAGCTGTGCCCCAAAGGCAAAGCACCGTGGCCTGGTAGACTTGGGTTGCCTCCCCAGTGTTTTGATAAAAGCTTGAACAGAGATGAGGAACTGTGTCTCTCCCCAGCAGCCTCTCTCATGCCAGGCCACAGGCCCATCTCCTAGCAGGTTACCAAGACCAGAGATGGGCTTCCTTCTCTCCCGCTATCTGAGGGGTGGCACACTGGAGTATTCTCTGTCACCATGGAGAATGATAGAGGCTGGAAAAGGTAGAAAGGACACCCAGGCTGCTAGCTGAGGAGACAAAGCAGAGCAAGTCTGCTGGGACAGCCAGCATCCCAGAGGAGGAAAAATGATAACCGCAGGAAACTGGTGCAGTTCAAATCCCACCTCAACCTCCACCAGCCAGGCAAGACTCAGTTTCCATAGCTGTACTTAAAGAGCTTGTAGGAATTAAGACAGGTAGGTCGTAAAGGGCACTTTGGTAGTTTGAGGAGATATGAGTTGAAAGATGGAATGAGTACCTTTTTCCTAGGAAAGGGACAGAAATGATCTGTCATCTCAGGTCATAGTCACGGTTAACAGGCTCTCCAACTCCTCGCTCCTCTGTGGCTTGGTTTTTACTGCATCTCGATTTTGCAGCTTTCCCACTTCGACTGCTAATTAAATGAGCATTCAGCCTTCCTTGATGGCTTCCTTTTCCCTCAGAAGTAGAGCTAGCTGGCTGGGCATGGTGGCTCACACCTGTAATCCCAGCACTTTGGGAGGCCGAGGCAGGGAGATCACAAGGTCAAGAGATTGAGAGCATCCTGGCCAACATGATGAAACCCCATCTCTTCTAAAAATACAAAAATTAGCCGGGCATGGTGGCACACACCTGTAGTCCCAGCTACTCGGGAGGCTGAGGCAGGAGAATTGTTTGAACCTGGGAGGCGGAGGTTGCAGTGAGCCGAGATCGGGCCACTGCAGTCCGGCCTGGCCACAGAGTGAGACTCTGTCTCAAAAAAAAAAAAAAAAAAAAAAAAGAAAGAGAAAGAAAAAAAGTAGATCTAGCTGCTTTTAGGGCAGCCACCCTACCCCCACATACCACTTGATAATGGTAAGAATCACCAGGGGGTCCCTATTATTTAAAGAAAGAAAAAGAGGAGGAGAAAGGAGCAAATCCCACCCCACTCCAAACAGACCCAATCTGAATGGCCTGAGGGAGGGCCTAGAAATCTATATTCCTAACAAGCTCCCTAGGGGATTCTTATCCTAAAGCAAATTTGGGAAATATAATTCAGGGCATGGCCTCCACACTATTTTTTTTTTGTTGTCAAGACTCAAGATGAGAAATACATTAATAAATACACTTTATGTTGCAAATCAAGATGTACTCATATAGCTGGCTGATTAAGAATGTTTCATGGGGCTGGGCACGGTGGCTCATGCCTGTAATCCCAGCACTTTGGGAGGCCGAGATGGGTGGATCACATGGTGAAATCCTGTCTCTACTAAAAATACAAAAATTAGCTGGGTGTGGTGGTGCACGCCTGTAGTCCCAGCTACTCAGGAGGCTGAGGCAGGAGAATCACTTGAACCTGAGAGGCGGAGGTTGCAGTGAGCTGAGATGGAGCCCCTGCACTACCACCTGGGTGACAGTGAAATTCCATCTCAAAAAAAAGAATGTTTCATGGAACCTTATTATCTGTACTCCATTTTGCCACAGTCCATTCCACTCTATTATACTTATTTCATTTTTAAAAGTGAATGTTTCATGAAATCTTATTATCTGCACCCGTTTTACCGCAGTCCATTCCACTCGTTTCATTTTAAAAGTGCTGGATACCACCCAGTGATCAATTTCACTAACCAGCTGGCAGTTTAAAAAGTGTTGATTTAAGGTGTGACTTTCTGGTAATTCTTCAGTCTGGTCGTGGACTTTATCAGTGGCTACCAGAAGCCAGTCTTCCAACTCATAGCTTAAGAATCATCAGGGCCCTTGATAAAGGTGCAAATTTTCAAGTCCCATCCCCTGAGGTTTTAAACGGCTTCAGAGAGTGGCCAGAACCACAGTGTCCAGGAGTCTCAGTACCACTAGCTGGAGATTCTGAGCCCAGGGAGAGACAGCTTCTGATTGATCCAGGTGGGTCACATGCTCGCTCTTGGTCAGATAAAGGATGACACACCTTGATGGGCAGTTCTGCCAACACTGGGTCCCTTGGAACTGGGTAGCTCCCTAAAGTAAGTGGAAGAAAGGGGAATGGGTGCTGCCAGCAACACCAATGACCACAACAGAGGCCATCTTAGGCCACCCAAGTAGCAGTTTGTTAATCTCTCCTTCGTCTTAACTGCTACTATCCTCCCCGATGCAACCTGGAGTGCCCAGCTGGTGCATACAGCAGGCATCCATGTGCATGGGTTATATGGAATACCTGGGAATACTTGTATTCTGACTTCTGGTCTTGATCTGAAGTAATCAGGCTTTTGACTCTGTGCTTCATTTTGACAACGGAAGCCAAACTCCTGAGGGCTGGCTCCATTGATTGCAACAGAGTCTAGATTTTTATTTATTTTATTTAACAAACTCTTCCATATGCAAGCCAGTATTCTAAGTGCTTTACAAATATTAACTTATTGAGTTCTCATAAAAACCCTATAAGAGAAGTACTATTACATGCCAGGAACCATTTAAGGGGTTGTACCCATATTATCTCTATTCTTCCAATCCATCCGGTAAGGGGACAGGAATCATTTTTCTTCATTGACAAGACACTGAGATTCAGAGGTTATATAACTTGCTCAAGGTCTCACAGCAAGTGGCAGAGTTGCACCTTGAACTCTAGTAAGGAAGAATGAGTAATGCCAAGGGAATCTTTGAAATGGCATTTAATCCTAGAGTTACCAGTTAAGCTCTTCCATGCTAAGAACATCCAGGTTCAAATGGGCCAAGCCCTGGGGGACAAGTTGTGTCTTCTTACAAACAGAAACAGAGGCACAAACCAAAAGGACTTGCCTAAGTTCCAGCTGTGGGCAGGAAGCCAGTAAACACATGAAACCCCCAGCGGCTGGCTGAACATTCCTATAGCTTCGATGTGCCCTCATTCTGTTAAAATGTAGTGACCAGGAAATTCATCACTGCTTATATGAATTATATGTTTTTTCAATGAAAAGAAGAAAGCTCTGTTCACTCATGGAGACTTTTATTCAAGCGTCAAGCTGTATTTTAATTTTCTAGTAGCAAGTATTGCAGTCAGCCACACTCTTAAACAATGACCTCAAATTCCTCTTTGCCTTCATTGCAGTGACAATGTTGTTACAGCTGACTAATGTTTTTTTCTCAGTTGGCATGGCTAACCAATATTTTCTGAGTTAAATACATCTCTCCAGGTTTCCCCAGGTAGGTTCTGGGAAGGAAACTCTTACCCCTGATTTGGAAGAAAGGTCCCTGGGTTCATTTTAAAATAATAAATATACAAGTGTATATTAATTAAAGAAAATAAACAAATGACATCATCTGTGGGTTTAGAACTCTTCTGTTCAGCTGTTGGATCCAAATAGGTTTTTATGATCCTGGATTTACATTCAGATTGGTATAGTGCCTGTGACTATGGTAGACTTTAACAGAGAGAAAGGAGTTACATTATAATCTGTATGCAATAATTCCTTTCCCATAGGTGGCAAGAACATGCTTTTCTTCCTGAATTTCCTTCACTTGGGTGTGAACGTAAAAATAATCAGTTGGAAAGTGTATCAGTTATTTATTGATATTTATTGCTGTGTGAAAAACCACCCAAAATATAGTCGCTTAAAACCACCATGTATTGCTTCTCATGGCTCTGTGGGTTGATGGGGTGGTTGTTTTTCTAGTCTCAACTGAAAGGCTCAACTGAGGCTCATTTGTGTGGCCTCATTCAGCTGGCCCCTCAGCCGGGTCTGGGGGGTCTAAAATGACCTAATTTACCTACCTGTCTGGCGCCATGGTACTTGGCCAGGCCTCTCTCTTCATGTGATACCTCAACATTCAGTAGCTCGGGTTTTCTTACATGGTGGCAACAGTATCAGGGCTTCATTATGCCCAAACTCTGGAGCTCCTTAATGTCACCTCTGCCACATTCTATTGACCAAAGGAAATCATGAGGCCAGTCTAGGCATAAAGGCATGATGAAATAGATTCCATATTCTAATAGAAAGGGCTGCAAAAACTATTTTCTTTGTTTTCACATACAAAATATATTCACTGCTTGCCCAAAGGTTGTATCCCATTATGGTGTCAGTCTTGGTCTCAAAGTCAAGGATCTCAATCCTCTAAATGCAGATACAGATGAGGTGCCTTGGCTGCTTTTCTACAGGTGCAGCACTATGGCCACATCTCCCCTTGAAGCAGAGGCCTATAAACTAAAGAGACGTGGTACCTGCCCCCTACTTTGCAACATACCTGGTGAAACAGGGACAGGATAATCACCATAAACAATTCCATTCAAAAAGAGGAGGAAGGGGAGGCACATGGCGGTTACGGGTCCATAGCACTTTGAAATCCAGCCAGGCATCAATTGCCACTTTCCCAACTCTAGGAGTATGGAATGCTCCTTGATTAGGATCCACTTCTACTCCTTTGGAGTGGTTCCATAAGCCATTGTTCTTGGCTCTTGGCTCCACTCTCAGGGATCTTGGCTCTGCCCCCTGAGTTGTCCTTCCTTTCCTATAAGAGATGGCACGTGTTTGCAATTGAGTTGTTTTCTCTGCCTGCTTCTGCCTATAGAAAGTTGAGGGTCCAGAAACTCTTTTCATTTTGAACTGTCTTTGTCCAAGTTGGGGGTAATTTCAACAATGCAATAGCGGTTTTGTTTTGTTTTGTTTTTTTTTGATCCTGAATATATATTTTTTAAATTTTACTTTAAGTTCTGGGATACATGTGCAGAATGTGCAGGCTTGTTACACAGGTATACATGTGCCATGGTGGTTTGCTACACCTATCAACCTGTCATCTAGGTTTTACGGCTGCATAGCAGTCCATGGTATATATGTGCCACATTTTCTTTATCCAGTCTATCACTGATGGGCATTTGGATTGGTTCCAAGTCCTAACAATGCAATATCTTTAACACTTTGTATGTTTCCCTTGACTCTGATTGGGGTTGAGTCTATGCCTGCAAAATTCTATCCCTTATTCTATTTTGAGGCAGATCTCTCTCTATTTTGAGCTGAGTGTGAATCTGCTGTGGGATACTCCTTTAAGATTCTTAAAGCCTGTTTGTCTGGCTCAGAGGCATGTTGGGCACCAGCTTAAGGTTTTCTGAGGTCTTAATAAAGGATCTTGCAGCCACAAACTTGATGGACTTTTAACCTCAGACTTTGTTTCACTTGAAAATTTTCTACTGGCAGGGGTGGGAAGTGTGTGTGTGTTGGAAATGAGAGCATCTTATTTTCTAATCAACCATGTCCTGGATCTTTTATATTTTTTTCTAAATTCTGCTTGTAAACTAAATAGCTCTGCCTAAAGCTCATCTCTCCCAGTACATATCATACACAGTTAGAAGAAGCTAAGTGGCACTTACAATATTCTGTCTAGAGACTTCCTTAGCCATATCTATGAATTCAGTAGGTAATTTTCTGTGTTCCAAGTTACCATGAATGATAGTTTGGACTATCATCCACCACTTCATAACCTAGCTGACTTTTCTCCACCTTCAATAGCAGTTTCCTCACCTTTTTCCAGCCCCCACCCATGGCGTCCATCCCACCTTCTGTGCACATTCTAGTCCAGAGCCAATGCCACCAATTTTGTGTTTTTGTTCCTGTAATGCCTCACTTTTATCTCTTTTTTTTTTTTTTACAATTTTAATTATCTTTGCTTTAATGATTTATGTACTTACCGCTTCGGTTGTTTTAAATGTTCATATTTACAATTCATTTATCATTACACTGCCAATCGTCCTTACAACATCCAACATTATCGTGCTAAGTACGTGTAACATGGAACTCCTCATCATGCTTTATTTGACTGGTGTCACCAGTCTTGCCCCTTTGTTTCCGATTTTTTTCATTTATTCATTCCATTAACAAATATTCACTGGGAAATACTAAGAGCTACTACATTATTCTAAGATGTCCACCACTGGGGTCAATAGAGCTATGAAGTGATGCCTCCTTCCATGTGAAGCATGGTATTCAAGAGAAGTGGTATGAGCTGACTCACATTTCACAGGCTCCCTCCCCATGCTATGTTGCTATTAGAAAGAGCAGACGCAGAAGTAGGGGAAGCATTGGGAGGCTCTGATGACATTCTGAGCAAGAAGTGAAGGTGCCAGGACCACACAGGCAAGGAAGGGATGTGACAGAGTCAGGTAGCAGTAGCACTGAAGATACTGAAAGGGACTGTGAAGCAACACCTCACTTTTAGATACAAAATGTAATGGTTAATTTTATGTGTCAATCTGACTGGGCTATGAGGTGCCCAGATATTTGAGCAAACATTATTCTGGCTTTGTCTGTGAGGGCATTTCTGGATGACATTGATATTTGAAATAGTAGACTGAGTGAAGCAGATGGCTCTCTCAGTGTGGGTGGGCCTCCTTCAAACTGAGGTCTCCTCCAGTTTTAAGGCCTGAATGGAGCAAAAGGGCTGACTCCACCTGCCTGACTCCTTCTGCTTGACTGCCTTCAGCTGAAACATTGGACTTTACCTGCCTCTGGACTCAAACTGAATCACTGGCTCTTCCTGGATCTCAAACCTGCCTGCTTTTGGCTTAGAATCTCTACCATCGACTCTCATGATTCTCAGGCTTTTTGGACTCAGACTGAAACTACACCCTCAGCTTTTCTGGGTCTTCAGCCTGCCAACTGCAGATCTTGTGAATTCTGAGCCCCCATAATCACGTAAGTGAATTCTATATAATAAATCTTTTCATAAATAAATATATATCCTATTGGTTCTGTTTCTCTGGAGGACCATCACTAATAACCCAACTTCTATATATTATTTACTGTTGTATATCAAAAACATCCCCAAAACCTAGTGGCTTAAAATACGGGCAGACAAACTTTTGTAAAGGGCAAGAGTGATGTTTTAGACTTGGTGGGCCATGTGGTCTCTTTGGCAACTCTCAACTCTGTTGCAGCTCCACAAGAGTAGCCATAGACAGTATGTCAGTGGATAAGTGTGGTGGTGGTGTTCCAATAAAACTTTATTTACAAAACATGTGCCAGATCAGATTTGGCCCATAGACCCCTGATTTAAAACCATAGTTTATTATTTCTCATGACTCTGTGGGTTGACTGGGAAATTCTGCTGGTCTTGTCAGGCTCACTATTGCAGGCAGCTGCAGTCAGCTGGTAGCTCAGCTGGGGCTGGCGGGTCGAAGGTGACATCACACACATGCCTGGGGCCTTCATGCTGGCTGCCGGCTTGGTTTATCTCTCCATGTGGTCTCTCATGATTCAGTAAGCTTGCCTAGGTTTCCTTACATGGTAGCTGAAACATTCCACGAGGACAAAGGCAGAACCTACATGCCCCTTGAGGCCTAGGCTCCAGAACTTACACAACTTATGCTGCATTCTGCTGGTCAAAACAAGCCACAAAGCCAGACCAGGTTCAAGGGGTGGGCAGTAGACTCCACCTCTCGAGTCTACAGGGAGTTGCTCAATATCATCGTCATTATTTTTCAATCTACCCCCAGAAATAAACTGGAATGCCTTAGCTTTCATATCTCCGTAGAAATCCACAAGACTCCATGAGCAGTTTCAGCCCCTTGCTACCAGCATGAGTCAGTCAAAGCCAATTCACTAGCTGAATTATGAAACTAAGCTCTCTTATCAGCCTTGCCTAAGCCTTTTGATAGCTTTTCTTAGAATCTTGGTCTAATTCTGAAGGCAGCCCGAGGTAAGAAGATATGTTCACTGGGCCCTGGAAAGTAGAAACTAAAAGCCTATGGGAGACACCCGTGTTTACAAGAAAATGAAGATGCAGCCCTGTTAGCTTTCCCCATCCTGTTCCCTTTACCTGGATGCCACAAATAAGGGGTCACAGGGTGATACTAGACACTATAGAGCCTTAACATTTTCAACTAGATCATGAGCATTTCCTGGAAGTGTTTCAAACTTTCTCAAGCTTTCTTTGGGAAATTCTCTGAGCATTTTCTTATCTCCAAAGTTGAAATCAGAGCAATTTTTTTTTAACAAAAAAATTAAAATTCCTTGCTGATGTGGGCTATCAGATACTTCCTGTGGAATACTGATCTCATTATTTATAAGTCAAATGCTTTAGGATCAGTCTGCTAACAGATGTACATTTAGTTGTAGTATGTCTTTGATTCATAAGCCAAAAGAAAAAATGTTTACTGATATAACATGTAATGCATTTTTACCTTTAAATAAAATTTCATATAAAAATATAAATGTATTAAATATATACCTCTAGAGGCTAAGGAAATAGTAAAAAATATTTCTCCTTCCTCTGCTTAAAGCATTCTTTTCTAAAGTAGCCATTTTAAAAAGTCATCATCAAAATGCATGAAAATGGAACCTTCCCAAGACACCATTAATTCTCCCGTAGAGAAAGCCAATGTGGTTGATTATTTGCTTTATGAAAGTGTTGATTTTTTATGACTCTTTGTTTAAAGCTATTTATCATTGAAAAGGCTGTGCAAGGCCAGATATAGAATTCATTTTCAAAGGTAACTTATACCAAAGAGGCAGCAGTGGTATTATCTGCCATGTGGACTTAAGAACTCTTGTTCTCTGAGTAGGTTTTAAATCAAAAGCGTTAAGTAGAGTTTAAGCCCCGTGTCATTTTAAATTCCAAGCTTTAGATCCATGAAGCATGGATTTTATGATGGAAATGACAACTGACCCTCATCTGTAACAAATACAGCAAACTAACTTTGTGGCTCCCTCAGTAATTCTGAGC
This sequence comes from Homo sapiens, assembly GCF_000001405.40. NCBI lineage: Eukaryota > Metazoa > Chordata > Mammalia > Primates > Hominidae > Homo > Homo sapiens. The sequence continues at coordinate 121,098,507 of NC_000010.11, forward strand.
AAGTAGTGCAGGCAGATAAGATATGAATGACTAGGAAAATGTGTATAAAATCAATTGCCAACGAGTGGTTCCTGAGGGCTTACCAGTTGTCCTCTCAATGTTCAGCTGGTGTTCCTGTCTGCCTGTGCCCTGGAAAGGGCTTCCTATCTGCCAGTCTCTCGGTAAAATTTTTTATAAGCAACTTTACAGAATTTACCAGTATTTACTGGAAATAATAGTAAAACAATAGCAGTTACCACTTATTATTTACCATATGCCATGTACTAGGCTACATACTTTCATGCTTTATGTCATTTTATCCTTACAACAACTCTGTGAGATAGTTTGCAGATGCTTTTCCAAGTTTTATAGACAAAGAAATTGAGGCTCACAACATTTAATAATTTTCCCAAGGCTGCACAGATTATAACGAGCAATGCTGAGACTCAAACCCAGATCTGTCTGACTCAGACCCTGAGCTCTAATCTATTGCAATAGTCTCACACTTAATCAACCACCCTCCTTGTGTTGCTATCTCCCTAATTACAGTGTAAGCTTCTCAAGAGGAGAGACATGCTATATTCTTCTATGGTATCTTCCAGGGTAACTGGTACAGACGTTCAATACAAGGAATTTATCTGCTAGTTTAAAAAAAATTGTATATTCATAATTCACTGAGGCTTAGAATATCTGTCTGAAAAGTCCCCATCTTTCAGGGAGTTTTTCAGTGCCAGAGCACAAAATAATTTTCTTTAGCGTTCAATTTAAATTTAATCAGCTAAAAACTCACAAACTAGCAAGCCATGTTTGGAATGAAACTCCAGTGAGGCTGAAACAATACAGGAGGTGAGGAGCAGACTTCTTGGAGAAAGCAAAAGAATATGCAAAGACGCATCAATTAATCATACAGTGCTTCGGATGATCAATGTCTCCTTCAACGCGCCACAGAGCTCTGGATTTGAGAGGAGTGTTAGCATTAAAGCTTGATAAAGTTATAGTCATCTCACAAATTCCACTGTCACCTCATTAGATATGAAAAATAGAATGCTTTAGGACACTTGGAGATATTTTCAGTAAAAATAACATTTTTTTCTTTATAAGGGAACTGAAAACCACCTCCTAATTGCATTGTGAGCAGTCATGACAGACTGCACAGCCAGTGGGGTCAGAGCCAGAGGTCTGGTAGTGTAAACTGTCCTCCAGCCTATGAGGGTTTCCTCTCCAAAGAGAAATTGTTGTTAAAGCCTTAATTGAGAGGTCAGTGGTCTTAGGACAGGCAGGAGATAAGCCACCAGCTATGTGAAGTAATGTTGACTTTGATCTGCCAGGCCTTTTGGCATAGAAAGAAAGCCAGCCTTGAGCCAGAGGTTCTCTAATCTTCTTAAAGATAAGCTGTAACTGTTTGGCTGGGGTGGGGGTCCAGAGCAGAGAAAGGATTTCTCTTTTTGTGCTGTGGCCAGACTTATGAATGACTCAGTTACTGCCTGACATCCCTGCCCAGGCTCTAACCATACTCCGGAATGGCAAGGCAACCTGTCCTAAGGGGGCTTGTTGGAAGGAAGAGTCTTGAAGAGAAGACCATTATATCTACGGGAGTTACCACCATTCCCTTCTCAGGAGCTGCTTTGGAAGATGTCCAGTGGATTATTTCTCCAAAGAAAGCCAGGATCAGCAGATAACTGATCAAAATGTCTCAGGAAAGGAAGTGTGGGTGGGAGGGAGAGAAGGAGAGAAGAAAGAAAGATTTGAAGAATTGAGTTGTTCGGGATCTCTGTGCAATTCCAAGTTTATGAAAATAGAATCGTACCACTTAGCAATATATATATATATATATTTATAATATATATATATTGCAAGCATATATATCTATTTATTACAGTATGCATATAGCTATATATGCATATAGCTTTTTTATTTCTCCATAGCAAAAGATCAATTTATAGAAATTGGTGGAGGTTCGTCCAAGAAATGGAATCTTTCTGCTAGAAAGACAGCTCAGAAGTTGGTAAATTCTGCCTTGCCTCTCACTGATTGGAAATCACCGAAATGATTGATTCCTGGGATTGGAAACCACGCAGACAGGAAATAATGGGACCAAATGACTGAAGGGGATCTTGAGCACTCTCAGATGGAGAAAGGATCAGTGCCACTGTCAGGAGTCTTTGTATAACCCTTCTGCCCTTACAGTGTATTTTAAGGCGTCACTTTATAAAGCTTCAGCCAGAGAAGGGAGAGATTTGGGGTGCTTTACAAATGGGTGAGCCAAGATGCATAACTTGTGTTTGGAAAAGAGAGCTCAACTACAAGTAGCACCATTCAGAATAGACATGGATCCTCCAATCCCGAAGTTCAGAAAAAGTTTCTTCCATCCAGTCAGGCACTATAAACTCTGACCCAAACAGAACGTGGGCACCATCTACACTAACGTTCATCCCAGCAACCAAGACTTGGTAGGCATATGTGTACCCTTGTAGCTAGGCATGATGCCACAGTAATGACTGCTTTCCACATCTAGTGGGCTAGACTGCACTTCCACAAGCACCATCTTGCTTTGACTTGAAGATTTCACAAAACTGCCATGAAATAGGTTGTGCTTATTGCCACCTCCCTTTTAGATTTTCAGAACTGGGGTTCAAGAATCGTGGGTTTACATGTTTGGCTAATAAAGGTTGCTTAGCTAATAAGAGGCAGTGACAAAATCTGTACCTAGATCTTTGAATATAAGACAGAAAACATACTAAGGAGGCACCATGCAGCAAGACCCCAATGTCAACTTCCAACTAACATTTTATAGTAATTGGTAATTTAGACTAGAAAGGAACCTCAGATGCCAACTCTCTTCAAGTCGGGAAATTCCCCATGGAAAGACATCCAGACCTAGACTCCCACTCATCCAGTACTTATACCATGGTGAATATCAATATCCATCATGGATCATCAGGGCGTCACCAGCCAATGGAGTCTTCACCTTCTAAAATATTGCTGGTTGCCATGGCACAGGGAAAGAGAATGTGGTAAATTATGCTCTAGCTCTTGGCTCTGCCATTCACATTTCAAGGGCCAAATCAAGTCACATGATCACGCTTAACTTCAAAGGCGGGAGAGAAGTGCCACTCTACTATGTACCAGGAAGGGGGAAAAAAGAAGAATTAGTAAATGTCTTAATGGCTTTCCCAGAGTCCCTCTCATGAATCCAGGGAGATATTGATAATCAGTGTGCTCCATTGAAGTCAGTGGTCACAGATGTGAATTTTGTTAGTGTATTCCTTGAAGAACTTAGCCAAAAATGTTGTCTGGTATTCAACTGAGGAATGGCGTTATCTTAATGTAGCTGAAAAAAAAATGTCATAATGCCTGGAAGAGGCATCTTTGAAGATTTCACAGACAGACAGCAGACCCAGGGAAGATGCTCAGAGGGGAATGCTTATTTTTTTGGAAGCACTGGGGTCGTAAAGCCATGATAAATGTACTCCCCATATCCCTCTACCAGTCTATCTTTTCTGCTCGTAAAAGAGATAGAGAGGAAAAAAGAAAAAGAAAATAGAAACCCCAAAAAGAAATCTGGAAGTAACTGCAGAGTGGGTTCTTGAAAGTGTGGCACAGTACTCTAGAAACAAACAAAGAACATTTGGAAAAAAAGTCTTTAGTTCTCCTGAAGACACAGAATTTCAAAGTAATCCAAAAGCCTCATGCCTGGTCCCCCTTCTTCCATCTCAAATTCTTGAGAACCCTCCTTGGAGCATGCTGAGAAATGGATCTCTAAGTCAACAAAAATTTAATGTCAATTTCTAAGCACCCACAAATTCCTAAAATACAGCAATTTAATATTATTTATCATTTTGATATTATTTATCTCCAAAATATGCATTGCATCATTATCATCAATCGAATATTTTCCCAAAGGAACGAAATTAATTGCCCACCAGAAAAGTTTTGAAATGTTTACATGTATTGCTTTGTATAAGCATGAAAGTAGTGTGTGGGAGCCTGTTTATAAGTTAGCAAAGTGTTAGTAAACTCTGGTTTGACACTGATAAGGTTCATATGAAAGTCATCACTGAAACTGTTGCCTAAATAATAAACAGGATCTCTAGGCCTATCCTTTTTCAAGCATGCCTCATTAGATTAAAAAATATATACTGTACCCAGAAGAAACACATAGTATACAGAAAAGATGGCAGCATGATTGTTGCATTTAGTGCAATGTTTAGGGAGAAACAGCTCTTGGGGAGATCCAGTGTCTCACTGCCCAGGGTCTCAGTTGGGTCAACTGTGGGCAAGTCACTGAGCATTCATTTTCCTCTTTTGCAAAATGGTGATAAGAATATTGCTTTTCCTATAGGGTTTCTGCCGGAACTGAATGAGATAAGTCTTGGAAGGCACCTTAAACAGTCCTGGCATATAGTAAGTCCTCAATGGACTGGCAAACTGCCACTGTTGTCAAGCGAGCTTGGGTTTTCTCATGAGACAGACCAAACATCGTGATGCCTCAAAAGGGTCTTTCAGTAACCATGCCCTGCCAAGAGAAGACCTTGCAATTCAGTGTTTGGAAGGAAAAGACGGAATGCAGGAGACCCTGGACTTTTGCCCCACCATCTAGGGGTAGATCTAGATCTGCCAGAAACCACTGGGTGATCTTGAATGGGTCACTGCAAATCAGCTGGACCGCAGCTTCTAAGAAACAAGAAATCTAAATTGCATCCAAAGAAAAAAAAAAAAAACCAGCAGCATTAAAAAACAAGAAGACTGGCCAGGCGTGGTGGCTCACACCTGTAATCCCAGCACTTTGGGAGGCCGAGGTGGGCGGATCACAAGGTCAGGAGATAGAGACCATCCTGGCACACATGGTGAAACCCTGCCTCTACTAAAAATACAAAAATTAGCCAGGCATGGTGGTGCATTCCTGTAATCCCAGCTACTCGGGAGGCTGTGGCAGGAGAATTGCTTGAACCAGGGAGTTGGAGGTTGCGGTGAGTCAAGATCGTGCCACTGCACTCCAGCCTGGCAACAGAGCGAGACTCCATCTCAAAAAAAACCAAAAAAACAAAACAAAAAAGAAAGCTGATTATATTTGAAATCACAGCATCTACTCTTCAAAAGATATCTTACTGGGAGCTGAAACAGAGAAAATTGCTTAATGCAGCAATGCTCTGACTGTCACAGAGTAGGGAGTTCAGAGACCCACACCTGAGGACTCCTCTTCTCCCAGCTCCTTTCTGCACACTTCCATTGTGAGCAGTGCCTCCTGGGTTGTGCAGTGAGGGACCCTGACTATCTTGCACTGTGGCTCCCAGCATAGTACCTGCCGACAGCAGAAAATCAATGCATGTTTGTGGACAGCCCATCTACTGGATTCTAGCATCTCCACTCCATAGGATTTTATACTCTGTTTGTACTATGCTTGGCACAAGATCATGCCCACAAGCATAGCTCTTTGGTCATCCACAAATATGGAGAATTGATATTGGGCTAAGCATGGAAGAAAAAACAGAAACAGACCTGGTCTCTGCCCTCACAGAGGGTCATGGTAGAAGGAAGCATAGAGAATGGTGTTAGTCTGCCATGACTGGATTTGGGGCCTGGTTCTTCTACTGGGCTTATTCATGCAAATGTCTCAAGCAACTTTCCTAATTTCTGAGTGTCCATTTCATCTGCAAAATTAAAATAATATTCCCACTTTGTACACTGTTATGGGTCCAGATCAGATAACTTATAGAAAGCAACTAGCATATTGCCATCAAACTCAGAGCTCAAACGCCAGCCCCTTTCCTGTAGTGTTTCACCAAGAAGGGCACAGAACTGTTAAAAAGCCTGAGATTTTATTTGCCTCTATATTGTAACAATGCCTGTCTACCTTTGGGACTGCCCTGCCCTGACCCAGTTTCAGAACCGAGACTGTCCAATTGTGTTCGCATTGGTGCATTAATCATGCAGCTCCTGAGTGAAGGGCTCGCACTGTCATGACTTTCATTACCTCCAGACCAGGCACTGGCAACCACTCCACAGATCATTGTTCCAAGCAAGCCATTGTTCCAGCTTTTTCCTCTGGGCAAGCCTTGGATGGAGTAAGGTCTTCTCCAGCCTAGGAGGCTACACTGTGCAGTTTCAGGGAAAGACAAAAGGCTGGATTCAGTCTGAACTCAGCCCGCACATGAAGCAGCTGCTCAACTAGCTGGAGCTCCAGGCCAGCTCTTGGGCTCCCAGGTCACAGGCCAAGCCCAGCCAGACAATAGAGGTGAGATGATGCCACCCTCCAGTGGGCAGGCAACACCCAGGAGGTGGGGCCTTTAGTCACTCACTTCATTGTTACAGTCATAAGGAAGGAAAGCATTTAGTTATTTTCTTTAGGGCAAAAATTGTCAAAGGAAGAAAAGAGCTGAGTGCTCTTAGCAGCCCTCCCACTGCTTCTACTAGCAAGCCCCTTCTGTCTACCTGGCCACCACCTGGTAGTGTTTATTTGTATAATAAAGGCTGAAACAGATTATACCTAGCCAGGGAACACATGCATTTGATAGAAGCTCATGTCTCAACTCCTTTGTAATCACTGCATTTTACACCTTTGTAATTTTCTTTGTGCTCCCTTGGAAGGCACCAAGCAATGGTTTTGTGTTCCCATCAGACTAACCTGATTTACAAACAAAACAAAACAAAACAAAATAAAACAAACAAAAACTTAAGAAAAAAAGATTTTTTCTGCACAGTAAAAATGTGTTAAGGTAAAATTGCAGGCCCTATTTTTAGGGGGGCTCCAAAGCACATTATCCACTGGCTCAGTACAAACACATACTACCCTACCCTGCTAATTCCACCCCCATAGAACTCCCTCTGCCTCTTCCATATAGGTTTTATCCACATTCAGCCACAGTGGAATTGCTTAGGCATGTGTGTGCCTTCCTTGTGAGTGGGGAGCTCCAGGAGAGCACATATTATGTCCAATTCATCTGCACCTGCCGCACAACACCCTGGGAAGGCGCATAGCACCAGAAAGTAGGACAAGCTTTCACATATATTGAGAAACTGCAGCTATGTGATCCCATATATTATCTCCAATACTAATATTATGCCTGTCTTCTGGAAAGAAATGGAAGTTCACTCTGAAATTCCAGGGATACTTTGCTCTTTTAAAGGAGTAGTTTCCCAGGTGTTTTTTAGACTTAGTGGACCATGTCTAAAATCTTTCTTTCCAAATAGCTCTACTTATCACCCTATACCAACAATTCTCATCCATAGCATCATGACCCACTGGTGGGTCAGCTTCATTTGTGAGTTGCAGTTCAAGTAATTTTTGCTAGTGAGACTTTAAGTAGCTAGGATATTAAAGTTTAAAAGACAAAAGAAAATTATAGCAGATTTCAGGCTGGCCGCTAATGACCTGTTTTCACTCATTTGTCTTCCCATCTGCTATTCTGAGGGAGAAGGAGGTAGAGATGGGCGGTCCATCACCCTCTCCATCCTTTTCGGTCCTAGACACCCCAGGTCAGAGGGAGCCTCCATTGTTCATGTACTATCCTAGCTTTGGCAACACATTCATGGAGGGCTCTACTTCCCAGAAAATTTGCGGTGCAGAGTTTTTTGGAATCTGTGTTCCCCATGGATTGTGATTGAGATCTATGCTGGGACAGGGGAAGACTGGCAACCCCTGACCTCCACTAGCACCTTTAGAAGACTTCAGATTATCAACTTCCTAAAATGGTTTTAGTTTAAAAAGCTACTCATCACTCAGCCCCATTAGAACTCCCCCAATCCCATGTTACAAAGAATAATATGTAGCAACTACTTTTGGGAGTTTTTTTTTTTTTTTTTTTTTTTTTGGACAGAGTCTTGCTCTTGTCGCCTAGGCTGGAGTGCAGTGGCACAATCTTGGCTCACTGCAACCTCCACCTCCTGGGTTTAAGCAATTCTCCTGCTTCAACTTCCCGAGTAGCTGAGATTACAGGTATGTGCCACCACGCCGGGCTAATTTTTTGTATTTTTAGTAGAGATGGGGTTTCACCGTGTTAGCCAGGATGGTCTCGATCTCCTGACCTCGTGATCCGCCTGCCTCAGGCTCCCAAAGTGCCAGGATTACAGGCGTGAACCACCGCACCAGGCCGGGAGTATTTTAGTGTACTTTTTCATAACCCTTACTTTAGTTTATTCTCAAAATTGCCCTAAGAAGTAGACCAAGAAAATATCAACTGTCCCGTTTTATGAATGATAAATTGTTTCTATGTTCTAAAGAGGCATAAACAGCAGGGCAGGTGTGACAGGGACACACTGGTTTAAGCAAGCACGGTTCTTACTGAACAAGCAGTAATGCAGTCTCAGCTTTGTGTAGCACAAAGAGAGGCCTTTGGCCAGAAACCACGTGTATTATTGTACTGTGAGATCAGCTTCTGCAGTAATTGCCTGGGGAATATCCCCGCTCCCTATTTTTTTTTTTAAGCAATAAGCATTTTTGCATGAATCCAGAACCAGCACTCATGGACATATCTAAAAGAGCACAAAGCACTTTGGGAAGTAATTAGAATTTATGTTTTTTTAGTCCCATCTCTATATCACAAAAGACTACATGTGCAAGGATCGTAGATAGATTCACGAACGTAGAAATAGCCAGAAAAAAGACCCCAGAAATAAGGAAGCATTCAAGACCTAACTTTTGCTGTTGAGAATTTATTCCAAACAGCTCAGCAGAAAAACCAAGCTAACTTTTAAATGGTGTGCACAAGATCACAGGGCTACTTTGCTTCATCAAGTACTTTTATTTGAAATTTCTAAAAATCAAAATAAACAAAAATTTAAAAAATAAGACCTATGTAGAAATTTAAAATTACTGAAAGATTGCAAATCTATCAAAAACATTTCACTTTCACAATACACATTAGTGCTGTTGTGTGAGAAGCCCATAAACAAGGTGTTTGCCTTGGGGGCCATGCCATCAATCCCAGCCTCAGCAGGAACATGCCACATAGTCATCAGCAATTGCACCGTCACATGTTGTCAATACATTTGAGTGCAGTAGGCATGTGCTCAGCTCTCCCACTTACAGCAGTTTCATTAAGGCTGTGTGAAGATTGAAGATTCTGGGTGGCAAGGGGTTCGCATTAGTAAGAACACTTCCCTGCTTCCCTGAAAAAGGGGGCAGAAAGCTGGGGGCTTATTGGCTCATGTAACTGAAAATACAAGAGGTAGAGAATGAGACATGGTCACCAAGGACGTGAATCAACAGTCTTATATCAGTCGTCTCTGCTCTTCGAGGCTGTAATGGTTCATTTTATGCATCAACTTGACTAGGTCTTGGGGTGCCCAGATACTTGGTCAAACATTATTCTGGGTGTGTCTGTGAAGGTGTTTTTGGATGAGATTAACATTTGCATTGGTAGACTGAGTAGAGCAAATTTCCCTTTCTCATGAAAATGGGCCTTATCTAATTCCTTGAAGACCTGAACAGAACAAAAAGATGACCCTTCAGTAAGAGGAAACTCCTTCTGTCTGACTGACTTGATCGAAGACATGTCTTTTCCAATCTTCAGACTGGAACCAAAACATCCTTTCTTCTTGGGTCTTGAGACTGCCTGCCTTTCAATCTGCAACTTATACCATTGGCTCTCCTGGGTCTTCAGCTTACCAACTGTAGATCTCGGCACTTCTCAGCCTTCAGTGTTGTGTGAACATCATAGAGCATACTTATGCAAACCTAGATGGTATAGCCCACTATATGCATAGGCTGTATAGTAAAGCCTTTTGCTCCTAGCCTGCAAACCTGTTAGTGTACCGAACACCGTAGGCAGCTGTAACATGCTGTAGCATGTTAGTGTACTGAACACTGTAGGCAGCTGTAACACAATGGTAAGCATTTGTGTATCTAAACATATAAAGATATGGTAAAACTATGGATTATAATCTTATGGGCTATTACTGACAGAAATGTTGTTATGCAGCACATGACTCTTGTGTATGTATGTGTGTGTGTGTGTGTGTGTACATATATATATATATATATATATATATATATATATATATATATATATATATATATGCAGCCTATTGGTTTGGTTTTTCTGGAGAAGCCCGATTCATAAAAAAGTGTTGGCTACATTCAGGCAGAACCTTCAAGCAGCTCCAGGCTTATGCTCTGTCTTAGCAATCCTGGTGGATTCTTTCTCAAATTTCAGCCTAAATCCTAGAATCGGTTCTGGTTTCCCTGCTTGGGTCATGTGCCCATCCCTGGACCAATCACTGGGGCTGGAGTTACAGGATGTGCTGATTGACTGGCTATGCCAGGGAAAGTGCCCATCCCAGGAGTCAGTGGGGGAATTGACTGTACTAGAGCCACGTGAACTAAGAGTGAGCAAGGAATGATCCCTAAAAGAAAGTCAGGGTGCTGCTACCCTAAGACAGAAAGAGATGGTGACAGGTAAAAACAGACGTTCTTTACAGGGTCATGCCCCAGTTATTTGAATCAATAGGGGCTTTGTTAATTTAGCCAGAAAAGCTAGGATGTAAATCCCTGCAATGCCACCTAGCAGGTAGTCTTGGACAATCCATTTTATTGGACTATCCATATACCAAGCCTTCACTTCTTCACCTCTAAGTGAGAATAATATTTAGATTGGACATATGTATGTAAGCACGTAGCAAAGACCTAGCATGTAACTCAGGAATTGGTAGCTAACCTTATCCTATAATATATGAGAGTTAAGCAACAGTGGCCTAATTCTCGTAGTGATAAAATGCATTCAGACCAGTGGTTCTCAACCCTTCTTTATCCGCATATAGCTAAAGAACATTCTGTAACTCATAAATGGAAGTTGTTCATAGTGGCACGGAGTAAGGAGAATGGTCTCCCTTAAGTTACATGTCAGAATCTCCAGAGGAAGGGCATACATTGAAGATGCACCTGCTGGTGCTGATACACAGCTCACCCTCCCCACCCACCTTGGGAATCACTGATACACCATTAAACTGGCTTATTGGAGCATGCTGCAGCAAAATTATCCCTAGATGATGTCTCTATCCAAATAATTTCTAAAAGGAAAAATGTCATTCAGAATCAATGTTTACCCCTCCCCCTGTGCTCCCAACAGCAGAAGGAAGATAATTCACAGTTATGCTTAAGGTTCTAATCATAACCCATCTCTGTTATAACCATGGTGGTTAAAAATGTGCCTGCTATTTTAAGTCCATAATTATTTTTTAATAGTACTATCATTTCTTTCCATTAAGTCTGTGTCAGTGAACTAGAGCTTGGCCAAAAAGAGTGAAAAATACATGCAGTCAAAAGTTGACTGATAATAGAAGTATGCCTTTTATCTTAATCTCTGATACCAAAATGAAAGGGATAAGAGAAACCAGGAAACACAACAAATGACAACTATTAATTTAGTGGTAGCATGATTTGCATAGTAATGCAGGAAATGTGCTGCTGATTATTGCATTTGCTCTATCATTAGAGCGCTGAGAAATGTTTGGAACTTGTCTGCATTCCCCACTGGTTAACACTTTTTAGATAACTAAGCCATCTTCAGTGTATGAATTATTCTATCTACCCAAATCCACAACCGTCATTCAGTATATTTCCCTTCTTAAAAAACTTCCTTTTTCCCTATAAATACATATTTGAAAAAAATGTATAGAAATCACATTCACCTTGATTTTGCACCATATATTTTGAAGCACTTTTATTTTACCCATTTGTATCACATTTCATGGAGATTATGGACTTGTCCATGTTAGTCACTGAGAACCCCAATTTCAGGAATTGTAACACCTGAGCACCTCCTCAGGTCCTACTCAGGGACATTTAACCAATAGACTTCCAATCCAAGGGAAGTTCCGGAAAGAGAAGCCTACTGGGAAATTGAGAAGTCAGAGAGGATGGATGGGAGAAAAGGCAGAAATATAAAATTTACAATTCTAGAAATATAAAATTTTACTTAATTACTAATTCAGATCAGTCCAACTTCTGGATTAATTATGCACATTTTCTATTTTTGTCCTACTAACCTGCTCAGCTAACTGGTCTACCCAGAATTCTGGGATCACAGCTTATAACTTCCTGCCTCCCCTTATTCAGTGTTTGTATCTTTCAGATGCCATCTTCCTATTTAATTGAACTCCATTGTCAGAGACCACCTCAAATCCCAAACTCTTCAGGAAGCTGCCCTTGATCAGTTTCACCTGATGGAGTTACTGCTGTGATTCAAAATTGATATCACCCATTTCATACCTCTTGGAACATCTACTATTGTTTTCTTTTTCTCCTGTCCTCCCTTCCTAAATAATTCACTTCATTTAACAAACATTTACAGAAAACAGCAGACACTGTAGGCACCAGCAATACAGGAATGATTGAAACTGACAGGCTCCCTACCATCATGAAGTCTCTTAGTTGGTTTATAATGGGATAACATCACATACACATTTAATTATTGGCAAGCATGAAAGGGGTGTGGGTGAAGCTGGGTGGGTTAGGGAAGGGAAAGGAAGAATAACAATTTAAATAGTAAAGGCAATTCTTTTTTGATTACCAAGTGCCTGAGTAAATGTGAACTGGGAGATGAGTATCCATCTGGTCTTCCCTCTGGTATACCTCCCTTCCCACCCCTCCCTACCTCCTTATTGAAGGTTTCACAGGGTGAACAACTCTCTTAATTAGTATGAATTTTTTTCTAACTTGGCCCCTAAAGGCAAGTTGACACTTCATTTATTACTCAACAGAAGATGCAGCACTTAGGATCCACTCTTGAGGATCTATAACAAGAAGAGCTGGGATTGCAGTGGTCTCAGGATACTGGAGCCCAGGTGGATTGTTTTCTAAGAGAGGGGCAGCCCTCTCCAGTCTGTCAGCCAAGCTCCAAGTCCCCCTCACTCTTCCCTCCTCATTTCCACAAAGGGCATCTTTCAATAAGAGAAATTCTCATAATCGAACTTTGCTGGAATATTTTCTTCACTTGATGCAAGTCCAGGGCATCTCCCCAAAGACCCTTGATCATGTCAGAGGTGGCTCAGAGCTGGTGAAAAGAAATCTGTGTTTAGTGGTAGGATACTTATTTTATTATTTTCCATTCAACTGGCCAGGGTCTTATCTTCTCTTTAAATGTATTTTACTTCAGTGTTGTCAAAGAAACAGGAGAAAGCATAAGCTGCATGCACATTTCAGACAAGCCTATGATTCTCAACCCAAACTGAGATCCTACAAGATCTATTTGTCTGTTTGGGATAAGCAGCACGCCATATCAAAAAGTGATGTGCATTCTCAACCCTGACCCAGGTAGTCCTGCTATGAAGGTCTGAGCCAGTGAGGAGAACGCATCTGGAAGACACTTCTGAGAGAAAGTCTCCCAGAAAATCTCCTAATCAGCACTATCTAATTTAACACTTTTTCCATAAAAAGGAAGTTCCAAGAGCAGTTCTGCTACTTGCAGAAATAAAAATCAAAATGAACCTATTCTCGCATTGTAAAAAACCTTTCAAATAAGATTCCAAAGACACAACTCAGCCTTGAACCGAAATCAAGACATAAACATGAGCTCAGCAAAACAGCATGGAAATAAATCAATCATGTATGCTACATGTTTCAATAAATATGCCAACAATAATAAAATTTTAGGTGTGGTCTTCAAAAGCCAACGTTTCTCATATTAAATTCCCTGTAGCATTTTTTGAATTGAGTTGAATAACAAAATAAAGCAGTTTGTATATTTATGGGATTCTTTTCTTCAGAAACTTTTTGACTCGAATAAAATGCATTCCATATGTATGATAGCTAAGCTGCATTTCCATGAGACATATATTTTCCCCATTTTTCAGTTAATGAATGTTTCAAGGGACAGTTTTCCAAGTTCTCCTCCCACTTTCCCAAGGCAAGATGTCTTAAGGAAAACAAAACAAAACAAAACAAAGCTAGGAGGAAATACTTCATCACTATTCATTATTTATAAACAAGTATAGTTCAGATCATGAAGGAATGGCTCCATTCATCAGTTTCACCTCTCCAAATCCAAGTAAACCACTCCCCAGGCTCTTGGTTATCTGATATTCAGTCCTGATAGCCATAGATCAAGAAAGGCCCTTTGCAAAATGGCAGATACTGAAGGATACTAAAACGCAGACACACACAGACACACACACACACACACACACATTCTCAAATGATATAACTTTCAAAAAAAAATTAAGAGGAAGCAAAACAAATGGCTCTCCACCATTTTTTTTTCTGCCCCATAGCCCCACCTAGGGAAAAAATTGTAAACTATGCTTAAATTAATTCAACAAATATTTACTGGACATCCATAACGTGCCAGGCACATGCTGGGGCCCCAAGGACACAATGCTGAGGATGGATTTGTTCCAGAGTCCAGAGGAGGGAGCAGGTGGAGGCTCTGTGGCTCAGATTTCAGGGAGGGGAGTGTTAGGGAGACCCCCTGGGGAAGTTGATATCTGAGCTAGAGGCTGAGAAAAAGAGAGGGAGGTGAAGGTGCCAGGCAGAGAAGTCAGCAGAGTGGAGAGGGCTGGGAGAAAGCAACATTTTCCCAGGTCTGCAGCTCCCAGTGCGGGGGCGCAGCAAAGCTGAGGCTGGAGGGCAGCAGGGCCAGACCTTCAGGGCTTTGCAGGGCACACACAGGAATCTGGGCTTCATCCTGAAAGGAGTGGGGGTGGCAGGAGGTCGCCAAAGTGTTGTAACCTTGCAGTGACAAGGTGACATTTGCGTTTTCATCAGGGTAGTGACAAGGTCAGGGTTGTGCTTTTTCAAAATCACATGAATTGTGATTCAGAGGTTTGATCAGAGTGGGGTGGCACAGGCTGGAGGCTGGAAGGGTCCTTGGCAAAGCAGATTTGCCAGTTACAATCTCCTCGAAGTCCCTCCGTGCCAGCCTCCTCGCCCCTCTCTGAGAGGCGTCACTCGTATTCTAGGAAGCAAGTGGATCATATGAAAAGATGTCCCCCAAATGGCACAGTCCTTAGTCAGAGACCATCTCAAGAGGTTCAAGCAGCCACCTGGGATCCCCAGCCAAGTCAGGCATTCAGTCAAACCCTGGTCACCTGGAAAGGCTTGTGAGTCATCAGATACTGGGCAGCTTGCAATAGGTTGTTTTTAAGTGTTTTAAGTTCCAACTTACTTATCTCTTAAAAATGCTAGGTATTTACCTTTTAATCAAATGGAATACAACCAGTACTTGAAAATATCTGTGCCTCCCTCTGCTCTGAGAGACCCACAGTACAAGACTCTTTGCCCCAAAGGCTTGCAAATGCAAGAAATAGTCATTGGTTTTCTTCTTAGCCTCTGGGGTAGAGGATATTGTGCTAGTTAAGAATATTATGGAAATATCCCAGAAATGGGTTAGACATTTAAGAAATAAAAACCCTAAGGGCCCCAAACCTGCTCTTAATCCTAAGAGTATCAAGTTGAGCACTCGCCTCCATACATCAAACTGGAATAAGAGATCTGTGAAAATCCTCAGAAGTGGAATTTTAATTTTTTTAACTTCTAAAGGTTAGATGTGAGAATAACATGATGATAACCTCTTTATCTACCAGGACAGCAAAATCCAGGCTTAGGATGCGACGATGCTTACATTGATTAATAGAAACTAACCAGCCAGCAAATGCCTTGAAAGTTCCCAGATAACCTGAGAAGTGACAAGAAACAGAGACCATAAATAAAGTTAAGTGCCCTAGAGAAAAAATACACCCAAAGTGGCTTTAGTCTGTCCCACAGAATAATTCTTTTTCATGCTACATAGCAAAAGAGCTCAATCTAGTTCTTCCTAGTTTTGTCTGGTTTACTCAAAACAAATTCCGTATAGGGTTCTCAGATCTTTTCTTCTACATATTCCTCTGAAGATTTAAAGCTTTGCAAAACCAGACTGTACCCAGAATAGAGTCTCACTTTTTTTTTAAGCAGGGATAAATAAGAAGGCAAGATCTGAGCAAACCTTTAGTATCCTCTACAGACCCTATCATTGGATTTTTTGCTAAGAATATTAAATATTTGTAAATGGATGTTTGATAATAATACCCTAAAGAAATAATTTTCTATTTAATTTTATAAAATTCAAACACTTATGTTATCTCCAATATTCCTGGAGTGGTTTGATAAATGGTAGTTGGGCCACAGGAACCTCCCTGCTTCTTGAGAGTATCTCAGAGTATTTGCTTAAGAAATACACATGGATTCCTCCAGGGCAGTTCCTATAGGCTCTGAAACATACCCCAAAGGTTAAGTGATGAGCAGAAAGTTTAAACTCCTCAAGCCATTCAGCTTTAAAATAACACCTGGACCAAACCCACAACCAATACACTACTCTGTTATAGCAAATGTGTTGTTCCATGGCCTTCCAGAGTCCTATGATTTTTCTTCTATTGAACCTGCTACAGTATTTCTTTGGAAAACTACTTTTTCCTCTACCATCAACCCTTGCACTTTAGTGGAGCTGGCTCCAGCTCTGTGTTGGGAAGAGGCCACTGACTCAGGCCTGCCAATCAGAGGATCACATTCTCCCTCCACACTGATTGGTTCAGGGATAGGTGATGTTGCAGTCAGAGCCAATGAGAATCAATGACTCTTGCTGAACGAGATTATTCCTATTGGACTTGAACCTGGCCCAGAGTGAGCTTGAGTGGCCATTTTGCCATCATGAGATGAGTCGGCTGAGAATGGAGCTCATGCTCCACAAAGGGTGTAGGAGAGAGGTGGAGAGATGGAGACTGAGACCGAGGAACATCATTTCAGCCCCTGGATCAAGAAGCATGCAAAATGACAAATCCCTGTACTTATGTTAATAAGTTTTCTTTCATGCTTAAGCCAATTTGAGACAGAATTTGTGTCATTTGCAACAAAAGGAGTCCTAATTCATAAAATTGTATGTAAACATATGAACTGCTGACAACACAATTTTGAGCAAGATGACATTGTGAATACAAAGCTGAAAATGAATCAATGACATTGCCAGGTAGGACTTATTCTCCCATCAACAACATCTTAACATGGCATATCCTCTTTTGGACAGTGCACAGTGCTACTGAATAAATGAAAATTCTATTTTTTTTAAAGCAATAACACTAAGATAAGATGTTAAATCAACAAAGTGAGATAAAAATGGAGACCCAGGTCTAAGGAAACAAAATGAGGATAACAACAACTCATTATTATTGTACATAATGGTACGGAATACATACTATTAAAAATCAAATTACTATGGGGTTTCAATTCCAATAAGGGTGAAGCAGCTACTATTGGGCTAACTCTGGACAAAATATTTTTTAAAACAACTATTTAAATATGCTAGAGAGCAATCAAAGTCAGGCAGTACTGGAAGAGATTCAACCCTTGGCAGATGGGAGTTACAGTTACATTGGGTGAGATCTATGTTTATACGATTTTTCCTTGAGGGCAACCCCTTAGTCTACAAAGTGTTGGGTGGCTCAAACTGAAGCAGTAAACCACAGAGTAGTTGGTTTGAGATACTAGAAAATTAAGTTTTGGACAGCCGAAGCATGTGAAAAATGAGGGAGGAAATCACAGAAAGTTGACATTGAGAGCCCCCAAGTATGCATATGTCTTTTATTTAAGTCCCTGGCTGATCTCTGATCTGTGCATAGTTAGGGGAACTCCTGAGATTGTAGCAGAAAGATACAGCTAGAAGGATTAAAAGGCTGAGCAGAGATTTCAGCTGCTGGCCTTAGCAGGGAAACTAGTGTTGAGTCTGAATCCTGCCAGATTATAGGTGCTTGATAAATAGCTGAGGTTTTTCATTGAAATTTCAGAAGGGTCATTCTGATAAATAAAGACTATATCCTAGAACTAAGAATTTGCCCTTAGACAAAGGGAAAAAACAAAATGAACCCATCCTAACAAAGTATAAACTCAAGCCTCCACAGGTTCAAGATGATTAGATAGTAATTTAACTCCTGGCTAGAAAAAAAAATTCACACTCTTCAAAGGAAAATAACAGAATCCAGAGAATCTGTAACATATATTACACAATGTAGGGGAGACAATTTAAAAACAAAATATGAAAAGAAAGAAGCAAATGTGACCCATATCCAAAGATGAAAGTAGTTATTGAAACTGATACCGAGATGACACAAATGTTGGAATTAGTAGACAAAGATTTTAATAAAACAAAAATTGACAAATGGGAACTAATTTAACTAAAGAGCTTCTGCACAGCAAAAGAAACTATCAGCAGAGTAAACAGACAACCTGCAGAATGGGAGAAAAGATTTGCAAACTATGCATCCGACCTAAAAGTCTAATATCCAGAATCTATAAGGAATTTAAACAAACTAACAAGGAAAAAAATGAACAACTCAATTAAAAAGTGGGCAAAGGATATGAACAGACACTTTTCAAAAGAAAGTATACACGTGGCCAACAAGCATATGAAAAAATGCTTAACATCACTAATCATTGGTGAAATGCAAATCAAAACTACAGTGAGACCATCTCACACTAGTCAGAATGCCTATTACTAAAAATTCAAAAAATAACAGATGCTGGCGAGGCCTCAGAGAAAAGGGAATGCTTATACACTGCTGGTAGGAATGTAAATTAGTTCGTCCATTGTGGAAAGGAGTTTGGCAGTTTCTCAAAGAAATTAAAACAGAACTACTGTTTGACCCAGCAATCCCACAATTGGTATATACCCAAAGGAATATAAATCATTCTGCCATAAAGACACATGCACACATATGTTCATTGCAGCACTATTCACAATAACAAAGATTTGGAATCAACCTAAATGTCCTTCAGTGGTAGACTGGATAAAATAAATGTACATATATACCATGGAATACTACACAGTCATAAAAAAGAACAAGATCATATCCTTTGCAGCAACATGTGGGGAGCTGGAAGCCATTATCCTAAGCAAACTAATGCAGGAACAGAAAACCAAACACCGCATATTCTCACTTATAAGTGAGAGCTAAACATTGAGTACACGTGGATGCAAAGAAGAGAACAACAGACACTGGGGCTTACTTAAGGATAGAGGGTAGAAGGGCGATGATTGAAAAACTACCTGTTGGGTACTATGCTTGTTACCTGGGCGATGAAGTAATCTGTACACCAAGCCCCTGTGATATGCAATTTACCTATATAACAAACTACAAATGTACCCCTGAAGCTAAAATAAAAGTTTCCAATTTAAAAAAAAAGAGGTCAAGAGAAGAGAAAGAGATTCTGGATGTATATACAGTCACCCCTCCTTATCCATGGTTTCCGCATCTGCAGATTCAACCCACCATGGATTGAAAATATTGAAGGAAAGGAACACAGAAAAATAACAGTACAGATAAGAAAAAATACAGTGTAACAATTATTTATACAGCATTTACATTGTATTAGGTATTATAAGTAATCTAGAGATTATTTAAAGTATATGGGAGGATATGTGTAAGTTATATGCAAATACTATGCCATTTTATATCAGGGACTTGAGCATCCTCAGAGTTTGGTATCTCTCGGAGTCCTGAAATCAATCCCCTACTAATAGCAAGGGAGGACTATATATCAATCTACTAATTTGAGGTAGTAGAAATAAAAGGTTACTTTCTTTTTAAATTTTGTTCTATAAATCTCTAAAAATGAAAAAAGAAAAAAGAAAACAAGAGGGAAACACAAAGAATCAGTAAATCCCAGCCTGAAGTTGAGATACAGATATACTGTAGAGGGAGGGGCTCCATTCCCACCTAGATCAACAAATCCAATGTCCTGTAATGCAGATGAGTCAATAGGGCCAGAGGGCTAACAACCTGTCACAGGGCACTGCAGTGAGGCAGGGGCATTGCTAGCTCTAGAGCCCTGATCCCTTACCCACCAACTTCATGCTTTAGAGTTAATTCCATTTTTTCTACATATTTCCTATGGATGAAGCTAACTATGAAGTGCACACATTGTGCTTTGTGTGTGTGTGTGCATGCACATGTGTGTGTTGTTTTTCAAAGGTGCTCGAAACATGGTTGAAAGCTTTCTGACAGAGCCCTGATTGTTTGGAGAGAGGCAGGGCTAGCAAAATCAGAGGAATGTGTAACATAAAAATGAGGTTAAAAAGGGGCTATTGTTCCTATAACTAATCTTTACATTGAATCTTTTCTAGCAAAGGAGCGGATGTAGCGTTTTTCAGCTCTATCAAAAAGACCTGACATTTCTGTGAGGAGGCCAAACAATACACAGTTATAGAGATACTAACCTGCAGCCTGGTCACACAGAATATGTCCTCTACAGACCTAGAAACTAGTAGATACCCTAGAAACTAGTTCTCCTACTGGTGTAAAAAGGATGCTAAGAAGAAGAAACAAACACACAGGGTCTTTGTACCCTAAAGCCCAGAAATACAACCAACCACTAGCCTTAGAAACTTAGGAGTTAGATCACAGACTGCACAAGTCCTAGATGAAAGAGGAAAAGGGCTGACTGACATTTTTATTTTAAATTTAAAATACTGGAGGAGAACAGTTGATATTTGGCATTTCTGCAGTCTAGAAAAGCTGTGTTGACCCTGATTGGCCTTCAGGTGATCATTTTGCATTGCCATGGAGTCTTTATCTCCAAGGGTGTCCGGCTTCTGAAATCAGAGATGAGTGGGGAATGTCAGTCAGGGTCAGAGGAATGCTGTGCCAGGCATGGATCTGAAGGACTCTGGTGGTTGACTCTGCAGAAGTCAAGATCAACCCTGAAGCCCTTCTCCAGATGCTCTTGGATGGGCTGAGGTTACGAATAGCACCTGCACCACCTACATCTCTGAGAGTTGGCCACAACTGAGACAGGGCTTGGGCTTTCTGGGGAAGACCCTGCATTTGCCTTCCTGTGGAGTGCTGATTGTTTCTTCCATGAGAAATTCACTGTCTCTGATAATGTTCTTATTTCACATGATCATCTGAAGAAAAAAAATGGATAAGCAAGTTAAGGAAGTGAAGAGCAGAGGCCACTGGGATGAAGGCTAGAAGAAATGAATTCATGAAAGCTATGAAAGATGACATTGATGCTAACACATTGTATAGACTGGGGCTTAATCTGCTGGGTACCGTGCCAAATGCTTTTCAGGTATTATATTATTAATCCTGATGGAAACCATAAGAGATAGATGTTATAATTATCCCCATTTTACAGACGAGGAAACTGATGCTTGGAGGTAGCCTGCCCAAAGTAACAGCTCTAGAAAGGAGAGGACCAGAACTAGAACCCAGTCTGACTCTGGCTCCTTCCCTTCTTACCCTCCCCTACCTGCCCTTCTTCCCTCTCACCCCACAAACAAAAGCTCTTCCCCTTGTGAAAGATCTGCTGTCAATCATTCCTACTTTACAATCACACACTTGCAGACAATGAAGTGTTGCATCACCTCCCCCAGGAGAAAAACTTTTAAAAAATCTTCTCCAGTGATCAAGAAGGATGTTCTGCTACCAACTCTCCCTATATGTGATCTACATGTCCAAAAATGGTAGATGATGGAGTACTATTATACTGCAACTTTAGCCCATTGATGAAGTCAAGTAATTGATACAACATTGCTAGCAAGAAACAGCGGCTCTGCACCTAAGAAGGGAGGCAGGGGGGCATACTGCATGGATTTTACAGGGCTGTTTCTGCCCTGAGCTTTCTTCCTCATCTGTAAAGTGAGGGATTTGGATGGAATGCTTGCTAAGGGATGTTTAAGCATTGTGATGTTGTAATATCTATAAGAAAGCAATTAAACTCTGCTTTTATAAACCTTCACATTTATTGTGGCATTTTTCATCATCAGATTGGCAAAGATTGAAACACATGGGGCTAATGAGGAGATAACAAAACAGATGCTCTTGGCCTTACTGGTGGGTGAATAAATTGGCTCAACCTCTGTGGATATCTATAAAAATATAATAACAATGACAATCATAATTTGCAGCGCATATACCCATTTACACTGATAACTCATTTCTGGGAGGTTCTCCTAGAGCTATGTTTGCACATGGAAGATTAACTACGGTGCTGTTTATTGTAACAGGAAGCTAGGAATGACCTGCATGCCCTTTGGTGAAGGATGGTGTGCTAAATTGGGCTACATCTAAGTAAATGGGACACTACACCAGCCCTAAAAAGAATAAGGTAGATGAACATGTTAGAACAGGATCTCCAGAACAAATCACTAGGAAGAAAATGTAGAGAACTACATAATATGCTCCCATCTGGTTTGACTATGTGGTTAGAAGGTGTATATGTGTTTGTGCAAATGCAAGTTTAGAACATCTCTGGAAGGATTGCTTTAAAAACAACTGTTAACACTGGTTGCCATGGTAGGGGACCTGGGGACCCAGAATAAAAGGGAGAGTTTTTTTAATTGAGGAGCTTATTGTGTTCTTTGAATTTTTTGCTTTGTACATATATTACTTTTTTATTTTAAAAAAACTAGTTCAAAAAGTTTTTTCGGTTTATGAGAGGTCATGACAAAAACATAAAAATACTGCAGAGAAATTGCATCAACTTTATTATATAGTGTATCACATACCCACATACATATACAGCATTACACAATGTTGCATATATATATATGTCTACTACATTACGTATATATGTGTATGTGTATGTACATACACATATACAATTACATATATATTTGTATACACAAACACACACACACACACACCAGTTGGATAATTTGTTGGCCCAGCTGGTTAAAAGTTGAAAGCTCATGAAATTCCAGTCACTGGTTCTCTCCCAGTTTTGAGACTCGGCCTCTCCCTTCCATAACCACAGACTATGCTTGGAGCCTAGGTCAGCCACCTACACAGTGGACTTTCCAAGAAGAAAGATCACGTTTTTTTCCCCTGTCATCCAATGCCCAAACATCTCTCCCACATCCCCACCGAGTGAACACTTTCAGCATCAATCTCTGACTTCAGCCAGAGGAGCTGGGCATAAAGAGCCCTCACTGTAAGCCCCAAGGCAGGCAAATGGGCCAACACTTGTTGGCCATGGCCTGAAATCTCCGATGTACACACGAAACAATCAAACATCTCTGATTCACGTTTGTTGAATATTCTTAAGCCCTGAGAGAAAGGAGTCAAAAATAGCTAAGAGTTTTGAAACCCTTTAGGAAAAGGCACTCTTTGGCATACTTGTTTTTTCAGCATTCAATGAACAAAAAGGTTCACTGTTTCGACCACCAAGAGAACAGCCAAGTTTTTAGAAACGCAGTCACACTTTTGGCTGACATAAGGAGATTTTCCAACTGGGCTTTCATCTGCACACGTATGGGTGGTCTCTTCCACCTACCACGGACTTTTCCGTGCCAACAATTTTGTTTGTAAATCTAAGTGTAATAACAAAGCTTGTGTACTCATGGAACTCTAGATGTTCAGCACGAGGAAATACAAAGGTGCATTTAGGTGCCTCTATTGCTAAGAAAACCTTGATTCTTTGAAAGATGGAAAAGTCACTTTAAACAGATCTCTTACGTCTTTAAGGAGAAGTGTAGCTGACTCGCAATTCCTTCTACAGAAACTCAAGATTGAATTATTTCCACTGGGCAGATTAAAATACACAATGTTTTCATGAGGATGACTGGACTTCATAAATTTGTCACTGCCTGGCTACGTGCAGCCTTTGATCCCTTCCATTGGGCCTTATTTTGAGCAAAAAGCATTTAGCTGCTGGGTGACACATGTCTCTGCATCCATCCCTCCTGCATGTTGTACTTGGCTGTCCTCATCAAGAGGAAAGAGACAGGGCCAGCTCTTAGGTAAGGGCCATACTGAAACATTGAGCCTTTTCCATTTTAAAGTAAAGCTGCTCAGAAGCCCCCAAGCCAGCGGCCCTAGTTTAAAGGTGTAGGCCATCTGGCCAGCACGTCTGTCTTCTCTTTATCCATTAGGGTTGATTCCGCTGGTTGGCCTGATAGGGTCATTATTCCCCTTCTCTCATCCCAACCCATTAGTGCCCTACTCAAAGAGGACCCCATCCCCTAAGAGAGAAATACTGTTCAATCCAAGCCATACAAGTCACTGAAGTGCAGCAAATGGCAACTGAGCTTTCTAAGGGCCCTGTGTGATGCTGGTACCAGGAATATAAGAGAATAAGACATAGAACCTGCCTCCGAGATGCTCATCAGCTAACAGAGACGACAGACAACCCAACAACAAAGTGATCAGTGCATGAGGTCTGCCCTGTGCCTTTTGAGCACTTACCAATCAGGTACCTATCCCAACCTTCAGGGGCTGTGGGTGCTGCAGGAAGGCAGGCCAATAAGGGAGAGCTTCCTGAGGAGGTGGCAACTGAGCTGGGTCTTAGAGGATCTGTAGGAGTGTGGCCAGAGAAAGGTGATGGGAGGCACTTCTGGCCAAAAGGGAGAGAATTAGCAACAGCACAGGTGTGTGCAACAGCACGGAAAAGCAGGTATTTGCATAGCTGGAGTGTGAAGTACAAGGTAGGAAGGGGTGAGAGATAATGGGTATAACTGACAACATGGACTCAGCTCTTCATCACCATTTAAAAATAATTATAATGATGATATTTGGAGTTTTATTCCATTTTACACATGAAGAATATGGGGGTCCAGAAAGGTTGTGATTTGTTCAAGATTCTCTACCTGATACTTAGCAAACAGAGCTCAAGCCTTGGTGCATGGGATACTGAAGACCTTGCTCTTGACCACTACATATAGGTTACTATAAAAATGGAATACAACAGAGACTCTAGTAACCACAAGAGAGTTCGGAGATAAAGTCCTTGCTTTCTGGAAGGTGTGAAGGCCACATCAATAATCATGGTGTCAAGGAGTGGCCACAGTGGCCGGCAGGCCAGTGGTACTCAGTGGAGGAGGCAGCAGCTGCCCCAGAAAATGCGGCTTTACTCAGCAGAGCTTGTGATGGGCCGTGGTGCCAGGGCTGTGGTGCTGCTCAGTGAAGGTGCAGGGGACAGCTAAGGTTCCCCAAGGGAGCGGCAGGACCCAGCTGAAGTGGCAACACAGCAGCTGAATGAAATGGCATCCATAATTGGGGAACAACAAATTCACTTGCCAGAGCAATGGAGAAGAGGTGGGGGAGAGGACATGGGCAAGAATGGGAGAGACATGCTGTACTTTATCTTTAAACCTGTTTAACTTTATCCATGTTGCACTAGGTGAGACTACTGGAACCTCATATTTAACTAAAGATTAAAATAGGCCATCTAATAACAAATTAAATACTTTCAGTAAGAATCCACCAATTGACCTACTCAACAACAGTTTTATTGATCATCTACTATGTGCCAGGCAATTCGCTAGGCCCTGATCTAGGCAATGCAATAACATAAGAAAAAGGAATGAACACTAAACTACTAGAAAGGAGGATGTAAAATTACTCCCTAAGTAAACAATATTATTATATATCTAGAAAAATCAAGAGATCCATTCATAACAGAAGTGTCATTAAAGTGGCCAGATATAAAATAAACATACAAAAATAATAATTTCTTTAAAATACAAGAACTAATTAATTAAAAAGATAATAGAAGAACCAATTCATAATAACAATACACAGGAATAATGCCATAAGAAAATTATATGAAAACGACAAAACTTTGTGGGAGACACAAAAAGAAGGTCTGAGTAAACAGAGAAAGGTATCTCGTTTCAAGACAGAAAACCAAAGTACTATAAAGGTATCAGTTCTTTCCCAATAATGTATATGCTGAACTTAGATGAAAAGATAATTTTAAAGATTTTCTAGAAGAATAAAAAAGAATAGCTTAGATTATTTTAAAATTTAAATAAGCTATACAGATCTTGCCCTATCAGAATTTAAAACTATCTTTTACTGGAACAAGAACCAACAGCAAATGAAATAGAGCAGATAGCCCTAAAATGAACTTAGAACATATGTATATGTATGTGTGTGTGAAAATTTATATATATAATATACATAAATGTGTATGTTATAAATATATAATATACATAAATGCATGAATCCATTTATTAATATATTTATACATATATTATTTATTAGTATATACAAATACATATTCATATATGTTTATGATAAAATAAGCTGCATAACATAATTAGGAAGAAATAGTTTATTCAGGAAATAATATTGGGAAATTTAGCTGTCAATCCAAATTATTATCAAACCGCAAAATAGCTACAGACTGATATGTGTTAAATGTTAAATAGATAACAGTAAAAAACCAGAAATGCAGGTGAACCACTGAGCTCTGGAAGGAGAACTTTCTAACTTAGAAATGATTAATGAGATGACAAATAGAACACTTAACAGATTCTACAACATAGAAACTGTCTAATTCCAAAATAGCATTTTGAAGAAAACGAAGGCAAATCACAACTCAAAAAACTATTTGCAACCAGAATTGTAGATTCATTAGTTTTAATGAACCAAAAATATTTCTTTAATCACTAAGGAAAACACTGATCCCTAAATTTAAAGATTGGCAAGTGATATAAATAGACCATCAAAGAAAGGCATCTCAAATGTCCACTAAACGTAAAAACGTTCCTCACCATTAATCAAAGAAATGTGCATTAATATATGAATGTGCTCCAGTCAGTATCACTGTGTTACAAATTACCCCAAAATCTGATGGCTTAGAAAAGCCATTTTATTTTGCTCCTGATTTTGTGGGCCAGTGATTTTAGAGGGGAAAATTGTTACAATACAATATGGAAAATATGACATAAAATTAAATACAGTGTATATTTTGTTTCCTAATGTATATCAATTATACATGCACAGATAAACACTGGAAAAACAAAAAACAAAAAACAAAAAAACACCCAAACGCCAACAGTGATTATTGCCCTAGTGGAGGAAATAAGGGTGATTTTTTTTTTTTTTTTTTTTTTTTTGAGACCGAGTCTTGCTCTGTTGCCAGGCTGGAGTGCAGTGAGGCGATCTTGGCTCACTGCAACCTCCACCTCCCAGGTTCAAGCCATTCTCCTGTCTCAGCCTCCAAATAGCTAGGACTACAGGCGCCCACCACCATGCCCAGCTAATTTTTGTATTTTTAGTAGAGATGGGGTTTCACCACATTGGCCAGGATGGTCTCGATCTCTTGACCTCATGATCGGCCTGCCTTGGCCTCCCAAAGTGCTGGGATTACAGGTGTGAGCCACCACGCCCGGTCGATTTTTGTTTTTTTATGTATATTTCTTTTATATTTTCCAAATGTTTTATAATGCATATTATTTTGCTTTTACATTTAGAAAAATAAATAAGAGCCATTGCCTTTTAAAACAAAGGGGAGAATCGGTCTGGAGTCACGGAGAGTGACAAATTACTCTGCAGCAGGTTATTCGGAAACCTTTCATAAATCCGTTTAAAAATCCTCCTCAAGGTAAGATTTCTCTAACCACATTTCAAAAGCACTGGAAGCTATTTTAGATCCTCTAGATACATCAAATAGGCTTATTCCAGCCACCATTTATATATGAAAAATGAATAAGACAAAAGACAGACAAACAGTAAAGTATAAATCAGAGTCTTGGGGGACTTTTTAAAGAGTTGAGTGGTCTCAGTAGCTCTGCAAAGTGTCTGCAGAGTTCTGGAATAACCATAGCACCACTTACCATGAAGCAGGAAATAAGTAACAGCAGCCCTGGGTTTAGAGTCAACGTGCTGTATTTGTGGTGACAACGGCAGCTCTTTTCCCAAAATCAAGCTCTTCCGTGCCATGAGCTTCACCACAGCCTTCTTGGTGGTGGTGGATTCGTGTGCAAGAGTCATTTTAAGAGGGCACAAACCTCACCAGAGCTCTTCAGCAGGCCACAGAATAGACGCAGGCACCCAGGGGCTGCTTTGAAGTGTTGCAGTTTTACCAAGAGAAGGCATGCGGCACGCTCTCACCCTCCTCCCTCTTGGGACTTCGGCACACAGCAATAATCAATCAGAACACTTCCCTGCCATGTCTAGATACTTCTTGAAAGCTTTTCTTTCAATGATGTTCCAATGGCCTAGGAAGGTCCTGCAAGAAGAAACTGACCTGACAGCTTCCCTGGGACACAAGCCTTGAACTGGCTCCACTGGGCAAGTCTTTGGGGATATCCCCAGCCAGTTTTACCAATGGATCAAAAGCCTTACCTATGGCCTCTCTACATGGACTGCTGATTCCACATCCATTTTCTCCTGAATTGCACACAGTGTGTTGGAATCCAAGAAAATTAGCACAGAGCCCAACTCTGGTTGGGCATCTCCCCTCACTGCCGGCAAGTTACTTACACCCACCTCCATCGCCCTAGAGACTTCATTTCACAAAAGAGCAGGGCCTTAGTCCTACACTCAGCCCTTGGGCTCCTTGAGGTTAGTGAGTCTCTTTCTATCCTCCCTCCTTTGCCCAATGTCTACCTTCCCAAGAGTCTCCAGTATCTAGGACATTGTCAAAAACATGGCAGACACTCAAGAAATGTTCCAATGACTAATTCAATCATGCAAAAAATGGCGATAATTCCACTCATGTAAATGATCAGACTGGATATAGATGGAGGCTGTCCCATAGAGCCCTGTGCTTTCTTCCTAGGCTCTTCCAAAATACATGGGTGCCATGGTGTCTTTGTCTGGAGCTGGGTTCCTTAAGCAACTTTACGGCCTCTTTAGTACTCTGGAAGCGTGTTCTACATTAAGGGTTATCGGCTCTCTGGCTGCATTCTGCCTGGACAATCCATGCTGGAAATGCCCTACAGCTGGAGACTGAAATTCAGAGTCCGCAAGTAGGAGAGGTTAAAATAAATAGTGACTCCAGCAAGACCCTTTGTGACAAGAAGTCTGCACGGCATCCAACACCCTGGAATGCTCAGCCACTTCAAAAGGAGAGTAATTGCCAGATATCTGCAAAAGGGGCAAAGGCCTTCAGGCCACTTGCTTTGCAAGTGCTGCAGGGGAAGCAGTGGCCCAGACTGCCCGGGACCATGAAGTCCAAGAAGCAGATGTTTTACCACAGTCACCGCAGAGCCTCGATTGCCTGACATCCAGAGCCAGGCGAGGGGCCTCCCTCCCAGATGGTCACTAAGGTATCGCCAAACCAATTAGTGTTGATCGTGACTCCTGGAAGGAGAACGTCCTGTTTATTTTTTAACGCTGCTTGCTCATTGCTGGTTTCACGGTAGGAGATACATTATAATGACCAGGCTCTTTTCCGTTTCACCCCCTTGACCCCGGCCACAACTCCCTATTTTGTTTGGAATTTGGAAGTCTGGATTTCTCTAGCTATCATCAGAGTTACGTCACTGGACACAAGTGTGAGCTTCAGATGCCTCATAAATGTCGTCTACTCAGTCAACTTCTGGCTTCATTTCACAGGTCTGTTTCCCATCCACTCTCATTAGAAACTGAACATGACTTTGTATTGGGGAGTTGAATTGACCAGTAAATCTGATTCTGATATAGTGAAGTCTAAAGTGGCATCCCGCTCCATGACCTTCTATGACCTTGGAAAAATAGTGCATCCCCCTTCACAGCAATCCATGGGTCTTGCTCTTTCATGCACACAGACACATGTACAAACACACACACACACACCACCTAATTTTCATTCTCTTAGACCAGACTTTCTCAACCTCAGCGTTACTGGCATCTTAGACTGGATAATTCTTTGCGGTGGGGGCTGTTCTGTGCATTGTAGGCTGCTGAGCAGCATCCCTGACCTCAACCCACTAGATGCCAGTGGCACCACCACCCCCTCCCCAAGCCATGACAACCAAAAATATCTTCAGATGTTGCCAGATGCCCCCCTCGAGAGTCAAATCACCCCCGTTCGCAGACCGCTGCTTCCTTAGACCTAAAAGGGTGATATGGAATATGACTTCTAATTTTTTTAGAGCCAAGAGATAATAGAAGTTGAGTAAGAGAGTTCCCATTTTACAATTCATTTCCTGGATTAAACAAATCAAAGAGTTTAAGTAGCTGGAAAAAAGCCCAAGAGTTCATTTGAACGAGAAGTGTTCCTGAGGAAGAGCCAGCAGTTACTCCTTGAAATTGCAGGGGATTGAAGACATCAGCAGCCAGGGGGACTCTGAGACCCATTCCCTCCATCTTCCCGTCTTATGGGAGGAGGACGTCGTGATGGTGGAAGATGGCAAGGGAGGCCCCGGAATTTCCCTGCTGTCCTGTTTGCTCCGTCAATATCAGCTCTATCCCAGCTAGCCTCCTCCATTATGTCAGAGTAGAAATATAAAGGTGAGAGTTTTAGCTAAACTGAGCATTTTTATCAGAAGTCAGAGGAATTACAAAATAGCTCCTGGCTGGGGGAAGGGGCACTGCTATGTAATCTCCCCAGCCCTCCCGAGACCCCTGCAAACCTTGTTTTCAGACCTCTTGCATCCTGCCCTGAGATCTTGGGTCTGTTGTCTGTTTCTCTCCCAGGACTGTGGACTTCCCAAGGACAGGGGCCGCACCTTATTCAAATGATTACTCCTTGAGCTTCGCACAGAGCCTGACCCACATTTTTATTTTAACAATAGCTTATATATATCGAACGCTTACCTGTACCAGGTAGTAAACACAAAACATTTCATATTCAGCATCTCGTTCAAACATTCCCCAAACTCTTAAGAGGTAGGTACTGGATTATCCCCATTTTATAGAAGTGGAGATTGAGCTCTAGGGTGTTAAATGACTTTCCAAAGTTTCCCAGCCTGTGACAGAGAGGGTACCAAGTCTGGGGCCAGGCTATTCAGACAAAGCCTCTTAATTCCTGAATACTCCCAGGCTCTTGATACATATTTGATAAACAAATGGATGAAAGAACAAAGTAATGTGCCCCCTGACAATCTTGCCAATCAGAGTGTTCACTAGACTGTGGTGACTGCCAGGCGACCTTATTTTCTCATTAGAGGGAAATTTTGGAAACTAGATTCTATCTCACCTCTCCTTGTTATATTGAACACATCCCCGGTATAACTGGAAAATTTTCCTTGGAGCCTGGTATCCTTTCCCCTTTAGGATGGAAGCAATGAGCACCCACTTAGAACTGCCCTCCTAGGGCATGGAGCCATGACCGCACCAGGCTGCTCTGAGGACGGGAGTGCTCTCAGTGGTGAGCTGGAGAAAACTGAAGCAGGAGTTGGGAGGTGAACAACTCTGGCCAGTGTCAGGTCCATTTATTTCAGCAAATATTTATTGACAACCACCCAGCCAGCTCCTGGGTGGATGCTGCTCAGACGGTCCTTGCCCTCCAGGTTCCCGGAGCCAGGAGGGAGAGTCACAAACCCAAGCAAAGCTAATAGAAGCCGAGTGTGGATAAATGCTGTAATCAAGGTTCAAACAATTCAATGAAACAGGAAGGAAGTAGTTCATTCTGCCCAGACAGACCAGGAGCGATCTTTGAGTGGAGGCTGGACGAGAATCTGGCCTGAAGAAGTGGCGGAAGACTGAGAGGCACAACTGGAGGTGAGGCCGGGGGTAGAACCCCTGGGGAGCAAGACCTCGGTGGTGTGGGGAGGACATCAGAGAAAGCTGTTAGGTTGTGGGTGTGAGCGAGGCTGAAAGAGAGGCTGGGGCCCATGCAGGACACACATTTCTTTACTCAGTGGAGCATTCTGCCCACTTTGTTCAAAGAACAACAGATTCTGAGCATATTGGGGTCTAGTTTGCAGGCCACCAGAAGCAGATCCTGCAATGAGTATTTGGGTACAAGTTGTTTATTTTGGAGGGGATCTAGGGAGCATTGATGTGGTAGTGGGGCATGGAGACGGGGAAAGGAAAGATGCCAGCACCGGCATATTACCACCAGGGGCCACAGGGCCTCAGTCCCTCTGGCAGGGACGTGTGAGAGCCGTGGGAACTGACTTGCAAGGGCCAGTGGTGTGTATCATTCCCCCACTCCAAGTTCAGGGACATCTGTTGGTAACCTAAATTCATCTACAGTGAGAGTGGGAGTATTTACACCACAGAAATTGGCAAATGCTACAAATGGGGGCTTTACCTGGGCCCATCCTCTCCCAAAAGCCCATTTACCTGTACCTGCTACCTGCCGAGGGCCTCAGAGATGATGCTGTCCTCAGAGTCATCCTCCTGAGAGCACAGGGCACTGGGGAGCTGGCGCATTTCTCCCCCAACACGCATCAGTCACTGGTAAGAGCCACTCCTTGTGGTGTCACCTACTCAGGATTCCAGCCACCCTAAAAGAGGATGCATATACTCCCAGCCGCAGAATGCCCTCGGGGGAAGGAAGCCTCAGTGGCTTGCCACAGAAACCCATTAGCTTGTAAGGGAATGGGGATTGCTGAGGGGCTATGGGTCTGAACTACCCATGAGTGATACTAAATAAGATGTCCACTGCCCTTGAAAAAATTGCCAGGTAAGTGGAGTGGGGCCCACATACTGTTTCCATCAGTGAGCCCTCTTATCTCTTCCCATCCACACACCTGCATACTTCCCAACAGCAGTCAGCCCGCCACCACAGATGCTGCAGACCGTTCAGGTGTTCATCACTCAGAAGCCCACACTTCTAGGGATATTTTCTCTCCAATAGGGATCCAGAAGGAAAGTACATTCTTCAATATCTCTTTCAGTGCTAAAATGTCACTTGTGGAGTGAATATTTTAGGCAAAGAAGCCCCATCTCACACACCCACAACCTCATGCCCAGTCACTGAAGTTCGTTCTGCTCCCCCAAAAGTAAAATTCTAAATACATAAAGCTCAGGCCTGGAAGAAGACAACTTGCCTTAAATAAGTCAGGACATATCTTCCCAATGGCAGATATGCCACTCGCTGGATCCTCCAGAGAAGCAGGTCTTGTTAATAGGGCTTATCGCTTCTGTGCCCTAGTTTTGCCACTTGGGAAAGCTCCTAAGATGTGACTGTGACAATGTAAAGAGTTTGGATTTGGCTGTATTTTCATCTTATGAACTCTGACACGCTCCATTTTCCCCCTGCTTGGGGACTTTGTGCAGGCAAAAAAGATTTTCTATCTCCAGAGCATTGAGAGCTCTTTGGAAGCAAAGACTCGTGGTGTGATAAGGGAGGTCCTGCAGCAAATCTCCTACTTCTGAGCTTTGGAGGAGCCAGTGCGATCAAACCCCGAGTAAAGGGGACCATGCTGGGAGAACTGCTGATATATGCTCATTTGCAAGGACTGAAGCAGAAAAGATGAAATAAGCTTGAAGAAAGAAGGGAAGAATGATAGAGGTGACAGTGTTTTAGTCCCAGTTTGCCTGTTGCAAAGAAATGGACAACTGTGCTTATTGACTGCCTCCCCCCCGATTCCCTGTAAATCATCCCTTTGCAGCTTGTGT
Source organism: Homo sapiens (assembly GCF_000001405.40). Classification (NCBI taxonomy): domain Eukaryota; kingdom Metazoa; phylum Chordata; class Mammalia; order Primates; family Hominidae; genus Homo; species Homo sapiens. The sequence goes on from NC_000010.11 coordinate 121,131,672, forward strand.
CCCAAATAACTTATAAACAATGTCTCCTTTACTCAGCTCTCCAAAAACAATCCCTTTGTTTAACCACAATTTGCAAAAACAATTTCTTCATTGTAAATAAATCCCTAGACTCTACAATATGCCCTGATCCAGGAAAACACAGGAACATATTTTATAAAGCTCTGTGTATTTCCAAACAAGGGACATTGTTTCACCATAGAAACTCTATTTTTAAAAATCCTATTGACAGTAAAGCATAGAGAGCACGCTTCTGGTGTGAAGATAAAGGCAGCCCAGAAGTGAGATGCCCTGGGGAAGGTAAAGTGGAGAAGAGAACTCAGAACCATTTGCTCCATCTGTTCAGTCCATCACCCAAGGGTCTCAGAGCGTGACTTGCAGCGCTGGGGCCAAATAGAAAAGGGCCTGCCGGAGATAGCTCGAGCTGGTTGGACAGAAGCCTAACCATCCTGGAGATCAGGAAGACATAGCTCAGCTGTAATAGCCTCTCCGGCAGGCCAGGGCTGCCATGGCAGGTGGGCAGGCTTCCTGAGTCAGGGTCTGAGGGGTGCTGCTCCCTGGTGCACCCACAACCCTGTAGTGAAGGGCAAGGCTGCCTGTATAATCAGAGAGGGTCACACATAGCAATACCCCTCCTAGCTGGCAGTGAGGGATTTGGTGGATCACTGAGACCCTTATTCTACTTTCTCTCCTACCAAAGAGCTTGTTTGCCTGCTCATCTCTGCTCACTGGGGTTTCTGAGAGAGGATATTGTCTTCCTAAGAGTACATGGCACTGGGGGAGCCTGAGTATTCAATCCTCAGCCCCCATCAGCCACTGGTGAGAGCTGCTCCTGGTGGTGTTACCTACCCAGCAATCCAGCCTGCCCTAGAATGGGGACAAGCACATTCAAAGCCACAGAATGCCATCAGCGGGGGAGCCTTAGCTGCTTGCAATAGCAATCTATGAGCATAGAAAGCAATGAGGAGAGCTGGGGTACTATAGCCAGGGCCCTGACAGTATCTACTCTGGTCTGAACTGCACACAGGCCATATCAAATAAAATGTCCCTTGCCTATGTGCCCAGGTCTTAGCATTATTTTTTCTAGGACCTTTTCTGAGATGTGACACACACATCACTGCCTTCTAGAGAGCCTTCAGAATATTACCCATGCCTTTCTCAATTACTCAGTTACTGAGCTCACCCAAAGGCAGTAGGGACAAGAGGTGGATCCTATGACCCCAGGCCCTGCCTAGTCCCTCAAATAATGTCTGCTGAAGACACACAGCCCCCTGAGGCTAATTGAAACTCCCATGGCCTCCCTGAATCGGGGAAGAGTCGGAAATTATATGCCATTTATTTATTTTTTTAAGGCTTGTTTTATTTGAATGGCTGATCTGTGTAATCACAGAGGCCAGTATGTACAGACAAAGGGGGAGCTTTTATTTCTTGGTCTCTTCCTCCTTAGACCAAAGTCTTGATGATCTCCTCCTTCTTGGCCTGGAGGTGCTCTTCACGGTGCTTGCGTGCTTCCTTGGTCTTAGACCTGCGGGTCTCAGCCTGGTCAGCCAGGAGCTTCTTGCAGGCCTTGTCTGCCTTCAGGTTGTGGATGTGTTCCATGAGGATCCGCTTGTTTTTGAACACATTCCCCTTCACCTTCAGGTACAGGCTGTGATACATGTGGCGATCAACCTTCTTAGATTCATGGTATCTTCTGTGATACATGTGGTGATCAATCTTCTTAGAATCACAGTATCTTCTGAGAAGCTGGCATAGAATCCTCATCCCCTCATCCACATGATCTTCTCTGGCATTCGGGCATTGGCTGTAGCCTTTCACTTAACTACGCCCATGTGCCTGCCCTTCTGGCAGGCCAAGGTGTTTTCCGGTATCAAGCCAGGAATGGACAGTCACAGGCTTGTGGATGATCAGCCCATCTTTGATCAGCTTTCGGATCCACTGATGGGAGTTGGCATTGGCGATTTCACTGGTCTCCTTGGGGTCCAACCAGACCTTCTTCTTGCCACAGCGGAGGACACTAGAGGCAAGCCTCTTCTGAAGACTGAGCATACTCATGGTTGTGGCTGCAGCAGCGAAAGGAAAGAGCCAGGACAAGAGCAAGGGACAAGATGCCTGGGCAGGGGGGACCCTTGGCCATTGGGACATTGCTTTTCCCATGGGAAGGGGCCACCAAAACAAAGACCCTTCCTCAGAGATGTGCCCAACACTTAAGATGGACAGCCCAGCGATGCCCCAGAATGTTCTGTTGCCCCAGACCACTGCCTTCGTCTGTAGTTCCCAAGCCAGCCTCTTCCCTGACACCACCTGCCATTTCACATGATCTACCCTTCCCATCCCCTCCAACCTGGCACTTGTGTTCTGCTCACACTGTGACTGTGAAAAACAACAGCCAATGGAAGCGACAGCCCTGACGATGAGCTCAGCTCGCTTTAGTTTTACACGCGGTTCTCAGTCAAAAAGCCATATGTTTGGGTCTGCACACACTTTTGCTATGAATCAGTAAAGTAGCCAGGGATTGTGGATGTTTGCGTGGGGGACTGAGGAGCTGGCTGTTCTGTGCCTATCCAGCCTGTTTCCTGCAGGGAGCATTTCTGACTTCTCTTTGGGCCTCCACCCCTTCCTCTCTCTCTCTGTCCACAGCTTAAGGAGTGGAACTCCCAACCCAGGCAAAACCATCCAGCACCTTCCCTTCCCCGTCCTGAGGTGTCCTTAGTGGTGGTGGTGGGAATGGATAAAGGCTAGTCCAATCAAAATGAATCTCAGTAATTTTACTGGGTATTCTGGGATAAAGACACTCTCTTTTGCTGGACTTGGGGCTGTCAGCACACAGGGATGGAGAACGAAGCCCCTTAAAGGAAGTGGGGCCAAGGGATGAGCCCTGTGACTTCATCCGAACCCTGAATCAAGCTCAGGCTAAGCCAGATGTAACCTCTGGACTTCCAGCTTAAAAATAAGCATAAATTATCTTCGGGCTTAAGATACATTGGTTTTTCTATCACTCGTACCTTCAAAAAGAGTCCCAACCAGTGGATCTTGCAGTAGGCATTTCCCTGGCTTTCTGGAGGATTTCTGAGATGACAGATGCTTCTCAGTGATTAGCTTTGCTGGTGGCAGGTGGAGCCATCTGTGCAGTGGTTGGGTGTTGTGAACCTGCCTCTGCCCAGCTTTCTAGACTTTTGCTCTCACCCTCTGATCAAGTCAAAAGCCTGGGGAGGAGAGGGGGCATCCTGGATTCCTCTGTTCCTTTGCTCCCTGAATCCAGTCAATCATCACATCTGATTAATTCCACCACCAGACAGCTCTCAACTGCATACACTACTCTCTCTTCTCTGACACCACCCACATCAGAGCTCCTACCACCTTTTGTGAGGGCTCCTAAAATAGACTCCTAACTGGTCTCTCCATTCTACACTTACCGCCCAGTCCTTTCTCCACCTAACATCTAAAGTGGAATTGCAAAATAGAAATCAGATCATCATGTCTGTCCCTTCCCTGTTTCAGTCACTTAAATGGTTTGTGTGTTTGTCTTATATACAATGCTGTGGCCATACCAGCCACCACCTTTTGGTCTCTGGAATGTACCAAGCTGTTTGGCATGTACCGAGACTGTATTCATTTCCTATCTTACAGTTCTCTAGGTCGGAAGCCCACATGGGTCTCACAGGGCTAAAGCCTCAGTGTCTGCTGGGATGCATTCCTTTCTGGAGGCTGTGGGAGAGAATGTGTTTCCTTGCCTTCCAAACTTCTAGAAGCTGCCTACATTCCAGTGTACAGCCCATCTTTAAATGTGGCATCTTTCTGACCCTTCTGTTGGTATATCATTCTCTGGCTGCAGTTGGGAAAGCTTCTCTCCTTTTAATGTTTCGTGTGACTAGATTGGGGCCCCCTGATAATCCAGGCTATCAACCCATCTCGAGGACCATAACCATAATCTGCAAAGTTCCTTTTGCTATGTTGGGTAAGATATTCACAGGCTCCAGGGATTCAGGTGTGAACATCTGTGGGCGGAGTGTGGGGTGGGGGAGGGGCATTTTTCTGCAGACCACAGGCCCTTTGCACATGTTGTTTGCTTTACCTAAAGTGCTCTTCCACCCACTTCTCATCAGCCTAACTCCTTTAGGCCAAACTTTGGGTCCTCAGAGAGACCTCAGTAAAAATCTACTTTAAATTAGACCCTCTGGTTACTATGGCTCCTGTTTCTTTCCCTCGTAGCACTTTCAGCAGTCTGTAATTAGATATATTTGTGTAATTACTACTTGATCATTTTTCCCATTGGAGTGAAAACTCTGTAAGAACAGGAACTGTACTGATTTTGCTATTTGCCCATGACATTAGCAGTCATGTGGTGGCTGCTCCGTGAATGAATGACTGCAGTGAAATTGGCTCGGAACTTTAAGCTCAGCCCTGTCTCCTTCAGGACCAACCCTTACCTGAGGCAAGAGAGATTTAAGGGGTTCCAACCTGGATTTCTGGAATCTAGTATCTAGCCTCCCTTGCTGCAACTGCATCCCTGCCTTGGGCCCCTGTCATGATCCTGAGTACCTGCTCTGATGCTCTGGGCCCAAGGCCCTGTGTTCATCATCTGCGCCTTCTTTTCTCTTGTCCAAGGATCCCTGGATTCAGGTCTACTACTCTTGAGCCCCTGCTGGGGAGGCAGCACCTTTCTTTTGCAGCGCTTCTTGGAATTGTTAATTACACATGTTATCATCTGCCTCCCTTAGTAAGCGGTACACAACAGAAGGAGAGTGTTTGCTTTTCTCCTGTTCACTGTTGGGACTGCAGGACCCCAGCCAGTATCTGCTCCCCTCCCCCAGACACCCTACACCCGCTGATGAATAAATGGATGCCTGCATTCTTCTATATCCTTTCTAGACCTTCCAGGCTTGCCCATGCATCACTGCCATCCTCCGTGTGGGAGCACCCTGGTGCCGACTACTCTGCCGACTGACTACAGACCCTCCAAGGCCATGTCTACACTTCTTGTTTCCAACATAGCTCTTGCACCTCTATGCCATGCTGCAGGAATTTTATCTTTAGTGCCAGTTCTAGGATTAATGCCAATCAGAAATAAGCACCACTTCAGAGAGAATATAGAATTTAGCCAAATAATATTTATTGAGCACTTACTCTACACAAAAATCAGAGTTGCACAAAAGTGAGCAACCACAGAAACTATCCTCAAGAATCCCACAAAATTGCAAAGGAACAAATAATTATCCTGGAATAATAAGCATCCCAATTCCACTGCTACAGCTATGAGAGTGGGATGCAGTGGGAGGAAAAGACAGGGGCTTCTCCAGTTGTCGCTGCCACCAGACCATCCTAGTAACAGAAAAACTCATCTATAGGCTGCCCTAACCCTGGCTTAAGAGGAGGGGAGGCAGTGTAGCCTCATGGAAAAGGTTTAGGTGAAAGCAAGAAATGTTAATAAGATTTTACTTCTCATTTAAATGTAATTAATGTCTGATTCCAGCCAGACAGAAGCTCAGACTCAAATGTTGAAAAGACTTTGGAAATCGTAAGGTCTTCTCCACATAAGCACACATCTCTCCGGTGAGGATATCCCTGTCTAACTTCCTGCAGAAGGCCTGCAGGAGGAATGAAGGTGGTGTCCACAGTGAGTCTGGAGCAGGGGCAGAGCTGGCCAACTAAGAGGGAGGGCTCAGTTCTCACGGGGCCATGCCTCTCAGAGTCTCTTTCTCAGATGCCAAAGTGCTCAGTTGGGAAAACTGCAAAACAGTAGTAAAAAGATTTTCGAGTTGGAAATATGCAGCCCTGGAATTAATTGATAGGAAGCAGCCAGGTTGTGAAGTTCCATCATTTGCCACTGAGATGGGGAGATCCTGGGGCAGGTGAAGGACTGGCAAGCAGGTGACATCTCAGCCACCCACCAGTCTTGCTTGATCATGGAATCTCATCTGAGAGCTGAGGGGAAGATGTTTGTGGATCTCAAGACATTTCTCCAACATATTTGCAAGTTGACATTAGTTCTTTACTCCAGGCCTTGGTTATGGCTGACACAGAGTTTTACTAACGCAAAGTGATCTGCCAAACTATTTTGGCTGTGTTTTGCTGGAAGCCAGAGAGAAGACAAAGAACTCTATAAAAAATAACAAGCAAAGCAGAATGCCCTGCCTGTCTCCCTGAGGTGACACCAGCTATTTTCCCATGAAAATAAAGAGAGCAAGGAATAATTAAGAGAAGGGGTGAAGGTGGGGGAGGGAACAAGAGAAACCCATCTGTAAACACAGGAGGGTTTTTGATGACTTTTAAATAGCAAAAGAACAATTATATGATTTTGCAGTGATTCAAATTTTTTGAAAATTGAGAGAAATTAAAAGAGAATTAATGCTGTTGCTTTTGTTTTCTACCCAGCATCTTGAAATGTTATGTGAGCATCAAAATAAGTTTTAAGAACTGCCTCTCTATTCTCTGATGTGAAGGGGGCTCTGTGGGGCTTCTATGGTAATCCGGGTAAGCAAAGAGTGGATTAAGGCAGTAATTTTCAGTAGCTAAAAAAAAAACTACAAAGGCACAAGTGCTACCAATTATATCTCAACACAAACCAGTACCTCCTTAAGTTTCAACACAGAGAAGGCAAACAATTTCATTGTCAACCAGGGTGTTCTCGTAGAAAGCCTTGGAACATGCTGGGCGCATTAAAGGGGAGCTATCTCGCATGTGCAATTACTCAACACATCTTTAAAACTGTAAACACTTGTTCACATGTGGAGAAGTTTAGAGCCGTACAGGCTTGGAAAACCCACCTGGCAGGCGGGTTCCCTCCGCTTCTCTCCAGTTGAGTAACCATCCTCGGCGCCCACTCCTCCTCTGAGAGCCAAACACCATCAGCAGAGAAATCATTAAGGAGTGGGGGACGAGAGTTCATACATGAGCTATTTTTATCCAGAGCACTCCCTTTTCTCCTGTCTGGGTTGATCTCCTCCATAAACCTTGCCTCCATCTTTCTCCCCGCCACCTGGTGCAGGGAGAAATGCCATCTGGCTTTTGGCTAGCAGCTTTCTCCAGCTTTGAAGGGTGAGTGGCACTGAGGATGCAGATATTTCCAAATAAACCCAGCAGAGGAAGATCGCCCAGGGTTGGTTTTTGAAACAGCAGACTGCGTGACCACAAAGAGAATACCCACCATGCACAGAAAAAATAATCTCTCCAAATGTGTTCAAGAAAAGAATGTAGAGAGCCCAAAGACGCCTGCCTATAAATATGGGAGTCAAATGGAAAGAAAGCAAGGTTTATTCTCCCCCATTGGCCTGGCTCACTGAGAACTGCACTCATATATATGTATGCATCACATGTCATACATGGAAAAGACCCATGAGATCATGTTGCTCAACTTGCTGCCAACAGGAGGGCATGGCTGTTTCTCCTTTCCCAGGGCTGATGTTACAATGTCTCCAGCAAGGAACTGATTGTTTTACTTTGCTGGTTTAATTGGCCATTGTGAGGTCACTGGGGAGAGAGCAAAGCCAATTCCCTGGCCTCTCAGATCCACATACATCCTGGGCTCTGGAGAGACATTCGAAGGAGAAGTGCTCTAAATTCAAAGGGAAATACGACGCCCAGCCACGGAAAATGGCAATAAATCCATAAGAAATTAAAATTTTACTTGAAGTGGAAATTTTATCATCACCAAATTCTGCCAAATTTTGGATTTGGGGATTGGTAAAGAGGTTTCCAAAATGAAATGCTGTCTAAAGGTTGTTTGTTTTAAAGGACATAATACATAGTAAAAATGAAATAATCATCCCACCCAAATAAGAGTTATTTCTTTCCCAACAGACCTTTTCCAGGCTCAGTAATTTCACTGTTAATAGCAGAGAAAAAGCAATCAGCTAGGTAATGGGTACCACTAGCACTGAAGTCATTTAATTAGCACCAGTAAATGAGAGCTGCCCAGGTGCTCAGATGTAATTAGCTGTGCCCAAAACATTTCCTACATTGGCCAGCAACTACAGTCAAGGACAGGGAGCTATGCGCCATTGGAGAAGAATCTTCCCAAGCTGAGGACATGACCAGGCCCGTGGTCCAACCCTTCAACAGGCTGAGCAATGCCACAGTCCCCAAATCTTGAGGAAGGCCTCACTCTTGAAGAGGAAGCAAAGAAATGAGTTATGGGCTCTGAGGCCATGTTGCCTAGGTTTGAATCCTAGCTATATGCTTTGACAAGTTATTAAGATCTTTCTGTTTCAGTTTTCTCACCTGCAGAAGGGGGATAACAATAAAATCTACCTGAGGTTCAACAGTTAATATGTGTAATGTGCTTAAAAGGCTAAAGAGTTAATGTGTATAATGTGCTTAGAAGACTGGCACATGGTAAGCCTTCTCTAAGTGTTGGTCAGAATAAGAATAACTCTATTACTTTTGATTATTTTTACACCATTAATCAATCGTGGTTGCTTACAATCACCCAGCCATAAATGGTAGAATCAGCAGAGTAGTAACAGTAGAAGCACTAATTATAATAATGATGATAACAGTGGCTTCTACTTAGTACCTAGCATGTGCCAGATTTTGATCCAGATGCTCTACATCAGGAGTACAACCCATAAACCGAATCCAGCCTGCTACCTATTTTATAAATAAAGTTTTTTTGAAACACAACCATGCCCATTTATTTACATATTGTCTATGACTTCTTTTGGCAACAATAGAATTGAGTAGTTGTGACAGAAACCAGACAGATTGCAAGGCCTATCTGGCCTTTCATAGAAAATATTTGCCAACCCCTGCTCCACATAGCCTCAATTAATTATTGCAATAACTTCTGAGGTTGTATTTGTTTCCTGTATTCAGATAAGAAGACCAGAACTCAAAGAAGGACAAGGATATGCCTAAAATCTCTCTGATGGGAGCTAGGCACCATTTGACTCCAACACCCACCCCTTCCGGCCATGTTCCACTGGCTCCAGGAGCCCAAAGCATGTTCCCCGTGCCATTCCCATCACTGTCCACGGCAGTGGGAGATGAGCTGGGTACAGTCAGGCAGGTGCCACTGCTGAAGGTGCTCTGCTCTCCATGGAGGGAATGACCATCTGCAAAGCCAAGTCCTTCTGGCAATGACCCACTGAGTGAAACACTCTTCCCCTGACATACACGTTGGTTTATTCATATTCCCTGCTGTGGCTGCCTTGTGTGAGGCAGGATGTTGGCAGATGCAGGTGCCCTGCCAGGCCTGTCCCCTGGCTTAGCTGGGGGCAGTTTCAGAGCTATGACAAGCAATGGGCATTGAGGTACTCCTCAGAGACTGGTTGGTAATACTGGTTTACCAAATGATGGGGTAATTACCTAGAGATCTGTACAATTTCAAGTTTGTTCAGATAGTCAAGATTATTGCTACCACATGTGTTGGATGCTAAGAAACATTCTCCTTGTTGAAAAAGTGACCCATATTTTAAAGTCTTTGAAGATAAAAGGATTGTCTTAACTTATCTTAGATGGTTGCCCATTTAAGGGTTACCCAGCAGTCACAGGTTACAAGTACAGTGGGAAGGGCCTCAAATGCTGGGTCTGGACGTAGAAACATTGCCTTTCGATAGCGGTGTGGACATGGGGAAGCCACTCCCGTTCTCTTCAACAGTTAATGATCCAGATGATTCTGAAATCTCCATGCTCTAAAGTTGTGTTCCACTGTCTGCAAGAAGTCCATTCTAGACAATGTGACAATGTAGCGTGTGGCCTTTGAAGTTATACCATCCAAGCTCACATACTTGCTCTACTGCATGATCTTGGCTTCGGTAGTTAACTGGTCTGTAACTCTTTCTCTTCACTTGTAAAACAATGAGAATTGTGGTACCCGCCTCTGCTATTTTAATCCTACTTTGGGTATTTGAAAAGAAAACCCAGGTAACACACTTAACTCAATTTCTGGTCCATGATGACTATTCATGCATCATGCATGCACAAATCATTACTTTTATCATGGCAAACAATATTTTCCCATTTGGGATAATTCTCTGAGAAATCAGTTTATAAAGAAGTCAACTGCAAACCCATCTAGTCAGAGTCAAGTACACAAAAGCCCCTGGCCCTGATGCAGAAATCTTTCTGCACCATCTGGTTTTAACATACATAACTTGAATTGGGAAGTTCTCCTTGCTGAAAATTCTGGGGCTCCTGGAAGAAAGGGATGAAAGGTTTGTATCATCTTTGTATTTTTCTCATCTCTGACTTTGTTTCTGCTATCCAAGCTCTATGACCTGCCAGTTGGTGTCTATAAGCTTCTGGCCAGTCCCAATTTGAGGAGTTGATCTTGGAGTCCTCAAAGGCAGAAGTTCTCAGATGCACAAAGTATAGGCACATGTGGGTTCAGGTGTGCTCTTCTCACTGCCTAGAACAACTCCTCCTCTCCTGTCTTTCCATTTAACTCCTTCAACAGATGCCAACTGAGCACCTGCTACATTCCATGGTCTGCTCTAGTAAACAGGGTAATCTCCATTTCACATGGAGCTCACATTCTATAAGAGGTGTAAGGATGGTATATGAAAAAAAGACAAAAGATAAATACTCTATGTGTCAGTAAGTGACGCAAAGAAAAATTAAACACTGAGAACAGAGATAGTGAGAAGGGTATCTTTTTATTTAAGGCACTTGGGGAAGGCTTCTCTGCTCAGCAGAGATTAGAAAAAACCCAAAAGAAGTGGGAATGTGAGCCTAGCAAATATCTGGGGGAAGAATTCTAGGCAATCACATTAACAAAGGTCCTGAGGTAGAAGTGTACTTGGGAATTGGAGAAACATTGAGGATCAGTGTAGAGCACAGAGGAGGTAAGGAGAAGAGAAGGAGGGGATGAGGTCAGAGAGCTGATGGGGAACCCTTCAAAGTAGGGCCTTTGAAGACATGGTGAGGACTTGGGTGTTGTGTTTTGAGGGCAAGGAGAAGCCTCCAGAGGCCACTGGGCAAAGGAGTGGCAGAAGGCCCTGGAAGTTGAGCACAAAGACTCTAACATACAGCTGGAATTCAAAACCTACTCCTGCCATCACTAGCAGCTCAAACCTATGAGCCACACCCATCTATAGTGGTTTTAGGATTTTCCATTTTAGATAACCTGGCTTCTACCACTTCACAATAACTCACAAGCTAACCCTGTTTGCTTCTTTCAATACCCACTTCCACCGGAAAACTTTGTCTTTTTCAAGGTAAAGTGCCATATTCAGTGTGATTTTCTAGCTTATTTGAATAGAGGTGTTTATGTTATTCTCTTATGGCAATTGGTATTGCTGTGGGTCAGTGGTGATATCCCCTTTATCATTTTTTATTGTGTCTATTTGATTCTTCTCTCTTTTCTTCTTTATTAGTCTAGCTAGCAGTATATTTGTTAATTTTTTCTAAAAACCAGCTCCTGGATTCATTGATTTTTTGAAGGGTTTTTCATGTCTCTATCTCCTTTAGTTCTGCTCTGATGTTGTCTTCTGTTAGCTTTGGAGTTTGCTTGCTCTTGGTTCTCTAGTTCTTTTAGTTGTGATGTTAGGGTGTCAATTCATGATATTTCTAGCTTTTTGATGTGGACATTTTTACTTTTTACATGGGGATTATTACAATTCAAGGTGAAGTTTGGGAAGGGACAAAGAGCCAGACCATATTATTCCACCTCTGGCCCCTCCCAAATCTCACGTACTCACATTTCAAACCAATCATGCCTTCCCAACAGTCCCCCAAAGTCTTAATTCATTTCAGCATTAACTCAAAAGATGACAGTCCAAAGTGACATCTGAGAAAAGGGAAGTCCCTTCTGCTTATGAGCCTGTAAAATCAAAAGCAAATTAGTTACTTCGTAGATACAATGGGGGCACAGAGAGTGGTAAATACAGCCATTCCAAATTTTAGAAATCAGCCAAAACAAAGGGGCTACAGGCCCCATGCAAGTCCAAAATCCAGCAGGGCAGCCAAATCTAAAGCTCCAAAATGATCTCCTTTGACTCCATTTCTCACATCCAGGTCATGCTGATGCAAGAGATGGGTTCCCATGGTCTTGGGAAGCTCCGCCTCTGTGGCTTTGCAGGGTACAGCCTCCCTCCCAGCTACTTTTGCAGACTGGCCTTGAGTGTCTGCAGCTTTTCCAGGTACATGGTACAAGCTGTTGGTGGATCTGCCATTCTGGGGTCTGAAGGATGGTAACTGTCTTCTCACAGCTCCACTAGGCAGTGCCTCACTGGAGACTCTGTGTGGGGGCTCCAACCCAACATTTCGTTTCTGCACTGCCCTAACAGAGGTTCGCCATGAGGGCCCCACCCCTTTAGCAAACTTCTGCCTGGACATCCAGCCATTTCCATACATCCTCTGAAATCTAGGTGGAGGTTCCCAAACCTCAGTTCTTGACTTCTGTGCACCCACAGGCTCAACATCATGTGAAAGCTGCCAAGGCTTGGGGCTTGTACCCTTTGAAGCCATGGCCCAAGCTGTACCTTGGCCCCTTTTAGTCATGGCTAGAGAGGCTAGGGACACAGGGCACCAAGTCCCTAGGTTGCACAGAGCAGGAGGGCCCTGGGCCTGGCCCATGAAATCATTATTTTTCTCCTATGCCTCTCGACCTGTAATGGGAGTGACTGCCACAAAAATCTCTGACATGCCCTGGAGACATTTCCCCATTGTCTTGGAAATTAACACCTGGCTCCTCGTTACTTATATAAATGCCTGCAGCAGGCATGAATTTCTCCCCAGAAAATGGGTTTTTCTATTGTATTGTCAGTCTGCAAATTTTCCAAACTTTTATGCTCTGCTTCCCTTTTAAACATAAGTTCCAATTCCAAACCATATCTTTGTGAATACATAAAACTGAATGCCTTTAATAGCACTCAAGTTATCTCTTAAATGCTTTGCTGCTTAGAAATTTCTTCCCCCAGATGCCATAAATCATCTTCAAAGTTCCACAAATCTCCAGGGCAGGGGGCAAAATGCCACCAGTCTCTTTGCTAAAGCATAACAAGAGTCACTTTTGCTCCAGTTCCCAACAAGTTCCTCATCTCCATTTGAGACCACCTCAACCTGGACTTCATTGTTCATATCACTATCAGCATTTTGGCCAAAGCCATTCAACAAGTCTCTAGGAAGTTCCAAACTTTCCCACATCTTCCTGTCTTCTTCTGAGTCCTCCAAACTGTTCCAACCTCTGCCTGTTACCCAGTTCCAAAGTCACTTTCACATTTTTTGGTATCTTTACAGCAGCTCCCAACTCTACCAGTATCAATTTACTGTATTAGTCTGGTCTCATGCTGCTAATAAAGATATGCCCAGGACTGGGTAATGTATAAAGGAAAGAAGTTTAATGGACTCACAGTTCCACATGGCTGGGGAGGCCTCACAACCATGGTGGAAGACAAAGGAGAAGTAAAGGCACATCTTACATGATGGCAAGCAAGAGGGCTTGTGCAGGGGAACTCCCATTTATAAAACTGTCAGATCTCATGAGACTTATTCACTACCAAGAGAACAGTATGGGGGAAATCACCGCCATGATTCAGTTATCTCCACCTGGTCCCTCCTGTGACATGTGGAGATTATTACAATTCAAGGTGAGATTTGAGTAGGGACACAGAGCCAAACCATATCAGGTACATTGTCTCTTTGTTTTCATTGGTTTCAAAGAACTTCTTGATTTCTGCATTAACTTCATCAGTTATCCAGGATCCATTCAAGGACAGGTTGTTCAATTTCCATGTAGTTGTGGTTTTGAGTGAGTTTCTTCATCTCAAGTTCTAATTTGATTGTGCTGTGGTCTGAAAGACTGTTATGATTTCATTTCTTCTGTATTTGCCAAGGGAGGAGTGTTTTACTTCCAATTATGTGATCCATTTTAGAGAAAGTGTCATGTGGCACTGAATAGAATGTGTATGCTGTTGTTTTGGGGGTGGAGGGTTCTGTAGATATCTATCAGGTCCACTTGATCCAGAGCTGAGTTCAAGTCCTGAATATCCTTTTTAATTTTCTGTCTTGATTATCTAATACTGACAGTGGAGCATTAAAGTCTCCCACTATTATTGTGTAGGAGTCTAAGTCTCTTTGCATGTTTCTAAGAACTTGTTTTGTGAACCTGGGTGCTCCTGTATTGGGTGCAAATATATTTAGAATAGTTAGCTCTTCTTGTTGAATTGATCCCTTTGCCATTATGTAATGCCCTTGTCTTTAAAATTTTTGTTGGTTTAAAGTCTGTTTTGTCAGAAACTAGGATTGTAATCCCTGCTTTTTTCTGCTTTCCATTTGCTTGATAAATTTTCCTACATCCCTTTATTTTGAGCCTATGTGTGTCTTTGCACATGAGATGAGTCTCTTGAATACAGCACACTGATAGGTCTTGACTCTTTATCCAGTTTGCCATTCTGTGTCTTTTAATTAGGGCATTTAGCCCATTTACATTTAAGGCTAATATTGTCATGTGTTAATTTGATCCTGTCATTCTGATACTAGCTGGTTATTTTGCAGACTTGTTGAGGTAGTTGCTTCGTAGTGTCATTGGTCTTTGTACCTCAGTGTGTTTTTGCAATGGCTGGTAACGGTTTTTCATTTCCACATTTAGTGCTTCCTTCAGGAGCTCTTGCAAGGCAGGGCTGGTAGTGACTAATTCCCTCAGCATTTGCTTGTCTGAAAAGGATTTTATTTCTCCTTCACTTATGTATGACCACATATGAAATTCTGGGTTGAAAATTCTTTGCTTTAAGAATATTGAATATTGGCCCTGAATCTCTTCTGGCTTGTGGGGTTTCTGCTGAGAGGTCCACTGTTACTCTGTTGGGCTTCCCTTTGTAGGTGACCTGGTCTTTCTCTCTGGCTACCCTAAATATTTTTTCCTTCATTTTCAACTTGGAGCATCTGATGATTATGTGTCTTGGGGTTGATCTTCTCATGGAGTATCTTACTGGGGTTCTTTCAATTTCCTGAATTTGAATGTTGGCCTGACTTGTTAGGTTGGGGAAGTTCTTCAGGATGATATCTTTAGGTATATTTTCCAACTTCGTTCCATTCTCCCCACCTTTTTCAGGTACCCCAATCAGTTGTAGGTTCAGTCTTTTTACATAATCCCACAGCTCTCAGAGGTTTTGTTTGTTCCTTTATTTCTTTTTTCTCTAATGCTGTCTGCCTGTCTTATTTCAGAAAGATAGGCTTCAAGCTCTAAAATTCTTTCCTCTGCTTATTCTATTCAGTTATTGATACTTGTGGTTGCATTGTGAAGTTCTCGTGTTATGTTTTTCAGCTCCCTCAGGTCATTTATGTTCCTCTGTAAACTTGTTATTCTGGTTAACAGCTCCTGTAATGTTTTGTCATGGTTCTTAGCTTCTTTGCATTGGGTTAGAACATGCTCCTTTAGCTCAGCCAAGTTTGTTATTACCCACCTTCTGAAGCCTACTTCTGTCAATTCATCCATCTTAGCCTCTGTCCAGTTCTGTGCCCTTGCTGGAAAAGTGTTGCAATCATTTGGAGGACAAGATGCCCTCTGGTTTTTTGAGTTTTCAGCATTTTTTCATTGATTCTTTCTCATGGTTGTGAGTTTATCTAGCTTCGATCTTTGAGGCTGCTGACCTTTGGATGGGGTATTTTGGGGGACAATTTTTTGTTGATGCTGTTGTTGTTGTTGCTTTCTGTTTGTTTTTCTTTTAATAGTCAGGCCCCTATTTCATAGGGCTGCTGCTGTTTGCTGTGGGTCCACTCCAGACCCTATGCCCCTGGGTCCCTCCCACACCTGGAGGTGTCACCAGTGGAGGCAGCAAAACAGCAAAGATAGCTGCCAGCTCCTTCCTCTGGGATCTGTCCCAGAGGGGCACCGACCTGATGCCAGCAGTAATGCCCCTGTAAAAGGTTTCTGGTGACCCCTGTTGAAGGGTCTCACCCAGTCAGTTACCCTGCTTTGGGCTCCTCATCATCCTTGATTTCTTCTTTCTTAGCAGTCATCAGCAATTTTTTTTTTTTTTTTGCTGCATTTCTTGCTAGAGTATAAGCTCCATGGGGAAGAAACCATGCCTTATTTGCCCTTTATTCCCAGAGTACATAGTAAGTGCTCAATACATATTTCCTAAAATAAATGAACAAGTAAATGTAGAAGTGCCACCTCTCTTTACAGAGCAGCTTCCACCCCCTCCACACCCCTACACCACCAATTGTTATGTTCGCTCAATGGGCTGGACCACCAACTAATCTAGGATCAAGACCAGGGGCAGGGGAAGAAACATGGCTAGAGCCAGTGTTCCTCAGCAGGGTTGCTACCAGTGTTTTGGATGAAATTCTTATTTTAGGAACTTGACATCCTAGACCCCAAATAGTAATGCTTGACTCACTCCTAGTCCCTGTGAGAACCACAGTTCTAGCATCTTACAATGGAGCCACTCTGATCTCTGTTGAAAATGCCCCACAGTCTGAAAGAGACACATGCTAACCACTAACAAAGCACAGGTGTTTGCATGTTACACAAATCCTGCAGTTTTTACTAATAAATGTATTCAGAAAGGTAGGGTAAAATTGCTTATAATAATTAAAATTCTTGTTTCTAGATTTTTCCAAGACTGTCTTGAGGTTAGCATCCCAGGAATTCCTTCATTCCCAGGCAGGCCAGGATGATCAGCAAATCTAGGTGTCAATGTGACCTTTGAAGGATGCATGTTCTTTTCCGGAAGCTGTCCTGCAGGACTATTGAAAATAGGTCTCAGATAATTTTCCATTCTCAGTGTGGTAGAGAATCTCTGATCACACCCTTACCATTGCAGATTGGAGGATGGACTCTTAGAGAGGCATACGACTCTTCCCTGTTCACCCAGTAAAGTTTTTCCATGACAGCCATTTCCTGCTGGCAACATCAACATCCAAAGTAAAGTAAAAAGCAATGTATATGTTACTATATCCTTCAGTCTCTTCAGGAATTCATGCACTCCACTTATCTCTGACTGGCTCCTGGCTGTTTCTAGGAGTGAATAGAGCATGGCAGAAGGCAGGAACTGCACAGGAGATAATAACAAGGCATCCTGTGATCTTCACCCCATGCCTTATTGGATCAACTGTGAAGCCATGAGTACGACCAAATGATTCTGGAATAATAGGACATAAGCAAATGACTAAAATTTCAGGGGCTTTAGTTTCTCTCCAACTAAGAAATGAACTTAGCTGCTTGCCAAATTGCATACTGAGATATTTAAGAAAGCAGGGGGAATTTAACAATTAAAACTATTTCCATCTTAATTTTTTAAAAGTAGGGATAAAGGGCTATAGACCCAAGTTCCAGGCTCCTTCCCTATCTGCCTATCGAGTTACCTTTAACTTGGCGATTACAAGGCAGACGGGAGTGCCTGGATGTGGCCACATGAAAAGCACCTTGGCGGTTATCTCACAGTCGGCCGCTCACAGAACAAGAAGGGTCTTTCATGCAGCGGTGCAGGGCCCAGGGAGCACAGAGATGCTCAGGGCACCTCAGTGTTCCAAAGCAAGTCTTCATATCGCAGCCACTCAGGTGGAAAGAAGGGCCTGCCCCGTGCTCCTCTGCTCACGTCTAGGGTCACAGATGAATAGAGCCTGATTGAGGAGCAAAGCAAGCCTCACAAGCAGCTCGATGATGTGCAGAGGAAGGTATTTTGTTCAAAGATAAGGTTGGAGTCGGGGAGGCTGTGGGGTTCCTGGGGCGGTCAGTTGATATCATCGGAGACAACACAGCATTGCTGAGAATGGCCAGCTCCCTCCTGGCCATGATGAAGCCGAGAGGACAGCGTGGCTTGTGTAGGTGCCAATGGGAACTGTGTCTCCATCTGCTTCCAGGAGGCTTAACTTCCAAGAATAAATAATTGACTTTAAATTTCACCCCACACACTTGTTTGGTGGCCCCAAATAATTTTCCATTCCATAGAACCTCAAAACTACAAGCCATCATTTGTTGAGTACCTCTGCCAGACAGGGGCAAGGGCAGTAAGCACAATGGTTAAGAACACAGGCTCTAGAAGGAGGCTCCAAATCCTGCACAGAGTAGGTGCTCAATGAACAATAACTACTGTGGCTATTATGGACAAACCAAAACAGTGATGGCCACTGGTTGAAAATGCCCATCTGAAAAAAAGAACAAGCATGAACACAGGGTGTCTTTCCATTTATGTATACCCTCTTCAGTTTCTTTCATGAATGTGTTACGGTTTTCAGTGTACAAACCTTTCACCTTCTTGGTTAAATTTATTCCTAAATATTTTATTTTTTGATGCTTGCTATAGTTTAGATGTTTGCCTCTCCAAACCTCAAGTTGAAATTTTCTTGATTTCTTTTTCAGATACTTTGTTGCTAGGGTATAGAAATGCTACTGGTTTTTGCATGTTGATTTTATATCCTACAACTTTACTGAATTTGCTTATTGCTTCTCAAAGCTTTTTGGTGGAGTTTTTAGGGTTTTCTATATATAAGATCATGTCATCTTCAAACAGAAACAATTTCACTTCTTTTTTTCCAATTTAAATGCCTTTTCTTTCTATTGTCTAATTGCTATGATCAGGACTTCTAGTACTATGTTGAACAGCAATTGTGACAGTGAACATCCTTGTCTTGTTCCTGATCTTAGAGGCAAGCCTTCAGCTTTTTACTGCTGATGTAATATAAGCTGTGGGCTTGTTTTATATGTCCTTTATTATGTTGAGGTACATGTATCCTACACCTAATTAGTTGATAGTTTATATCATAAAAATCTGCTAGATTTTGTCAAATGGGTTTTCTGCATCTAATGAAGTGATCACATGATTTTTATAATCTTTATTCTGTTAGTACAGTATATCAAATGTGTTGATTTCCGTATTTCTATGGTTTGAATATTTGATCCCTCCAAAACTCATATTGGAACTTAATCCCCATTGTGGCTGTATTGAGAGGTGGAGCCTTTAATAGGTGATTGGGGAATGATGGTTCTGCCCTTATAAATGGATTAATTCATTCATGAATTAATGGATCAAAGAGTTAATAGATTACTGGGAGTCATGGGAGTGGGACTGGTGGCTTTATAACAAGAGGAAGATAGCTGAATGAGCATGCTCAGCTTCCTCACCATGTGATACCATATGCTTCCTTGAGACTCTGCAGTGAGTCCCCAACAGCAAGAAGGCCCTCACCAGGTGTGGCTCCTTGACCTTAGACTTTTCAGCCTCCATAACTGTAAGAAATAAATTCATTTTCTTTATAAATTACCCAGTTTCAGGATTTCTATTGCAAACAATAGAAAATAGAATAAGACATATATCTTGAACCATCCTTGTATCCCAAGGATAAATCCCACTTCATTATTGTGTATGATCCTTTTAACATGCCACTGAATTGCTAGTATTTTGTTGAGGATGATTGCATCTATGTTCATCAAGGATATTGGCCTGTGATTTTTTTCTTTTGTAGTGTCCTTGTCTGGCTGTAGTATCTAGATAATGTTGACTTTGTAAAATAAGTTTGAATGTGTTCTTTCCCTTCTTTTCTTTTTTTCTCTCTCTTTTTTTTTTTTTTTTTTTTTTTTTGTTGTTGTTGTTGTTGTTTAAGAGTTTGAGAAGGACTATCATTAATTCTTCCTCAAATGTTGTAGAATTCACCAGTGAAGCCACCAGGGCCTGAGCTTTTTGTTAGGAGATATTTTATTACTGAGTCAATCCTTATCCACTATTGATCTGTTTCAATTTTCTATTTCTTCATGATTTAGTCTTGGTAGGCTGTGTGTTTCTAAGAATTTACCCACTTCTTCTAGGTTATCCAATTTGTTGGCATATAATTGTTCATGATCCTTTGTATTTCTGTGATATCAGTTATTATGCTCTCTCTTCCACTTACAATTTATGAGTCTTCTTTTGTCTTCATTAGACTAGGTAAAGTTTTGTCAATTTTGTCTATCTTAAAAATCCAATTCCTAATTTTATTGATCTTTTCTATTCAGACACTTTGATTCTTCTCAAGCCATTAGAGATGTAGCCTTCCTTAAATCCCAAGTTGTTAGCAGGGCCTGAAAGGTCTCAAAGGATCAGGTCCTACTGCTTTCATCCCTCCCCATTCTCCCCTTGTTTACTCTGTTCCAGCCAAAATTGCCTCCTTGTTATTCCTGTCACTAGAAGCACACTCCCATTTCCTGTCCCCTCTGCGGGGAACACTTCTCCCCATGATACATGCATGGCTCACATTCTCACTTCACTCAAGTCTCTGCTCAAATGTCACCTCATCAAAGAGAATAGTATCAGTTTCCTTAATTCTAGATGCTGCGACAGAAATTGTAGTCAACTAATGTAATAAATAACATCTAGAAGTGCTTACTTTAGTTAAGAAATTGGTACTAGAATTGGGATGATGTTATTTGTTTAGCAGTAAAACGTGATAAGAGTTTATTTCTCATTTATGCAAAATTCAGTGAGATTTGGAAAGCTTTTCTGTTCATATCTCCTCCAGGTGGTGACTCAGGGATCCAAGCTGTCCCATCCTGGATTTGCATCACTCAATGTCACTTCAAAAGCGGGCAGGGGAAGAGTCTGGGAGATTGCACGGGATGTTTCTAAAGACCACCCCTGAAAGTGCCTTACATCACTTCACCTACATTTCTTTGAACACAGTCACAGAGATAGAAGCTCACTGCCAGGAATGCTGGGAAATGTAGGCTTCCACTGTACCTGGGGAAAGTAAAGCCTATAGCAAACACACAGCAGCTTTGACTCTGCCACAAGAGTTACATCTGGATTGGAATTCTGCCTCTGTCTGCTAGCTTGGAGCTCTTTGGATCTTTTTCTTCATTCAAAACTTGGAACTAATGACACCTACCCACAAGATGTACAGAATGTCACATATATAGTAAGTGATAAGTATTTGCTTATTAATAAATTTATATTGAAAAAAATATATAGGCCTAAACTCTTGAAATAAATTCTTAAATATCAAAATATTAAAATATTAAGCAAAATGACAAAAAAAGGAAAATTGAAAAAACAAATAAAAAAATTAAGCAAAATAACCCTGAAACTATAGAATAAAATTTTATACCAAGAGGATAGTTGTAAAAAATGACACTATTAAACATAAGCAATCTGTCAACAATTGAATGTCAGTGTAATCCTTTCTTTTCTGGTCTATTTTCATACATTGTCCTTCTCCTCCTCTTCCCCAGCGAATTACTCCTTCTCCCCTTGTGAACCAGAAAACTATGAAGAATCCTTCATAATTTTTAAAATTTTTAATTAACAGAGTTTCCTAATAGCAGGAGATATGAAATAGACACTATATTAGGGGAAAATCTCGTATTAACAGCACAAAGTTTAGAGTAGATAATTAAGAATTAATGAATTGCCTATAAAAACTTCCATAGGGATTAACTATACCAGAGAAATGCAGTAGATACAATTTAGGAGTGTGAGTTCTTTAATTAATTACAAAGAAACTTTTATTTTACACAGGGGCCACCCCTGAGAGGGCTTTCCCATGAGCTAGGGGAGTGAGTGTTCAAGAAAGCAGCTTCCAATGACTCAGACCCCTCACCCAAGGTGAGGATTGAAATGAGAATTAAGCAACTAGAGGCCTATGCTTGCCCTTACTGAGAGCATTCTGCAAAGCAATACAGACAAAAGGAGGTCACAGCACAGGAGAGATGAAACAAATGAGGTTGGAGAATTGACACATGGCATCTACTTTTTAGAGAACTTTGTAGTGAAGAGAATGAGAAAAAAACTACCCTTTGACAGCACGGCAAGGTCAAGAGAAGTTGTTTTGTTCATCAATTGTCATATGGGTTTGTTATTTGATTATTTTAAGAGAAGGGGGAATGAGCTTTCTAGAGAGGCTGAGGAAAGAAGCAGAGAGGTAGCAACCGACTATACGAGGACCCCAGGGTATATCAAGGTCCTGTGGCCTTGGAGGGTAGAGCCCAGTAAGGCATGGAGGAGCTGGCCCAGGGTTGGAGAAAACATGAGAAGAATGGGAGGACACACAAATACATTTGGAGGTTATTGGGAAACAAGTGAATGGAGTTCCCAGCAGATCTCACGTTCCTCTGATCTCAACATCCCTCTGCTAAGAAATAGTATGAAGAGGGAGCAGGAAGAGAGAGTGGTAAATGTGGAAACAAACCATTTCACAAATGACAGAAGAATCAAAGGTGGCATATTCATTTTCTATTGCTGCATAACAAACTACCATAATCTTATATTCATTTATTATCTCAGTTTCTGTGGGTTAGGAGTCTGGGCATAGCTTCTCTGCTCAGGGTCTCATTAGGCTGCAATTGAGGTGTTGACTGAGATATATTCTCATCTGAAAGCTCACCTGGGGAAGAATCTGCTTCCCAGTTTATTCAGGTTGCTGGAAGAATTCATTTCCTTATGGCTGAGTGTCCTGACTTTTTGCTGGATGTTAGCTAGAAGCCATCCTCAGGTCCTAGAGGCTGCCTGCAGTCCCTTACCAATGGGCCTCCTCAGCAAGGTCACTTACTTCATCAGGGCCACCACCATTTGAGATATAGGCTTCCCTGAATCCAAAGTTGTTAGCATCAGGTCCCACCTGCCTTCATCCCTCACCATTCCCCGCCCCCCTTGCTTGCCTTATCCCAGCTACAATGGCCTTTTTGGTATTCCTCTGTCTCTAGCAGGAGTCTCTAGCTCTCATGTGCCCAAATTTTGCACAATGTAACTCACCCACAGGAGTGACACACAGTCACCTTTGCCATATCCAAGCAAGTCAAAGGTGCTGCTCACACTCAAGAGGAAAGCATTATATCAAAGGAATGAACACCAGGAGGTAGCATCACTAAGATCACCTTAGAATCTATCCATCACAGACACTTCCTTAGTGTGGGTGTCCAGAGCCAGAATCTAGTGCAGGGACTGGGGCAAATGCTCCTGGCACTGGTGCCTCCTGAGTCAGCCGATACAGATGAAGCCTTAGCTTCTCCACTCTCTGTTTACTTGCTTGTTTATTTAGAGGTTTTGCCATGCTGTTTTGCAGTGGAAAAAAAGAAGGGAGGCGGAGATAGTAATATTTATTTTCTGAAAGAGAACTCTCTTCTCATGTAAAGGTTAAAAGAGCTGTGTTATTTGTGTTTCCTTGGCCTGGGTTTTCAAAAACCTGAGTAACAAGTGCCCAAATACCTCCATGTGCTGACAGAATTACTTCTCCTGCTTAAATGTCTCAACACCCATGGGGACAACTTGGGGTAAGGGAGACAATAGTATCCCTGCCCCTGACCTTGAATTTCAAGTCTCAATCTTTATTGACAGAGAGGCAAGCCGTTAGTCTTCACAACTGTACAAAATAAAATCACCAGCACTCTGCCTTTCAGCCCAGCCTGGCCATCTTCATAGTTGAAAACAACGGCCCATTGTTGGGTTAGAGAGCTACAAATGGAACAGTGGGGCTGAATCAGCAAACTGTGTTCGGTGTGTGTACACTGACAGTGGAGAGCTGACAAAAAGATCCCAGGAACAATGAGCAACAGGCACGTGATTCTGGAGGCGTGTGAATGTGTAATTCTGACTTGCACTCTTGGTAATGAAAGTGAGGCACAGAAATGCCAAGAACACACAAAGCATTTGCTGTCAGTGCATTTGTACTGCAATTGTTTAGGCACTCTTTTAATCAAGCCATAATTGGTGCTGGAAATTAACACATGGGCACCTCTCTAAAAATCTTACAGGCTCTAATTGTGCTCACAGTCTCAAAAGTACCACGTGGTACTGAAACAAAACTTCAGAATTAAAACTTTGCTCCCTCAATTAGGGTTTTCTGTTGCTACATAACTATGATTTCATTAAGGAGGTCCTGTGTTAAGATACAAATGCCATGAAATCTGACGTCAGCCTCCCCATGAATTGTTCAAATCCCTATCTTCAAACATCTTATCAAGCAAGCATATAGCTTCTGCTGGTGTTCCTCCAAGGACTGTGAACTTACTACTTACAATGGGGGTCCTCTAATGGACTGAAATCTGCCTCCTGGTAAGTTCTATCTAAGATCTAAGATCTATCTACAGGAGCTACATATTCTAAGTGTAACTTTTCTTCCCCTTGACAGGCTGTCAGATATTAAGAATCAGACTTCTTCCTGAATAGTGACTTCAAGGATGGGTACTATACTGAAAATGGAATGTCTCAGATTGGCTTTCCAGAAAAGTGCCTGAGATAAAGACAAGAATATATCAAGGTTTCTGGGAAGACAAGTAATGAAGTACAGGAAGCAGGAGAAGGGAAACAGGAGGAAGACAAACAAGGGGGCAACTTCAGGCAAAGCCTCACCAAACCCTAGAGCTAAGCAAAGCTTCGGAGCTGTCCCATCCCTAGTGAAGGCTGTTGGACTTTCATATTCTCACCCTGAGAGTCGTTGGTCAAGGGCTGCCTGGTGTTGGGCGAGGGCCAATGTAAACTCCCAGGAATTGCAACTCTGCACATATCAGCAAGTGCTCTGGTATCCTAAGGGAAGTTCTAAATAAAAATTTAAAAAAATTAAAATTAAAAAAGGACACAGGTTCCCACACTGAAGGCAAAAGCATCTGATACCTGGAAAGGGATGCACAGAAATGGTTAAAAAAAAGATCCAAGGGGGATCTTTATGGAGCAGTCACACATTGGCTATAAAAAAAAAATAACTGGCAGTTACATAGTGAGCAGCGAGAACTGCAGCTGCATTCCCTCACTCAGCAATGAGAACATCTGACAGCAATGTGCCTGCCTCCCAGGTAGAAGATGGGAGGCCACCTCTCTGGAAAAGCAGCCGTTCTGACAGAAAAATCCAGAAGTGCTGAAGGTTTAGGGTTCCCAAAGGATGAAGCTGAATCAACCTATAGTGAATGTACAAATAGACAACACACACACTCACACACACACACACACACACCCATCTTAAATATAAACAATCGAGGAGCACAATAAATTTAAGGAATATCTTAAGGAAATCAAAGCAAACAAAATTTAAAAATAAACGTGTGAAAAATCAAAGTAATGTTTTTAAATAAAAGAACACTGCAATTGCTATCCTCAGAAAGGCAAGAGAAATTATTTTACCCATGAAATAAGAATCAGAGTTATATAAAAGGAGTTGACATAAAACAAGAATAATTAAAATATCTTAAAAAGCAGAGTAGACATAAAAGATTGAATAACAATTTTGGAAGACAAAGTTAAGAAGAAGAAGAAAGAACTAGCAAGGTAGGAAATAAAATGACAGCATAACACTAGGTGATCCAACATCCTAGAAAATAGGTGTGTTCCAGAAGAGAGGACTGAAAAGAGAAAATTATTTTAAAAAACTCAAGCCTCAGACTTCTCAAACTACTGGATGGGGGCAAAACTTTCAAAATTCTGAGGAAAGATGATTTCCAACCTAGAATTCCATTTCCAGCTTGACCATCAACTAAGTTTGAGGGTAAAATACAGATATTTTGAGAACATTCATTCCTAAAACAGACCTCTCCTGAATCCTTTTCTTTAGGAAGCTTTAGAGCATGTGCTCCATTAAAAAAAAAGAAAAGAAAAAAATCAATACAGTTACGGAGTAGGAAAAAAAATGGGATACAAGAAGCAGGGGCCCTAACACAGAAGAAGGAGAATCCCTGGCATGGCTGATTAAGGAGATACAGGTTAGCCACCACATAGCAAACCTAGAGAGCAGACATTCAGGGTTGGAATTTAAGAATGGAGAGCAACAAAAAAATGTCTCCACAAAAAAAGGATACAACTGAGAGATTAGCTGATGAGTTTTAATATATTGAGAGGATATTTACACTTCTAGTGAAATGTTTGAGCATATACTAGTGGTAAGCACTAGAAAATGAAGAAAACAAAGAAGATAATTATTAGCTCCAGGGAAAAGAAAAAGCTGCACAAGAAAAGAAACATAATCATAGTACACTACGTGACTCAGCTCAAAATATGTACTACCATAAAGAAAGTATTACACATTAAATATTCTAAAATATAATATAACTACCAGGGAGGGTGGAAGAAGAGAAATGGAGGAAGGGTGGAAAGAGGGCATGTGTAAGTTACATCTTTGCCTTCAACAACAGGTCAACAGACAATCTCTAGAACTCAAAAGAAAAAATCATGGAATTGAAGTGTATGTTAACTTTCTATCACTGCCATAACAAATTACCAATAATTTAGTAGCTTACAACAACACAAATTTGTCTTAGTGTTCTTCAGTTTAGAAGTCTAGGCCGGGTGCAGTGGCTCACGCTGGTAATCCCAGCACTTTGGGAGGCCGAGGCGGGTGGATCACCTAAGGCCAGGAGTTCGAGACCAGCTTGGCCAATGTGGTGAAACCCTGTCTCTACTAAAAATACAAAAATTAGCCAGGTGTGGTGGCGGGCACCTGTAATCCCAGCTACTCAGGAGGCTGAGGCAGAAGAATCACTTGAACCCGGGACGTGGAGGTTGCAGTGAGCTGAGATCGCACCATTGCACTCTAGCCTGGGCAACAAGAAGGAAACTCCGTCTCAAAAAAAAAAAAAGAAGAAGAAGAAGTCTAAAACAGGTCTCACTAGAGTGACCATCCAGGCAAAATCAAGGGGTCAGCCGGGCTCTGTTTCTTTCTGGAGACTCTGAGGAGAAACCGTTTCTTTGCTCTTTGAACTGTTGGAGACTGCTTACATCACTTGGCTCATGGCAAAGAGCCAGTGATGATGTATCAAGTCTGAGTTCTAACTTCTGCTTTCTTCTTCCACTTTTAAGGTCCCTTATGATTACATTGGCTCCATCCAGAGAATCCTGGATAATCTTCCTATTTTAAAGTCAACTGATTAGCAGCCGTGATTCCACTGGTGGCCTTAATTCCCCTTTGCCATATAAACTAACATATTCACAGGTTGTGGGAATTAGGACATGGACACCTTTGGGTTAGGAAGGACAACTATTCTGCCAACCACAGAGTGTAAGTGTATATTGGGAAGTGTGAGAAGAAACTGTGAAAAAGTGAAAAATAGCTCCTCCTGGGGTTTGGGAAGAACAGGGAAGAGCCAGCTGTTTTCTTTATAAACTAGTACTACTCTGCCTTTTAAAAAGAAAACCTATGTTAATGTATAACTTTAATTAAAATAACAATTAAATTACAAAATAAAACTGCCGTAGCCAGGAGAAATATTAAACAGGCAAGAGCCATGACCAGATTTGTCTTTTTAGAAAATTCCCTCTTGAAGCTGTGTGGATTCAAAGATGGGAGTTAAAACTAAACTCACTCATTAATGATATGCCTGGGGAAGCATCTCAGGTAGAGAGAAAAAGAACTGCCTTTAATGATGTCTAGAAGGTGTGATCAAAACCCTACAGAGGAAATCCAAGAAGAAAAGAAAGAAAACACAAAGAGGGTGTATTTAAAATCAGCATCCAGAACTCTGTACCTGGACTCAGCTCTGCAACCATGTCAGTGTGACTTCCTCCTGCAGGCCATGACCCTCTGGGGAAGGGGCCAGGCCTTCATCACAGTCAGATGTAAACAGGCACCTGGTAAGTGCTTGCACAAACAGCAACCCACAGCTTGTAACTACACAGTCATCCCATTCAGGTCTGCCAGGAGTTCTCATGACTGCCATGGGACTAACAGAGCATTTTTGTTCTCTTGGCTATTACCTTTTAAGTATTTCCTTAATTTAAAATTAATGTAAAATTCAATAGCAACACAAGGAAAATCATACCTGAAGGGTTAATCGTCCATTGAAACAAACACCGGCTCCTTTCACTGGCATTTTGCATTATTGTATCATAAAGATAATGGGCAATGACTCATTCAACTGAGAAGGAAATAGTTCAAAGCTAAAATTATTTTGGTTCATTCCCAGTATTGACAGAATGTGTGTGTATGTGTGTGTGGGTGTGTGTGTGGGTGTGCATGTGCCCACACACATGCATATTTTCAAACAGTCCATAGAAATAGGAGACACACCTATATTGGATACTACAGTAACAGTTAACACAGGCAAGTGCTTGATAGTTTAGAAGGTTGACAAGACAATCTGGAGGTAAGTAGTATTATTAACCCTGTTTTATAGATGCAGACACCAAGGCTCAGAAAGATTATAGAACTTGTGAAACACAATTGTCTAGTGAGTGAGTGAGCTGGGGGCTTGAACAACTGTCTCTCTGACCCTCAAATTTGTACTCTTTTTCTCTGTATCTTGCCATCAGTGAAGCTCAAACCTAACACATGACAGGGTTTCAGAAACATCGATCAGAGCAGAGCCCGACTTACACGGCATGGGCAAAATGACTAGCCGAAACCATGATACCACTGTGTGGGTATCATGAAAACCACCATGAGCAACACAACCACAAAGCCCCAGGCATCTCAGAAGGGGCCACTCCCCAGAGCTCTGCCTTCGTTTGCTGCTACCTGGTCCTCTGAACATGCCCTGGCAAGTAGTAGATACCAAGTGTCAGGGGCTTAACAGAAATTTTAGGGAGAAAGACTTACAACTAATTTTTTAAAATTCAGTGCATTTTAGGAGAAGGTGGTCATTCACATATCTTAATCTGTCACTTTAGTCAGACACTTTGGTCTGCTCAAAGCTCATCGGTATCCCAGAAGATCAAGGTCCAAGATGGTAGCCTCATCCAGGATGGAGACATAGAATTCCCTGGCAGTGCTCAGTGGCATCAACCAACAATGGATTCACTGAAACCATCTCCACTTTATTAAAACAAATTGCTAATTAATTGGGAGTAGGTGAGTGATATTATTTAGTCAAATTTCTATGATGAGACACTCAAAGTGCAAGAGTTCATTAACTTTTTCTGCAAAGGACCAAGAACAGTAGTTCCTGCTGAGCTCTGGCCAAACTGCAAGCCCATAAGCAAATAAATGATTAATATTTTAGCCAATTTGTTATCTCCAAACCTTCTATTCTTTCTTAAATTCTCCAATCATGTTGCCCCACCTCTCCACCAAAATGCTCTTGCCAAGGTCATCTATATATTGCTAAATCAATGGTTCCATTCTCAGTCCCCATTTTATTTGACCTATAAAAATCATTTGAACCAGCTGATCACTCCTTCTTCCATGACACACTTGGCATCCAGGCCCCATAAAGCCTTGGTTTTTCTTCTGACCCATTGTTCCCCGTCTCAGCCTCTTTTTCTGATTCTTCCTTTTCTCCTTTGTTTTCATGTTAGTGTGCCCATGGACTCAGTCTTTAGCCTGCTTTTCTGCTCTACCTATGACTGTATCAGCAATCTCATCTAGCCTCATGGTTCTAAATATCACATACGAATGATGTTTTCATATCTTTCATATGTGACGTTTAGAATCATGAAAATGAAGTCTGGAGTTTTGAAGATACTTAAGGCGATACAATTTTATATAGGGTAGTCAAGACAGGACTTTAGACAGGTGTTCTAAACTAAATGATAGTTTCGTGAACATATTATGGACAAATTCAATAATATTCCTCAAGACTCATCTTCCAATCTCCAGACTTCATTTTCCAACTGCCTCTTATGCTTCCACTTGGATGTCTGATAAACATCTCAAACATAACATGTGCAAAACCGAATCCTTGATATCTCTGCCAAACCAGCCCCACACACACAACCTTCCCCATTTCAGTTGATGGCAACTCCATCCTTCTACTTGATCAGGCCCAAAGCTTTGATGTCATCCTTGACTCTTCCCTTCCTCTCCTACTCTACATCCAATCTGTCCTGAAACCTCCCTTTTGGCTCACCCTTCAAAAGCACATCCAGAACCTGACCACTTCTCACTGCCTGCACTAAAGCTGGTCTCAGCCAACCTTGATTCTTGCCTTGATTATTGTGATAACCCCTATATCATCCCTCTACTTCTACATTTGCTCTCAAGTTCTCATCAAAACAAACAGCGTTGTTAAATGTCAGATGATGGCACTCATCCACTCAAACCCTACTATGGTTCCCTAATTCTATCAGAGTAAAAGCTAAAGTACTCAAAGTCCTATATGATCTTCCCTCTCCCTTACCTCTCCATCATCCATATTCTGTCTCTTTCCCCCTTCCTCATTCCACTCTAGTCACATTGGCTTATTTGCTTTTCCTCAACTAAGTCAGGCACACTCCCACCTTTGGGTCTTTGAATGGTGATTTTCTGTCCCTGCCATGCTCTTCCCCAAGGTACCTACCTGGCCAACTTCCCTTCTCTTTTTCAAGTATTCGCTGAACTATCATTTTCTCAAGTCTTGTCTAGACCACCCTATGTAAAATTGTATCTCCTTGAGCACCCCCTAGCTTCCTTACCTAAGCCAGAATGGGAGCACCACAAGGGCAAGAATCTTTGTGTTTATTACTGATTGATCCCAAGCACCTAGGACAATATCTGGCACTTAATATATTCTTAACGAATAAATGAATGAATGAATGGCCCAAAGTCAAAGTCATGCAGATCATTAGGGGAAGGGTCTTATGTAAGTCACTTCTCCTTTTAAAGTCCTGTTTTCCGTGTTGTAAATTGAGAGCACTACACTAGGCTTCTTCTTGTCCCAAAGCACTATGTCTCTGATTTGATGGATCTGTCCTTCCTGGCAGTCATATCTTCTTCTTCAGCAATAGTTCCCAGTTTTCACTGGGCATCCATTGCCCATTCAATCAGGCCATGTGGTCTGGAGGGAATCCCACATCTACTTTTGGATGTGATACATGATCCAGGCGCACGCCCATCAGCACATTGCATTTTCCAGGCCATTATAATTGGTTCAGGAACAGGCAAAGGAACCAATCAACAACATTCAGTGTCACTTCTAAGTGAAAATGCAAGGGGAGCAGCACGTACTTTTCACCTCAGTGCCAAGAGCTTGTTAGGTCTAGAGTTGTCATCTTGAGAACATGTAGCTGCTGGGGACAACCAGATTGAATGAAGTCAATTCCATGGAAGACAGAACAAAGAAATGGGAGGACACCAAGTCCTTGTAGCATCAACCATACCCTGAATTTAGCTGGTACCCTGAACTTTTCTGGGATGTGAATCAAAAAACTCCATATATGGCTTAAGCCAGTTCGAGTTGAGATTTCAGCCACTTGCAGTTAAAAGAATCCCGACACTAGAGCCTAAGAACGTTTGTGAGACTGTCTTTACTGGGAGACAAGCTAAAATTTGAGATGGCCCCTTCTCACTGATAGACTATACAATTTACAGCCTCATCCCCACCCCACCATCCATTTTGGCACAAAGATTGAAAGTTCATTACACAATGAAATCACAATGTGATAACCTCTACCTGCCTTCATTCTTTCTTCCATCTCTATGTGTGAATTTTTTAAAAAGTCTTAACCAATAAAAGGAATTATTCAAGACTTCTCTATTTGCCCAACACACATAGATCATACACATATAGCAGGGACCCAATACATAATTACTGAATGATCGAATAAAGAGAACATTACTAATAAGTTGTTTCTTTCCCTTTTTTTGTTATTAATGCTTCAAACACAGCAAACAGCAGATAAAAATGATGATGGATTTTATTGAATTATATTTGGTACATGCTACATGCTACATCTATTGGAGCCAGTTCTGGCCTTTCTAGTTTAAGAGGGATACAGGGTACTTGGAGTGAGTACAGAGATTAAACCAATGATATACTGGAAAGTACAACGTATTAATCCAGTGTAAGAGAATAGACAACAGCAAGAAACAACTAAAGAGACACTTACTACTCAACAAATGTACAGAATCCAAGAGCTTAGAGATCATCTGACCTAATAACCACCTCATTTTACAGAAGAGGTAACTGAGGCTTTCAGAACCAAGGTGACTAAAGGAAATGCCAAGGCATCTGGGATGCATTCTAGGATACCGCTTTTCAAACTGTGGGTCAACATCTATTAGTGGGTTGTGAAATTAGTTTGTAGGTTTGGTCAATTTTTTTAATGAACAAATGAGAATAGAACAGAATAGCAAAGAAAAAATCTGAATGCATTTTCTATAAGGGTAGGTGTTACTGCATAAAACTTTTGTTTCAGTTTACACACACACACACACACACACACACACACACAAACATACATATTGTGTCCTGAGTCAGGATGTAAAATGCACCTCATACTATGAATCAAGTTTTAAAAAGTTTGTAAATCACAGATCAAGGAAGATGAGGGCAGTGACTGATAATGCATTGTGTTCAGAGCCCAGCAGAGAAGACCTGTGCTGATTTTGACTCCATGTTCAACAACAGTGAGTGCAAACCTAGACAATCATCAGAATCACCTGGGGAGATTTTTTAAAATACAGATTCCTGAGCACCACTTCCAAAGATTCTGAAGGTCCAGAAAAAGTGTTTTATTTTTTAAAAGCTTCCCAGGAAATTCTCATGCACAGATTAGTTTTAAGACCAAATATCCCTTTGAAGGAGAAAATCAGCAAAAGCTCATCCTCTATTGAGATCAATCTACAAAGTGCTACAAGAGTGGCTACAGAGCAACTTCAGGTTGTCTTTTAGGGCACTGACACATGGGTCTCCTGCAAAGGGTGATGTTTGCATCAGACACCACCCACAGATATTCACAAATAAGGATTTAAGGTTTCCTGGAGACCTAGGGAAGCTAGAAAGGAGAGAAATAAAGGAGGAAGGCCAATAATCCCGTAAAGAGGCCAGTATTATCCTGATACCAAAATCAGTCAAAGACATCACAAGAAAAACAAACAAAAAACTACAGACGAATATCTCTTATGAATATGGATGCAAAAATCCTCAACAAAATAATAGTAAACCGCATCTGGCAACACATAAAAAAGAGTTATGCACCATAACCTAGTGGAATTTAGTCTGGGAATACAAGGTTGGTTTAATATCCAAAAATGAACGAATGTAATGCACTGTATCAATAGAATAAAAAACAAAACCACATGACCAGCTCAATATACACAGAAAAAGAATTTGACAAGATTCAGTACTTTTTATGGGAGAAACACTTGAGCAACTTGGAATAGGAAGGGATTTCCTTATCCAGATAAAGGGCATCTATGAAAAGTCCACAGCTAACATCATACTTAATAGTGCAAGACTGGATGCTTTTCCTTTAAAGTCAGGAACTGGACAAGGATGTCTATTCCCACCACTTAAATTCAACATTGTATTGGAGATTCAAGCCAGAGATATTAGGCAATAAAATGATAAAAGGCACCAATATTGGAAAGAAATAAAACTATATTTATTCATAGATTACCTGACTCTGTATATAGGAAATCCTAAGGAATCCACTGAAATCTATTAAAACTAATAAATGTTTTCATTGAGTTTATAGAATATTTTTCTTTTCTTTTGAAGACAGGGTCTTGCTCTGTTGCCTGGGATGAGTACAGTGTGGCACAATCATGGCTCACTGAAGCCTCAACCTCCCAGTTTCAAGCAATCCTCCCACCTCAGCCTCCCAAGGAGCTGGGACTACAGGCATGTGCCACCATGCCCAGCTAATTTTAAAATTTTTTGTAGAGATGAGGTCTTGCTATGTTGCCCAGGTTGGTCTCGAACTCCTGGACTCAAGTGATCCTCCTGCCTCAGCTTCCCAAAGTGCGGGATTACAGGTGTGAGCCCCCATGCCTGGCCAGGATTTTCTGTACAAGACCAATCTACAAAAACAAAAGTAGTCCTATACACTGGTAATGAACAATCTGAAAATAAAATTAAGAAAACAATTCCACTTATAATAGCATCTGAAAGAATAAAATACTTAGGAATACCTTTACCGAAAGATGTGTAAGTGTTATACTCTAAAATTTAAAATGCATTAATGAAAGAAAGTAACAATGATCTAAATTTAGGATCTCAAAGTGGCTGGACAGAAAGTCAACAGACAGGGGCAGGAGGGAAGGGTCTGGAGAGTTACCAAACTACTCTCAGGAGACAGTCAGGCATCTGAATTACGCATACCATTTTTGACAAATGCGGTTTGAGATGTGGTTTGCATGCAAGATGACTAGGTTTAGAGTCATTTAACAGAATTGTTTTACGGATTGAATATCTGAGTCCTGCTCAAAATTGAAATGTTGAAGCCCAATCCCAGCATGATGGCATTAGGAGGTGGGAACTTTGGGAGATAAGCAGTGAAGGGTGCAAGAATATGCTGCCACTTGGTAAAAGGATTATTTTGAGCTAAATTCACTTAAGAAAACAGCAGACGCAAGAAGCGTGGCACTCTGGCCTCCCCCTTTTTCTACCTAAAAGTAGAAGATAAAACTCTCATGGGAAAAAATGTCCTCCCTATACCAGAAGGAAATCTGTACAAATCTTATGCAAATAACCCCTCCGAGTTAATTTTCCACCATTAACTGCCCTAGCCCAAGCCTCTTGGTCCTGTAATGTTTCCATAATTTGCTACTCTTTGTCCAGTTCAGTATGTAAGTATTTAATTCTAACTGCTTCTTTGGGTTGTCAGTTCCTTATGAGGGCTGAGTCACATAAAACTTAAATAAATATATATGCTTTTTTCCTGTTAATTGTATTTTTCTCAATTTAATTCTCAGGACCAGCCAAAAATGCTAAGAGGAAAGAGGTCAAATTTGGCCTTCCCTACTGTCGGTTTAGATGAGGTCATGAGGGTAGGAACCCCATGATGGGATTAGTATCCTTACAGGAAGAGGAAGGGACCAGAGCTCTTTCTCTCCACCATGTGAGGATGCAGCAAGGAGGCAGCCATCTGCAAGCCAGGGAGAGAGCCCTTACCAGGCACTGAATCAACTGACAACCAGATGGTGGGATTTCCCAGCTTCCAGAACTATGAGAAATAAATCTTCCTTGTGTAAGCCCCAAGCCAATAGTATTTTGTTATAGCAGCCTGAGCTGACTGAAACAGATTGCTTTTGCACATTTCATATTCTCTTAAAAGGGAAATTCCTTGAGGTCAGGGACTTTGTTGTCTCATAGGAGTCCCTGTACCTCCAGTAACTGGACAAGCACTTGGAACATAATAGGTGCTCAATAAAGACTTGAGGAATAAGAGTCTCCCTGAAGGCAACATCTGTGTCTAAATTGGTTGCGTAGCTCCTATATCATCCAAGGTTGCACTTCACCATCACTTTCCTTGTCTATGAAATGGAGATTAGCATTTTGCTACATGAATTAAATGACATAATGTGTGTCCAGCACTTAGCACTCTTCCAGAAATATTGGAAGCATTTAAAGATCAGGACAGTTTTGTACTATTGTGATTATTGTTATTGTTATTATTTTTCTTGTTGCATACAGCAAGTGCTCAGTAAATATTGATTGGTTCAATAAACAAATGCAGATGAAGTACCAAAAAGAAAACATGGGGCCAGGCGCAGTGGCTCATGTCTGTAATCCCAGCACTTTGGGAGGCCAAGGCAGGCGGATCACTTGAGGTCAGGAGTTTGGGACCAGCCTGGCCAACATGGCGAAATCCTGTCTCTACTAAAAATGCAAAAATTAGCCAGGTGTGGTGGCAGGCACCTGTAACCCCAGCTACTAGGGAGGCTGAGGCAGGAGAATCGCCTGAACCCAAGAGGTGGAGGTTACAGTGAACCAAGATCGCACTGCACTCCAGCCTGGGTGACAGGGTGACACTCTGTCTCAAAAAAAAAAAAAAAAAAAATCATGGTTAGTGAAGATTATTCAGCTCTGTGCCCACAGGACAAGAAACCTTCCCTTCAAGTCTTCAATATGCATTAAATATTGATCAGTCTGCCACAGAAGCACAGTCTTGACTTGAATCAGGGGGAGTACATAGAGACACCCGAGGATCCAGCCAGAAGACGAGCTATACATGGCTTCTACGCACAACAGCAGTGAAACACCCTTGCAGTGGCACAGAGGGACCTGCGGGTGCAGAACACTCCTCCAGGAATTTTTCTGAGGAAAAAATGATCGCTCATAAAAAACTGCCTGTTTTCCAGAGCACTGACCACATGCATTGCTCACCAGCAAATCTAGAATATTCAACTCCCTACTGGGGTTTTTCTAACCCAGAGCAAAGGCTGTACTGTGCTATATTATATGCAGGTGCTCTATTTTTTTGTAAATTCCATCCTGGCAAGCAAGGGCTCCAGAGGCCAACACCAGAGTTTGGAGAGCTAACACTTCCTTAATTGCACCTACACAGTTTGTTGGATCCAAGCTTGCATTTGGAATCCGCTCCCATAATTACAATGGACAGTGCTGAATACACACAGGGGCTGGCAGTTGCGGTGTCCTTATCGGGCTTCTCCCAGCGTGTGTGACGCGTCTTCCTCTCACCTGCCATCCACTCGATCTGTGGGACTGGAATGATAAACATGGGGCTTGAATAGCCCAGCCTTGAACCGGTACTGGTCACAGGTGTGCATGTCTGCATTGGTAGAGGTAGCACCCGATTTGAAATGTATTCATATTTTCACAATTAGTAGGGGTGGGAGGGGAAATTAGTGTGTAAACCCATACCAGTTCTACCATGAGTGTATCACTGGTTTTATGAAACATGAAACCATGCTATTGTAGAATGTGTGCTTGCAGGATTCTTGTGGGTGAAATTGGAAACTTGTCTTGGAATAGGGTTGTCACCTGCTAATTGAGAAGGGTGTGTAAGAGGAGCTACAGTGGCAATTTGCTGTTTCATACTAACCCATAAAAGTAATAAAAATCAATGTGCAAGAATGTGTTAAGCCTTCTTTAATTTGCCTTCTGAATGAATTTTTCCTGAAGAACTAAGCAAAACGAGAAGGACATTTATGAACCTTAAGGCATCTCACAATATTGGGTACTACAATAAACTCAACCTTGCTGAGGACATGCTAAAAGACATATTGTGCCTTTTCCTGACTACCCCACTACAGCCTACTCTACTTCCACTCTCTTTTTATGGAAGCAAAAAGGATCTTCTTAATTCTTTCTCTGACACTTTCATAAAACTCACAAACATGCCTCCAGCATATTTCAAAACACACTTGTACAGGAGAGCCTCAACAGTATAGTGCAAAGACAAAGAGAGCCAAGCTTGACGTTGAAGACCTGAGACTGACCTTCAGTTCTGCCCTTTAATAAGAAAAAGAGTTTGGGAGCATTTCCCAACCTTTTTGAGCTTCAGATCCCTTGTTTATAAAATGAGGATATTTTCCTTTAAAATCCTCCTGGCAGACTTGTGAGGATTAAATAAAATGAGGGATGTGAGCGAGAACTTCAAGTAGTGCCTTCCAAATCATTGCCCCAGAATTTGCAATCCTTCCTAAGTTTACAATCTTGCTTAATATTTCATGTGTTTTCTGTATTCATTACATAATTATAGTAAAATGCAATTATTTTGGCTTAGAACCAGTTGACAGAGTTGATACAAGGAGATTATAACTATGGTCCAAGATAAGAGTTCCTGCTCCATTTATGGGACATTCTTAAGTTTGCATTTGGAAGGCTGGAGCCAGTGGTGACAAGACCCAACACCTAGGCTGTGTTTATTAGGGCCTTTATAACTCAAGCGGCCTCAGTGGGGCACCCTTCGCTTTAGGAAAGGCAGGTAGAGGGTGAAAGGGCTCACACCTAGTCCAAGTGTCTTCCAGTAGAGACGAGTATCCTTCAGGCAATCCCAACGGGGTTAGGACCTCAGTCCACAATGTGCCCCCACCTACTTTGCTGCTCCAGGAACTTCATTTCAGCAGGTCTGGTTCCTTCCCAGAGTAAGGCAAATCCTGTGTAATAAGCTCTTTCTTGCTAAACTCCCAAAAGACTGATAAATAACCAGGATGCCAATCCATGGGTTTGTAATGAGAAATGGCAAACTCTTAGCAGACTGGAATGGCCACATCAGCAGGTCAGTGCATTCCCTCACGGAAACAAGAAAATCCACACTATAATTTGATAACTGTGGAGTCAGAACAAATGAATGCAGGTATTCTTAATGCATATTCCTCACAAAAGATACTTTGAGGCATTCTTCCCCATTCTTGAATAGCTGGAGAACTCTAGAGCACTATGGCTTGAATTGTTTGGCTAAGCCTTCTGGAAAACTTTGGGTACAGAGTAAATATGTTTTTGTCTGTTCCCCCAAACATGTGCTTGGCCTCCACTCCATGCTTGGCACTGTGCCAAGTGTTTTTCACCATTTTCACTCAACACTTCCAGTGACGGTATGAGGAAAGGTGTGTTGCTATCACCACGTCACATAAACTGAGGCTTACGGGAAGACACTTACCCAAGGGCATAGTAATAAGTGGCAGGGCAGGATTTAAACTCAGAGTCTAATCCTCACTCTGAGCTATGAACTTCTGCTTCTCATACTGGGCTAAATTAATACAGCCAACTTCTGGCCATGGCAACCCTTGAATCTTTGCTGGGAATTTTGGTGTTTCTGAAAGTCCTCAGTCACCTTTAATCCAACCACTTATAAAGTTGTTGATTAAAAGAATGCCTTTGTTGCCAGATATCATCTATGATACTTCTCTCCTCCATGTGTCTTCCTATAATCAGTCACAGACTGTTAATGTTGCAATGGACTTTTGAAATCATGCGATTTAAAAATCATTTACTCTTTACAGAAAATGAGAGCCAGAGAAGTTAAGTACCTTGCCCAAGCTTTTCCTTAATACTCAACAAATGTCTATTGAGTGTCTACTAGGCACAAGGCATAAAACGTAAGTCAGTGGCAGAGTCAAGACTAGTTTTCTAATTCTTGCTCCAGCAACTATTCTTCACTCTATGCTGCAGCAGTTCCAAAAGTAATTGAGGAGTGGTTTTCTTTTTTAACCAATATGTAACCCTTCCCCTTGATAATGCAATGTAAATTGTGCCTTGGATCCAATTGCTTGCACCCTTTGTCACCATGTTAGGATCTTTATCCCTCGAGATTTCTTGGGCTGTAACAGGATCTCTCTTGCCCAATGCTCTCTGCCACATGGATGTCCCAAAGATCGGATCCTGGTGGAATACACTGGCTGCATGTTGCAGTGAGGCCTAGGAGAAGTCCTATGTCACAATTAGTTCCTTAACATAGTTTTTAACCCATCCAACCACTCTGTAAAAATAGCTATTGAATGAGTTAAGAAATTAAAGAATTAATGAGCAGACACATCAGGGCCCAATCACTGCTTGTAGGATCCCAGATAAAGAGCTCAGACTAAAAAGCAGGTATCACCACCAATCTTGATGCAGGAGGTCTGTAGATACCCCTACTGTTCTGTCCTATAGGGTAAATCCAGCAGCAATGGCTGACTAGAACCTGTCAGCTGAGCCAAGTCTCAGCTATGGATGTATGCCCCATGGCCCATGTCCACCAGCTTTTATGCCCCAGTTTGAGGTCAAATGGTGGGATGGTGAAAGAAGAACAAGCAGGAAAAGCCACTTGCAATGAAAACGAGTAAAATCTTTGTTGTTTCATTGGGGCTTGCTTTTCATGCTTTTAACCATAGAGTAGAATTTGGTCCTGTTGGCAAGTGCCTTTTGAACTACTCTTCTGAAAACGTTTTATTAAGACGCACCCAAAGATGCAGCAGGATCCTGAAGTAGCTTTTGGAGACAGTGCAGACATATTGCCATGCACTTTGGAGCTTTGACATTGCCTAAAAGCCAAAATAAATTTCAAATCCTTTCTGCTACTACTGCCTATGATATGAGGACTGGGAGAAAAGAAAAACGAGGTCATTCACTTTTCATTGAGTAGATATTTATTAAGTACATATCATATTGGAGTCACTAAGGACATAACAATGGACACAGCACAATCCCTTTTCTCCAAGAACTCAGAGTCCTCGTGAAGCTGCCAGTAGCTAGTACACTGAATAGTGTGATGACTATGTTAAAATTTTGTTTTAGTGTGCTGCAGCAATGTCTTTCTCTAGGAAAGAGAAAGTTAAATAACATTACAGGAGGAAGTAGTGTAGTGTATTAGTTTTGTCTGTGAACTCTAGAGAGAGCTCACCGGAGTTTAATTCTCAGACCTATGATTTCTCAGCTGTGTGCAACTGAGCACATTTACTTGAACCTTCTAAAAATCTCTGTTTCCTCATCTGTAAGATGGAGCTAATGGTAGCAATACACAGGGAGTTATTGTTAGCTTTCAATGAGCTGAGCCTCTTTAAAGTGTGTAG
The DNA here is from genome assembly GCF_000001405.40 of Homo sapiens. Taxonomy (NCBI): domain Eukaryota; kingdom Metazoa; phylum Chordata; class Mammalia; order Primates; family Hominidae; genus Homo; species Homo sapiens. The sequence goes on from NC_000010.11 coordinate 121,171,599, forward strand.
CACAATAACACCTGGCTCGTGTTAAGAGCTCAACAAATCTTAGACATTTTATTATTTTAATTATTAACCCAAAATCCACCTAAATTAATAAAACATTCTATCTAAAGAAGGAAAAAAGAGAAAGAAAGAGGAAGGAAAGGAAGGAGGGAATAGAACTAGGGGGAAGGGAGGGGAAGGAAGAAGGGGAAGGGAAGGCAGAAGGGGAAGGGAAGGGAGAAGGGGAAGGGAAGGGAGAAGGGGAAGGGAAGGGAGAAGGGGAAGGGGAAAGGGAAGGGAAGGGGAAGGGAGGGGAAGGGAGGGGAAGGGAGGGGAAGGGAGGGGAAGGGAGGGGAAGGGAGGGGAAGGGAGGGGAAGGGAGGGGAGGGGAAGGGAAGGGAGATGGGGAAGGGACAGAAAAAGGCTATGTGCTTGGTCCTCAAATTATCCCTAAAGAAAAAAAATTAAATAAAAACCAACTAGAAGCAAAAAGCATAATTGGTGCATGATCAAAAAACCAGAACCACCTCTTTCCTCCTTGTAGCTTTCCTGACTAACAGGCTGCCCCTCCAGCCCTTACTGAGCCTGTCTAGGGGCCATGACAGCCTCTTGCTTGTGCTCAGAGCAGTGGCCATCTGGGCACCACACATCTATTTCTCATTTCCTCTTTTGTTCTTCTTCCGTGATCAGAAAAATATTTGTAAAAATGACAGTTTTTTGGCAAATGAGAAGCTCCACAAAACTTTCCAGGGCCTGGGGCATGAATGCTAAACTCTGCCATCTAACCAGCAGGTCCCCTCACAATGCTCCATATGAGGATAATTGATGTTTGTTCGTGGGCAAGTCCAGATTCGAGCATTTAAAAAAATGGAGTACCTCCTACATGTCAGATTCTATTCCAGGGCTGGAGATTGATGGTCTCTGCCCTTACATCCAAGCAAGAAAGACCCATGGTAAGCAAGAAAACAAATCCGTAGTCATTTCAGACAGCGACAAGTGCGATGATGTAAGAGCAAAAGCCTGTATGTCTGTGTGGAGGGTGGGAGCTTTTTCTCGTGGGGTGGTCAGGGAAGTTCTCTGCTCAATCAACACTTGCCAGAGTCTCAGCTGGAGTCATCGTACAAGGGCTCCACAAGCCTCTGCTTTCAGCAAACAAGTAAAATTTCACTGTTAGACGGATTTCTCTCTACTCGAATTCTCAGAAAAGAAACTGATTTAAGGCAAGTCTTCATTAATCTCAACACTCATCCCTTTACAGTGCTGGATAATCAGATACATGCCATAAAGCCCCAGGGCAAATGTAACACAGAAAATAGTTAAGAAAAACAATTGTACCAAATGTGATCTCAAGCTGATAGCACCAGTAGGTCAACATAGCTTCTGCCACCTGTGGCCCCAACTTTCTCTCATGATTGTAGAGTCCCTGGAGTACTGGTCTCATCTCCTAACTGGCCTTCCTTTCTTGCACACAGTAACCTAAGTAATCTTTTTAAAATGCCACCTCTGACAGGAACAATAAACACTGGGGATTCCAAAAGGTGGAAGGAGGGAGGGGACAAGGGTTGAAAAACTACCTATTGGGTGCTATGTTCACTACCTGGGTGATGGGGTCATTAGAAGCCCAAACCTCAGCATCATGTAATACCCATGTAACAAACCTGCATAGGTACTCCCTGAATCTGAAATTTTAAAACGTAAAAATAAAAATAAAATGCACCTCTGATCAAGCACTCTGCTGCTTAAAATCCTTAAATGGCTCCCATAACTCTTCATCTAAAGACGAGAAGCTGAAGCTGGCCCACACCCGAGGCTGATGTTCAAAATATATTAATATAACTCCCCAGGTGCTTATCAGTCAAAACACAAGCCAGCCAAAAACAACCTTATGAACACACAACCCCGATACATGTATATTTACTTTAAAATTATATACATGTACTACCATCAACCCATATGTTAAATATCAGTAAGATTATTTTTTCTCATAAAAACAAATGCAAATAGAAGTTGTACCATTTCCTTTCCCAAGGGATTGGCATGTGCTCCCCAACCATGAACAATGACCCTCTCATGTTAATGTATAACATAAAAATTAATGGAGACAAAAAATGTATTGTTAATTTCCATGCTGCTCATACAGTGTGCCTTACTCCATGCACTTGGACCTGAAAATTTAGTGTAAACCAAATTTTAGCAAAAGAAACTATATTGTAAACACAATGAGGGAAACTGGCTATTTATAGGAATCTTCTTTAGGCATCTCTTTTGTAAAGTAAATAAATACTTTGTAATTAAATCAGTTCAATACAGATTCATTTTCTAAGCTCCTAAAATAAATTTTTTTTAAAAAAAAATAATCACCCCTAGGCCGGGCATGGTGACTCACACCTGTAATCCCAACACTTTGGGAGACCAAGGCAGGTGGATCACCTTAGGTCACCTTAGGCCAGCCAACATGGTGAAACCCCATCTCTACTAACCACACACACACACACACACACACACACACACACACACACAAGAATTAGTTAAGTGTGGTGGCGGGCACCTGTAATCCCAACTACTTGGGAGGCTGAGGCAGGAGAATTGCTTGAACCCAGGAGGCAGAAGTTGCAGTGAGCTGAGATCATGCCACTGCACTCCAGCCTGGGCGACGGAGCACGACTCTGTCTCAAATAATAATTATAATTATTATTATTATTTATAATTGATAATAACCACTAAAATGAAGCCAACAGCCAAGACACTCAAAAAAACAAATTATATTTCACGCCCACTTGCAATCTAATTATTTCACTATCTATCACTATAGAATTGGAAGAAGTTATTCTCATGAACACCCTGAAGGAAACTTTCCATTATGGTATGAATAATTAGTGAGTTCTTTTGAAAAAATGGTGCAGGCCTGGTAGACAGGTACAATGTTTCAAAAATCCAAAGGATGGATACAGCCAGGTGCAAACAAACTTTTCTCTCTTCTCTAGACACTGGCCCCAGTTTCCCACTTCCGGCCTCTGTTTACGCTGGTTCTCACCAGAAACACCGCTCCCAGACCCATCCCTCTCTCACCCAGACGACTGCACGTAAGCAGGTACCCACGCATGAGTGTGCACATACACAGACACACACACTCCAACATACACACACACACACACTCCGACTCAGTCACCCAAATCCTGCCGACTTTCAAAGCCCATCTCAAACACAGTCACGGATCACACAACTGTATTTTGGTCAACAATGGACCAAAATATATTTATACAATGGTGGTCCCCTAAGATGACAATATGGTTATTTTTACTGTGCTTTTTCTAAGTTTAGATCTGTTTAGATACAGAAATACTCACCATTGTGTTACAATTGCCTACAGTATTTAGTACAGTAACATGCTGTACAGGTTTCTAGTCTAGGAGTAACAGGCTCTACCACGTAGCCCAGGTGTATAGTAGGCTATGCCATCTAAGTTTGTGTAAGCACACTCTATGATGGTCACACAAATTGCCTACCAACACATTTCTTAGAATCCTCCCTCGATCTGTCCCAACTGAGACCAGAAATTGTGAAAATCAATTCATCTGACATATCATATCCTTTTCTCTGAACCACACTTAGTTAGAAAACAAATTTAAAAGTGCTGTCTTGCTTTAGTCCTCCTACTAAATGCCGACCACATTAAGATCACAGACTTTATTTTTATACATTTCCCACAGCACTTAGTTCATTGTTTTGTAAACAGCTGATCAATCTTTGTTTGGCAAATGAACAGAAAAACACCTTAGCATCAAATAACCTTCCATCGCTGGTAACAGCCCAGGTGGTTTATGTAGTTTCTTTTTTTTTATTTTTTTTTTTGAGACAGAGTCTCACTCTGTCGCTAAGGCTGGAGTACAGTGGCACCGTGTCAGCTCACTGCAATCTCCGTCTCCTGGGTTCAAGCAATTCTCCTGCCTCAGCCTCCAGAGTAGCTGGGATTATAGGCGTCCACCACCGTAGTTTCTGAAACTATTATCTTTAAAGTGTAAAGTAGGTCAGGAAATCACTGATGAAAATTAAATAACCATGTTATGTAAAAGCCTCAGACTGTGCAGGCGAATTTGAAAGTTTATGTTCCACTCTTGAGCTTGTCATCATAACACCTTCCTGACGGAGTTTATGATATGAGTCAGCTCTCCCGCCCAACAGTCCATCTGAGGGTCCAGGCCAATGAGGACAGCATCAGACACTGCAGGTGGGGCCATAATTGGAGCCCCTCCATGGGAAAACTGTCACTTCCCACCTCCCATGGCAACCTTGGCCTTTGGAGTTGCCAAGAAAGCCAGGCAGGACTTGGCTATTCAAACCCCACAACAACCAGCTTTAAAAAGTCACAATTCTAGGCCGTTTACCACAAATAATGCACACTTCTATGTATAGGATGATGAAATTGATGTGTAAATCTCCATTTTATTTTATCTTTTTTTTTTTTTTCTGAGACAAAGTCTCACTCTGTCATCCAGACTGGAGTGCAGTGGCATGATCTCGGCTTACTGCATCCTCCACTTCTCAGGTTCAAGCGATTCTCAATCCTCATCCACCAGAATAGCTGGAATGACAGGCATGCACCACCATACCCGGCTAATTTTTGTATTTTTAGTAAAGACAGGGTTTTGCCGTATTGGCCAGACTGGTCTTGAACTCTTGACCTCAAGTGATCCACCTGCCTTGGCCTCCCAAAGAGCTGGGATTATAGGTGTGAGCCACCGCACCCAGCCTAAACCTCAATTTTAAAATGAGTTCAACCTAGGAATCACTAAGATGCATTCTATCGCTAAAATTATTATTCTGTGCATCCCCCAAGACTGTGATACTGACAATTATTACAATCTTATCTATGGCCATTTGTAAATAAAAAGAATAATACTTCCCCACAAAAACTAAAACAGATGGGGTAAGGGGAGGAAAAAGGGAGAGGTTCTAATGGTCACAGCTGGATCTTTTAGATGGTTGATTAGATGCCTCTTTTCATCAGTGACAACTCGAAGTTTTTATGAAAAGTAAATTTCAAAATCTGCTAGAATCACCCTTTCAGGATCAACTCCCAGATAAGTTGTGTTTATTTCACTTTTTTAAACAATTATGATGATAATAAGGTGAGCTGTACTATAGATACCTGAATATATATATATATACACACTTACACACACAACTTTTTTTTTTTTTTTTTTTTTGAGACGGAGTCTTGCTCTGTCACCCAGGCTGGAGTGCAGTGGTGCAATCTCGGTTCCCTGCAACCTCCACTTACTGTGTTCAAGTGATTCTCCTGCCTCAGCCTCCCAAGTAGCTGGGATTACAGGTGCCTGCCACCACGCCCAGCTAATTTTTGTATTTCTAGTAGAGACGAGGTTTCGCCATGTTGTCCAGGCTGGTCTTGAACTCCTGACCTAAAGTGATCCATCCTCCTCAGCCTCCCAAAGTGCTGGGATTGCACATGTGAGCCACAGCACCCAGCCTTGAATATATATTTTTTAAGTCAAAGTTCAGCTATCCTTCAAGGAAATTTGAAAGTCCAAATGTATTTTTGATGATGATGAATTATACTTGGATAAAACCTACCCTCTACTTTTAACTTTTTATTATGGAAGATTTAAATGTCTACAAAAATAGGAAGAGTAGCTTAGTGAACGTGGAGGTACTGTATCAAGCTTCAGAAATTATCAATTTACAGCCAATCCTGTTTACCTATACTCCACATAGCTCTCTCCCCTACTCATATTTTGAAGTAAATCACAGATATTATATCAATTCATCTATAAGCCAGGTGCAGTGGCTCAAGCCTCTAATCTCAGCTACTTGGTAGGCTGAGGTAGAAGGATCACTTCAGGCCAGGAGTTTGAGACCAGTTTGGGCAACATAGTAAGACCCTGTCTCTAATAAATAAATAAAATAAAATTTTAAAAAATTAGCTGGGCATGGTGGCATGTGCCTGTAGTCCCAGCCACCCAGGAGGCTGAAGCAGGAGGATCGCTTGAGCCCAGGAGGTCAAGAATGCAGTGAGCTATGATCACACCACTGAACTCCATCCTGAAGGGCAAACTCTATCTCTAAAACAACAACAGCAAAAGGATTCTGCACAACAATTTATCTATAAATATCTATATATTTATATGTAGATATTATCGATAATATCTACATATTTATATATAGATAATATCTACATATTTATATATAGATATCGATAATATCTATATATTTATATATATTTATATATAGATATTATCGATAATATCTCTCTATATATATTTTTATATAGATATTATCGATAATATCTATATATTTATATATATTTATATATAGATATTATCGATAATATCTATATATTTATATATATTTTATATAGATTTATAGATAATATCTATATATTTATATATATTTTATATAGATTTATAGATAATATCTATATATTTATATATAGATATTATCGATAATATCTATATATTTATATATAGATATTATCGATAATATCTATATATTCATATATATTTATATATAGATATTATAGATAAATATAGATATTTATAGATATTTATAGATAAATATAGATATAAATTTATAAATATATATATTTTTATATATCTATAGATATAATTATAGATCTATAAATATAGATATAGCAATTTATCTATAAATATCCCAATATGTATATCTACAATATAAGGATACTAAAAAATACCTCAATAATACTACCACACCTAATTCTTATATGGTTAAGAATTAACAATTCATTAGTATCTTAATATTGCCAAGTATCTAGACCATATTCCAGTGTTCACATTTCCTTGATTATCTCAAACATTTTTAAATTGTTTGTTCAAAGGTGGTTTCAAATTAGGTCCATACAATGAGACTAAATTGGTCGGTAGTCTGTAAAGGCTTTTTAAAATATATATGCTCCTCCTTATCTCTCTTTTTTATATCTTCGTAACTTTTTTTGTTGAAGAAACTGGGTCACTTATCGTGTAGAATTTCCCATAGTCTGCACTTCGCTGATTCCATCCCTGAGGAATTAACCTGTTCCTCTGGACCCTGTACTTCCCGTAGTTGGCAGTTGGATCTAGGCTCTGGATCAGATTCAAGTCTGATTGCTTTGTAAGACCACCTCATGAGTAGAGCTGTGTTCTTCCATCAGTCAGGTTGCTTCTCTGTTTGTGATGTTTGCAGCCATTGATGATCACTGCCTAGATCCATTAATTCATTAAGGTCTGCAAAAGGACCCTCTCTTCTCCACTCTGTCTCCCAGGTAGGAACCTCTGAAGCTGAGGACGTATTCTTGCTGGCTTCATTATTGTCATCATTCCTCTTCGTGACCTATTACACATTTCTGAAGAGAAACTCCTCTCACCAGCTCCTTTGTTTCCTAAGGTAGGGTTCTTATAGAAACAAGATAAGCTTTCCTCTTTCTTTCATTTACCAATTTTCAAACTAATGAGTTGTACCCTAGCATTCTGCAAGAGTGACCCATGATTTTCCTAGCACCATTTGGAACTCATGGATTAAAACATATTCGATGTGTTTCAATCCCTCTTAGTTTTTATCTTTATTGATGTTGAAATATTTGCCCTGAGGGAGGTTTTGCAAGTTGTCTCCTGAGTCTTTTTGACATGTTTCTTCTAGTCTTTGATAGTTTTTTGGCTTTCAGTTATGACAATTGCTCCAGGCTCACCTTGTTTATTTCCTCCCAGACCTGGAATCCTCCATCTTGCCAAGAAGCTTTGGTTCTGTCCAATAGAACCACAATCTGGGTGATAGGTGTTCCCATTGCTACTGGTTTGGTCATTCTTTCCAGGCCTTTTAAGCGGACAGACCTTGAGAAAAATCTATCAAGTTCATACTGATACTCCTCATTCAAAATCAAGACTGTAAGATTTTACCTAAATTCCTTGATCTTAATCTGCATCCACAAAAATCCCATTTTTCAGTGACACCAATATAATTATTCATTTGCTTTATCCCACACCATACTTAGAACAATAGCAGAATAATAATATAAGCATTAGCACCAAAATATGATTACTAAAAATAGTTTAATTTTTTTTTAAGTTCTTTTTATCCTTAGGGTATATACTCACCAGGGACATGCTGTCAAGTTATCTTATTTAAAAGTCACTTGGAGCAGTTCCTGTCTCTGCTTATGCCATCAGCTCAATCCAGAGTTAGGTTCATTTGTTTCATTTTATCATCAGCTTTTAGAGACTAGCTTTTTAAATTTTAGTGTTATAATTTGGTTTCACAATTATGTAAAACATTTGTATGATTCCAAAACCAAATTTGAAACTCAAAATGTAAGTAACAAGGCTAGCTTTCATCTCTGAACTCTCCACACTATTCCTTTTTTCCTCAAAAATAACTTATTTTAAAAATACATTTTATTCTTCCTTTTTAATACAAGCAAATCATATATGTGATTATATATTTATGTGTGTACATAATATATATATCATATATGTGATTATATACATGATTATATATGTGTGCCTATATGTATGTATATATAATCATACACACAGATACACACACATATATATTCCCTTTCTTTGATAAATAACAGCAGACTATTCTTTTTTCTGCCTTGGATTCACTTAACATGCCTTGGAAGTCACTCCACAGCTATCACAGGGTTCATCCTCATTTCTTTTCATAGCTGCATAGTACATACTCAATCATGTAGCTGTCCTATAGTTTATTTAACCTGTTCCTTACTGGTGGACATTTGGGTTGTTTTCAGTCATCTGCTCTTATAAAAAGTGCTGTGATGAATAGCCTGTGTATCTGTCTTTTCATATTTTTGCCAAGGTATCTTGGCGATTCCTAGAAGTGGCATTGCTGGGTCATAGGCTAAATGCCCATGTGGTTTTGCTAGATAGTGCCAGTCTCCTCCCTGGGATTGTCCCATTTCATATTCCTCCCAGAATTGAATGAGAGGGCCTGTTTCCCCATAGGTCTGCCAATACAGCATGTTGTCAACCTTTGGGGTTTTGACATCCGATAGGTGAGAAATGGTACGTTGGTATAGTTTTTATTTTACATTTATCTTATTATTAATGAAGTTGATTATCTTTTCATACTGTTAAGAGAGATGGCCGGGCATGGTGGCTCACACCTGTAATCCCAGCACCTTGGGAGGCCGAGGCAGGCAAATCACTTGAGGTCAGGAATTCGAGACCAGCCTGACCAACATGGTGAAAGCCCATCTCTACTAAAAATACAAAAATTAGCTGGGCATGGTGGTGGGTGCCTGTAAGCCCAGCTACTCGGGAGGCTGAGGCAGGAGAATTGCTTGAACCTGGGAGGTGGAGGTTGCAGTGAGCCAAGATCGCACCATTGCACTCTAGGCTGGGTGACAGAGTGAGACTCCATCTCAAAAAAAAAAAAAAAAAAAAAAAAAAAGAGAGCGACAGAGAGATATTTGGATTTCTTTTTCTGTCAATTATTTGCTTATATTTCTAACCCATTTTTCTACAGAAAGATTTGCCCTAAGGGGGCAAATATTTGAACATCAATAAATATACTATCCTTAGTATATTTTTCTACAGAATTGTTGTAGTTTTTCTCCTCCATTTTAAGGAGCTTTTTCAAATACATTAGGGCTATTAATAATTTGTCTCTAATATAAGCTGTGAATATTATTTTTCCTAGTTTGTCATTTGTCTTATCTTACTCATGGTGGTTTTTATTTTTTTGTTGTTGTTGATTTTTTTGTCACACGAAGTTTTTTTTATTTCAATACAACCAAATTTTTCAATCTTTTCCCTTACCATGTCTGGATTTGAGCCGTAATTCAGAAAGCTTCACAATCTCCAAGGATAGAAAGCCATTTGCCAATATTTTCTTATTTTTACAGTTTCAGTTTTTATATTTAAATCTCTTGTCTACTTGGAATTTAACCCAGTATATGGAGAAACAGGTCCGATTTTGTTTTTTTTCCAGTTGCTATCTACTTATCCCAACACCCCTTGCAGAGAAGTTCATTCTCCCACCAATTTGCGATGCCACCTTTCTCATCTACAAGTCTCCACGTGCAAGTGGGGCTATTTCTGGGTCTTCTACTTTGCTTTGTCAGTCTGCCTATTCACATGCCAGTATAACCTGTTTTGATAACAGAGGTTTTCCAGTATGTTTGGATGTCTGGTGGGACTTTTTTTTCTTATTGCACTTTCTTTTCAGAGTTTTCTTGGCTTTTTATTCATCCATTCTTCCAAACAAATTTGTCTGCCTTCCAAGTGGAATTTTTGCCAATTGCTCAATTTTCCAAAAACGAATTGACACCTGTTCGACTTCATTGACGACCCAAGTTGGCTGCTTGGTCACAGAGCCTGGAACATAGTAGGTGTTCAAAAAATGTCAATAGACGTGAAGTGCCTGGAGATCTTTGGCTGGAGGTTAGCATACCATCTCAACATCCCACAGCAAATGTTAATCCTAGATGATGATTCTACAAAGAGTTTAATCCCAATTACTTCAGTATAACTGAAAACAAGACTGATTAATAATACTTAAGAATTTTTTAAAAATAGAAAAATAATACCCTTCACATTGGTGTGCCTCCAATGAGGCAGTTTACTAGACTTTGAGGGACTCTTTTCACTCAGTGCTCTTTTAAATGTTTTGAATGTGTGTTACATGCATGGATTGTTTACATAGTCACTCAACAAATTTCATGTCATTCATTAATCCAAGTTACTGCATCTCAGTTAATTCAGGTGGGAAATTTCTTTCTCGTGTACTCTATGCATATGACATTTGGGACACTTGGCATCTGGTGAAGAGGGAACCACAGGCTTCTATCTGGGCTAGCCTGTGGGTGACCAGGTCTGGGCCCAGTATCTTGGCTTTTGCATTGTTTTGTATTTTTTAAGAACATAATGTCCTAGGAAAACAAGGGAAAGAACAGCTCCTTTCTTTAATAAATGATTCAAACGTTGGAAATGGGGAAAAGAAAACATGGCACAAAGGAGCATATTTTCCAGGTTGTGACTTTTCTACTGGAGAAGCCCATGTCAACCAACACAGCCTTGGTTAAGCGTAACCTGCCCTGGTTCTACTGGGCTAATCTGGTGTGCTGGGTTTGGATAATGGACCTGTGTCAAGTGAAGCCAAGAAAATCCAGACTCACTTAAAGGTCCAAATGGAAACGAGAAGTCTCGGAAGCCTCCTCTGTGGATATGCATCTTACCAATAGACGGACTCCTAGGTTTGACCCTGAGCAATCCTCCTCATAAAACAGAAGGACTCAGAGATCAGCAGATGTGTCAAAGGTCCACTGATGGTCTGGGGGTGCTTAGTACTCATCTCACCAATGTATATTCAGACTTAGCAAAATGCTTTTAGTGGAGACCCAGATTGAAACCCTGACTCAGTTTACTAGCTGCAGAAACTTGAGCCTATCTGAGACTCAATCAAGATAATAAAATTAAAAGGAGTAAAGAATATTAGGCACACAAGTGCTCAGAACAGTAGCCAGCATTAACTATCCTTAGTATAATATAGCTTTCAGAACTCTGTCAAAAGTGCTCTTTATTGTAAGAGAAAATGGGGCCCATCTTTACCCCAACTTAAAGCATTATCTAGTCTCATTTCAAGCTTTGAAGAGATGAGTAAACTCTCCTCTCCATTTTCCTCCATGGTCACAATCGATAGTGTTTTCAATTGAGAAGATATGAGTTTACCTAAGTGTGTGTGCAAAAGCCCAGTTGCAAATGGCAATGATGCATTACAGTACTCCATCCATCTGTTCCAAGAGACTGAAAGCTTTCTCTTCCTGGCAGATGGCTGGGATCCTGATACCTACATGCATGAGAAGCCACACCAGAATGCCAGCCGACATTTGCATGCAGAGACGTTGCCTGTGGAGCTGTCTCCAGAAGAGGATGCAGCTGCAGGTACTTGAGGACCACACTCCCCCTCCCAAGCCTAATGTTCCCTACATGGCAGCGCACTGAGCATTGGCAATGCAAAAACCACTTCTCAATTACTCATAATTGAGTTGCAAAAAGAGATTATTCTTTGCTGAAACTTGACTTCTCATCCTGGAAGCAGGTTTTTCTCATTTGGGATGGGAGGGGGGCAAATTATATTAAAATTTGCTGGAAATTTTTGCTTGGAACAAGGCACAAAAATATTCCTTGGAGGTTGCAGATGCCTCAGTTGTCATTCTTTAACAAAATCAGGGCTCTCTTTGTAAAAACAAACACGACCCAGGCATGTTCACTCTTTCTTTGGAATGTATCCATGGTGCTAAATTAGATTTTTTGAATACCCTCACAACTGGCCCCAAGGTTGTGCATGGCTATTGCTGACTCTACAACAGGGGAATTAAAGGCTAAATGTATTCTGCTGACTCCCTGGTTCTCTGCTTATCCAAAGGGCACTGGGATTCATTTTGGAAAATCCTAGAGATTACACACAGGCTTTCTTCCAGGGATAAGTTAAAGAATTTAGGAAACACCCAGGCTTCTGTCTTAACACACTTGAAAAAAAAAACAAAACATATCTTATAAGGTGTCCCAGTGACCCAAAATAGGTAAAACACCTCCCAAGGAAGCACTTTTCTGTAAAATCTGGTTCTTTAACCCCTGTGCCTCTTCTCATTCTCAAAACTGCACAAGAAGCAGCATGCCCAAGGTTCTAGCCCAAATTGACATTGCATTAACACTGTCAAAACATTAATGGAAAGTGTCCCAGGAAGGACTAGAGAGATTTCTTCTACCCCATTGTTGCTGACTCTGACTTCCTGGTTCCATCAAGATTCCAAAGGGGAGGAGAAACTTGATGCTTACCTCGGGGAAATCTCTGAGTATAAAACCTTAACTGAACCTACCGAGATCAGGAAGAGCTCATGTTCAAAAGCTGTCACCCCTCTCCCGGACAGACAGGCTTGCAGGGAGCCCCAGCTCTGTCCACAGGAGCCTTGGCCTGTGACCTGACTCTAGGCTTGGGACCCCCTCTCCAAGAGGTAGGGAGGGCAGACCTCCCAAAGCACAGGGTTTCATCCAGGGCTCTTTATAATTTCTAAGGCTGCCCTCTAAAACCTACTCCTTTGCTTCCCTTTATCTTCCCCTCCATCAATTCCCTTCCCTCCTATTTCCAAAAACCATAACCATAACCAAATTTGGCCTGATTCTTTAACCGATAAACCTAAAAATTCAGAAATCAGGCAGCTCTAACATTCTTGAATTGTGCCTCATGATACTTTAGTTGTTGCTGTTGTCATTTTGTTTGTCAGAAGAATACTTTGCTATGTAGGTGAATTTAAAAAGTGACCCTGGACCATTATATTTCATTATAAAATACAGCGGCATAAGGCCCTCTCCAAAAGACATGCTACAGCTCCTGCCTTGTTGATGTAACCATATAAACCTGTGAGGAGCATGAGCACACATCCAAATAGACATATCTCACATGAACACGCTAAACAGAGACATGGCGCAGAAGCTATGTGGGGCCTTGGGCTGAACCAGCAGTTAGAGCATGCAAAATACCACTACAGACAAACTACAGACAAGTTCTAGAAAGTCCAGTTGATACTACATGAGCAAGCCAGTGAAAAGAAATAATTGCCTGTAGCAACACAGGATACAAAATATATTTTTAGAACAGGGTCTTAAAAGTGTTAGGACATTAAGGATTCTAAGGAAATCTGGTCTGTATCAGTGAAAATAATTTTGAAAACCGAGGAAAATGCTAAAGTCCAATGTAAAGGAAAGGGTGGAAGGGGCAAGTAATTGACAGGTTTCCTGGTGGCCGCGCACCTGCGGAGCACTTACTCACCTCACTCACCTCACTCAGTGCTTTTCCAGGCATGTTTTATTTCCTTTGCAGTCCTCGGCACCCTCCGAATGACCCCTGATAACAGCAATGGCCAGCGTTTCTCTGATGCTCTGCTAATTCCACACGTGACCTCATCTGAGCCTCACAATGACCCTGTGAGGTAAGGATTATTGTCTCCCATTTTACAGAGAAGGAAACTGAGACCCAAGTGGTACTCAAGTGTCCCCTGGATACCTACCAGTAAGTGATACCTTACTGGTAGGTATCCTAAGCTCACTACCAGTAAGGGACACAGCAGAAGCTCCACCCCACTTGGTGACTCTCAGTGACAAGCCCTCCCTACCTGGCCATACCACCTCATGTGGTGTAAAGCTCTGTTGCCAGTATGGAAAACACTCACACGAGTAAAACCAAATATCCACTTGCATTGTCCAAAATGACATCCAGAGTCGAGAGGCCAGGAAATATTCCTAGACACACATAGGTTGTCCATTCTTCATTCAGCAGTTTAGAGACAAAGGCATAATTAGGCCCATCTGTAAATAAAGTGAGTCCCTGACACAGGACACAAATAAAGGGCTTCACTGTCTTTTGTCCACATTTGTATTTTTCTGACAATGTTAGTTTTGTGTTTTGAAATGTATTCATTCTTGGGTCAGCGGGGGAAGGCTGAATTGGAGATTATGAATGCATTATGAATGCATTTGGACTGAGCCTTATCTTTGCTGGAGATTTAGAAATCTGGTTTGTAGTTTGAGGTCTTGGAACACCATTGCGTTTCCAGCACCGTGTCTTTATGTGAACAGGTCTGTCTTTAAGCCAATGACTATTTTGCTCGATTTAAAAGGGGAAAAATAATCTTGAGTAGGACAAAAAACAACGGCCATACATATGATTTGAATTACAGTCAGATAATCACCATTCATGACCTGTCCAAGCTGGAAGGAAAGCTTGAATTTCTCCTCAGAGACATTTCCCGGCTTAACTTTCAACAAGGGCTACAATTGAGTGTGGCCTTTAAGTGAAAACTAAAGAAGTTCAAACTATTTAAGGCCTTTACTGACTTCTCCAGCCTACTATGAAATTAGTCTTTTTGGAAGAAGATCATTTATGAGTTTCATTGGAAGCGGAAAAAAAAAAAAAAAAAAAAGCTCCTTTACTCCTCAACTCCCTCAAAAAACATTCTAAAGAAAGTTTTTTCAAATAAATTTCCCAAGCAACAGCACTGAGCACTGCTCCTCATCTTCTCTGTTTAAGGAACTTATATCAAAATCTGAACGTGTACTCTCTGAAGGTTTTCTTCCCCCATTGGATTCCAAGACGACTAGAAGTTCATCCTAACCTGTGAACATCTGGGAGTTGTTCGGCACACAAAAAGCTATGGGGTAAACAGTATATTCTGTGACTCAAAATCCTAACAACATACATGCTTCCTCCAGCCACAGTTTCTTCTCAGAAGCTCAGTTACCTTTCAGAGAAAAGGAATGAAAACCAAAGATCCATCTGCAATGGATGGCATCGGGCAAGAAGCCTCGCAACAGTGCTTGTTTTGTGGGCAGCACAGTTTTGGGCTGTGGCAGAATCATCTGGGGAACTGAAAAAAATATCCCAGTGCCCAGGCCGTATCCAGGCCAGTCACATCTAAATCTCTGGGGATTCCATTGTCCTAGGGAACAGGTTCTGGGCTCTGGAGTCAGAAAAGTCTGGTTCCTATCTTAATTTTCCTGCTTACTGTTTTTCAGACAAGTTACTTAACCCCTCTGAGCTTAGGTTTCCCCTTATTTAAAAGGAAAAAAAAAAGCTAAAGATCTCCACTTTATGAGACAAAAATGAGACATAATATTGGTGAACATACTGTCTGGCTTTAAGTGATCTGTAAATGTGTGATAACTTAATGTTTAGAAAGTTACCAATGTTTTCTCCCAGAATTTCCTTCTCCTATCCTCAATCTTTGCCTTTCCTGCAAAAGCGTACATAATTTGAGGAAGGAAAGGGGATAATGATACAGATAGAAGATTAAGGAGGACATATCATGAATAGAATAGAATTATGTTCCCTCAAGAATAGAATAGGACCTCCTGAGGACCAGGGGGGGCCAGATAAGCAGGTAAAAGTCAGCAGGATGCAAGGATAAAGTCCCCAACCTAGACTCCTGATCAAGTCCTAAGAAGGAATCAATTCCCAGTTAAGCTTGTGGGATCCAACAGCAGGGGACACCTGTGACTCATTTTCTAGGACTAGCTCCAAAAGGAAAAAAAAAAAGTGTGGAATTTCTAGGTAGATAGGGACTTAGCCTCATAAGTTTTCTATTCTTCAAATGCCTTACAAGCCACAAAATGATCCCTTTGCAGTATGAAAGCAGCAGAGAGCCCCTGGACCTGAGGTAGCCTTGCAGATGAGAATTCAGGTAAAGGAGCTAAGGCTACAACGACTGTTGACCAAGAGCCAGCCCAAATGAGGAAGGAATTAGCGGGTACTAGTGTGGAGAGATGGCATCAAGGAATGAACATGCCCACCTACACCCCCTGGGCTAGTGCTCCCTCATCAGCTCCTTAGACAAATTCCAGGGTAAATTAGATGAACCTGAACAGGGAAAAGTAAAGAAGCTGTATCTCTCACACTCAGTGTTGTGACCTGAGCCTCATACCTGAGGCTCGAGCTATCAGTGTTATGGTTGTTTTTTTTCCTCAACAATTTTCGGGTTATGATGCCTCCATTGTGCAATAGGCCTCAAGAGAGGAGATTTACATAATCGTCGTGGAAGAGTCAGAGAAAACAAAATGGACAAGAGGAATTGTTCCTGCCACATGAGGGCCTCACAGCTGAACTGCAATAAATCAGCTCAGCAGCCACTGAGTCCTTTTATGGTCTCTCGTAGAACTAAGATCCAAGATAACTACGCTAAGCCTAGCTCCTAACAAGCCCTCCCAGCAAGATAAAGAATGAGTATCTGGTCAACCAAAGAGGTAATTCTGATTACAAAACAACAACTAGGCTTTCTGGTTCTTTCCCCTCAACTGATGTATTTGATCAAACCACATAGTTCTAACCAATAACCTGGGGCTCTCTGATGGGCCCTGCTTCCAGGCTTAGGGTATGTCTTACCATAATGTATAAAATAAAGTTGCATACTGAAGTTAACAACTTCTGAAATACAGCTATAACAATTATGTGATTATTACGTTACCTCGAATTAACATATGGCCCATAATCTTTTGATATTACAAAACTTGATTGTGCCATGAGATCTAACGGGTTTCATTTAATAGGAAGAGTTATTTGGTAATGTTACATACCAGTTCATTGTTCAAAACATTTATGGGGATTTAACGCTATGAAGCAGATAAACGAGTGTTCCCCAGCTGCTAAATCTCACTTCATATATTTTAAACAATCCACCGTACTGGCGATTTCTGAAATGTGAAAAGATGTCATATCCAATGCACGTTTTAAAAATGTTACTTCTGAAGCTGCATCTGCTTCACATCGCCTGTTCAAAGTTTTCCATTTTCCTCCGGGGTTACTTAATGATCATATTAGAATGGACAAAAGTCAAAGACTGCGTCCATTATCTGAAATGTAGGCCTTGATATTGTACACTTAGCTAATTTAAAAAAAGAGAGAGACAGAGAGATCTGAAACACTGGAAAACGTGTCAACCAGGCAGTGAAGCTGTGAGGATTAACAAAGTCAAATTTACAAAGTAAAATCAGGTTCTCACATGAAAGAGGGAGGCGTGGAGGAACTGTTAAAGCTATATTATTACTCTAAAGTGACTGGGTCACCCACTGGACTTTGTGCAATTTTTCAAGCTGTTCTGAAATGACGAATATGGCATGTAGTATATAATACACTGAAATGTGTTGAAACTTTGGATAACATTCCCGGTTTAATATTTAAAACACTTGGTCAGCGAGAACACACTACAGAGCCATTTCACCGCTCCGTGCATTGCACTTTCACAATCTCCCATCTCATTTCATTCCACGAGTTTGGAAATCTTGCCTCCCTCCCTAGGTTTCAAACAGCCCCCTGTCTTGCCAGCTTATTTTACAAAAAAGAAAATTAAAGCAAACCATCAATGAGAACATAGTTCTATGAAACAAAGAGAATGGTGCTGTGTTTGACATCCTTACTGGTCTCCCAGAATTTGTTCTGTGTTTTGGTTAGCTGAATATGCTTGGCGCCCCAGGAGTCTGGCAGCATGGTTAATATCATGAATAAAAAAAGGATTTAAAAAATTCAGTTTGTATTTGGGGCTCTTTTTGAGAAAAAAGAATGGATTACATAAGCAGATGCTTGAGATAGCTATTGTTCTTTTTTTTTTTTTTTTTTTTTTTTTTTTGAGACAGAGTCTCACTCTGGGTGCAATCTCAGCTCACTGCAAGCTCTGCCTCCCAGGTTCATGCCATTCTCCTGTCTCAGCCTCCCGAGTAGCCAGAACTACAGGCACCTGCCACCACGCCCGGCTAATTTTGTGTATTTTTTAGTAGAGACGGGGTTTCACCGTGTTAGGCAGGATGGTCTTGATTTCCTGACCTCGTGATCCACCTGCCTCGGTCTCCCAAAGTGCTGGGATTACAGGCGTGAGCCACTGCGCCTCGCCAATAGTTATTGTTCTTTTGCAATTATACACCATGTGTGCCCCAAGAAGCCTATGCCTCTTTAGAAGCAACAAAATGAAGGCGATGTCAACATATCCGAAAGCAAAGAGGCCACCTGGCAATTAGCCAGCTAATTTGACCAATGTAAATAATGAACTGGCATAACTTACACTCTAAAAATAGTTTGGAATAACTGCAGACTGTGGTCAACCTCCCAAATATTATGGAATGCAAGTAGAATTTCTAGAGCCTGAATTTTAAAGATGGCAGCTTAAAGAAGTATTTGAGACCCTTCAAGCAACAATTGGATTTTCATTTGAATGAATGACGTGAAGTAACTATTCTAAAGCAATGGATAATATTGGCTAAAAGGCAAGATGTTTTTAATTAAAGAACAGTAAGAGATAGTAAATGAAGAAAAAAATCTGCCTACCTGGGGAAGAAGTTCAACAAGCAGTGATTGAAAGAATGAATTCATTTTTTTCAATATAAGCTCTTTAGAATCAGTTCATGAGGCCCAGAGAAAAAAATTGGCCACCATCTATTTTTACTTAAAACTTCATTACCCAAGCTGATGACCACCTCATTCACCCAGTTTTGTTCCTTGTGATTTCTGGTAGGTCACCCAAAATCCAATGCGCCATCACAGAGCTGTGCTGTGTTCCCAATAAGGTTGGTTTTAACATCATAGATTCTGAGGATAATTCTCAAAAAGAAAGGGCTACATCTATAGAATAAGTGAGGCTTTGTCACAGGTTACAATTTGGAGGAGGTCAAAATTCTTTGGTTTATACTTTTAGAGTCATATCTCACTAATTTACCAATGAATAAAACTATCAGGTGATGGTATTCTCTTTGTAAAGGGAAACTCTCCCTCTTTCTTTTCCTGACTCATGGCACTGTTGTTAGCAAAGTATGGTCCGTACACACAGAGCAAACATGCATCCCGCCTTCTTGCTGACCAAGTTACACAGTCTACATGCTTCATCCATCCACAGCCCAAAACAGGCCATGTTTCCCAAGCCATGTGACCTGGGTAAAGGGCTGGGTATTACAGAAAGTGTAAGAATGTGTGGGGGGTGTATTCAATTGAATATTTTGAAAGTTGATATATGTGGTTGAGAAGAAAAACCAAGCAATACAAAAATTTTACAAGGAGGAAGACAATATTGTAAAGAGAATTGTTTACTAAAAATTTTTAAGCAGAAGCCTTTTTAAAAATTAAGTCTTGCTGGGTGCGGTGGCTCACGCCTGTAATCTCAGCACTTTGGGAGGCCGAGGTGGGTGGATCACGAGGTCAGGAGATGGAGACTATCCTGGCCAACATGGTGAAACCCCATTTCTACTAAAAATACAAAAATTAGCTGAGCATGATGGCACGCGCCTGTAATCCTAGCTACTCGGGAGGCTGAGGCAGGAGAATCACTTGAGCCAGGGAGTCAGAGGTTGCCTTGAGCCAGGATCATGCCACTGCACTCCAGCCTGGCGAAAGAGAGACTCCATCTCAAAAAAAAAAAAAAAAAATTAAGTCTTAGAGGAGCCCCAGTATTGATCACATACAAAAGTGAAATTGCTTGATCCAGTTGGCTTTGGTCAGGGATAGGGGCCACACATATCCTTCAAATCGTTGTTTCAAACCACTTAAACCACTTTATTTTGCCAAAGATTTGTTTCCCTGGTAAATAAGATAGCCTCTGAACTTGCTTGATAGTTGACCCAATGATATCTCATTAGCCTTGGTAATAATTAGTGGTCTAAAGTGTTCTACCTCGTAAAGTGCTATAGCATTTAAATGCTTGCATGGAGCTTTAAACTTCCCCTTAGAAAAACTGATTTAGAAAAACTCACTGTGTTATTTCCCTCATATAAAGTTTCACAGTTTAAAGTGTTTTTTTTTGTTTGTTTGTTTTGAGATGGAGTCGTGCTCTGTCACCAGGCTGGAGTGCAGTGGCATGATCTCAGCTCACTGCAACCTCTGCCTCCTGGGTTCAAATGATTCTCATGCCTCGGACTCCTGAGTAGCTGGGATTACAGGCACGCACCACCACACCCAGCTAATTTTTGTATTTTTAGTAGAGACGGCAGGTGGATCATGAGGTCAGGGAATCAATCGTTTTTAGGCAGAAAAAAAGAGGACAATCAATTAAAACCCAAGATGGAACCATTCCCCTGGAATTCTAGCTTCTGGCTCTGCCTATGAATTGGACCGTTCACCAAAAATGAAATTTTTACAACAGAGATGAGCCTTTCATTTGCTCCTAGTTGAAGCTGCAAATCCCTTGTGCCAAGTATTTTGCTGGTGTCAATTAAGGCAGGCTTCTCAGATTGCCACAGGGAAATCACAATAATATCATACTCTCTTCAGAAATAACATTTAGGATTTTTGTTAGGGAAACAATCAAATAAAGCCCTGACAAAATTGTTTCTAGGGGAAAACATGCCTGTAAGGGATGTCTTTGGAAATGATTACAAGCTTGAGTTATAACCAGGTCACTGAAAGGGATGGCCAAGAGGAGCTCCTTAGTGATAACCAAGAGGTTCAATGGAAATTAGGGATCTGAAGACCTCACTAGTAACCTGTACAATCTAGAATTGTTCGTGATTAACTAGGAGATGACTGAAGATGCACCCTCTGGGAATTCAGTGAACAAACCAAAGCTCTGGACTTTATTTTTAAAAGGTTTTCTGGGCCGGGCTCGGTGGCTCACACCTGTAATCCCAACACTTTGGGAGGCTGAGGCGGGTGCATCACAAGGTCAGGAGTTTCAGAACAGCCTGACCAACATGGTGAAACCCCGTCTCTACTAAAAATTCAAAAATTAGCTGGGCGTGTTGGTGCGCACCTGTAATCTCAGCTGCTCGAGAGGCTGAGGCAGGAGAATCGCTTGAACCCAGGAGGTGGAGGTTGCAGTGAGCCAAGATGGCGCCACTGCACTCCAGCGTGGGCGACAGAGCGAGACTCTGTCTCAGGAAAAAAAAAAAAGATTTTCTGTGGAATGTTAAATGCGATTTCTCCCTCCTTCTACTGCAATATCATAAATACCTTTGGTAATTTGGGAAGAGAAAGGGTGATGAATCACTCCAGGTCCAATCCAGCACAACTATGGAGATGTCAACAAATGGCCATGAAGAGGCAGACAGGAATCAGGATGGGCTGTGCTTTGTGATAGCACCATTCACGGTTTTGCCTAAGATCCATCTCCTAGAGGGGGCTGTGCCTGGCCAGTGATCTTCTTGTTGCAGCCAAGGGTAGAGACATTGGTTAGCATCTCAGCAAGTTTTCACGTTGGGCTGCTTTCAAAATGGCAGAAAGAGGAGAGAAATGCATTGTAGCAAATCTTACCATAATATTCCATGCAGTCAATGCAACCAGGGAATTTGCTTTTCCCTTCAGTAACAACATTTATTTTACAGGTTACAAGGACTCAAGCATTTCTTTCAAGGTTTTGAGAGGAAAAGATAAAATTAATTCTTGAGTCATTAAGGGCAAGGAACTTGGTAGAGACAGAACTCCTTGAGTCTTCATTACAAGCATCAAACAGTGGATTTACCAATTAGCTTCATTCTCCCAGATGAGCTGGGAACAGGGTGGGTCCAAGGAGTTCATCCATATCTTCTCCTCTGGTCCACTGTAACAAATAAATTCACAAGAGACCTGGAATACGTGTTGGCCTTGCAAGGAGTCTGCTTCAACCCAGTAACCCATCAGCCATAAACAGGAGACCTAGGAATGAGTCCAGTATACATGAAGCCCACTGGGCCTACTACTGTGATTGCATGCTTTCCTAAGAAGATAATAGTAATCTCATTGGCCAGAAAATGTGAAAAATAAGGAGACAGGTATCTGCTTGGACTGGCCGTGGATCTATGACAGCATTTATTTTAAAACATAGTAATTATTTGTATATGCGTCTGTCTTCCTCAATAGACCATGTAGTCCTAAGAAAAAAGCAAACATTTCAGCATCTAGCACAATTCTTGGCACATGGTTGAGCTACAATAAATGTTTTTCCAAAAAGTAATAATTTCTGTCTAGACTAAAAGACTGTGGACAACATAACCTCTTAAAATTTCTTTTCAGCCACCAAATTCAATGATGAATGGTTGAGAGAACAGGATAGATCTTATGTTTACTACATCTCTGTAAATCAAGTTCACATCAATAAAAATAGGTCTAACCAAACTCAATCACAGAATTGTCACCTGAGTCTTACTTGAATGGCTGTGTGATTTACTTGCCTGGCCAAGTCAAGGCTGGAGTGTAATATTCTATGCTCCATTGTGTTTTGATGGGGGCTTTTAAGGGCTGCAACAGGCTTTTTTTTTTTTTTTTACGGGGAGTTGGGGCATGGGGGGGACAAGGTCTCACTTTGTTGCTCAGGCTAGAGTGCAGTAGCACAATCATGACTCACTGCAGCCTCAACCTCCTGGGTTCAAGCGATCCTCGCACCTCAGCCTCCTGAGTTGTTAAAGCTACAGGTACATGCCACCATGCCCGGCTAATTTTTTTATGTTTTTGTAGAGACAAAGTCTCGCTATATTGTACAGGCTGATCTTGAACTCCTGGCCTCAAGCGATCCTCCTGCCTTGGCCATCCAAAGTGCTGGGATTACAGGCATGAGCCACCATGCCCGGCCACAACAGTCATTTTTAAAGGTAGCTTCCTCCATTTTCCCTGCGTGACACTGGGCTTTTCATAACAGAGCACTTGGAATTAGAGCCCAGATGTCAGAAGACATGAAACTGTGGGCTTCCATGCTTCTTTAAGGGACCATGCCTAAAAAAATCCTCCTGGGCCCCAGTGGCCTCTTTCCTTTGCTAAGGATTAGTCTAGAATGTAGGGTTTGGACAAATGGGTCTGGGCAGTGCTCCTGCTCTGGGCATTGCCTCGGGAACAGTTTCCCAGCTTGGCTTCCACAGGGCTACACAAAGACCACTTTTGTCTTTGTCAGTTACCTGCCTCACTTGTGGTTCTACTCTCCCTCCCCGCATTCTTGGCTCCTGGGCAGCAGAACCTCACATTCATCACACCTCTGTGGTCTGTCTCAAGTGGGCTGGGTTTTTGGTTTTGGCCTTTTTGTTTGTTTGATTGGGAGGTTTTTGGCGTATTGAGAAGACAAGTTTTGCCCTTTGGACTCCCCATCATTCCTGATAGCACACTGCTAGGGAGGCTGGTGACACTGCTCCACAGAGCAGAGAAGCCCTGGCCCCCAAGAATCCATTCGGCCCACGAGGATGGGACTGGGCTCAGGCATGCTGTCTGCCCCAGGCAGGTAGACAGAGGCTGCCCACCCTGGGCATCAGATTCAGCCGCCTGCAGGAAGCCTCGCCAGCATGCACAGGCCTGCCTTGGGGCTGAGCCCAGGCAGTTGAGGGAGGCCAGGGGAGAGATGGCTGTTGGCAGAAGGTAAGACCAGCCCACGGAGGAGATGTGGTCCTGTCTGGCCTTCTGGGGGAAGCAGAAAGGAGACATCTGTGGGCTTTCACTGGGCTCTCCAAGACCCAGAAACTTGTAAGGATGTTATCGGAAATGATTACGAGCTTGAGCTATGACCAGGTCGTGGAAAGGGAAGCGTGCAGGAGCAGCAGGCACCTGGGAGTGCGTGAGGAGGAGTAGGACTCCTGGCCCAGGCATCTATGTGCTCCCACGCAGCGGCTTGGGCTTAGGGCTTTTCACCAAAGTGGCAATAAAATAAACTCTTACAATGTGTTGGATTGACTTCAGGTATTGTCCCTGGACTCCTGGCCACATCCCCTAGATCAATACATCAGAGTAATCCAGCCGGAGTCATTTAAATATATCAACAGTGGCTTCCTGGAGCCAGTTTCCCCAGTCAAAAGTGATTTTCAAGACGTTTGGGGCAGGTTGTCATTGGAATATGGTTTTACAAGCCAAATTACTCGCTCCTAGAGTCTATGGAAAAGTGTTCCCCTTTAAGTAAACTTCCTTTCTTCGTTTAAGACCCTGGGGAAAAATAACAATTCAAAAGATTTTTTTCTAAGTTCTTTCTACATTGAAGGTTTTTATTGCCAAAAACCATTTGCTGTGTGCAAAGTACTGTGAAAGGTGCAGGGCGCCTTATCTAGATGCTATCTGGCAGACTGGTTGCTGCAGGATAAAAAGACTATTTTCCATTTAACTTCAAGAGTTGGTCCAGCCTATGTTGCAGGAGATAAAGGCTGAAGGACAATAGAACTAGCCAGGGTTGAGGGAGTCAAGATAAAAGCAAAGGGTTTCAGCAGTTTGCCCAGATTCTTGGAAATACTAAAAGCCCAATCATCTGACGTAAGTTCAGAATTTCTTTTACATATTCTGCATCTATTATTTTGTTTAAATTTCTCATTATTCAATTTATCCCAAGTTCATATCCACCTTAGGCACTCTTCTAGGATTCCTCCCTTTTCTCTGTTCACCCAAGCTTCCTCCATCTTTCTAGGTTCCCTCAACACTCTTAAAAATTAGGAGACCTGGCTGAGTGCTGTGGTTCACACCTGTAATCCTAGTACTTTGGGAGGCTGAGGCAGGTGGATCACGAGGTCAGGAGTTCGAGACCACCCTGACCAATATGGTAAAACCCTGTCTACTAAAAATACAAAAATTAGACAGGCGTGGTGGCACACGCCTGTAATCCCAGATACTCGGGAGGCTGAGGCAGGAGAATTGCTTGAACCCAGGAGGCAGAGGTTGCAGGGAGCCAAGATCACACCACTGCACTCCAGCCTGGGCAACAATGCGAGACTCGGTCTCAAAAAAAAAAAAAAAAAAAAAAAAAATTGGAAACCTTGGAATCCCAGCCGTGGCACTGGCCAGCACATGCCTTTGGAGGAGTTGCTTTCACCCTCTGAGGCTCATCTATAAGATGGGTCCATCAGCTCTGGCCTTGCAAGGAATTATGAGGCCAAGAAAGAAAAAGGAATATCACAGTGCTCTGGAGACTCTAGTGTGACACAGATGCAAACAACCACATCTTCTCCTTCAGACCCAGGAGACAAACGTCTGTACCACTTCATGATGAGCCCAACCACTTACACTGGCATTTACATTCCTTCTTGGGGGAGAATATTTGGTATTTGGTTTCTCTCTATTATGAGGTTTTATGGGTAAGGAAGAATTATCAGGACACAAAAATATTCACAAATGAGCACACAAAATGGACTACACAATTAGAAAACATATATCACTGCATTATCGTTTATATATAATGATGACATTATTATTCAATTAGAACGGTTCAAATCAGAGCCATAGTCACTGATAAGTGAGAAAATGGTAGAATAGGACCAGTTAGCAATTAAAGAAAGGAAGAAATAAGCACCAAGAAGGTTGACACACAGGCTTGCTGGAAACAGAGATGACCGCAGCAAAGGATGAGAGGGTCCCAGGAGGAAGTGAAAATGGCCTCAGATATTTTTGCCAAAATGATCTTCATTACCTATTGCTCTGAAAGTCATACATGAAGGGAAAGATAATGGCCCTACAAAACAATTCTGTCAGAAAAAAAGGATGCCTCAAATGCCCCAACACTTGATTCATTCTCTGTTCAGACTAAAACATCAGCACACTGTTGCGCTATAACCTATATTCTGCTTATTCTGAAATAAACCTGCTTTCGTCATTTTTATTGGTTTTTCACTATGTAAAACAGCAATTCTGGTCTTGATGTTAAGATGTTTTACCCTTTCTAGAACCAAATATCCTCAGATAATGAGGATCTGCAAACACCTGCCTCCTCCAGTGCATGGTGTGTCCATCAAGACAACAGCCCCAATCCAGCTGTTACTGAAGTCCACAAAACAGGAAGGAAAAAGCCACTGTAATTCAATTCCGGAAACCCCCATGGTTGTACCTTGTAAATATTCAATAAATGATTATTTTTTATGATCTTTGAAGAATACAATGCTACCATGTACAAGTAAAGATTTTTTTTTTCAAATTGTTCACTTGTTATAAAGAGGAAATGGGCCAGGTGCAGTGGCTCACATCTGTAATCCCAGCACTTTGGTAGGCCGAGGTGGGTGGATCACGAGGACAGGAGATAGAGACCATCCTGGCCAACATGGTGAAACCCCATCTCTACTAAAAATACAAATATTAGCTGGGTGTGGTGGCGCGCACCTGTAGTCTCAGCTACTCGGGAGGCTGAGGCAGAAGAATTGCTTGAACTGGGGAGGCGGAGGTTGCAGTGAGCCAAGATTGCACCATTGCACTCCAGCCTGGCGACAGAGCAAGACTCCATCTAAAAAAAAAAAAAAAGACATGAATTATTTCAGTGGGAAGAGAATTATGGTCCCCAACTATCACAGACTGGTGCTTTCTGTGGAATAAGCAATTCATGAATTTGGGGGCTGTCTGCCTTTAAAGTCTAGGGTGCATGACCATGTGACTTACCATCCCTGCTTCTGAAGCCAGTTCTAGATTTCAGGACCCCGGGGTGATGAGAAGCTAATGTCAGCGGCTCCAATGTACATAACATGATAACATGTCAGGAAGGAAAAGACAAATTCTATAAGTAAGGTGCAATAAACTGTGAGGCTAGACCTGAACTGAGAACACAGAATGTGTCTGGGAGGAGAGCTGGGAAGAGAACAGTAGTAATGTTCATTATTTGGAACTTTTCAGAATGGTGTCAAACTTCTTCTCAAGTTAATCATTTTAAGATGCTTCAAGGCACTTGCAGCGTAACAAACAACTCCACACACCATCCATCACTGCCAGGAGTACTCCTGGTACTCATCATTCTTCTCCCACCTGTGAAATAAGAACGAGAATGACGCTGCTGCAAAGGGAGGGTGAGAATCAGCTTTGCCAGGCCCTTGCAGCTGTGGGTTGCAGCAGGTGGCACTTTGGAAGGTTAGTGTGATGTTAACCTTCATAGGTGCCATGTTGGCCAGCCACTGGGGTCATGCCCCAACACCACTCCCCACCCCTGCCCTCATTTTTGCCAGCTTATGGCCAGGGTGAGGAAGGGGAATAGTAATCCAAGGTGCCAAGGTGACCTTCAAAAATACAGTCAAGGCTGACTGCCTGATCTGGACCTGTCATTCATTTTCATTTGCTCATTCCCCCCTCACCTCTTCTTTCAAGAGAAAACTATATCCATTTTCAAGAACTCTTAATAAATGATGATTTGAGAATAAAGGACTAGAAAGAATGGAGTCATGTGATACACTTTAATTAAAAAACAAGTCATTGCCTCATCAAGGTTTTGCCTTTTACTACCAGCTGCCATGGTGTTTAAGTACATATAAATTAGAGCTCAAGCTGAAGATTCCAAGCCTTTAAAAGAAAAAAAGCAGCATGCAAGCCAAATATTTCTTTATCTTGACACAGAACTCTATTGAATCAGTTTCTACACAGCAAGTGCTGGAAGAGAGGAGAAAGATTATTGAATTCAATCAATTTCCATAAGGAGTCTGGTGTTGGGAGACAGGGCATCATCTGCCCAAGTTAAATCTACAAATCTGGCTTTCAAACAAGAAAATGACACATCTATTCATCTAATTTTGATTGAATGGACTGCCAAAAATATGCCCTACAAAAATGAGTAGAGGCGAGGCATGGTGGTTCATGTCTGTAATCCCAGAGATATATATATCTCTGAAACTCAGAGACAGTGTCACTCTGGATGGTAGCAGTCATTCATATAGGAACAACATGTGGGAGGGGGTGAGATCAGGCAGGAAAAGAAAGAAAATGAGAAGAGATGAACATCAAGAATGGAATACCAAAATTAAAGGAAGAAAAGAAGGCAGAATGGAGATGTGAGACTGATAAAATTGGAAGTTGAAAGAAGTAGAGGTTTTGGTAAAATAAAAGAACAAGAATTATGAGAATAGGACTGTAAGATCTAGATAGTTAAGGACATGATCAGAAGGTCAGATAAATGAGTTTAAGTCAACAGGGTAACCAAGGCATGGAGAGACGGGCTTCAGCCCTATAATCTCCATCATTTCCCTCACCAAATCAACAATTAACATACATAAAAATTAGTATTTATTGAGATATACACAAACTATACTTTTGGTTTAAAAAATTATCATATTTGCATTTGCTATGTGAATACTACAGGTTGACTATCCCTTATCTGAAATGCCTGGCACCAAAAGTGTTTTGGGTTTTGGGTTTTTTCAGATTTTAGAATATTGCATTCTGCTTAGCAATTGAGCATCCCAAATCCAAAAACTCAAAATCCGAAGTGCTCCAATGAGCATTTATTTTAACCATGATGTTGGTGCTCAAAAAGTTTCAGTTTGGAGCATTTTGGATTTTCAGATTCAGGATTCTCGACCTGTATCTTAAAATAAATCCCTTACAACCAGATAAGAGCTTAGGGTTATCTTTTCCTACATATAAAAATGTTGTGGTTCTCCTGAGTTGAACGTTTCCATGGGAGTAGTGGTCAAAGCAAAGATGAGGTCCTTGGCAAAGGGTTCTTGAAGTGAAGGAGAGAAAAGGTCCCTAGAGAGGAGTCAAGAGCCTCTGGACCAAGGGGTCTGATGGCCATTCACTTAGGCATGCGAAGGTTCCAGAGACATGGAAGCCCCACTTGGGAGAAGGAAACCAGGAGCTAAAGGTCCAAGAAAGTAAGAAGAGAGCCTGGGATTTCAAGGAATAGCAGACATCAAAGAAATGCAATTCTTTTGCAATTCTATGCAGTGACATACTGATGAGGAAGAAAAGGCAAAGAAATCAAGGGAGAGGAAGGAAAGGGAAGAGGAGGAGATAAAACAGAGAGGAGAAAAGGCAGGGGGAGAAGAAGACGAGAAGGCAATGATAAAAAAAAAGCGACAGGGAAATCTGCTGCAATACTGAAATCTGCTGACCAGTCCCCAAGGGTCTCAGAGGTTCTGCCTCCAGCTTTCAGGTTTCAGTTTATCCCCAGGGCAGCTGAAGACCCCAAAGATGGGCTAGTCCAGCTTCCAGCAAGGAGTCTGCTTTCGTGACCCACAGGCCAAGGGGCTCCTGACCTCAGGCCGTGGACTTCCGTGGTTGACGGCATGGACCATGAATGACTGTGTATCCTGTGGACCACTCCAGCATTGCCCTTCCAGGGGCCTCATTGGCTGGGAGAAAGAAGATCCTCCATAGCCTGAGCCACCGTAGGACTGAGCTTCCTGCTTCCTTCTCTACTTCTAACTCCTCAGCTCTAGAGCTACACCTCTGTAGCTTTTCTTCATCTCAAAATCACTTGTGATGGGGAAACAGGTCCTGTCTCCACAAGGAGATCACATAAACACCTTGAGAACAAGACTTAGTCTTTGTCATTCCTGTATCCCACCCTGTTATCACACCCACAACATAACACGGCATGGAGCTAGCTCCCAGTGAAGGCCAAATGGGTTGTTTCAAAGAGGAAAAGGAAGAAGACATCTCTTGGCTAGCATGAAGAGAACATTTAGAGCAATCCTGATAATTCAACAAATCTGTTATAATTCGAAGACATTTGTGAAAATGGCAAAGAAAGGTACTAACTCCAAGGCAGAATTTCCACTCCCACTTTAAGTTCTCCGACTGCTTCCCATTGCACTTAAATAAATCCAGCCCCCCACCAAAATAAAATAAATAAAATAAAAATAAATCCAGCCCCCTTAACATAATCTGCCAGGCCCTTGTCCCAACTCTCCATCATCACCTTATCCCACAGTCCCCCTTTCTGGCTGAGCTGTAGCCACGGGCCTTCTTTCTGTTGCTTGTTTCTGCCTTTAGGACTTGTCCGGTCTCTTCTACCTGAAATATTCTTCCCTCGACCTTTGCATGGCGGACTCCTGCTCATCATTCAGGTCTCAGTGCAAATACCACCTCCACCAGGGGCCTTCCCAGAGCTGCCTACCTGGACATACACCTGTCACTCTCTGTCCCATGTCACAGCTGTCACTCTTGCCTCCATGACCCTGTTGTATAGTCTCCATAGCCCTCATCACTATCCAAAAGGTTTAAGTGAATGATTTTTTATTTATTCTTTTTTGTTGTCGTTTTTAGAGAGAGGGTCTCACTCAGCCCAGGCTGTGCAATGGCGCAATGATAGCTCACTGCAGCCTCAAACTCCTGGACTCAAGGGATCCTCCTGCCTCCGCCTCTTGAATAGCTGAAAGTACCCGTGTGCACCACCACGGCTGGGCAATTTTTTAAAAAAATAGTTTTAGACAGGGTCTCCTTATGTTGTCCAGGTTGGTCTCAAACTCCTGGCCTCAAGCAATCCTCCCACCTCAGCTTTTCATCACCCTTGGATGAGCTTTGGGAGACTGTGCCAGTAATAGTGATTCATTGTCCAGTCTCTTCCTTGAATAGCCTGGCAGACATGAAACAGTGATGTATTTTGCGAGTGGATGAATGTGTGGTTAAATGAACGATGGCTGATATAGTCACACACATAGAAATCTCAAAGCTCAAAGAGAGATGAGAAGTGAAGGTCGGGACCCTTGGCCCCCAGCTAGCAAGGTGTCCTTCCCAGCTGGGCTAGGAAGACCCTGAGTTTTCAGATGCCCCCCTGCTTCTGCTCTGTATCTTCAACTCCCCTCAATGCTCAGCTCCTCCCAATCTGACTGCTACCCACCGCTCCCCAGAGGGGCCCCAGGAAATTTTTTTTTTTTTGGAGATGGAGTTTTGCTCTTGTTGTCCAGGCTGGAGTGCAATGGCTCAATCTCAGCTCACTGCAGCCTCCGCCTCCTGGGTTCGAGCAATGCTCCTGCCTCAGCCTCTCGAGTAGCTGGGATTACAGGCACATGCTGCCACGCTCAGCTAATTTTTTTTATTTTTAGTAGAGACAGGGTTTCACCATGTTGGTCAGGCTGGTCTCGAACTCCTGACCTCAGGTGATCCACCTTCCTTGACCTCCCAAAGTGCTGTGATTACAGGCGTAAGCCAGGAAATTTCCAGATGGACAATTCCAAGGTCTATTCTCGGGCCTTATTCTGGTTCATCTTTCTGCAGGACTTTGTGACTGCAAAGTGCCTTTCTGAAACTCTCTTCACACTGCTTTGAGGGCACTGTTCTGCACTAATTCTTATTCTGCCTCCATCCTGAGTCTTGATTCCTCTTATTCCTTGCCTAGAAGTCCTTGCTTCGACAGGCCCTGACCTCGATCTTCTCTACGTACAGCTCTGAAGTGCCTGAAAGGTGTCCCTCGCCTGTGTCTGAAGCTGCCACTTCCCTACAAAAGCTCCTTCAGCTTGGGAAAATTCCCCAGGCTTTAGCCCCCTCCTTGTCTACCTTGAGGCTCCTTGTCTCTGCTTTTTGTCTCATTAGACTTCAGGGGCCGAAGGAGTAAACTTCAAACTCCTTACCTTGCTGATGAAACTCTTCTTATTCTGACATCCCCACCTGCATCATACCTGCTCTGGCCAGTTCCCTCAGCTTCACTAAATTCACCCTCCCTTCCAGCCCCTCTGCAATTCTCTCTATTCTCTGAACTTGCCTTGTTCTCTCACAGGGCCACCACATATAGACTATCATGTGAATCGCCTGCCACATACATACACATACCTAAACTTGTGCAGTGCACAACCTACATGGCCATGCATAGCACACCTGCCCTTTAGCGATGTCTTGCCTTTGTACATTCTTCCCTTTACCTGATATGTCTTCCGTTCTCCTCTTTGTCCCATCTCTAAAACCCTCTCCCACTGCCTCCAGATCAAGTTATTTGCTTCCCTTTCCAGGCCCCCTCAGCTGTCTGAACAACCTCAATCATCGCACATTCTACTCTAATGATCTACTTACATGTCTGTCCCACCCATTAGTCTGGGAGCAGAGGCACATCCCATTTACTTTGTTTTTAAATTCCAAGTGCCCACCGAGCACAATACCTGACACAGAAACAACACTCATAAAATGTCTGTAGAATTAAACGAACCATCTTTCTAAGTAGAGTTTAGAACAAGCTTGGGCAAATGCCCTCTCATTATCATATCCAGAGAATAATTATCCCCAATCAAGTGTTTTTTATATAAATAAAGGTCTTTAAGGCAGACGCTATCACCTACACACTTTGGAAGATTCTAGAAGTTTCTCACACTTATTTATTTATTCCACAAATACTTACAGAGCACCTACTGTGCCCCAGGTGCTGTGTTAGAGCTGAGAAACAGCAGAGGACACAGGCACGGCCAGCCTTGTTGAGTTTCTGTTCTGGAGAAGGCTGGTGAAGGAGTTACACATGAAGCAAAGAGACCAAAAATCTTCTCAGATATAAGAGGGGAACAGGTACCAACGAGAAAAAAATTCAGTCAGACAGGGGGACTGGAGCATGCCAAGACATTGGTTAGGGGAGGGAGGGAGTTTGCCATTTTAGACACAATGGCCAGGGAAGGCTTCCAAGACCAGAACACCAATGAGGCAAATATGGGATGAAATGTATTATTTTAAAACTATTTCTGAGCACTGTATATGTGCTTGGCATTGCCAAATATTTTCTCTGCTCCCATGAAATAGCTTTTATTTCACCCATAATGCCACACCCTGAGGTGTCAGACAGGCAACCATCGTGTGACCCCAGAGGATGCTAAGGAAGCCAACCAGGGGGAGGGAGGGCTGTAAGGCAGCCCCGGCTCTAGGCCTCAGTCTCCTGGTTTCTTATGGGAAGAAAGAGGACAGGACCCCTGGGACTGACAGATCCCACTTGTTTTATGTTTTGAAACATTTTACTGGGGCAGGCGGGGAGAGGTGGAGCAGTGACGGCCCTTTGGGCACTCTGAGGTTGTGTCCTTGTTTGTGAAATAAAGATTTCAGGCCAGGCACGGGGGCTCATGCCTGTAATCCCAGCACTTTGGGAGGCCGAGGCAGGTCACTTGATGTCAGGAGTTCAAGACCAGCCTGACCAAAATAGTGAAACCCTGTCCCTACTAAAAATACAAAAATTAGTTGGGCGTGGTAGTATATGCCTGTGATCCCAGCTACTTGGGAGGCTGAGGCAGGAGAATCGCTTGAACCCAGGAAGTGGAGGTTGCAGTGAGCCGAGATCACACCACTGCACTCCAGCCTGGCGACAGAGCGAGATTGTATCTCAAAGGAAAAAAAAAAAAATTTCAACATCATCCCTGCCTGCCACCTCCACCTCTGTCTGCCAAAGATAAAGTATATTTCAAAGATAGGTTAAAAAATAAGACCCAATGTGGTCTCCTCTTTCACAAGACACGGGGGTTTCTTGTCCCCCTGCTGGCCTCCACACTTTTTGCCAGTTCAGTCCTCACATTTCCATTGCTCTTACACCTTAACTGGTGCCTTCCCTTCTATCGCCCCATTTAGTCCTCATACCACCCCAGGGAAGCAGGTCAATTCTAGAGATGAAAAAGCTGAGTCCAGACAAGGGGAATACGGAGGTTATTGGCTAACCTGTGACCAAGCAGAAATTCAGTTCTAGGTGTTTCAATTCTCCTTTCCCTCCATAACTGCCTTTTCTGCTTGAATCACCCTGTCCCATGCAAGCATGAAGATATGCATGGGGTTTCGTGGTGCCACAGAGTTTGGGTCTGTAAATAAAGTGATAAAAACAATGCTTCCCAATTACCTTTGATAATGCTACTCTCATCAATGAGTTTGATTAAGCTAATCCTATATTTGGATTCCACCTGACATCCAGGCTTAATTTGTCAGTTTGGACAAAAGGGCATTTTCAAGGCTTAAAGACTTGTCTAACACAAAGCTTAGCGCTAGTGAGTTCAAAAAATGTTTTCCGAATTCCAGCTTTTTTGAATCTGATAAAACTCTAATTGAGGCAGTAATTTGGGCAGATAGGAGGCTGGCTTCTTCCCCTAAGTGATTCTGGGGCTAAGTGCTAGGGAATGATGCAAATGTGGTGAGTGGTTAATAATTAAAGGATTTAATTAACCCTCATCTGGGAACATGTCTAGTAGCTCAGTGTGTGCCCTGGCAGCTCCTAGCAAGCTGGGTGGCTGCAGGGGGAGAGGCAAGCATCAGAGGCAGAGGAACTGGTTCTTTGGGGGAAGATTTCTAGTCCATATGTAAAAAGAGACACATTTTAACTATTGATAATACATGTCTGGGGCCAGGGTTTCAAAGAAGATGGTAAAGACAGGGGTGTTTAATTGTTTAACATCCAGTTACTCATCGTTAGGAACCCAGCCTCTACCGTCTGTGTTCACAAATAGAGGACAAGAACAACCTCTCATTCATCTCTCTGTTTCTAGACCTTAACACAGTGTAGATGTTCAACGGATGCTCGAGACTGAAGTAGAAAAGGAATAAGTAAATGCTAAAAAGCAATTCAAAAAAACAACTCAATTATCATGTAATGCTGAGCCAAAAAACAAAACTTACTTGGGATACAAAATCTGTACCCAGTGTGATCCAGCTATATAAACAAACACAGTTGACCCCTGAACAACATAGGGGTTAGAGGTGCCGACCCCCATGCAGTCAAACATCTGTGTATGACTTTTGACTCCCCCAAAACTTAACTACTAATAGCCTACTGTTGAATGGAAGCTTACTGATAACATAGTCAATTAATATGTTTTGTATATGTATTATATACTGTATTCTTACAACAAATAAGCTACAGAAAATAAAATGTTATTAGAAAATCATAAGGAAGAGAAAATAAATTTACTATTCACTAAGCAGAAGTGGGTCATCATAAAGGTCTTCATCCTTGTGTCTTCACATCATATAGGCTGAGAAGGAGGAAGAAGAGGAGAGGTTGGTCTTTGCTGTCTCAGAGGTGGATGAGGGGGAGGTTGGGGGGGAGGCAGAAAAGGCAGGCATGCTTGGTATAACTTTTATTGAAAAAAATCCATATGTAAGTAGACCAGCACAGTTCAAACCTGTGTTGTTCAAGGGTCAACCATATATGGAGAAAGAGCTTGAAAGAAACATTAGTAGTGGTTATTTCTAGTGGTTGAGATAACTGTGTGTTTTTTTCTTTCCTGCTGCTTAATTTTCTTTACTTTACAACTTTTTAATATTTATGTAGCGGTATAAATATTAAATAGTATATTTAAGATAGATATATATATATATATACACACACATACACACACACTACTCTTAAAACCCATAGAAATAGAGTTGATGTATATCAAAGAGAAAGCAAGTACTGCTATTTTTGATGAGACATCAATTACAAAGATGGACAAGATCTTAGGGATGATCCACTCATTTCTTTTATTCATTGATTCATTCAGTCAGTCAGTCAACAAACAGCTGAGCACCTATACCTACTATGCCTGGCACTGTGTTAGGTGTGATCCCTGTGCATATTTTATGCCATACTCTTGGAAACTTTTGCATTCATTTAATTCCTGTAACCATCCCTATGTGGTAGGTACTATCACCATCCCAATTAACAAATGAGGAATCTGTCCAAGGTCACACAACTACAAAGCAGGATCCTAACCAAGGTAACTAACCCTAGAGCTGGACCTCTTAACTGTGCTGCCACTTGAGTCTCCTGGAGGCCAAGGCAGGCAGGCCCCTCCGACTGCAACCACCCTGGGCTCCAACACTCTGTCCCCATTCATCTTTCCCTTCCAGCTTTGTCTTGTCCTCAGAACCACACAAACTTAGGGGACTCATCATCCCTTGCGTGACCATGTGTTCTCCTCTGGCCCTCTGGGTTCCAGACTAAATATTTCTGGGTCCGTCAATGATCATTCATAGTTTCCCAAAATCCTACTACTCTTCTCTAGGCTGCTCTACTTTATCAATGTCCTTAGAGTTTGGCTCCATAGCAGAGCCCCTCACTGTGGTTTGTGCATGCAACTGACCACACCCTGTGCTGATGTGTGGTCTGACCAGCACAAAAGGGTCACCTCTCTTGAGCCAGACACTGGATTTCTATGATTGCATCTCAAAAGCATGCTCACTTTGGCTTTTATACACATTATATTTAAACAGTGAACTTGAATTCTTTAGTACATAGCATACATAGATCAAGTCTTTTGTGATAACAAATGCTAAACTAGAGAAGCAAGAAATGCCCAAATTCCAGAAGCCTGTATTCTAAAAATTCATTTGTAGGCCAGTTATTTGAAATCAAAAGTTTAATGGAAACATAACAATAAATGATGCTGCTCATGGGTCTAATCAAACCTACTGTAGCCCTCCCATAATTGAAATGCATTTTGTTTGAAATAATATATAAAACATTAGCAAGGACTCATAGTTTTAAGCAACTAAAAGCCATTTAAACACAAAGAATACTCAACACTGTCTTACCAAATGTAGAGTCATTTCCTGGCATGGTCTTATACTGTTAATTATCAGAGCAAAAATACTGAATAAAATATGATTTTAAAAGCAAGTCCTTGAGGTTGGGAGTTCAAGACCAGCCTGACCAACATGGAGAAATCCCATCTCTACTAAAAATACAAATTTAGCCAGGTGTGGTGGCACATGCCTGTAATCCAAGCTACCCAGGAGGCTGAGGCAGGATAATTGCTTAAACCCAGGAGGAAGAGGTTGAGGTGAGCTGAGATCACACCATTGCACTCCAGCCTGGGCAACAAGAGTGAAACTCCGTCAAAAAAAAAAAAAGCAAGTCTTATTAACACAGGAGCAAGAGGTGGTTACAGATTCTAGGTACAGAGCCTGGGAGGATTCTGGGAAGGTTTGAGAGCAGGGGAGACCCATGATGCTAGTGAGTTGGATCTAAAGCAACTTCTAAACATGCCCCTGCTCTTTTTCCTCAGGCAGCAGGTGGTTACATTACTCTTGATTGGAACTCCTCTCTTTTGCCTTCTCAGAATGTCTTGTTTTTGTTTCCAGAATCTCTGTGAGTTGAGAGTCAAGAATGAGATTTTACCTGGGGCATGAATGTCTGGAAGCCTTAGACTCCGCTGAATTGAGGGACCCCCCCCCAAAAAAAAAAGTTGTCAGCACTCTTTCTTCATTCCTGGACTCTGCTTTCTCTGGAATGCTTTCATTTCAGGCAGGCTCTTGACTCTTGGAGACAAAGAGACCTCCAGTATCCCTGGGCTTATATTCCAGCACCTTAATCATCCCAGCCAAAAAAGGGCTCCTCTTTCCCGCAGTTACCATACAACTTCCAGATGTGACTCTCATTGGACAAATCTGAGCCATGTGCTCATCTCTCAGCCAATCCCTAGGACCAGTGGATGGGAAACAAGCCCAGGTCTCTTGACCACCCCTGAAGCAGGTGGAAGGGGTGAGTAGGAAGGGAGCAAAACAGCAGAGACCCGATCCAAACTACCGACAGATGGATATGGAATGGGAGAGGGATGGCCCCCAAAGTGCAGGGAGCTGCTATAACTTGTAGAGGGTGAGTGGATAATGGATGAACAAAAACACCAAACATCTGCCATAGGGATGAAAGGAACTTACCTTTACTGAAGACCTACTATGTGACCAGTGTGGTGCTCTACAATGCATTGGTCATCCTCTAAGAAGAAAAGAATGATCCCTGAGACCCTACCCTATGGGTAACACTTAACAAATCAGCCCACAGCTAAGAGATAAGTGAAAACCAAGGCAAGTAGATACAGACCTCCCGGGGGCAGGATTAAGAAGGAAAAGAGGCAAGGAGAGTTTTCAGGAGAGACCACAGCGCTGGAGGCAGGAAAGTAAGATGTAAAAGAGATGCTCCTAGACCTGTCAATCAAGCTTGCCTGAACTCGTCACACTAAGAAGAGTAATGGCATAAAAAGCCAACCTGAGGACCGCCCTGGAGACACTTGAGGGACAACTGCTGAATGGTCTTTTGTCAACGTGGTATCACACTCTACAATTTCTTTTTTTGTTTTTTTTTTTAGATGGAGTCTTGCTCTATCGCTATGCTGGAGTGCAGTGGCGCAATCTCACCTCACTACAACCTCTGCCTCCCGGGTTCAAGCAATTCCCCTGCCTCAGCCTCCTGAGGAGCTGGGACTACAGGTACCTGCCACCACACAAGGCTAATTTTTTGTATTTTAGTAGAGACGGGGTTTTACCATGCTGGCCAGGATGGTCTTGATTTCCTGGCCTTGTGATCCACGCGCCTCGGCCTCCCAAAGTGCTGGGATTACAGGCGTGAGCCACCGCGCTGGGCCATCATTCTCTACACTTTCTAAGGTTTGGAAAACTACAATTCCCAGAATCTTTTTCCCTGTGTGGTTCCACGTCAGAGTTTGCCAATGAGATCTGTAAGGTGGGCACATGTGAAGTCCACGGCGGCTTCTCAGCCAGTGCTTGGGGATCACTCATTTTGCTACTGCAGACTAAACTGGTTGGAGGGAGTTTGTTCAGAAATTTGTGAGAACTACAGCAGTTTCCTTGGAAGCTTTTTTGAGAAGTGTGAGGTCTTCAGCGTCCACTTCCATAACTTTCTGGTTGCAGGTTCCTGGTTTTCTGCAGTGACTCCCCTGGCCTCTACAACTCCAACTCCTACAATACTCATATGAACCTTAAGTCCTAGACACAACCCCTTCATTTCCAGAATACTTAGATTGACTCCATTGTCTTGACCAAACCCAGACTGATCCAGAATTCCCATGTAAAAAGGATTCTGCCCAGAGATCAGGATCTGAAGTCTGTAAATACCCAGCAAATGTGTGTGGTTGTCCTGGCTAAAATTTAAACTCACAAATGTACTTTTATTTTGCCCACTTTTTCCATTCCATCCTATTGAACTTGGACGAGTCATCAATAAATGCCTTCATTTAGAAAGCTGACTTTTTAAGTTACAAATGATGTTGCCATATTCAGGATCAGTAAGAACTGGGTCCGCTCCACGCCCCAACAGTAGTGGGATTTCCCACC
Source organism: Homo sapiens (assembly GCF_000001405.40). Lineage (NCBI taxonomy): Eukaryota > Metazoa > Chordata > Mammalia > Primates > Hominidae > Homo > Homo sapiens. The sequence goes on from NC_000010.11 coordinate 121,210,695, forward strand.
ACCCACATACATGGGAAAAGATAAGTCTCCTGCAAAGTTTTTGTCTTTTAAGCTGAATTTATTTAACTCAAAGCATCTACCCAAGAGCTAAGATAGCCTATAGAACTCCAAGTGTGGACAGAAATAATTAACAGTAATTAAGACACTTGTCATTGCTTATGTTTATTAACTTTAAACTATTACCCATGCTTAAGTGCCAAGTGAGGATGAATAAAGAAAAACATAAAGCAGGGCTCTTCTGGTGGGGCTTCATCATTCATCTCTTCAGTTAACTGGAGTCTCAGCCGTGATGTTCCAGGCCTCTTCGCTAAAATGCTGCCGCCTGAAAATAACTTGGTGCGGAGGCAGGAAATTCTAAAGAAATTAATAAGGTGACAACCCTGCTGTCTTTAAATTCCATCAATATTCATATTTTGCAACATATGGTGAGAGGAGCTCGGACTTTGCAGTTAGACAGGCCTAGGTTAATATCCTAGCTTTGATATTTACTAGATGTCTCCCCTGCATTTAAATGTGTAAGCCTCAGTTTTCATCTGTGATGATAGTATTACAAATGAAGTAGGTACAATTATCTTTACCCGTAAGGGAACTTCCCATGAGCAGTGATGGCTCCAAGGCATAGAAAGATGGGATGGGACTTCACTGTTCCCTAACAAGCTATACCCTCCAACCCAAAAGCACAATCTAAGTAAAAGCTATGAGCTTGCTGTTGAAACCAATTCAATGGTACAATTTGATGTTGAAATAAAATTAGAAACTCCTAGCCCCTTCCTAGCAGAATGCTACCCCTCAGCCCCTCCTTTATAAGCTGCCAGTTCCCAAAAGAAAATCCGTTTGTGATCCAAGTCATCTCTCTAAAATATTTCTTTTCATGACAATGTTTTACCACAACTCTACTCTGATGCTTTCCTCTGAATAAAATCAGCAGGTTAATGATTTTAAATATCTGGGTTAATGTTTCCATTTGAACCATTCCAGGAGACAAACATGAGAATGACTAGGTATCAAATGAATATAGGCACTGAGAAAAAAAAAATGTTGAGTGGGCATTTTGCTCAGGATTGGGTACTACAGTAGCCGATTTATTTAAAGCAAATTTTTTGTTATTGTTGTTTTATTTTATTTATTTATCTTTCTTCAACTTTTAAGTTCTAGGACATGTGCAGGACGTGCGGGTTTGTTACAAAGGTAAATATGTGCCATGGTGGTTTATAGCAAGTTTTTAAAATCCTCCCCAGCTCTGACAATCATTTGCGTACTCCACAGAGATTAATTGGTAAATTAGTTACCTAATAAAGAGTAATTAATAAAGATTGTTGATTGACTCTTTGCCATAATGTATCCTGGGTCATGCAGGGGACACACCAGTGAACAAGAGAGACACAGTGCCCATTCCATGGCACAGGCACACTCCTAGAGCTGTGTTTTCAGCCTCTTCTTTTCGTTATTACCCCCAACAAAGAGCTTTTTAAGAATCTTTTTTCTTAACCCATGATGTACTGCATACCTGTATATACTGCATATATTGTATATATCATAGATATACTATATATCTGCTTAAGTTTTGAATGTATATCTGTGATTTACACATTAAAAGAATAAGACTTTAGGCCGAGCATGGTGGTTCATGCCTGTAATCCCAGCACTTTGGGAAGCCAAGGCGGGTGGATCTCTTGAGGTCGGGAGTTCAAGACCAGCCTGGCCAACATGGTGAAACCCCGCCTTTACCAAAAATACAAAAATTAGCCAGGTGTGGTTGCACGCATCTGTAATCCCAGCTACTCGGGAGGCTGAGGCATGAGAATCGCTTGAACCTGGGAGGCAGAGTCTGCAGTGAACAGAGATCACGCCAATGCACTCCAGCCTGGGCGACAGAGCAAGACTGTGTCTCAAAAAAAAAAAAAAAAAAGACTTTTTTCATCCTCTAAGAACTAATGTTTCCCCCTTTGGAGCAATATTGCCGCCAATGCAAATGCATGTCCTGCAGCATAAAGATACACCAGAACAGAACAAACCCCAGAAGCTGAAAGTCCCATGAAGCCCAATTGAGATGGATGGAGACAGAGGGAGCATGAGACAAACAAAGTTTAAAAATGAATTAATTGCAATCATTCATAAGGTCAAATGCCAACTAGACATCCCAACTCCATTGGGTGTGTGTGAATACTACAAAGAACATAGACTCCATCCCTAACTTTGGAACAGAGCGAATCAACTCCGTTTGGAGACCTAAGCAGAGACCACATAGGCTGGTTAGCGAACAATGAAGTCCTCCATTAGAGGAGGATTGCAGGTGCAATAGTCAGAGATGGAGCAATCACTGTGAGCTGGTGGGGGTGGAAAACAAGGCGTTCTTAAGGAGTTGGAGCCCAAAAAGACCTTGGTGAATAGGTATTTGGATGCATTCCTTTGGAGAGCAATTATCTAGCACCTTCTATGTAGGACACTGAGCTAGAACTGGGTTTCCAAAGATGATAAAGACCATACAAGGCCCTGAGTCTGCTGTAAGAACAGACGGGCACAGGAATAACTCTCAAGGAACAGGTACCAACGGAGGGATGAGCCTGCATGGCTGGGTAGAAGCAGCAGTGCTGGGGCCACAAGACCTCTAATACCATACAGGTTTTCCCTGTGGAGGAAATGAAAAAGGAAGGCAGTTTGGGTTGCAGGAGTCTTAGCCTGCTTCTCAGTTCTAAGAAAGTATTGGGAAGCCCATAGGGCACCCTGGAGTCAGAGCTGCCCACCAGAGGCATCCCACATTTCTCAGCCTTAACATCCCTGCCAAACTCACTCTCTGGCTGGGAGCAGCCACATCAGTGTGGTGATAGATTCAGAGCACAGCAGCTAAAGCCATCAACAATTACGCTCCTTGCAGAAGGAGAGCTTAGGGGTTCACATTCATAGCCAGTACAGGTGGATTTTATGAGAAAATGTGCAAACTCAGCAGTTATATCAAGCACGAGGTTTGACCAACCTTGTCAATGATAAGGTGTTTATTATTATTACTATTAACAAAATACTAGGGGGAATACCAAACATGGAGTGTGCCCATTAATTTCTCCAAGAATTGTAGAGGAATTCAGCGAGGATGCATAGGTGGGATAGGGCCTTGGAGAACAGCTAAGATTTCTTCAATGGACGAGGAGGCTTCTGGAAAGACAGGATGACCTGCCTGGGAGAGGGGGTCAAGGACAGACATGATCCCCATCCGCTGGGGATCCCCTGGCTGGATCAAGCAGACAAAGCCCGCCAGCAGTTTTAATTAGTTGAGGGTTACAAGGTTTCCCCTTCTCCCTGGTGCAGCTTTGCCCGTGCCGATATTACAGACAAAGCCCAGAGGCGACACAGGCATGGCCCACCCCAGCAGGCTCCCTTCAAGGAGACCTCTCCCCAGAGCCGTACACAAGGGATGTCAAAACACCCTCAGCTGGATGTGGCTGTCCCCAGTCTGCCCAAGATTCAGTGACATGGAGCTGCCAGACCCCCACTGCAGGCTGTCCCTATTTGTAGTCATTACACCCACCAGGGTGGCAGGCTCCACAGGCCTGGGTTTGGCCTGCCCCACCAATCTCTCCCAAGTAATGTCCAAACCCACACTCTTCCTTAAGTGTCTTGAAACCAAGAAAGATGGAGAGCTGTACATATTTTAACCTCTTCCATGCTATACCCAAGCTTTGGAGAGATTATGAGTAAATCACAGCAGGACTGGGTGCTAGCCTAGCCTCTCCTTTGCAATCAGCTCTAAAACACAAAGTCTAATCTCTTGGAAGTGCTATGCAAAGAAGGCACATTTTGCCTGCTGTCGCTGCTTTCAGTAATCATGAATGAAAGTACAGTAGTTAACCTCCAGCAACTCCGAGCCACACACACACTCAGCTTGCTCTTCCTGCCCTTGCTTTTTCTCATTTCTCCTCTAGATGGAATGCCTCCTGGGTCTACTCAACCCATTGACAACTCCTCCTTCCCCTAAAATCATCTGTCACCTCCTCCTGGAAGGCTTCCTGGATGCACAGGCTAGGCTGTGTCCTGGTCTTCTGTGCTCCCATAATTGCCTAGGCATGACTCTATCCTTGTAAGCGGAGTATCGAGCAGTGATGTCACACCTTTGCAGCTCCTTGAGGAGAGGGTCTATGTGGTCACCATCTGTGTGTGGCTGGCACCTGACAATTGCAGACCTGGCTGATATACACCTGGGTCATAGTTCTTAGAATAATGAAGCACCATGGTAAGTCATGTGCTGGTGAGAGGAGCAGGGGTGGAAACTGATTACATGACATGATGTCATTTTAAGACATTTCAGGTGGGGCTTCACAATCCCTGGGCTGTGAAAGGAGACAAGAGAAAAGCTAACTTGATACAAGCAATGTCCCTACAGGGCAAAAATGCAGAGAATCACCTGGGTGAACCCAGACCGATGGTGTCATGGGCTTTCATCAGCCTTAGTCAGTAACTTTTAGTTCTGAGTTCCTCCCTGGGCATCGCCAATAAGGCCAAGTCCTGTGCCCAGATGTCTCTGAGTGATTTTTCACCCTAGCACGTCTCTCTAAAACCATGGAGTTTTTCTTTAAGTCCTAGGCTCTAAGGAGAGAAATGAAAAACGCTTGTGTGCCAGCTCATAAAAAGTTAGGTTATGAATGCCTACAGTAAAAGTTCGCACATGGGTCCGAGGACCTGGTTATTTTGATGGTTTTCAGTGTAAGACTCACTTCACCAGCATTGTTGAGTTTGGAAAGTGAACTGTTGAAAGAACTTGAAATCCATTTTTAAAATTCGAGGCCCTCCTGTATTGATTTTCATCCCTACACCCAAAAAGGTGCACTAGGAATGTACCCTTAAACACCACCGAACAGGATCATCCAATCAAAGAGCATGATATCTGAGATCTTCTAAGTCAGTGTTCTCATTCCATGCATGAGGAAATCAGGTCTAGAAATTTCACCATCTGCCAACGGCCCACAGACAGCAAGTGATGGCTGATGCTGAGGATGGACTTGAGACTGGGTTGAATTACATCTCCCAAGAAGATATGTTCAAGTCCTAATTCCCAGTTCCTGTGAATGGGACCTTATTTGAAAATAGCGTCTTTGCAGATATAATCAATTAAGATGAGGTCATAGTAGAGTAGGGTGGCCCCTAATCCAGTGACTAGCGTCCTTGTAAAAGGGGAGGAATTTGAACACAGAGACATGTAGGGAAAATGTCATATGAAAACAGAGACAGAGACTGGAGTTAGGCCGCCATAGGCCAAGCAACACTAAGGCTTGCTGGCAACAAACTGAAGCAAAGAGGTAGGCATGAAACAGACCTCCCCGTGAGCCCTGAAGAAAGAACCAACTGGGCTTACACCTTGATCTTGGCCTTCTATCCTCCTGCACTATGACAGAATACATTTCTGTTGTTTTAAGCCACCCAGTTTGTGGTACTCCTAATATAAATCCCAAGTCTGGTTTTCTGCCTCCATGAGTTTCCAGAATTAGAACCTAAGTGTAGGAAACATTCTTCTAACCCAGGGCTATTTCTGCCACTTCAGGAAGAAGGCAGAAAATGTGACCACTTTTGACCTCAGTTCTGAGGAGCACAAGAATCTAAATCAGGGAAACATCCCTTCATCAGGGTACAAGTTCAAAGGGCTCAGTTAAGATAAATTAGTATATTCAAGACGTGAGTGTTTCCATTGAGGGACTGTTGTGTAGCAGTGTACACTCTGGAAGCCAAGACACAGTGGTCATCCTCACAAGGAGCCCAGAAAGACATATGCCTGTCCAATTTCCCAACCCAAATGATAAGTAGTCTCAGTGGACAGTCTAATTCTATGAATTTCCAGTGTTACTTTGGGGTCACGTGACTTGCTACACACACACTCTTGGAATTGGTGAAAAACACAGAGTGTTCCAGAAATATCAGCATCCAGACTGCCAAGAGGATTCTAAATGGAGCTTGCAATCACTGAGGTTTGAAATAATTGTCTTCCCCCTAATCAGATAATCACTGCCACCCAAGCAGTTCCAACACCCAGGGCAGAAGAGGGGCTGGGAGGGGCATCAGGCCAGTCTCTGTGGCCTCACTCAGGATTCCCATGGATGTGAGGCATCAGAGAGAAATCCTCAGTGGTGTTTCACGTTTCCCAAAGTTTTGGTCTGAGTTCACTGTTCATCTCATAACTGTTCTGGGTGATCCAACATGCGTGAGGGTTTGTTCAGGCTGTTTAGAGTTCTTTTGTGAAACTGTCAAAACAATGACCTCATTTGGAGCCATCTGCTGGCATGCAGGATTGGCACGGAGCTCGCTGCTGATGTGTGTCGCTGGGGCAATCAATTCAAGATGGCCACTCTGGGCACACCGTTTACTAAGCGATATCGGAGCAGATAACTGATTGCTCCATCTCTTCCTCAAGTTACTAAACATGTTAGTGCTCACACAGCCTCCACCAAAGGCTGTGTGCCAGGCATGGCAAAGGGAAGACATCATCTGCTGACCCAGAAACACAAACCCCTACATTTCCTGGAGTGGAGGGTGCTTCTCCTGCCAGGTCCTGGCCTGAACATTAACTTGCAAAGCAAAAGAAACATGATTTAATCAGAGAAAACGATTGTCTTTGGAGCAGAAAGCATGTGAGTACTATCAACATGTGGATACCAACAACAGAAGATGACCTTTATCTGATGCTGCGTGGCTGGGCCAGGGCTCTCCTAAAAACAGCAGAATCCGTGGGAAAGAATCACTCTGGGCATAATTCAGACTCAGTTCGTGATCCTCTGAAGAGAATGAATTGGGACAGTCTAGAAAGGCATGAAGCCCGTAGGTATTTCTGAATTGTGACCGAGTTTGCCTAGCACAGCGTTTTCACAGCCTGTGCAATTAGAGAGCAGGTGTGTTTTAAGTGCTCATGAAAAGAAGAGCCCTCATTTTTATTGCAAGTTTTCCCTCATTTCTCTGAGAAACAAAACAAAGCAACTCAAGGAATATGCAGGAAAATTGTTTTTGACCCAATTTGTTGTCGTTGCCAACTTACTTTCCAAAGTGGTTAATTAGGCAAGCTCAGCAGAACTTTCCAGTTTCTGCAAGGGTGCCAGTTTCGGAGCACCTCTGTAGACTCCCTCTGCTGAGGGATGAGATGGTGACACTTTTCTCAGATTTCCTTTTGTTTATCAGATCGGGGTGTGTGCTGGGGTCGGGGCTGGGGGTGAGCCTTAGCTCACATGTGAAAAACAGCCACTAGACATTTCTCATGAATCTGAGCAGTTTCAGACCTCTTGTGCATGTGTTAAGTCTGATGTGAGCTTGTAATCAGAGCCAATTCCTCAAAACTCAGTTCAAGTGGGTGGTGGTAATTTGCAAGGTCACTGCGTCATTATCAACACACAGCAAAATAAGAGCAGGATTGCACCTCAATACATAGGACACGGTGAAGAGAAAGTTGTTAGGGCTAGAGAAGAAACCAAATGAGATAGGGAAACCGGAGAGGGGTGGGGGGAATAACAAGTTTGCCATCTGCCTGGAGGCATGTCTCCTAAATTGGCCAGCATCACACTGATAGCAGGGGCCCAGATACCTTCACTGAGGGATGCATTTTGCAGAATCTCCCTTCAGCATTGACCAGGCACACACACACAAAGCAAACCTTCTAATAACAGTAATAATGATGATGATGATGTACTTGGTGGATGGGTTGGGGAGATTATAAAAGGAAGCACATTAGTAAAAAATACTTTTTGACATCCACCTACCCCAACAGTAGAGTTATAAATGTTAAAAGGATCCCATCCAAAATACAACTTCAAGAAAAGTTTACTCCTAAAGAGACATCATTGATTCAACCCCAGTAAAACATAATCAAACTGGAAATCTATCTAGACACAAATACCTCTCTGCCTTCAGAAAATCCAAACTGGACCACATGTATTTGACATTTTTTAAAGGCTATTTTAATTAATACCCACCCAAGAAAAATACCAGAAAAGATAAACTGCTTCCTACTAGACACAGTCTTGTATACAACTTTTAGAGCTTCTTCCTTTCCTTGCACTACATCAAAAGGCGACTGCTCTTTGGGCCATTGTCATTAGCTCAGCATTATTATTTAAAATACCAAATATGATGACTTTCCTGAAACTATCAAAAATAGCTATTTTTACATACTGAAATCCACTCTAGCTTTACAATATGTGGATTTTTATAACTTACTTTAAAAATCACATTTTATGCATGCTTTCTTTAGTAAATCTTACAGAAAAAAGCAATAAAGCAATGATCTGACCCAATAATTAACTATAAGGCACTGAAATTCCTGGTTTGAAACAAGCAGCAATACAAATTTTGGTGCATTTAGCTATGTCACAAGTATAGCTTGAAGGTCTAAATCATCTTAATATCTCATGTGATGCTTGTTAATATTCACCATTTAAGTGAATATGTCTTATATTTAAATACTCATTATTATTATTACTCAATTTAAAATCCAGCCAAAGTAATTTCAGGCAAGGCAATGCATGCAAAGGTTTCTTCCTTCTACAATTCTTCTACAAGACTTAGAGCAAGTTAGAATTCTGGTAGCAGTTTGATTTTTTTGGTTTGCTTTTGTTTGTTTTTGGTTAAAGGTAAAAACAAGGTCACACCTATCAGCAGCCTAGCTGAACTTCCTAATCCACTTACTTTCTGGGAAAGGGCTTTCTAAGGACCTGGTTTAAATCTGAGGTGACAGTGGGTCTACCCCCTGCATCGGTGCTGGGTGCTACAAGCATCCCACTGGATGCATGTGGTTCCAGGCTGACAATGGCTGTCCTGTTGGAGCTGAGAGCGTCATCTCCCAGGGTGCTGGAACTCTCAAATTTAAAGAAAAGAGCAAGTAAACTCAGGTGAGGCAGAAAAATAGTCTGCTTGATACATGCTTGATCTCATACCTGACCCCACCCACAAGTCAAATGCCACCTTCTACTAGGATGCATGGGGTCCCTGGCTTGCAAATTACGCTAGAAAAAAAGCAGTACCCTGGAAAATGTGATTCAAATTTGTGATAAATATTTATGTGGCCAGAGATGTCTCAATTCAGGTCTATGTGTCTGTCCCTCCCAAGGTTGTCACCATCTAGAACAAACTCCTTCATCAGCTTATTGTTCCAGAGAGAGCAGAGTGAAGCAATCAATTGCACCAGCTCTGGAAACAGAATTTAATTCTTAGTCTCCTGGTAACTGTGACACTGGTAAATTGCTTTTCCTCCCCATGTCTCAGTTTCCTCATCTGCAAAATGGAGACAATACAACACCTGTCTCAAACAGCTATGGTAAGGGTCAGTGCAACGTGCTCAGTTATTTGCAGCCCCCGAAGACTTTTGCACTCACCCTTGCTTCTGGCTAAAAGGTACTTCAGCTGCCTTTCCCAATAGCTGATTCTTCAACATCCACTCCTTGGATGAGGGATTTCCCGTACACCCTACCTCAATCAAACATGTATACAGTTGTCCCTAGGTATACAGAAGGCAGTGGTTCCAGCATCCCTGAGTACTCCAACATCCCTGCATACTCAAGTCCCACAGTCAGCCCTGCAGAACCAAGGTATATGAAAACTTATCCCTCCTTATACCAAGTTTTGCATCCTGAGATGAGAATACTGTATTTTCAATTGGCATTTCGTTGAAAAAAAAAATCTACATAAAAGTGGACCTGTGCTGCTGAAACTCGCATTGTCCAAAACTGTTATGTTTTTCATGACAATCATCACATCCTAAAGTATCCAGTTTGCTGTTAACTTGTGGATTGTCAATTCCCCCTCCCCTCCAGCTCTCTCTCTCTCATACACAGGCAGGTACATGACAGTGACCTCTCTGAAAACTGAGATCTTGCCTACCTTATTACCATATTATTGGAGCCTCAAGCAAGGCTTCGGACAGAGCAGGAGCTCAATGAATATCTATTCTTCAATGAATACATGCATGTAAAGTACTTACAAGATACTAGGCCCTCAAAAAATATCAGCCAGATGAATGAATAAAAAGCACTTGAGAGGTTTCTAGTCCAGTTACAAATCTGGTGTTTAGAGAATCTTCAAATTCACTGTGTCTCCTGCTTTCCGTGTTGATCTCCCTAGGATCAGACATAGGCCACAAATGCAAGACTTGCTCTTATTACCTGTGTGTGAGCAGAGGAGGCAGAGCAAAGCCCAGAGGCTCTCAAGCCAGACAGACCTGAGCCCAAATCCTGACTTTACAACATCTCCTTGGGATCGTCATGCATCCAGGTCCTCCTTCTGGAAAGATGGAGTAATGCCACAATGTCCTTGGGCAGAAAAGAAGATTAACAGAGAGAAAACATAAAAACCGTTTAGCAGGACTGGTTACAGAATTTGCAAGGCCCAGTGAAAACTGAAAATGTAGGATCCTAGTTCAAAAATCACTAAGAATGTCAAGTCGGTGACAGTAAAGCATTAAACTTAGAAGTGCAGGGCCCTTCTAAGCATGGGGCCCTGTGGGACTTCACAGGTCATACTCATGAAGCCACCCTGCTGCCCAACCTAAAGTCTGGCACACAGTAGAAGTCTAACAAATGCGTGTCTTTTTTTCCCTCCTTCCCTTCTCATTAACAATCTGATGTAATGAAATGAGACAGATTGTAGCTATTGGCTGAACAAAGGAATCCTGAACAGTGGAATTTCTAGTATTGCTAACCATTCCGGCTAATTATCCAGTTTGTGAATTATTCAGATACTTTGCTTGTCTTTCTTTTCATCCTTTGAGTTATGTCACTGCTCACTGATAATTAAAAATAAATCATTCTATCCCCTATTTGTCTCTTGTACCTTGATAAATGACCATTGAAAGAAAAAGTTGAAACTACAGACTCATATAGTTGGACTGAAAAAACGCATACTATATTTACCCGCAATGTACTCATTCTTTCAATATGCATTCATTCATTGCCTAGCAGTGCACCTTAGTCAGGTAAGTGGGACAGCCCCTGAGACAGGGCCCTGGTATTATTAGTCAGGACTTTTGTGGTTACAAGAGAAAGAAACCAAACTCAATTAAGCAAATGAGGAATTATCATTTCACTTGATTATGAAGTTCTAGGGTCCAGCTCAGGTATAGCTAGATCCAGAAACACAAATATTATGATCAGTCCTGTACAATTACCAATGATGGAGATGGGATTCAAAGATTAGCAAGATCTGGTGGTCATATATTCATATCTGCTACCAGAGGGTGGGCAGGGCATCACAACTGACAACTGCCGGGATCAACAGGGGATGAGAAAGCAATTGCCTGATGGAAAGAGTGGTACTGAACACCAAATTACAATAGGTGGCCAATATCTGAGAATCAGGACCCTATGAAACATGTATTCCTGAAGTTCCTCATCCCTTCCCAACAAATATTCCAGTGGGGGAGGGGCAAAGGAAGCCCTGATCTAGGATACTACGAAAATACAATGATTTTAAAATATTCTTTCTCCAGTTCTCTTCCATGGCCTGTTAGGAACCGGGCCGCACAGCAGGAGGTGAGCAGCGGGTGAGCAAGCAAAGCTGAGCTCCCCCTCCTGTCAGATCAGTGGCGGCATTAGATTCTTACAGGAGCATAAACCCTATTGTGAACTGTGCATGCAAGGGATCTAGGCCGTATGCTTCTTATGAGAATCTAATGACAAATGTAATGTGCTTCATCCCGAAACCATCCCCCACTCCACATCCGTGGAAAAATTGTCTTCCATGAAACAGGTGCCAAAAAGGTTGGGGACCACTGATCTAAATATTTCCAAATATCCAGATGTCCGGCATCCAGCATAACTTCAAGCCACGGCATACAGGAGCCTCCTTCAGCAGCCAAAACAAAATTGCTCCTCAGAACCAGGTTCAGATTGTAATTTTCTGAGAACAGAAGTACCTTATCAGGTGCTGTTTCTTGAAGAAACAAGTTAGCCCTATCCCAATATGAGAGCTAAGTGTAAGAATGAAAATGAACACAGGAAAAATGTAATATTTCTGAAGGTAAAACTGACATTTGGTTTTCCTTGCCTACCTGAGTTTCATTTCAGAAGTAGGTATTTTTTAAAATCCTGGTGGCTCTTCCCAGGCTTGGTGATGAAAAAAATTGCTTAAATAGTGAATGCTGTAATACAGAGAACACCTGACTAGAGACTAGACCCTGGTTTTGGTCAGTTTACCACCCTAGAGACTTGGGCACATAATTTAACATGGCTTCTCTTCCCATAAAACACAGTTGTTAAATGGGATGAGCTCTAACTCCATCGTGATTATGAGGAATAAGTACTTACAGAAGTCATAAAACTAACACCTCACCTTTCTAGAACATTCTACCATTTGTAAAGCCTTTTCATGCAAAGCTCATTTGATCCCCACAGTCACTCTGTGAGTCATATACTCAGTCAAACTTGTTCCCTATGTGGAGTTGCAATGTGACTTGTGTGAGGACACTAGGATAATAGGTGCTAGATATGACCCAAATCACATCTTCATGTTCTGTTCCTGTCTTTCTATGCTACAAGCTCTCTCCGTCATCTTTGTTGTGAAATACATCTCCAGCCTTTGTAACTCAGTTCAAGTTTTCACGTACATTATTATCTTTTGAAACACCTTGATAGATTTCAGGTGCCATATGATAGGTCGTCTAGTCTCCAATGGGTTCATCAATTTCTAAATAAACTGTATCTGAAATCTAAGGCTAAAATGATGACTTGGTGCTCCATAGTTATTCCCATTTGAAAGCTACTCAGGGATTCCATGGCTGGGGCAGGGAGAGTACAAGATGAACTGAGAACATCTCTTGGTGCCAGAAAACCAGGGAGTGCCCAGAAAATGATAAGGACTTGTTGAAAGAGCATAAGAACCAGGCTGAAGGAGCTCCTAATGGCCCAAGCTGGAACAATTTGAGCCACAAAACAAATAATGACTATCCTTCAGTCCATACTGACTTCTTTGTATTAATACATATAACAATAATGGTGAAGAAAAGACTGCTTTTCCTTGGAGTAGAATTCCAACTAATAAATGGAGAAGGAAAGAGGGATCTAGGAAACTTTATGGTAATAATCGGCAAACTCGGCAGTAGTAACTTTTGCAGATCTAAGACACCTAATAATGCAAAGATTAGTGGGTGAAAGATAGAAGAGAAACAGAACTTTCTTAGCACTAAAATGTTTCCCCCAAGATATTAACTATAAAGGAAATAATAACTTTACAGTTAAGAAAACTGGCAGACACCACCTTAGCTACATGATCAAGGTCAACATCATCAGTTAGAAGACATATCAACATGAGGAACCCTACAGTATAAAGCGCTGAGGACACAACATCATTTATGGGGTATTCTTGACAAATATGCATAACCTCATTGAAATCATGAGAAAACATCAGATAAACCCAAACTGAGGGTAATCTACAAAATAGTTGATCAGTGACCTTCAAAACTGTCAAGGTCATGAAGAAAAGACTAAAAAACCATTACAGCTTGGAGGAGACAGAGAAGAAACAACAACTAAATGTAAAGTGGGATCTGGGGCATCAGTGGGAAAACTAGTTAAATTAAAATAAGGTTTTTGGTTTCACTAATAGGCTAGAATCAGTGCTAATTTCCTTGTTCCAATAATTATACTATAGTTATAAAATATGCTACCTTTAGGAGAAACCGGATGAGGGATATACTAAAACTCTGCACCCTCTTTGCAACGTTTATGAAAGTCCTAAATTAGTTCAAAAAAATTTTAAACCTATCAGAAGCCATTTTGACAGTTTTCTGAGTGCCTCAAAAAGTAAGTTAACTTGACTGAGCTAGCCAGAGTAACTGTAATTCTCCCTCCTGGCTCTTGCTCCAAAGGGTGGCTCTTTCTCCAAAGGGTGGCTCTTTAGAGAGTGAGAGCCACGGGACCCCAAAACCACATTTTGACCCTGCCAGTTCACTGACAATCCAGCTATTGGAAACTGTCCTGTATTCTGGACAACCCATCAATTGCAAATCCTGTATGAACTTAATTCTTCTTTGAGGACAATGTAAGCACTCTCTCACACTGAATACAGAAACAATGAGCCAAACCGTCCCAAAGATGTTTAATAACAAATGTGTCTTAATTTTGATCACATTTATCCTGATTCATTTCACACAACTTCAAGAGCAAAGCAACCAGAATTCTGTGGCAATAAACTCTGTCCTTAGCTCCTGCCTCCAACTGTGTCCACCCAGAAACTTATTTGCCATCAGTATCTGTTCTCATCTTTAGTGGGTGGAGAGTACATGTTATTACTTAAATTTTCTGCATCTTTTTTGACTGTTGGTGTTTCTTTCTTTTTGTTTTTTGGAGACAATGTCTCATTCTGTCACTTAGGCTGGAGTGCAGTGACATGACCATAGCTCACTGCAGCCTCCAACTCTCGGGCTCAAGGAATCCTCTTGCATCAGTTTCCTGAGTAGCAGGGACCATAGCCATGTGCCACCATGCTTGGCTGATTCTTTTCTTTCTTTTTTTTTTTTTGTAGAGATGGGGGGGGGGGTCTTACTTTGTTGCCCAGGCTGGTCTCAAACCCCTGGCTTCAAGCAACACTCCCACCTCAACCTCCCAAAATTCTGGGATTGCAGGTGTGAGCTACCACACCCAGCTGGTTTTTCTTAAAAACACGTAAATATAACTCCATTGTGCATTTCCCAAGAGTGTAAACTGACAGCAAACTTCAGTTCCAAGCCACATACACAACAAAACTGACAATTTTATGACACTACTCAATCACATACAAAGCCACATAGCTGCAAAGCTGAATGCCACTGCCTATAAATGAATCAAACTCCTGCAGCTAGTGAGTTTTATTTTGGACACTAGACTTATATTTCTCCTCATAAACCACAGGCCTCTGCTATTCCTGGGGACTTGATGAGTAAAGGAATGACCCTCCCTGAATATTTGCCTGCCTTACATCTTGACCAGTCTGTATCTAATAGACTCCTTTTATCCAAGCACGGAGGCTGGCTTTAAGAGAAGTACAAGATTTAGTCCCTGGCCTCCAGGATATTACAGTCTGGGATGAATTTAAATACTCAATTTTAAATAATTAAGTACCAAATAATTTATTATATCATATTTAGGGCAAATGGAATCTGGGGCAAGAAGAGCTAAACAGGCAGAAAACCTTTAAGCAGGAAGAGAGATTTCATCAATTTAGACAACAAATATTTGTTATGTTCATTCTCTGTGCCAGGCACTGCTCTAAGTGCTCTAAGTGTTAGGAAACAAATAATGAAAACAAAACAAATAATCAAGTTTATTTCATATAGAAAAAATATATTAAGAAAAATTAAAGTAAAATTTAAAAAATTAAGATTGGTGAAGTGTATTCAGCTGATCTGCAGACTTACGCATGTCATTCCAGTGAAGCAAATCCAATATTGCTGCAATTTATGTTCAAGCTTTTGGAACTACTTCTTAGGACCTTAAATTTCGAATTGACTTAAAAGTTCTCCATCATTGTAGAAACTGTATTTCACCCTACATAGAAGCAAAACTCACACCCAGTAAGATCCAATCAGGTCTCAGCTCTGTCAGTTTTCTTATAAAATTTCAGGACTCAACAGCCAACGTAATCTATTTATTTATTTATTTATTTTATTATTATACTTTAAGTTCTAGGGTAGATGTCCACAACGTGCAGGTTTGTTACATATGTATACATATGCCATGTTGGTGTGCTGCACCCATTAATTCGTCATTTACATTAGGTATATCTCCTAATGCTATCCCTACCCCCTCCCCCCACCCCACAACAGGCCCCAGTGTGTGATGTTCCCCATCCTGTGTCCAAGTGTTCTCATTGTTCAATTCCCACCTATGAGTGAGAACATGTGGTATTTGGTTTTCTGTCCTTGCAACAGTTTGCTAGAATGATGGCTTCCAGTTTCATCCATGTCCCTACAAAGGACATGAACTCATCCTTTTTATGGCTGCATAGTGTTCCATGGTGTATATGTGCCACATTTTCTTAATCCAGTCTATCATTGATGGACATTTGGGTTGGTTCCAAGTCTTTGCTATTGTGAATAGTGCCGCAATAAACATACGTGTGCATGTGTCTTTATAGCTGCATGATTTATAATCCTTTGGGTATATACCCAGTAATGGGATGGCTGGGTCAAATGGTATTTCTAGTTCTAGATCCTTGAGGAATCGCCACACTGTCTTCCACAATGGTTGAACTAGTTTACAGTCCCACCAAAAGTGTAAAAGTGTTCCTATTTCTCCACATCCTCTCCAGCACCTGTTGTTTCCTGACTTTTTAATGATCGCCATTCTAACTGGTGTGAGATGGTATCTCATTGTGGTTTTGACTTGCATTTCTCTGATGGCCAGTGATGATGGGCATTTTTTCATGTGTCTGTTGGCTGCATAAACGTCTTCTTTTGAGAAGTGTCTGTTCATATGCTTGGCCCACTTTTTGATGGGGTTGTTTGATTTTTTTCCTGTAAATTTGTTTAAGTTCTTTGTAGATTCTGGATATTAGCCCTTTGTCAAATGGGTAGATTGCAAAAATTTTCTCCCATTCTGTAGGTTGCCTGTTCACTCTGATGATAGTTTCTTTTGCTGTGCAGAAGCTCTTTAGTTTAATTAGATCCCAATTGTCAATTCTGGCTTTTGTTGCCATTACTTTTGGTGTTTTAGACATGAAGTCCTTGCCCATTCTGGAAAAAGGAAACTGCCAAAGAGGGAAACCAACACTTTTTCATGGATTGTGAGCCTTTCTTATGAACTTGTTGGTGAAATAAGTTGAAGCTCATTCACTCAATAGTCAACAATACTGATTGTGCACTTACTATCATAATAAACTCTCAGCACCTAGGACAGTCCCTGACACAGAGTAGGTATTCAATATGTTTGTCAAACCAGCCTGTCATATGGAGCTTTGGTCTTAACTTCATTTAAAACAATATAGGGTAGGAAAACGTGATGAGGTTGTTTCTTTTAGGTAGCTGTCTTAATCCGTTTTCTGCTGCTATAATGGAACACTACAGAGTGGGTAATTTATAAAGAAAAACGTTTATTTGGCTCACAATTCTGAAGGGTGGGAAGTCCAAGAGCATGATGCTGGTATCTGGCGGGTGCCTTCTTGCAGCATCTCAATATGGCAGAAGGGCATCATATGGGGAGGATATGTGCAAGGGAGGCAGAATGAAAATGGGGACCAAATGTCTATTTATCAGGAGCCCACTTGTACAATAACTAATCCACTCATGTGATAATGACATTAATCCATTCATGAAAGTAGAACCCTCATGACCTAATCACATCCTTAAGGTTCTACCTCAATACACTCACAATGACAAGTAAATTTCAACGTCAGTTTCAGAGGGGATCTTCAATACCATTCTACCCTGCCCTCACCCCAAAAGTGCATGTCCTTCTTACATACAAAAAATATTCATTGAATCTCAATAGTCCCAAAACTCTTAATTTGTTCCAGCATCAACTCAAAAATCCAAAGTCCAGAGTTTCATTTAAATCAGATATGGGTGAGATTCAAGACATGATTCATCCTGAGACAAATTTACTCCAGCTGTGAATCTGTGAAATTAAATAAGTTATCTACTTCCAAAATACAATGGTGGGCCAGGCATAGGATAGACATTCCCATTCTAAAAGAAAGAAATAGGCAGGAAGAAAAGAGTAACTTGTCCCAAGTATGTTGAAAGCCCAACAGGGTGGACATCATTAAATCTTAAAGCTGGAGAATAATCTCCTTTGACTGCATGTCCACATCTTGGGCACACAGGAGTAATAAGAGTTGGGTCCCCAGTGCCTCAGACAGCCCTGACCCCATAACTTCGCTGGGCTCAGCCCATGCAGCAGCTCTCACAGTTTGGAGTCTTGTGCCTGCAGCTCTCCCAAGTTAAAGTTGCACACTGGTGGCCCTGCAGTTCTGTGGACTTGGGGGTGGCCCCGCTTCCATGACTCTACTACACGTTGCCCCAGTGGGGACTTTCTGTGGAGGCTCCACATCTGTGGAAGGTTTCTGCCTGGGCCCCCAAGATGTCTGCAACATCTCTTGAAATCTAGGTGAAGGAGATCATTCCTCCACAGCTCTTAGATTCTGTGTTCTTGCAGAATTAGCACTACATGGATGCACCAAGGTTTACAACTCATCTTTCTGGAGCCATCGGTGAGCCACACCTGAGCCCACTTGGCTGGGGTTGCCAAGGAGCATTATGCCAGAATGCAAGGATCAAAGACCCAAAGAGGCTCTGGGCAGCAATCCCATGAGGGGTGCCTTAGGGCCATCCCCTAAAACAATTCTTCCCTCCTGGAGCTCTGTGTCTGTAATGGGAGGTGCAGCCTCAAGGATCTTTGAAATGCCTTTAGGATCTTTCTCCTATAATCTTTTTGAATATCTCCTGATTCCCTCCTATCATGGTCATCTCTTTGGCAAATGGTCACTTGGCCATATCCTTGGTTTGCTTTCTTAAAGATATCTTTTTACTCTTTACATGGCCAGGCTGCAAATTTTTCCAAAATTTTTCATTCTTCTCCCCTTTTAATTATACCTTATGTCTTTAAGTCATTTCTTTCTTCTCACATTTCACTGCGTGCGGTTAAAAGTAGCCATGCAGCATCCTGAGTGTTTTGCTGCTAAGATATTTTTTCTGCCAGACATCCTAGCTCATCACGCTTAAGTTCTGTGTTCTATAAAGTCTTAACACATGGACACAATTCAGCCAAGGTCTTTGCTCTTTTATAACAAGGATGGCCTTTACTCCAGTTTACAATACCTTGTTCCTCATTTCCGTCTGAGACTTCATCAGTATGGCCTTTACCATTCAGATTTCTACCAACTTTCTGATTATGACCACTTAAGTACTCCAAGAAATCCCAAACTTTTCCTACTTTTCTTGTCTGCTTTTTATCCCTCACCCAAATTGCCCCCAATGTTCCATTTATGGCAATCTATTCTTTTTCTAGTTTTGCTCCTCTAAATTCTTCTAGCCTCTACACATTGCCCGGTTCTAAAGCCACTTCCACATTTTCAGGTATTTGTTACAGCAACAGGCCCATTTCTCAGTATAAATTTTCTCTCTTAGTCTGTTTTCTGCAACTGTGAAAGAATATCACAGACTGGGTAAATTATAAAGAAGAGAAGTTTACTTGGTTCACAGTTCTGGAGGTTGGTCCAAGAGCATGGTCCTGATATCTGATGAGGGCCTTCTTGTTGCATTATAACATGATGGGCAGACATCATGGGGTGACGAAGTGCATGCACAAGACAGAGAAAATCCTTTTATAAGGAGCCCAATCCTAAGATAACCAACCCACTCCCACAAGACAGCATTAATCCATTCATGAGGGCAAAACTCTTAGGACCTAATACCTCTTAAAGGTCCCATTTCTTAATACTATCACAATGGCAATTAAATTTCCACATGAATTTTGAAGGGGACATTCAAACCATGGCTGTAGCTATCATACATTTATGATCAATGCATTAATGTGGCAAAGAGCTTTAAAAATAGAGAGTATAACCTCTAGGTAAATGTTCCTGTCATTATTATTCATGGAAGTTGTAAGGCAATGCATCTGAATGCCAGAGAGTTAATGAAAGTGTTCACTTCAGATGAAATGGTCCAAAGACATCCACCGAAATCCATGTTACAATTTACAGTGTCAATTAATGTCCCCAACAATGATTATTAAAGCAAGCCTTACTAGTAAAAAAACACTGCTACAGCCTTTGTGATTGAGTTAGAAAGGTCTCCCTCACTAAATATACTCCTCTAGCCAGTTTGCTATGGTGTTAGACATGTATCACAGTGCTTCCATCTTTGAAGCCAAGGTGCTGTATCCTTCAGGAGTATGGTGATAATTAGCTAATTAGACCAGATAAGCCCTGTCCATAGAAATAGCAATATCTTTATTTCCTCCATTGCACAAAGCTGCCTCCCCCAGGTTTTTCATCTTAAAGAATGATACTTTTATACCCCTATCTTAGTCCATTTTGTGATGCTATAATAGAATACCACAGACTAGACAATTTATAATAAACAGAAATGCACTGGCTCACAGTTCTGAAGGCTGAGAGGTCCAAAATCAAGGGGCTAACATCTGGCAGGGGTCTTTTTGCTGTGTCATCCCATGGAACAGGGAAAAGACAGGTGAAGGGAGAGACAGAGAGAGAAAGAGAAAGTGAGAGAGAGGAGGTTGAACTTGTCCTTTTATAAGGAACCCATTCCTGCAATAATGAACCCACCCACATGAAAAAGGCATTGATCCATTCACAAAGGCGGAGTCTCATGACCTAAATACCTCCCATTGGGGCCTCCCTCCCAACACTGCCTCATTGGGGATCAAGTTTCCAACCCATGAACTTTGGGGACACATCCAAATTATAACAACTTCTGTTTGCTCATGCCACAAATCTAAAAGCCATACGCGGTTCTTTCATTTCTCTTGGTTTTTACAAAACATCTCAAATTCATCTATTTCTTTCCTTCTTACTGATACCGTCCTACTCCAGATCACCACCATGTCTAGCCTGAGCCAAACATGATGGTCCTTTCCCTTTGCCAGAGATGGATTAGCCATGAGTGTGTGATGCAATTCAGATCAATGATGTGTGAGAGGAAACCTGCTGAGAGCTTCTGGGAGAGGCTCCCACACTCCTAAGAAAAGAAACTTGGGGAGAGATGGCCTTTGCTTTAATTGGACTTGGTCATTTCTGGATGTGACATCTGGAATCATGACAGCCATCTTGTCCCCATGAGAGAAGTTAGTCCGGGGACAAAGCCAACACTCCAAGACGGGCAGAACAGGAGCAAAAAAAAAAAAAAAAAAAGCTAGGGTCCTAATGATGTTGATAAATCACTTAATTAATTACAGTAGTCCACCCTTATCAGTGATTTTGCTTTCTGCAGTTTTGGTTATCCACACACAGCACAATAACACATTTTGAGAGAGAGAGAGAGGCCACATCATGTAACTTTAATTATAATATACTTATTTAATATTTCTATTATGGTGATTGCTGTTAATCTCTTACTATGCCTGATTTATAAATTAGACTTTATCATAAGTATGTATATATAGGAAAAAACATAGTATTTATAAGATTTGGTACTATCCAAGATTTCAGGCATCCACTGGGGATCTTGGAATGTATCCCCCATGCATAAGGGGGCACTATAGTACCCTGAAAGCCACTTTACACGTGAGCTTCTTAAAAGGTGAGTTAAAAGTCTGGGCGTGGTGACTCACACCTGTAATCCCAGCACTTTGAGAGGCTGAGGCGGGCAGATCATGAGGTCAGGAGATCGAGGCCATCCTGGCCAACACAGTGAAACCCCGTCTCTACTAAAAATACAAAAATTAGCTGGGCGTGGTGGCACGTGCCTGTAGTCCCAGCTACTCGGGAGGCTGAGGCAGGAGAATCGCTTGAACTCGGGAGGCAGAGGTTGCAGTGAGCCAAGATCATGCCACTGCCCTCCAGCCTGGTGACAGAGTGAGACTACGTCTCAAAAAATAAAAAAGAAAGAAAGAAAAGGTGAGTTAATAAATGTTTCAGACACTTGCAGCCAAATGCATTTTGATTGACTCAACCTCAGAAGTGTTCATCTCTTCTTTCTGCCATCTCCAAACCATTCTTCATGCAGCAACCGGAGTGATTCTTCCAAAGGAATAAATCTGATAATGTAATCTCTCTGCTCAAAATTCTTCAGTGATTTCCCTTGTTACTTACAAAATTTGAAGTTCTTCAACGTGGCCTCTGTATCAGTTATCTATTGCTGCATCGCAAATTACTCGAAAAACTTGGCAGTTTCGAACAACTATCATTTATTATCTCACAGTTTCTGTGGGTCACGAATTTAGGACTGGATCGCCGGATGGTTTTGGCCCAGGGTCTCTCATGAGGTTGCAGTCAGGATGTTCTGAGATATGACATGCTGGAGGATCTGCTTCCAAAATGGCTTGCTCACCTGGCTGTTGGCGGGAAGCCTCAGCCACATGGCCCTCTTCACAGAGCTGCTTGAGTATCCCCACCCCAGGGTGGCCGGCTGCCGCCAGAGCACGAGAGCAGACAGGGGGCGAGGAGAAGGTTGCCGTACATGTCTTGTCCTAATTTCAAACATCACACACTGTCACTTCCACCACATTCTAGTCATTAAGTGCCAACTACACTTAAGGGGAGGGGAATTAGAGTTTGCTTTTTGAAGCGGTGAGTACCAAAGAATTTCTGGACACATAAAAAATTACCACACAGGCTTTACAGGACCTGACCCCAGGCTACCTTCCTAAGCTCCCGGACACCACTTTTCTCTTGGATAAAGGTAGTGTTGGAGAGCTTAAGAAAGTAGGCTGAACAGGAGACCCAGTGGCGCTCCTCCTGTTCAGCCGCATCGGGCATCTGTCCACCTCAAGCCTTTTGCACGTATTGTTTCCTCTGCAATGTTCTCCCAAATCCCCCACCTGTAGGGATGCTTAATCACTAGATCTCAGTTTAAGTGTCGCATTTTCCCAGATGCCTGTCCAGACCGTGCAGTCTAAAGAAGACTTCCTGTCACTTTTTCACAGCTTCCTATATTTTCCCTCATATCATTTGCTATAATTTTAATTGCTTATTTATTGGTCTGCTTTTTAAAGATGCAAAAGAAAAGATGATCACTCAGGGTCAGGGGTAAAAAAGTACCAGCAGTGGCCTCTGCCACAGGACTGTGAGGTCAAAGGGCAAGGAGGCAGTGTTACGAGGGCCCCAGGTCTGAGGAACAACATATTTCAGGGGAAGGGTTGCCTTTCATGAAGTGATTTTGGCAAGAGAAAATCTGCAGAATTTTCCCAATGATCAAGGGCTCCATTATTTTCCCCAGTGTCAGAGGAGCTGAGATTTCTCCTGGTTCCCACAGTGCTACCCTAAGAAAATGTCCAAGTCTGGCGAGGAGCAGGGCAGATGAACTTGAGCTCCTCAGCTTAAAACCTGAAGGGAAATCTCTTAGCCCAGCAGGCCACAGAAGGGACCTCAGGGAGTCCCTGCTCCCGGGCTATCAGCAAACACCAGTCTGGGAGAAATTGCTTCTTATTCCAGGATGGTAAAAAGTCAAGAGTCAACATGTAGCTCAGTAAAGAATTCACACTCGTGATATGCAGAGGAATGCATGCTTTTGAAAAAGATTTATTTAAAAAAAAAAAACAAAACAGAAGAAAATTGTACTTTCTACATCAATTTTCTCCATGAGTTCTCAGTTAAGACCATGAATCACTGGAGAGGTAAAACAGTCAGATGTCAGTTGCTACAGGTAAGGGCGCTGCGCACCTACTATGTGCAGACGGAACAGAGGAAGGCCAGGCAAAGATGACGGTTATGAACAGAATGGTCCCCAATCCAATTTGGACCCAACACTCTCTTTAAAAATAAATATGATGCCCCACTTATTAATATAAAATGAATTTCATAGCTTGTATCAACAGTCCCCAGCGTTTTGGGCACCAGGGACAGGTTTTGTGGAAGACAATTCTTCCATGGATCAGGTTGGGGGCAGGGGTGCATAGTGGGATGGTTTTGGGATGACACTGTCCCATCTCAGATCATCAGCCATTAGTTAGATTCTCATAAGAAGCACACAATCTAGATCCTTTGCACGCGCAGTTCACAATAGGGTTTGTGCTTCTATGAGAATCTAATGCCACTGCTGATCAGCTCAGGCAATAATGCTCGCTCGCCCACTCACCTCAGGCTGTGCAGCCCGGTTCCTAACAAGCCACGGACCGGTACTCGTCTGCAACCCAGGGTTGGCTTATATAACATAACCACCACATAATTTCAAAAAGCCAAATCATTGTAATGCTCTAACTATAATATAAATTAAAAGTTAAATAATTTATAACAAAATAGTCTATATTTCAATATGTAAGTGCTGGGTACATCTATTCTCAAGATGTAATGAGTAACCAGAGGTTGATACCTATCCATTATAAATACACTGGGATGTAAGAGCAGTAATTGTAGGTACTTTTCCTTTATATTCAACATTTTAAAATAAGAGCTCAAGTGTATTTATAAGTATACATTGAATCGCGTGAATGCAACAGCTATAAATGTAAAATTATGCAGGCTGTTATTTTGGAGACTCAAATGCCATACACAGTA
The DNA here is from genome assembly GCF_000001405.40 of Homo sapiens. NCBI lineage: Eukaryota > Metazoa > Chordata > Mammalia > Primates > Hominidae > Homo > Homo sapiens. The sequence goes on from NC_000010.11 coordinate 121,234,803, forward strand.
GAACCATGGGTGACATGATTTTCAGAGAGGCTGAACAACTCTTGGGAGAGTTCTGGACAAAACAAAGTACCATTGTCCCTTATTTTACTTGGTTACTTCCATTCCTTGAAATCTTGGTATATATTAAAATAACGCACAAAATACTTTGTATCTATATGTAAAATACAGAGTGCACTTCTTTTTTTTATTTTTTTTAAATTATACTTTAAGTTCTAGGGTAGATGTCCACAATGTGCAGGTTTGTTACATATGTATACATGTGCCATGTTGGTGTGCTGCACCCATTAATTCATCATTTACATTAGGTATATCTCCCAATGCTATCCCTCCCCCCTCCCCCCACCCCACGACAGGCCCCAGTGTGTAATGTTCCCCTTCCTGCGTCCAGATGTTCTCATTGTTCAATTCCCACCTATGAGTGAGAACATGCGGTGTTTGGTTTTTTGTCCTTTTGATAATTTGCTGAGAATGATGGTTTCCAGCTTCATCCATGTCCCTACAAAGGACATGAACTCATCCTTTTTTATGGCTGCATAGTATTCCATGGTGTATATGTGCCACATTTTCTTAATCCAGTCTATCATTGTTGGACATTTGGGTTGGTTCTAAGTCTTTGCTATTGTGAATAGTGCCACAATAAACATACGTGTGCATGAAAACAGAGTCCACTTCTAAGTTTTTCACCTCTGTGGATGTTCAGCAAGTTGTGGGCCAATTTTCCATGGTTAGATGGCCATCGATATCAGGATCACCTAACATCACTAAGGCCCCCAGTAACACCAGAAAATGCCAGTGGTGCCCCCACATCACTGTGACAAACAGAACCACCCCCTGATTTGGGAGCACCTCCCCATTTGAAGACCACTGGGAAGGACAGAGTCCAATATTATGAGGCTAAGCTCCCAAAGTCTTCATCTCACATCCTTAGAAGTATACTAAATACCATCTATGTGTTAGACTCTATGCTGGGCACTAGCTGTGGGTCAAAGGGTAAGTCAATTTAGAAATGTATCTACAAGGAAGAAAATGATAAACATGATTATCAACCAGGCAGCGCAGCACCACACCTTTAAAATGAACAGCCACTCCTTCATCCTACGGTTAACACCCAATAAACACATATCCTCTTTATTCCTCTCTTTGCAGCCCACAGTCCAAGCCATTTCACCTCACACTACCCTCCCCCAGCTTCCCATGTGCCTAAATTCTGACTGCAGCTCCAGCCTTGAGCCTCACACTTTCCCCTTGGCCCAATGTCAAATATCTTTCCTCCACCACCATCCTTGGGTCCCCTCCTCAGAGTCAGGGTCCAGCCACCCTTGGTTATGGTCTGTCCTGGTCCAGCCTTTTCCCTAGGATACTGGAGCAGCCCCTAGGGCAGAACTCCCCACCAGGCCTTCACCTACCCATATAGGAAAAAATAAGAAGAACCAGACAGAAGTACACTACTAGCCCACATCCACACTCTGCCTCAGAGGGTCTGTCCATGGGGCTCAGTAGTTCAAGCAGGTGTGAAAGCAGGCAGGGAAATTTTTCCTGAGAATATTTCAATTTAAAGATAGGAGGTTCTTACCATGAGACTGGGAACTAATGAGAAAATATCTTCCTGGAGAACTAGATCCCAAGTGAGACAGGAGCATGGGTCTCCTGTCTCCACATCCACCCATTCACCAAAATACAGGGCAAGGACTGGCTCTGAGGGCTTGGTGTTGCGCTGAATCTGCTGGTCAAGGTCAATGGCTACCAGCCATGAGGGCTGGACAGTAGCAGGGACAGAAAGCTCAGGAAGGAAATGGAAACACCTGAGGGACTGGCCCTTAGTTCCTCAGGTCAACCACTTCTATTATGGCACTCCTCTGCTCAGAGCAGCTCAACTGCTGTGCCTTCAGAAAGCCAACTCCAGGCTCCTCAGCATGGCACATAATCTCCAGCCTGAACCACTCTCTCCACGGTCCTCCATGCCTCACAGGGGAAGACAAGATCAAAGCCCATTCCAACTGAGGCACAAGGGGGTGATTAGGGAACAGGGAATTCTTTAGATAAAACCACAATTCATATTAGTCATACTGGCAATTAAGATCGTCTCGGCGGGGAGGATTTTCAAAACCTGGCAGGACACTGAACCTGCAGATGGCAGAAAGAAAAGGCATGCAAGGGTGGGAAGCCAGGGATGTGATAAAAACCAAAACATAAGGCCTGGGAGAGGAAAGCTCTCATACTCAGGAGGGGTGGGTAGAAGGGGGTACTAGAGCAGAGGAATAGGCCAGGCCTTGAGTCTGGGCCACCACAGAGCAGTGGGAGGACTGTGGATGTAGGAGGAAGTGGGGGTTGGGGAGAGGGGTTGGGGGATGGATTCTGCTTGTGCATTATGCAACATCAGGAAGAACTGACCAGAGCTTCCCTTGATTCCTACCATGCACTTACTCAAAAGACCAGTTTCCCGAACTCAGTTCTCAGGGGATGGGAATCAAAGCATCTCTCCATGGTGGAAACATGTGAGCTTCTCCAAAATGATGGCATAATATTACAATTCCAGAAAACATTCTCCATGCAAAAACTTACATCAAACCAGAAAATCCATTGACAGTTAACAACCTAATACTAACAAATAAAATTATCACTCATTTCTATGACCAAAAATATATTTGCCAACTTCTTTCACTAACTTCAGAAGATATTTTGTATAAATGAATATTCATCTATAAGCTCTCATTTTTATTGTCATTTGTGCTTAAGAAAGAATAATTCAATATCTTTAATGAGCTATTAGCTTCCTTTAGTTATTCAAAGTATAAAAGAACATGTTTACAGTGTCTTTGAGCTTCAGGAAGTTAAACTCCAGGCGGAAATCTACTTCCAAAAAGTAGAAATGAGAAATAGCATCAGAAAGTATTCTGACTTGCTTGCTACTCTTTATAAACTCTTACAAAAAGAAGCAAACATTTCAAAATATGTGTAGTTGAGAAAAATTGAGAGTTTTCTTATCTAGTATTATGCTCAAAATTTATACATTTTCCACAAGTGTGTCACACTGCTGTTACTTTGTATTTCAGTTTTTAAAACTTCAGTCTTCAAAGAACTTGTTTCCTTTGGGTTCTTTGCCTGTAATTACAGCAAGCTCCATCAGGTGTCAGTGTGGTGGTCGTAGTTTAGACAGGCTATGTGGGAGGGACACAGGGTACTTATGTGCCTTCTTGGAGATTGAAATATTTTATTACTCACATCATCTTTTATGTAAAGATAAGCTCGTGGCTAAGGGGAAGGTTTTGACAGAATTTGATGCTATTATGTTTAGGGTTCTGGAAATAACTAGATCCTGCCCTTCCAATAACCCTTCCTCCCCACTTGTCCCCATCTTGTTATCCCCCTTCCCATGGGTCCCCTCTCCCCTACACTCTCTTGTTGGCCCCACTCCTGATTTCTCCATAGCCATCCTCTCCCAAAGGCCCTCCCACCACACCCACTGCACCCCCTCCCCCATCGGACTCCCTGCTCATCGGCCTCCTCTCCAGTATCCCCCCACCTTCTTTCCTATCTTTCTCCACCATCATGAGCCCTCCTCCCCTACTGAGGCCTCCTCTTCATCCATTCCCTTCCTCACCAGCCCCCATCCCAATGCCAACCTGTCTCCCCTTATAATCTTCCCCAACACCATCAGCCCTACTTTCTGTCCGGCCGCCCTTCCTCCATCTCCTTTATGCTTCTCCTTCCTCATCAACCTCCCTTTTTGCAGGATCACTGAGCATCCTATATGCAAAAGAAGCAATATCAGAATGAGGACCCAGAACCTCTCAGGCACAGCAAAGTCCCCTTGCAGAATCTGAACAAGAAACTCTGGAACAGGCAGCTGAGGGTGAAGTCCAGATGAGATTCCTATTCCCCAGTCTCTCACCCCCAGGATGTTAGCTTCTTCCAACCACATGGAAGAAAGTAAGGAGGAAGAGAATAAATCTAGAGATGAGATATTGGTAGAGATTCTCTGCCCAGCTGCCCACATGAAGTTGAAAGAAAACAATCTGCGTATCTACTCAGTTACAAGAGGGTAAGCAGAGATAGACAAGGGTGAGAGAGGACACTAAAGTGTCCCTATCCCTGATGATAGCCACAAAGAATCAAGCATGCAACACAGAAGAACATTTTCAATTTTTAAAGAATATACGTATAGGTTAAAGTACTGTATCTCAAGCTTTCAGGAAGGTACCAATTCTAGGGTGCTCCCTGGAGACTGATTCCCTAGGTCTGAAATGGAATCTGGAATTTAAACTATTTTAGCAAACACACTAGGTGATTCTGCAAGAATCTTTAAAGAAAGACTGATCCTTGAGTACAAGTTGGTAAATATCTTACTAATCCTTAACTGTTGCCCATTGTAACTATGAATTTAGTGACTGCTTAATCTGACCCTGATTTTATGCCCAGGCATGATTAGAACTAATCCAAATCACCTGATCCCTCAGAGCCTGTCCTCTGAAGAATGAAAAACAACTGGAAATGGTTTTGTTAGTAATAAAATCATGCAGAGGTTCTGGGTTGCTTCCATTTTCATCTTCTGTGAAACTCAAGCCAATAAATATTGGGTTCCTACAGCCACCAAGGCTCTGCCCTTCTTGGTCTGTGAGTAGTCACCAGGGGCAGCTCTTTCTCTTACCAGGTTCACTTTTCCACTATTCCTGTGCAGTGGGAAAAGCAAGAGCCTCACATGGTCAGAACCAGTTTCAATGTTTCCTAGATGCTCCTGTGGCCTGGGAAGAGGCACCATATATTCGTGAAATGGCACAGAACCACCCTCCTGTCCTTTCTCTCTGTATGTCTGTCTTTCTACTCATGGAAACCATTTCTGGTTAGCTTTGAAGACAAACTTTCAAGGCAAACTTCTAAAGTAGCTTGTATTCCTCCCAGGACAGTTCTACAATGATTCAAACAGCAAATGCAAGACATTCTGAAGGAGATTTGTGTGAGAGAAGCATAAAGCCCAGATGAAAGTAAGAGCTGTGCCTATGAATGGAAATCATTTTATCAAGTCCTTAACAAATAAGTGCACAAGGAAGAAGACATCCTTGGGGTCTCCTCCATCCTCCACTAGTAGGAGTTTGGGGCAGTTGAAGTATAACTCTTCTATTTTCAAATTCATCCAAATCACAGAACAAGAAAAAAAAAAAAAAACCTAACCAAACCACTTGAAAGAAAAAAAAAAAAAACAGTTCCCCAGAGAAGGCAGTTTCTTTTTGGGCCAGTGGTCACTGACCCTCAGGCAGGGGCTCTCAGTATACAGGGTCTGCTGGCCCTAGCCCCTGACACTCTACCTAGTGACCCTTGCCCCATGGCCAGCTGGCCTGTAGAAGGAAGTCACAACTCTGGCAGAGGCTCAAGGCGGCAGCCGGGCTTCTTTGTGGCTGCCTTCTCTCCCAGCTCCACCCCAGTGTCTTCTGACTCACCCCAACTCCCTAGAGCAAAGAGCTCTCCTCCATAACTCAGAACCCCATGACTGGGAGGTGCCCTCTGACCCCCTCTTATTCTGCAGCTCATTGGAACCTCTCCCTGCTCAGGAGACCGGACCTCCACTCTTCCCAAATCACGGTCAGGCCTGTCATCCTGGATACCCTTTCCTGTAGGTAGACTTTCTCCCATTCGCCCCCAACCACCACTACCGAGATGGGAAGTAGGAGGGGTTCAGCACCCAGCAACACCCTTGGATTTAGACCTCAATTTTGGAAAGTTCCTTATTGCAACTAAACCCCTCACCTTAATCCCCTCCTAGACCCTGCCCCTCCTGGTACCTGCCACGTGTCAAAAGACAGCATTTATTCTCCTGTTTGTCTTTTCACCCTGATTTGCTGTGTGGCCTTTTCCTTGTTATTAAATAACCAGGATATGTATTTGTTTTGCTCTGGCTGAAGAGTATGACACACATAACAAAACAATAAAAGCACCAAAGAGCACCTGTTACCTTTCCTGCCCAACCATGCTTAACTATATTGCCCACACATTCAAGGAATGATCATCTTGTCCAGATATGACAGCATCTGGCCCTTGGCGCTTATCTGCCTTTATGGATCCTTTTCTGTTGCTTGCCACCTACCAGCTTCCTTTATCAATACCAGGAAGCTCTCTACACATCCTTCTGTGTTCCCCTTCATTTTTCTCCTTCACCAATGCACTTTATAAGGAAGGTAAATGCCTCAAAAGTCTTGTGGAAAAAGCTGTGTAGGAATCCAAATCTCCATTTTGCAGACAAGAAAAGCACAACTCATTTTAAATTATAAAGGGCAGACAAGGATGTCAGGAAGTAGTTTTTTTTTTTTGTTTGTTTGTTTGTTTTTTTTTTTTTGAGACGGGGTCTAGCTCTGTTGCCGGGCGGGAGTACAATGGCATGATCTTGCCTCACTGCAACCTCCGCCTCCTGGGTTCAAGCAATTCTCCTGCCTCAGCCTCCTGGGTAGCTGGGACTACAGGCATGTGCCACCACGCCCAGCTACTTTTTTTATTTTTATTTTTATTTTTAGTAGAGACAAAGTTCCACCATGTTGGCCAGGATGGTCTCGATCTCTTGACCTCGTGATATGCCCACCTCGGTCTCCCAAAGTGCTGGAATTACAGGCGTGAGCCACCGCACCTGGCCAGTAGTTGTTATTCTTTAGACAAAGGAATTTCCCCTTCTACCACACTGGCCTAGAGGCCAGACCCATGGGAGGACTTGTGGGTACCTGCCGTGGCTTGAAAGCTATTGGGACAGAAGACCTGCATTCTACCACAAGGGACCTGTGAATGGGTCTGTCACAATAGAAGCATCTGAAGAAGGAGCAGCAGGCAGGGCTTGCCAGGATCTGCATCAAGTCAGATGTGCCGGGACCAGGCAGAATTTGATTTTTAGGTGATATGTTCCCAGTATGGCCCAGGGACCAGGCTGAGATCTATTCCCAGGTGCATATAGTTACTCCAAAATTGTACTGTGGCCAAGTGAGATAGATAACTTAGATACAGCACTAACTCCAACAGGAAAAAAAAAATGGCCCAGGACTACCCATCCCCCAAAAAGAGAATTTGCCAGAAAGGAAGCAGGCAAGATGATACTGAAAGATGATGGTATAGCTGCTAAACTTTCCAACGTGACTTCAATGAACTGCATGCTATGGATGGGTATACAGCTTCTGGATTTTTGTTTTGTTTTCTTTGGAGACAGGGTCTTGCTCTGTCACTCAGGCTGGAGTGCAGTGGTACGATCACAGCTCTCTGCAGTCTCAACCTCCAAGGCACAAGCGATCCTCCCACCTCAACCTCCTGAGGAGCTGGACCACAGCCATGTGCCACCATACCCAGCTTTTTTTTTTTTTTTTTTTTTGTAGAAACAGGGTCTCCCCATGTTGCCCAGGCTGATCTCAAATTCCTGGCCTCAAGCAATCCTCCTATCTCAGGCACCCAAACAAAGTACTGGGATTACAGGCATGAGCCATCACGCCGGGCCCAGTTTCTGTTTTTTGTTTGTTTGTTTTTGAGACAGAGTCTTGCACTGTCACCTGGGCTGGAGTGCAATGGCACGATCTCAGCTGACTGTAACCTCTGCCTCCCGGATTCAAGCAATTCTCCTGCCTTAGCTTCCTGAGTAGCTAGGATTACAGGTGCCCGCCACCATGCGCAGCTAATTTTTTTTTGCATTTTTAGTAAAGACGAGATTTCACTGTGTTGTCCAGGCTAGTCTCGAACTCCTGACCTTGTGATCCGCCCACCTCGGCCTCCCAAAGTGCTGGGATTACAGGCATGAGCCACCACGCCCGGCCCCAGCTTCTGTTTTACTGAAAAAAGCAAGTTACACACAGTAGACTTGAGGGTGGCTGGCCATGGACAAAACTGTTCAGCTTTAAATACCACCCCTCAACTTCCATCACTTTTCCCTGATTATGTAGATAGTACTAAAAGACTGAGGTCTGGAAGTTCTGCAACAATCCTTTATTGGGCTAAAAAATAACCTTTGGCTAGCTCTACCCTGGCTAGTGCTCTAAAATGTAACTAAAAATAATTCAAAAACAGCAAACAGAAGAATCACGCCAGGATGACATCCCCACCCTACCCCTCAGGTCATCAAGCCTTTTAGTCAGGAAGGAGGAACCTACTGCAAGGCTTCCTGTGCCTCATCCCAGTGGGCGCAGCAGAACCAAGAAACTCCACTTCCACTGCTGGAGCAGAAAGGGGTGATTGCCTCCTTCTCATGGCACTTTGCCACGTTTCAGGAGATGGAACTGGGAGGCAACACAAAAGCTGTGGGCCTGGAAAACATGCTTCTGATGGTTGTACAGTCTCCCTGCACCCGCTCAGCCCAGGAGTGAGCCTCTTCAGAGCTGGTCACACTTGTTGGGGTCATTGGAGGGAGTCATTGAGGACTCTACACATGAGTCTCTGCACATGGGGATCCCTGCCTGGTGTTACCCGGGAACACTCACGGACATGTTCCCTTCAGCCAGAGTGATGCCCTTCCAGGCCACAGGCTCCTCTGTCGGACCTGCCTCAGAACAGCCTGGGCTAGGGCTGATGAGCAATACATTTCCACGCCTTGCACTGACCTGTTCCCACTGGGTCGCAGAGGCCGAGCAGCTGAGAGCGTGTGCATGGCTGATGACCGGGACACTCAGATAGTAGCTGTGGGGGACAGCCCTGCTCAGGTGTGCCTTCCATTCTGTTTGCTTTCAAGTAAAATGATGACCTCAGCACAGGAATCACTGGAGAAAATGTCTGTACACCTCACTACAGTCACTTTACTCACAGGGTTCTGCACAAGTTCCAGACTAGATTCCCTCTTCATTTGACCAAACATGTGTGGGTAGCAGCAAATAAATGAGGGATGAATTTGTTTACAGTCACCCTGGCAACTTCCCTTTACCACTAAGCCATGACAAAACACAACTATCAAAGCTCAAGTGAAAAAACTCCAAGGAATAAAGAGCAACAGGCACATGTAATACTCTTCTTCTTTCCCCTGTCCTGTCCTACCTCACCCCAGCATAGTGCATTCACGTGCTCTCTCACTATGCATCATCTTCCCTCTTGACAACCATCCAGAATATTCTCCTCTGACCCATACACTGGAGCAGGGGTTGACAAACTTTTTCTATAATACACTAGACAGAAAGTATTTTCATTTTGGAGGTCACACAGTCTGTCTCAACAACTGAGCTCTGCCATTGTAGTGCAAAAGCAGCCAGAGACAATATGTAAACAAATGGGCATGGCTGTGTTCCAATAAAACTTTATTTACAAAAGCTGGCAGTGGGCCAGATTGGCCCATAGGCTGTAGTCTGCCAACCCCTACATTAGACTATTACCTCCCTCTGTATCAAAAACCCACCTGCCCATGTCCCAGGCTGATAGGGATCTGCTTTCCAAGCCCAGTGATAACACGAGGCCCTTTTTACCTTCCTGAGTGATGATGCCTCAATCTGCTTTCCCTCCCAGGTGCCACAGACACATTTACTGAGTCCTGATGGTCAATCTGTCTCACAGGAAGGGCTCCAATACTGGTGATTCTAGACACATCAGAGGCCTAGAAGGGCCTGAGAGCAGAGATCATCCAATATATATTAATATGTGTTTTCCCATTTGTAAGCTTGGTCTAGTCATTCCACATGAGTGCTTCTCAACCTTTCTTTACCTACGCTCCCCTTTGACCAATGAAAACAGCATGTTCTCTTTTACTGTTCTTTGAAATAAAAACTACATCAAAAATCTGACCAATAGGGGTAATCCCTGATTTGTTTTAAACACACACACCCCATTTCCCACCACCACCACCAACCCCAACCACCCCACACCCTGATTTGGTCCTCTAGGGACACAGATCCCCCCACGCTCCCTTGGAATCCCTATTCTAAATAGTTGATATTGGCAGGATCCCAGTGTCTTAAATAATCACTGAATTTTAGAGTGGGAAAGAATCCAGAATACACTCTCCCACCCACCCACCCATTTAAGAAGTCCAAAGACTGTCTTCTTTAAGAACTCTGAGGGTCAAAGGCACACAGAAGATGGAGCAGCAGTTGTCTTGGGCAGTGGTGTGCCAGCTTGTGTTTGGGGCAACTTGTGGCATGAAAATGACGTGTCTTCGCACAACAAAGCGGAAAATAGCAGTAAGTGTTCCGGGTAATTCAAACACCAGCTGTCTCTGTGGTTTCGGAGCTGTGGTTCGCTTCTTAATCAAAAGGCATTCGGCCTACAGGAAAGGGGTTCTATAAATCACAGGAAGTTTCAAGAAGTCAACAAAAGGATTCCAAGCAGGAGGCAGCCAGAAAGAGGGAAATCTGATCTTTGCCCATATTATTAAGTTAACATTTTTCTACCAACATTTGTCTTCTCCCCTCTAAAATTCCTCAACTGACTTTAAGGATAAAGAAGCAAATCTATCGTTGGCAAACCCTAGAGTGGGTGGGCCATGAGTCTGCTACTCACTCAAATATCAGCTTCAAGACAAAATATAATAACCCCAAATTAGCTCTTCCTCATGAGCAATAAATTATAAATAAGTTGAAGTTCACAGCCAGAGAACTTGAGACAACCCTGATACAGCCTTAAAAAAAAAAAAATCACATCTCAGGTTACAATATAAAAGGCCTGTCTGGCTTTTTACTCAATATTATAGTTGTCATAATGGCGGTACATGTTCAGAAACTACCTCCTAGTGTTTTAGGAAACATTTCACGCTACTCTAATTCAGAGCATGGCCATCTGAAAATGTTCTCCCTGCCCTGGAAAGAGGCAGGCTGATGGGGGCTTTAATGCCAACTATTTGCACTTCTTACACCCATGAAAATATATGAACACCCTTACTTCTAAGCTACCTTTTGATTATTCCTAGAGTGAGGGAATTCACCCACAATTCTGTGTGCATATACATGCACAAACATGAATTTTTGGCACTACTTAGAAACACGCAAACATCCTCTCCCTTTGAGGTACACACGCAACAGCTACAAAGGGGTTTGAAATGATCAAAAAATCAGAGGTTCAGTGATTCTCATCATCAGCTTGTTTTACTTCAAACTTTCAAAGGAACTGGGTTTGAGGAGGTGGAACCCAGCCACTAAGAACTGGAGGATTGAGCTCTGTGAAGACAGCTGGACTCGTTTCACCACATTTTTTCCCTTGCTCTGCTTTTCTGGCTTGTTACCTGGCTGGCTGGAGGCTAGAACTAGTGATGGTCTGGCATACACAGGTACAAACATGGGTGAGGCTCTTTATAATTATTCTTGGTAAACAGAGCTGACATGTGGGTAAATAATGTCACAGTTGCACTTGCTCAGGGCCAGGTGATGGTTTCCCTGGGGCTTTACAGCCTGGGAGATGGCCTGTCTGACCCTACCAAGAGAGCCACAGGCTTGGAACCATCCTCTGTTCTCCAGGCTGGCTGGCAACTGCTGCCAGTGAGGCTGTTTGGACCTATTACCTATAAAGGACTCATTTGGAGAGAATACTGCAATTGATTTCTCATTAATTACCTTCCTAATTCCAAAAAAGTTTTGAAACCTATAAGCATCAAATTGAATACACTAAAACAGGAGTTGACACACTATGGCTGTAGACCAAATTCTGTCTGAGTAAATAAAGCTTTACTGAAACCCAGTTATGTCCATTCATCTACATATTGTCTACAGCTGTTTTGACTCTGCAAAGGAACAGGTAAGTAGCTGTAAGAGACCATGCAGCCTGAAATGGTTACTACCTGGACCTTTTACCAAAACGTTTGTGGGCTCCTGCACTAGGGAGAGATAAAGAGATAAAATGCTGACAATCATTTAGTCTCAGGGTAGTCATTACATATTTACTCACAAACTGAAGTAAAAATTGGGTTCATCCTAAACAGCCAACAGTAGGGGAATGGCTGGGGAAATGTGGTTAACAAATGGTAGAATAGTATGCAGCCGTCGAAAGTCACATTCATGAATGCTTTTAATAGCATAGCGAAGGACAAAATTTATTTAAGAGAAAAATGAAGAATACAAAATACATTACCAATCAATTTCAACTGAACAAAAATCTTTTTTTCAAAGGAAAAGGTACCAAATGGAAATGGTATATACCATTTAGCTTTAGCAATTGAGAAGTGGGAATTTGGGTGATATTTATTTTTCTCATTGTGCTTTTGGGGGAAGATTTTTAGCCATTTCTACAACAAATGTTACTTTTATGAGAAGAAAATGATTATTTTGAGAATAAGAATTTAAAAAAAGAATTCAACTTTGGGAGGCTGAGGTGGGTAGATCACTTCCAGTCAGGAGATTGAGACCATCCTGGCCAACATGGTGAAACCCCGTCTCTACTTAAAATACAAAAATTAGCCAGGCGTGGTGGCAGGTGCCTGTGGTCCCAGCTACTTGGGAGGCTGAGGCAGGAGAATCACTTGAACCCGAGAGGCAGAGGTTGCAGTGAGCCGAGATTGCGCCACTGCACTCCAGCCTGGGCGACAGAGCAAGACTCCGTCTCAAAAAATTTAAAAAAATTTAAAAAAAAAGGAGTTTATAAACTATATATTAGGGTTGGAGAAACTGTTCTTGGGAAAAATGATCTTTTTGCTATGCTCCTGGTGCCAGATGAAAGAAAGGAAGAAAGAAAAAGTGAGTGGCAGAGAGTAGGCAAAGGTGACATGATTCTCTATTAAAAAAAAAAAAAAAAAAAGAAAAAAAGTTTCCAGTAAAGAGAAATGTTTTCCTAGGCAAAAAGTTGTAAGAAGGAATAGCTTCCATGTACGCAAGCAAGGCCTTCAATGATGAAAGCAAAGCTTCCTGAGCTGATTACTAACTGCTTCTCTGGCTGGAGATATTCACAGACTGAGGTAACCATGAATACTTCTGGGAAGGGTTCAGAGTGGTCCCTCTCTGGGTTTTCAAACAAACAAACAAAAACAGCAACAGCAACAACAACAACAACAACAAAACAGACATCCCCCAAAACTCCTTAGAAATATTGACTAAACACTCATGAGAAAAACCATGACCTGGAATGTTTAGTATCACTTACAATACCAAAAACAATGCTAGTGTCTTAATTTGAATTAAGTGCATACTTTTTGCTGTATTCATAATTGTGCAGAGCTGCCTAATAGCAAATTGCAGCTAAAAGAACTGACAGACTGAAGTGTTCAAATTATAGATTTTGCTGGGTTTTCTTTCCAGACGAGACATTGAAATGCTATACGGCAAAGTAATAGAAGGTTGCAGAATATGTGGTTAAGCAGACCCTTCCATGGGTCTTTTACTTTCCATTTATTCCTACACAAAGCTCTTGACCAAAGATGCAGAAAAGAAAGCAGATAATTATTAAATTGTACAAAATAACTTCAAATATAAAGAAAACAAAAGCGAAAGACAAAGAAAACAATCTATTCTATAAAAGCCTGTCAACTTTCTTTCTTCCCTCCATCGTGGAGGCAAAGAAACACAGCATTACAGTTCCCTGACATCACAAGAAATCGCTTAGAGTGGGAATCCAAGCCCTCTTTAGCCAAATTAATTGAGGAATGAGGTTTGATTACTATTAAAAGCAGAAAGTAGGGCAAACTTAGAGACAGTCATATATCACCCAGTTTCTACAGCCCTGAAAGACAGTCTTTGAAAGGAACTACCCACAATGAAAAGCAGAAGGAAAATGTGTCGAAAGCAGTTAAATCCCAGGCACAATGACCGCGCTGCTCACGTCTAGAGATCTAACATCTAACTAGGAGAATGGAGTCTCCCTACCTCTAGACCAAGCGCAGAATACTCCTTGTGCCAATTAGTCAGTAAGCCTGCTTGTCCTGATTTAGATGAAAAGCTTAGCTAGAAACTCACATCCAGTAAGTCTGTGAGTTAACAGGTGAACGAGAAGTCAGCCTTGATCAAAAATGACAATATTACTTGCATGTAGCCTTTTTCATACATTGCAAGGAAGTATGCTGATGGTGAAAAGGGGATTTAGAGGCTGTTCCATTCAAAAATGCAAAGATATACTCAAACTGAAATTGCATCTCTTTTGGAGTGGCACCATGGATTTTCCAATATAGGAGAACCATAGGGTCAGCAGCCTGTCTTAAATGAGGACAGAAACTTTTCTTTCTTTTTTTTTAAAAAATTTTATTATTATTATATTTTAAGTTTTAGGGTACATGTGCACAACGTGCAGGTTTGTTACATATGTATACATGTGCCATGTTGGTGTGCTGCACCCATTAACTCGTCATTTAGCATTAGGTATATCTCCTAATGCTATCCCTCCCCCCTCCCCCGACCCCAAAACAGTCCCCGGTGTGTGATGTTCCCTTCCTGTGTCCATGTGTTCTCATTGTTCAATTCCCACCTATGAGTGAGAACATGCGGTGTTTGGTTTTTTGTCCTTGCTAGAAGACATTTATGCAGCCAAAAAACACATGAAAAAATGCTCATCATCACTGGTCATCAGAGAAATGCAAATCAAAACCACAATGAGATACCATCTCACACCCATTAGAATGGCGATCATTAAAAAGTCAGGAAACAACAGGTGCTGGAGAGGATGTGGAGAAATAGGAACACTTTTACACTGTTGGTGGGACTGTAAACTAGTTCAACCATTGTGGAAGTCAGTGTGGCGATTCCTCAGGGATCTAGAACTAGAAATACCATTTGACCCAGCCATCCCATTACTGGGTATATACCCAAAGGATTATAAATCATGCTGCTATAAAGACACAGGCACACGTATGTTTATTGCGGCACTATTCACGATAGCAAAGACATGGAAACTTTTCTTGAAGTTGCATCTGCACAGCAAACATACTGTTCTTTTTAAGTTAGAGATTTTGTTACTAGCAAGTAAAAATAGAGATGGCTTTATTCATGTTTTACATAAAATAGAGAAAATATCAGTTTTCCATGTTAAGGAATACTCTTATTTTTACTTGGGGATAGCTTTGGGAAGGGGTAATAGAGAATATGGCCATCAATCCCCCCTGCAAAGCTACCCCAAGTTACCACCTTAAGAGCAGAATAGTTTATTTTAAAATACCATATTTCATCAAACATAAAATGCTATTAATTCAAAGATGTATTTTTATGTTAAAGAGAAGAAGAAAGAAAGAGAAAGAAAGAAAGAGAAAGAGAAAGAGAGGAAGGAAGAAAGGAAGAAAGGAGGGAAGGAAGGAAGGAGGGAAGGAAGAAAGGAAAGAAGGAAGATTATGAATGGTTAAGACACCACTGACTATAAGAAGCATCATGATTTCAAGAATATTGAGGTGGAAAAAATACATATATCAGAATTGGTGAAATATGTTAGGTTTTCAAATGACTGATATTCAGAGTCACTCACACTTCACCAGTCCTTTCAGAAGATACCTGGGTTGAAAATGTTGTATTTCAGATCTTTCCGAGCAAGAGAAGGCTTATTTACTTACTTACTTACCAGTAACTCCTTTCTACAGCCATGCAAAAGCAAAGTAGCAATCTGTGACCTGAGTTGGTTGGCGACTAAACGAATACTTGGTAATTAAACATTTTGGTTTAATATCAACATGATATTAAACACTATTGACTCTTTAATGATATATTTAGTATCTCAAGGTTGTAACTGTAAACATTATTGTCCACTGTGCAATGGTAATGAGAAAGTCTCAAATAACAAATAATCCCAATAGCTAATACTTTAGGGCCTTCTCTACTTCTAAAACGTTGTTATTGGAAAATAGGAATTGCCAAAATTGGTTGACCCAGGACCTGTCCAGCTCTACAATCTGTTACCATGGTAGCCCTGAGATACTCATGGTGGAAGGACACAGCTGTGCCCTTGTATCAACCTCTTTCATTTCACAGAAGCATGCCTTAGATACTCTCGGTAACTATTTGTGATTTTGTAACCCACATAATTTTCCAGACTCCTATGAATTCACTTTTTTCTCCTACATGTACCATCACATCATAAATAAAACGAAGGCCTTTGACAATAACCCAGCCCCAGTTGCTACAGTATTCCTGAGAAATTGTTGCCCAGTCTCATAGCTGGCACAAAGTAAGCCCCCAATAAACAGCTGTTGAAAGACGGAACATGCCATTTCTAGATCAACATTCAAGGTAGGCTCTGATAAGCCCAAAGAAAAAAAATGGAAGATCATGACCTTGGTTTTAAACTCTAGATTTCTATTAACACTGCTTCAGATCATGTTACCCTTAATTCAGCTACAACACACCCCTGACTCATACTGAGTCCACTGAGACCCCAAACAAGACAACCCTCATCCTATATTTGTGGGTTCAGTTCTGAACCTAAGAGCAGAATTTTATCTACATCTCCAAAGGCAAAATGTGTTTCTCTCTTAGGGGCCCAGCCTGAGCTGTGATGACTAGTTGTCTTCAAGAGTACACAGCAACATAAGCTCCTGGGAGCAGGACCTTGGCAAGATGGTTTTCTACTGTGTTGCCAGCACTGGAGAATGGGGCATGTTACACAGCAGACGCTCAGTGAATATTTTCTAAATGAATGAGTGAGCCCCATCACACTTTATTTTATTAGATTTGGTCCATTATTTAAGTTGCTTAGGATTCTTGGGGATCTTGAGCCTATCGTCAACTGTAACAGGAATCTTGCAACTCATCCTACTGTCTACACCAGGGGTCTGCACACCAACCCTGCAGGCCAGGTCCACACTGTCACCTTCTTTTGTACAGCCTGCAAGCTAAGAATGACTTTTACATTTTTATTTTTAATTGATTGATTGAGACAGAGTCTTGCTCTGTCACCCAGGCTGAAGTGCAGTGATGCAATCTCTGCACACTGCAACTTCCGCCTCCTGGGCTCAAGCAATCCCCCCACCTCAGTGTCCTGAGTAACTAGGACTATAGTCATATGCCACCACACTCCGCTAATATTTGTATTTTTTGTAGAGGTAGGATCTCGCTATGTTGCCCAAGCTAGCTCAAACTCTTGGGCTCAAGCGGTCCACTCATCTCCAGCCTCCCAAAGTGGTGGGATTACTGGTGTGAACCACTGGACCCAGCAGACTTTTACATTTTTAAATCACAGGAGGAGAAACTCCAATGAAGAATCACTTTTCATGATCAGTAAAAATGAGATGATAGACAAATTTTAGTTTTCAAAAATAAGGTTGTATTGGAATACAACCACACTTGTTTATGTATAACCATTGGCTCTTCCAAACTATAGTAGCAGAATAAAGCAGTTGTAACAGAGATCATACAGCTTGCAAAACCTAAAATATTTACTGTGTGGCCCTTCAGAGAATAAGCCTGCACACAAAATGAGTAGATAATGGCCTCCTCTAAACAATCAGTTAAAATGTTGAATAGAGTGAGGGCAAGGGCTGAAGTCTGAGCTGTGTGCACACTCTGGAGACCTCTTCCAGTTGGATTCAACTCACTAAGACCAACTCTTGGGGTAGTCCCCAACTCTTAGCTCCCATTTCTCCATCATGTCCCCAAAGACTTCTCGAGAGGTTGTTGAAACCCAGGAGGTAGAGAGGATGATGGGTTCCTGAGTATTGCAGCCCTCATTCTATCTGCTCTCCAATGCAGGGAATAGGTCCAGGAGACATTCACTCTCAGGCAGGTGAAGTACTTAAGCAACAGTACAGGACCATCATGTGCAAGAATGCAAGTTCCTGTAGTCAGTTCAATGGAATAACGTGAGCATTTGCTGCGTACTCAGTAATAGGCTAGACCTTGGAGAACGGGCTCTACAATAAGCAGTCCTTCTGTTCTCTGCCTTCCATGAAGGCCCACAATTCTGCCTCCCTCATGCCCATCTTGTCACTGTCCCGTTAAACACAGGCTGTCTCCTTGCTGGAATCTTAACCTATTAGATGAACTATTTCTGAGGCTAAATGGCTTGAAAAAGAAAAATAACATCAGCCTTAAATAACAAACCCCCTTTGGCTCCCAAGGGCAAGAGGAGGAAACCTCTCTACTAAACTATAGAGAGGAGATGAATTAATATTCTGAATCAATTATCTTTTATTTCTCTCATGTAACAGATCATTTGGTTTCCATAAAATCTTAGCCATTGCCTTCTGGAAAAAATTCATGGAGCCAACAAGAAAAAAGGAGGAAATGATTATAAAGACATCTCTGTCAACAACACTAATTTATTGAAATCCCTTCAAAGCTCCAAGCAGTGGCGCCTGAACAGCTTGGACCCCTATTCTCTCGCTGATTGCCCCTGCCTTTCATTCATCCTCTGGTAATTGCTGACTCCCATGGAGGAGGGAGGTGTGATACAGGGGCATATGTGCAGGTGAATGCTCATTCTGGAGAGAAAAAATACTTGATCTAAGGAAAAAGAAAGCTTGGGAGACATCCCATAACACTCATTGGCAGTGAAGATGGATTTGCCTAGGAATAAACCACAGAATGCTAAAGTGGCACTTGCTGTCAAATGTTCAGACCACAGAATCAAAGGAGGAAGAAAGAGTCGATGGAAAATATGAAGCAGAAGGAGGCCCCATTTCAACCCTGGAAGCAGTGGCTATGAGTGCTAAGAGCTGGCATCAATACAAGACCTGCTTCCCCCAGGAAGCCCTCTCAGATCCCTCCACATCTCACAGATCTCCCCCTTGGCAAACCTCCCTTAGCATTTATCTCCTGCAATAATTATTTTCACCCTTAACAGCAAACTGCTTTGACCAGTGAGCTAAGTCTCAGCTACTGCCTAGAGTGTTAAGTTGCTAGTGCTGCTATGGATAATGTTTTGATTCCTTATATAACTGAGAGCACCTGAGCACATATAGTTTAACTACATAATATTTATCAAAAGAATGAAAAGTGGGAAAATGGCCACTTTCTTCCTTTGATAAATCCAAAGTGGGCATTTTCTAAAGGTGGTGTGCCCTCTGCACAAGACAGACACACCTCCTACCCTTCTGGCTTTTAGTTGACTGCTTTTAAAATGCCATCAATTTTAAATGGAGCTTTTCTTTCTGATGACTGCAGAAGTGATTGACAGCTGTGAACCCCTTGAGCCACTGAGATGTTCTGTTGCAGAAAGAAGGATGACGTGGGTCGGGCACAGTGTCTCAGGCTTGTAATCCCAGCACTTTGGGAGGCCGAGGCAGGTGGATCACAAGGTCAAGGGATCAAGATCATCCTGGCCAACATGGTGAAACCCCATCTTTACTAAAAATACAAATATTAGCTGGGCGTGGTGGTGTGTGCCTGTAGTCCCAGCTACTCAGGAGGCTGAGGCAGGAGAATCACTTGAACTTGGGAGGCAGAGGTTGCAGTGAGCCGAGATTGCGCCACTGCACTCCAGCCTGGCAACAGAGCAAGACTCCATCTCAAAAAAAAAAAAAAAAAAAAAAAAAAGAGAGAGAAAGAAAGAAGGATGATGCTTACTCCAAGCAACGGAGGCAGTCTACAGTGCCATCCCTTCCAGCAACTGGTGACCTCATTGTAGTAATGTCAGCATTTCCAGATACCAAGGGGTTTTTATCCAAATAGTTAAGTAATATTTTAATCTTTTTTCTATCTTAACATAAGCAAGACAAAAATCTGCACTATTGGTGGTTTTATATTAGGATATTCCAGAATATCCCCATTATGCACCCTATTATGCACCCCAACACATAGAGGAAAAAAACATAAAGGTAGTCATATATTGTTCTATTTTATTAAATGTTGCTTTCTTTTACTTTGGGTTGCAGACTTTGGTATGTTTTTATTAAAGTATAATAATGGCAAAAGCTTCTGGTTCTGATGGAATCACCTGTAGTAGATCTTAGCAGGAGTGCTCCCTAGAAGGTTAGATAAGATACAAAAAAAAAGGAAAAAAGAAAAAAAAGATACATTTAAAGGAATCAGAGAACTGCCAAAATCAGGATCTGAGAAGGTATGCCCCAGAGAAAAGGGACGTGCACTAATGTGACCCCACATTTCTTCCCACCTCCTTTCTCCTCGGAGCACTGGCCAATTTTTGGCATGGGACAAGAAGCTGAGAAGCAAAGAGGCAACAGGCTACTGAGAGGTACAGAAGACTGCAGAGTTGAGGCAATCCCACACTGAGAAGACAGAACTTGGAGTTCAGGGTTGTCAAGGCAGCCAGTTTGGGAAGCAAGATCCCAGAGAGAAGCAAGGTATAGAGAAGTAAGCCCCAAACTTGGTGATTTCCCCTAGAGGCAACTTCTGGTTAAGTTGCACCTAAAAAGACGCTAGGAAGCCAGGCAGAGAGGAGCTTAAGAACAGAGTAGAATTTTGAACTATATCAAAGTGATATTGAATTTTAGACCCACAAAGAGTGGGGGCTCTAGGAAACACCTCAGGCATTATTTGAGAACTCCAGAGGCTGGTAATCTAGAAATGGGAAAAACCAGGGGAGGATTAGTCCCTGAATAGACAAGTAATCTGCCCCTCTGCTGCTTGCCCAAGAACAGGGTGTACTCTCCCTGGAGGAAAATAACACTATGCAAAGTTTCAGCAAAATTCATACAGAAATATTATTCCTGGCATATAATTAAACATTACCTAATTATACCAAGAAACAATCAAGACAAAAAATTCACAATAAAAGCAGAACTATAGCTTACCCAGATATAAGAATTATTAGTCACAGACTGTAAAATAGTTGTAATTAATATGTTTAAGAGAATAAAAAATGTTTTAAAAGTAGGAATTCTATAGCAGAAATAAATAGAAATTCTAGAAAAACAACTGAAACTAAGAACTCAAAAGAGAGCTCTAACAGAAGAGTAGACACAGCTGATGAGAGAATTAGACTACTTGGAGATAAAAATGAAAACAGTCAAAACTAAAGAATGTGGGGAAAGGTGTTGGAAAGTACAGAAAATACTGTGAAAGGGTCACACCTGTAATCCCAGCACTTCGGGAGGCCAAGGCAGGTAGATCACTTGAGGTCAGAAGTTCAAGACCAGCCTGGCAAACATGGTGAAACCCAGTCTCTAGTAAAAATACAAAAATTAGCCAGGTATGGTTGTGTGTACCTGTAGTCCCAGCTACTTGGGAGGCTGAGGTGGGAGGATTGCTTGAACCCAGGAGGCAGAGGTTGCAGTGAGCTGAGATCACACCACTGCACTTCAGCCTGGGCAACAGAGCAAGACTCCATTTCAAAAAAAGAAAGAAAGAAAAGAAAAGAATGTGAAAGGCATATAGGACATGATGAAAAGGACTAAAAATACATGCAATTCATGTTTCAGCAGGGGAGGAGAAGGGAAATGGGTCAGAAGTAATATGTAAAGAGATAACAGCTGAGAGTTTTCCAAACAAAAATAACATCAAGCCATAAATCTAAGAAGTGCTTGAAGGAGGATAGATGCAAAGAAGAAAATAATCACATCTGGGTCCATGACAGTAAATCAGTTGAAACAAATGACAAATCAAAAATAATGAAGATGTGGCAGGGAGACACATTATCTTTGAAGGAATAAAAAGAAAAACCAATAAGACAGACAGCTGACTTTCTAGGACAAATAAAGGAAGCCAGATGAAATGAAATGAAATCTTCCACATCTTGGAAAAAATATTGTCAAACTAGAATTTCTTATGCAGCACAAAAAAAAAAAAGAAAAAAGTCCTTCAAAAGTAAAGGCTAAACAATTAGAAAATAAAAATTAAAGTATTTTTATACCATTTCAACAGCATCTAAAAACAGTAAATGCTTAGGTATAAATCAAGTAGTTATCCAAGCACTCTACAGTGAAAACTACAAAACATTGCTAAGGAAAATAAAGAAAACCTCAGTAAATAGATTGCATGTCCTTAAATTAGAAAACTTTTATATAGTTAACATGTAAGTTCTCTCCAAAATAACGAATAGATTTAATGCAATCCTAAATAAATCCCAGCAAGTATTTTTGTGGAAGTTAATAAACTGATTCTAAATTTATATTGAAATGAAAATCAACATAAATTGAGGCCTTAG
The DNA here is from genome assembly GCF_000001405.40 of Homo sapiens. Classification (NCBI taxonomy): domain Eukaryota; kingdom Metazoa; phylum Chordata; class Mammalia; order Primates; family Hominidae; genus Homo; species Homo sapiens. The sequence goes on from NC_000010.11 coordinate 121,256,673, forward strand.
AGACAATCTTGATGAATAGAATTGAAGAACTTACATTAGAAGACATCAAGTTTTATTATAAAGCTACTGTATTTAAGATAGGATATATTGGTACAAGAGTAGCCAAATAAAACAACAGAATCGAATAAGGCACCATACCAGACACTCACATAGATGATCACTTGATTTATGGGAGGGCTACTGAAGTACAATGGAAAAAGGGCATTGCTTTCAGTAAACTGTTCTAAGTAATTTGGATATTCATTTGGAAAAATTAACTTCATATCCTATATAAAAATTAATTTAGGATAGGCCCTGTATCTAATGTGAAATATAAAACAGCAAAGCTTCTGGAAGAAAACATAGTATAATATCTTATGATTTGGGGGTAAGCAAACATCTCTTAAACAGGATATAAAAAGCACTACCATAGAAGGAAACATTAATTGAACTTCATTAAAATAAATCGCTTTCTTTCATCAAAATACAACATTAAGTCTGGGTGTAGTGGCTCACACCTGTAATCCTAGGTACTGAGGAGGCTAAGGCAGGAGGATTGCTTGAGACCAGGAGATAAGACCAGCCTGGACAATATAGCAAGAACTTTCTCAAAAAAACAAACAAAATAAAATATGAAGAGAGTAAAAAGGCAACATATTGGAAGAAGATATCCAAGGCAACATATTGGAAGAAGATATCTGCAATATAAACATCTGACAAGGACCTGTATCCAGAATATGTGAAGAACTCCAAGAAAGCAACAAGAAGACAGACTTACAAACCAATTTCTTAAACAGGCAAAGGATACAACAGGCACTCACAAAAGATAAGCATATGCAAATTTGCTTAAGATTATTGGTCATAATTTGAAGAAACCCAAGTTAAAACCACAATGAAATAAAGTACACACCCACCAGAATGGGGAAATGTAATGGACTAACGATTCCAAGTGCTTATGAAGATATGGGGCACTGCTGGTGAGTATAAAATGGTATTACCGTAAAGGAAACTCCCCACAGTATCTACTAAAGCCAAAGATACATTTACCTGATGACTCAGCAATTTTATTTACAGGCATATACACGATGTTGGCCGGGTGCAGTGGCTCACGCCTGTAATCCCAGCACTTTGGGAGGCCCAGGCAGGTGGATCACGAGGTCAGGAGATCAAGACCATCCTGGCTAACACGGTGAAACCCCGTCTCTACTAAAAATACAAAATATTAGCCAGGCGTGGTGGTGGACGCCTGTAGTCCCAGCTACTTGGGAGGCTGAGGCAGGAGAATGGCGTGAACCCAGTAGGCGGAGCTTGTAGTGAGCCGAGATCGTGCCACTGCACTCCAGCCAGGGTGACAGAGTGAGACTCCATCTCAAAAAAAAAAAAAAAAAGAATTACACTATGTCCTCCAAAAACATAAGTGAAAATATTGACAGAAGTACCATACACAATACCCCAAAACTATAAACAACCCAAGTGACCATCCACAGTGGAACAGATGCATTATGGTAGTATCAGACCATGGAATACTATAAAGCAATAAAAATAGAAAATACTGCTATATACAACAACATAGATGAAGCTTACAGACTAAATGCTAAGCAAAAGAAGAGACAAACAAGAGTACCTAATGTGTGACTCCATTTGTATGACAAAATTCTAAATAGGTAAAACTAGTCTGACCTACCAATCTAGAGGTCAGGCTGTCTGGTTACCTCTGGGGAAGTAGTTATTGACTTGGAGGAGCATCAGAAAAGTCTGCTGGGAGGCTAGAAATGTTCTATATTTTGATCTGATTAAACAGGTGTGTGCATATATAAAAATGAATAAAGCTATAAACTTAAGATGTGTGCACTTTATTGTATGTAATCTATACCTCAATAAAAAAGATTAAGAATGAAAAAACTGAATGTAAAACAGACATTTCTAAGATATTAAGAGAATATCAAATTCATACTCATAGTAGACTATAAAAGAGACCATAATTGAGATGTTATTACACCTTTCTCAGTAATAGAACAACCAGACCCCCCACCAAAAAAAAGGGTAAGGGCATAGATATTAACAAAATAATTAACTAACTTGACTATAGATATAGAGATCTGGAGAATACCTATGTATCAATTGACATAAATAGAACACCAAACTCCAAAATGCAACCCTGTACTACAGTGAAAAGTTACTGCCACACACAATTGCATGAATGAATTTCACCACCAGAATGAGGCATACAACAAAGAATACATCCTGTATGAATCCAATTATAGAAAGTTCAAAAGCAAGCGAATTAATTGTTGGCAATACCAGTCAGGGTAACTGACCTTTGGAGAGTCGGCCTGGGAAGAGGGGGTTATCCAGAGGGTCATTAATATTCTTTCTTGATCTGGGTACTGGTTACAGCTGTTCTGATTGCATGAGTGTCCTCATTTTGTAAAAGTTGATCAAACTATGCACTTATGATTTGTCCACTTTTCTATATATATGTTCCACTTCAATTAAAGTTTACTTTAAAACACTCAAAGAAATATAAAGAAGGTAGCCATCATTCTACGAATTTACAAAACTTGTAATCTGTAACGACAACTGGCATGCATCATAATAATGCTGGACAGGTGAGCTCCAAAACTAGGGCTTAGCCTGGGAGGGTTCTTAGCTTTGCCCAGGAAAGAATTCAAAGGCAAGCTGGTGGCGTTAGACAGCACTTTTATTGAAGCAGCAGTGTTATAGCAACAGAGGTATTGCTTCTTGTGGAGCAGGGCTGCCCCATAGACAGCATGCCCAGAGTAGCAGCTCAGGAGCAGTTCTGCAGTCATACTTATATCCATTTTTAATTACATGTAAATTAAGAGACAGAGCATGTAGAAATCTTTAGAAAAAGGACAGTAACTTCCAGGTCATCAGGTTATTGTCTTGGAAAAGGAAGTGATTTCCAAGTGTTGCCATGGCAATGATAAAATGACACGGCACAATAGTAGGCGTGTCTTATGGAAAGGTGCTTTCACCTCTTCCCTGCCTTCTACCTCAATAATTTCTCATACATTTGCAAACCAGCCTTTCCAAAATATTTAATAATTAATAGTGGATTTCCAGTCAGAAGATAAGAAATATAATCTCACCCATTTGAGAAGGTGAAAGTCTGGCCCATACAAACATATACACACATACATGTATACATCATGTAAAAATAGACAACACACATCATTATCACATTTTGCTAACTCAAGTAATTTTTTATCCAATTCCCTTACATATATACCCACCACAAAAATGACCACCCAAACCAAAAGTCAGCATAGTGCAGTGGTTTAAAGATGGGAATTCTGGAGCCGGATTGCCCGGGTTCAAATCACAGCACTACCACTTAAAAAGATTGTCATTGCGCAAGTTACTTCTCCACTCTGGGTCTTGTTACTTCATGTGCGTATTGAGACTAATACTAGTTCTTACCTCACTAAGCATTAACTATTCTATCACCGTTTACCCTATATCCAATCTCAGCAACAATAGGTTTGTCCAATATATCAAGTCGAAATATCTACTAACCAGTTCCATATCAGAATGATTGCTTGTGCTCACAATGATGAATGTAAAAAATTACAAGCACCTAAAACAATTCCCGATTTAAGAATGGAATTCTGTTCGGCAGAACATTAATGTTCCGTGAATTTTATTGAGTGCAGACCCTGCATATTCAGAATCTGTACAGGGCACATATGGAAACTTAATTAACTGAACTCTTTAATTCAGCAGAACACCAACTGCCAACCACATTGGCTACCTGAGGGTTAATGGCAGAGAGAGAAAGCTAGAGTCTCCATTATCTGATATTGTGTTGATATATGCATCATCTGAGTCACAACACAGATTACTTAAGATGTTTACATTAAGGAATAAAGGAAGTTCTAGATTGCTTGTGAAAGTATTAGAAATATGTCACGTCATTCCCATGACCACAGCCACCATATGATCACATGCTAACCACATCAATCCTCAGTTCTTAACTAAATGAACACTTTTCACCACAAGATTTGCCTTTCAAAACTATTCTACATATATACCTTCCCTTGTAAAACAATTACCTATTGCCTGCAACTTTTTATACTTCTCTTGCAACACTCCCTAATTTTTTAAAATTACTGACTCCTGTTTTAAGCTACTCATCATACTACCCATTACAGTTTTTAATAATGAGAGTAAGATATGGTTCATTAGTGTTGTTAACACCTGTTATGTTTTAGAAGTGTTAACTACCGTGTCTCTTCTAATTATCTTGAACTAGTAAATTATTACATCCTAGAAAATGGCCGATTTTTTCCGGGATTAAGCTGAAACATTTGAATTCAGATGTTTTGTGCATCTGTACCCATGGGCCAAGCATAACCTCAGGCTGTGCTTAGTGAGCTTGGAAATTAACCATCTTTTCCCAATTCTTGGATTATTTTTATATATTTTACAGGCAAGCAAAATCTCAAGTGGAGCAATTTACCACAATTTTATAGTGGCACAATTTACAACAATTTTGTAGTTGTAAATTGCTCCACTTGATAAAGATAGTTATTTTAATAATCATAGTTTAAGAATACAAGTTTTTGAGATTGTCTTGTGAGTTACTTTCTGTCTATTCATAGATAAATTAATGTTGTGGTAAGCAGATGATCTAGACTATAAGACAGAAACTAATGGATTTAAGTGACATGAAAAGGAAACTATTGTTATCAATACTGTTTTACAAATGAGGAAATGAGGCACTGAGGTTCTTAATGACAGACACAGAGCCAGGGAATTGCAGTCAAGATTTGAGTCAAGGCAATCTGACCCCACAGTTCACACTCTAAGCCAATATGCTTTACTGGGCAAAGAAACGTAAAAGAATTGCAAATTATCATAAGGGATACAAAGGGAAAATAGGATAAGTAGGGTTAGGATGTAATAGTTACTATTACTATTGTTGTCTCTTGGACGCTTGGGTGGGGAATCTACTCTAGAAGGGGTATTTCAGGGAAGGCACTTGTGTCCTGAAAGATGGGATGCATGCAGCTGTGGGAAGAGCAAGTGCATTCCAAGTAGAGAGGCAGTACATGCAAAGGCCCTGAGACCAGTGTGATTGCAGCACCAAAGGCATCAGGTGGCACAAGATGTGGCTGAAGAGCTAGGTCAAGGCCAGGTCATGTGTGTGGCCTTAAAGATCTTGCTATGGAGAGCATCTCATGCATACCCCAAATGTCTCATGCGTGGTGCCTGACACATAGTAGGTGCTCAGTAAAAGATTAGTGAATCCTCAAGCTGAATTACAATTAAGCTTGTTTAAAGGCTGAGTCATTATTGGTAAGGGGCGGCGATTAGACAAGAGGACCAGGTCTATATAAAACCAGACAGCCAGTTGGCTTTGATTAGCCCATGCATCTGCAAGGAGCCATCTCATGTGAACCAGGATCAACACTGACAGCCAGTCGCATTCTCAACATCTGGTTTACTTCCAGCTCAAAATGGGAACTTTCCATTGCCTCTGGTCACTTGAATCCTCTAGTCCCCAAAGGAACTCAACTAACCAGGCATGCTAATTGGATCGAGTCAGGAACCAAGGTTTCAATTAGATCAGGGCGCTCCTCTTCATGACAGCCCGAAACAGGCATTCCCATGGGGTGAATTTAGTCTTAGGCCAGGCATCCAGGGGAAAACAAGTCCTTAATTTGCCAAAGCCAGTCCAGGATCCAGTTGGATTTTCATTCAGACACATGCCTGGATTGCCATACTGAACACTCCCTGGCCTAATGGACATAATTCATGGTCTGCACCCCTCCCAGGCAGTGCAGAAACAAAACAACGTTGTCCTCACCTGGCTGTCTGGGCCCTTCAAATATTTCTCTGCTGACAATAATCACAAGTCAGCCTTTGACCAGGCCACACTTCACATCCTTGACCTAGAACTTGCACACTACTCTTGCTCCTGAAACCTTCAATCATAGTTTTGTGACTCTCTTTTGGGTCCTTTTCACCCCCTGGGCTACCTCAAAATGCCTGAAACATTCCAGATCTGGGCAAACAGCGGTTTAGGTCTCCCGAGGTGGGCATCATGTGACCACAACACAGAAGGCTCCTGATTCTTTCTGACCACACACCCCCCATCACCTCCTGTGAACATTTCACTGTAACATGTCGATGGCAACTTTGGGGTTCCCCACACAGCTCCATGAGAGGCACTCGACCCATTCTTATGGTATGCTATTCCCTCCTGGTTACCGGAACAGAAGGAGTGGGGAGTTTAAAGGCCACTGTCTTGATTTATGAGACTTGTCTCTGAGTCTGATCGTTAACTGCTGTAGTACTTAGATAGTAAAACCAAGCTTAAATAAACGATCACAGAGCATGTGGAAGGTCTTCACACACACCCTCCCCTGGTGCTCCCAGAGGGGTTGTTGAAAGCTTAAAGAGAGCCCAGGCCCACTCAAGGTGCTGGGTGGGAAGGTCTGCAGGATGACAGCAGGCCAGCTCCCTAGGGTAGAACACATCCTTGACACGGGTTTGTTTTGAACACGGACCTTGAACATGGCCTAGCCTCAGGAAAGTAGCTTCAGAACGTCTTCTGAGCCATTCAATCTATTTAAATGCCTTCTGGTGCCGCTATACTGTTCTTCATTTTTGTCTCAGCAACTCGGTTGCTCCTAGATTCTCTTTCAGCCCCAGCCTTCCTCCATTGCCTCATATTTTACTCACAGGACTGAGCTGTTGAAAGATTTGTGGAGCAATATCTATATGTTATTTTAAAAGCAGTTTAGGTGGAACAAAAATCCTCGTTTGAGCCTTTGTTGTTCTCAGGAATTAGGTAAATTGAGCTCAGAAACAGATTTCAGCACCAAAAAAGATTGTTTAGAACATCTTTTAAAATCCAATTCTGACAGAGACAATTTATTGCTTTGGTTAAGCAAGCACAGTCTTGTTGACCCTGCTGCAGTCTTACCTTCTATCAAGAAAGGGCAAAGAAAGCTCCGTGGACCTGGCAGTCTTTTTTATTGATTCCATAATTGATGTCAGAATTGCATTCGTCACCGAGTACATTAACTCTTTTTAAAAAGCAGCTCCCTGGTTTCTTCGTGTTATGACAATGTTGCCCTCTTTACTGCGATGAAGGAACATTCCTGGTTCCTGAAAAGTCCTTCATGACTTAATAGTGTTAAAAACACACCCTACTGAGTCTTTAATTATATCAAGCTACTGTAGTGTTGAAATCAGCTAAATTGCAACTCTTGCAGGAGTGACCCAGGCGACAAGAGGGGTGAGCTGCAAACATCTGGACAGCTTTCCCAGCAACTTATGATGGTTAGAGGTTTATTAATAAAACACAGCTGAATGGAAAGGGGGTCCTGCCTTTTGTATTTATTTTGTGTCCTACATGTACACCACCACCTGATCTCTTCTCAGCATGATTACAGAAGGGTTTATTTTTTTCTTGGTAAACCTTAAATTTGCACAAGAAATTCATTTGGCCTTCTTTAAAGATTCACCTACACAGGGCTTTAACCTGCTAATAAGCCCCATGCTGGTACAATTAGTCACCAATTCTAAGACTCTTTTCTAAAATAAATGTGAGAAGACAATTCCTAATTCAGGTTTCCCTCCTTGGTGTGTTTTGATAATTGACAGCAGTACAAAAATAGAAACATGAACTCATTACAAATATATTTAAAAGAAAAAATTATGTTGAGCTCATGAATATGAAAATACAATAAGTAGGCAGAGGAGAGTTTTCACATGAAATAAGATCAAGCATGGGAAGGTGCAGTATATACTGCTTGGAATATAATACATCCAACAAACACGGAATATATGAATCAAAGAAGTTATAAAGCACAGGCTTTTGGGATTTAAAAGAAAATCAAAGACAGCTGGGCACAGTGGCTCACTCCTATAATCCAAGCACTTTGGGAGGCCAAGGCGGGCAGATCACGAGGTCAGGAGATTGAGACCATCCTGGCTAACATGGTGAAACCACATCTCTACTAAAAATACAAAAAATTAGCCGGGCATGGTGGTGGATGCCTGTAGTCCCAGCTACTTGGGAGGCTGAGGCAGGAGAATAGCGTGAACCCGGGAGACGGAGCTTGCAGTGAGCCGAGATCGCGCCACTGTACTCCAGCCTGGGTGACAGAGGGAGACTCTGTCTCAAAAAAATAAAAAATAAAAATAAAAATAAAGAAAAGAAAAGAAAAAATAAAAGAAAATCAAAGATTATAAATATAGTAATATTTGGGAGTTTATTTTTTTCTCTAAATCCTGTCAGAGAGAAAGCAGTTCTCATTTACTTAAATACACTTCAAGCTGAATCACTCATGAAATGTCATTTTATTTAAAATATGTCAATGATACTTGAATAAACACATCCACAACCACTAAATTCATCAAATGAAAACAATGGACTGGGAAAGTTCATTTCTATCACAGGAAAATTTCAAGCAGTTATGAAGCCCAGATATTTCAATGATCTTGGGATGATTGTAGTTAAATTTCTTTGTGTGGCTGCGCCTAAACCCAGACGGGAGAAACAAGTGCAAACTGGCTGAGTTCATTGCTGTCCATATAAGGTGTATTCCAAACACGTCTTTCTATGCCAGCACATTGGCAGAACATTAAATCTTTGTATGCAAAACAAAGAAGGCCATTAAAGTAATTAATTATATATAGATTATGTAATTTTTTAAAATCCCATTTGCCCCAATTATTGGCTCAATTGAGAAAATTTAGGTGGGATTGTTGGGAAAATTATTTCTATATTTTATCCCCTTTGTACCCTGAAGACTGTTTGCAAGGACTTGAAGAGCTGAGAACACACAGGCCCCAGGAATGCCCATGCCTCTCTTATCTTGAATTTATTTTCTTAAGTGCTCTAACAAGAGTAGCAAGTGTGAACATCTGTCTCAACATGTAGTCGCAGACTTTATTTTCACTAGGAAATGTTTGCCTTCCAAATACTAATGGGTTGAATACGTTTTTATTTATTTTCTGTCGGCCCATCACATTGCACCACAAGGAGACAGAACATTTTCTGAGCTTGGGGACATGAAGGAACCAGTTCGCTTATTTTGATTATGTGACTGTGAGTGATGCAGTGCAGGACAGCTCTGGGAAATGGACCCAGAGGTAGGAGCTGGATGTCCATACTAAAGGATGGCTCTACTCAGCCACTCAAGAATCAGAGGCAGCCACTCACCTGCTCCGTCAGGATGATGATATTGCACAGGACAACTGGGGAGAATGGCCTTGTGTGCATTTTCTCCGCAGGAGGCTCAGCAGCATCATGCCTGGATTGGTGGTAAATTTTGCTAAGTCCACTTACAACATTACAGGCTGAAATCCTAACTTTATGGAACAATGCCAGTGGTTCTGTTGTTTCTATACAGAATTGAAATACTATCAATTAATAGACACTTTCTGCCCATTCATTCATTCAAACATTTATCAGGGCTGACCACACACCAGACAACGTGGTAGGCACTGAAGTCAGCAAAGCTCAGACTTTAGCATGAAGAATCACCTGTAAGATTTGTTAAAAGGGCAGATTCTCCAGGCTCAGAAATCAGAGTTGGCTGGGTGAGGCTCCAGGTGGTTCTCATATAGGTGGTCGCTAGACGACACGTTGATATATGTGAGGCTTCGGAGATGAAAGATGAATTTAGTTTTATTTGTTTATGTCTGCCTTCCTTCACTAGACTGTAAGATTCTCTAGACCAGGAGTTGGCAAATATTTTCTATAAAGAGCCAGATAGTAAACATATTAGGCTTTGTGGGCCAAGAGACCACATACTCTGCTACCGTAGCATGGAAGCAAGCACACACAGTATGCAAAGCAATGAACGTGGCAGTGTCCCCGGCCAGCACAAACCATGCAGTGGACTGGATCTGGGCAAGGGTCATAAGTTGCCAACCCCTGCTATAGATCAGGGACCTGATCGTATTTGTCTTGGTACCTCACACCTAGCACAGCACTTGGCAGATAGCACCTGATTGAGAAATGTTGAGTGGGTGAGTGACTGGGCAGCATTCTTGCCTCAGGAATATGAATTCTGGTAGGAAAGACAGTTGACAAAATAATAAACCACCGCAATGGAAGAGGAGCTATGGGGAGTTTGTGCACCCTGTGTCCTAGGAACATTGAGGCAGAAGGAATGTCAGAAGTAAAGGTGTCAGAAAAAGCAAATAAAAACACAGGACACTCCCAGTTAATTCTGAATTTTGGATAAACAATGAATAACTTATTTGGGACATATACTAAATAAAGTATTTGTTGTTTATCTGAAACTGGAATTTAACTGGACATCCTTACATATTCTGTCAAGTTCACAGAGGACTGATATTTGAGTTCAACAAGAAGAGGGTGTGTACTTGGTGGAAAAGGAGGGCAAAGTGTTTAAAGGAAACCATGCGACGTGCCACAAAACAAAATCCAAAGAGCAGGTGTTGCTGCAGGGGGTGGAATAGATAGAGGTCAGGCTGGAGAAAGGGCCAAGGTCCAGTGTTAGAGGCGTTGACCCCAGGACAAAGGATCAGACTCAATCCTATAGACAACAAGGAGAGAACCAAGGTTTTTAAGTAGAGGAGTGACTCTTTCCAGTGGTTCCTATTTAGAAGCACTCTATTCTCTCTTAGGTTTTTCCCGTGGATTAAATCTTGGTCTCACTTTGACCTAGTCTATTCTAGGCCACGGGGGTTGGGTTTTCCTCATTCTGAATTTGCTGATTAAAACACATGCTTTCACACTCACACACATGCACACTCTCACACACACACTCACATGCACACACACATGCTCACATACACACACATTCACACACTAATTTATACACACATGCACACAGCGGCAATATAGTTCCTTTAACCAAGAAAAACAAATGTTCCATCTGGAAGACCATTTGCACCAGTCAGTAAGGAGTCGGGTCGAGGAAGCAGGTTGCAAGCCCCCCTGAGCATCCTGCTCTGTCTTCACGGCTTGTCGGATGCTGACCTGAGGACCACACCATGGAAGGCAGGTGAGAGATCAGCCCAGGGATGCAAACCTGTTTCTGTGTCTTCCTTTTATGGTGTCTGCCATACCGGAAGCCTGTCCCAGGTCACTTCCTCATTGGTCACTAACAAGTCTAGAGGAGATACAAAGTCAACCATTGGCTGCCTTCAGTCGGGAGGAGTCTGAGACTGGCAACTGCTATTGGCCCATGCACTGTCACATGATCCTCTTTTCTGGCAGCCAGTGGGGGATGAACTTGATGGAAAAGAGAATTGAGACAGACGGACCGCTTTGAGCAGCCACTGCTAGAAGCAGGATGATGAAGGGCTGGCTTTGTGGGACATTTCTGGAAAAAATCAATAAGAGTTCGTGACTAACTAGATGGTAACCAGAGAGCAGAGAAGGAAAGAAAGGCATTCTACCCAATTATGTTTTTAGATTAGGAGATTTACTGATGCCACTGGCCAAGCTAGAAAATACAAAAGGCAGCTCCAGTTTGTGACGAGACAGAAATGGCAAGTTGGTTTGGGAAACTGTTTTTTTTTTTTTCCAGGGCTTTGCAATTAGAAGATAGTAAGTAGCTGAAAATGTTTTTCTGAAACTTGCAAGAGAGATAGAGGGGAACCATCACCCTAGGTGCGGTCCCAAAACTCATGTAAGTGGACGAGACCCCATCCCGGGGACAGAACATACAAGATAAAGGGGCCAGGAGAAGAGCTAGTAAGAACCCCAGTATTTATGGATTAATCAGAGGAGAAGGAGAGCAAAAAAGATTGCGAGAGGAGAAAGGGTGGTTTAAAAAAAATAAAAGGTGACAATGTTGTCCTGGAACTTAACCAAGGAAGAAGTGTGGAGGTAAACAGAAAGAGAAACAAGAAAATTGAACAAGGACATTGGCTTGGGTCCAGCAGTCACGAGTGACTGTCTTAGGCTAGTGTCCGGGCGGTGGTAGAGACCAAAGAGGTTGAGCTGCGCATTCTCAGCCCTATCCTGTTCAACATTTTGATTAGTGTTACAAATGAAGACATTGCTTCATTTATTCAACAAATGTTCATTGAGCACATATTCTGTGCCAGACACAACCTGGAAGAAAAGCTTAGCAAACCAATGGATGAGATAAAGCTGGAAGGGGTCGAGATTAATCCTCAGGCAGGGGAGCTAAACCCATCAGAATTTTTTATAAACAGAGCTAGGGCCAACTTAGCATATTGTCAAGCCAAAGTGATTGTTTTGTGGCCCAATGAATTAGCAAATGATAGTAAGTGTTAACTCCAAGTACTTCCAGGAAAGTGCCAGTCTGAATGAGAAGAAAGTCTGAATAAGTAATTATTTTTAACGACAAGTAGTTTAATAACTCTCAAGTAGTAAAATAATTCATACTTTGCTAACATCACTGCCACATAGAGCTCCTTTAGTAAATGCTTTATGGAAAAATGTAATCTGATTTGTGACTAATATATCAATTGGCTAGCAATAAATTTTGTTTCTATGCTGTGGAAGCATTTGCTTTCTTTAGTAGATGAAGCAATCTCCTTGCAATATTATTTACGGTATTAATTTGCTTTTTAGTCAAGTATCCAGAAAAAAGCAAGAGCTGTAGAGTCAGACTGACATAGGTTCAAATCCTAGCCTAGCTGCTCACCAGCGATGTGACTCAGGGAGGATGGCTCAATTTTTGAGTCATCAGAAATATCTTACGTGATAAAATGGGTATAATCCTATCTGTCCCAAAAGATTATTGAAAATAAATTAAATAATATAGCAATGGGTGCCTAGCCCAGGCTGAATGTTTTCCTTACGATGAATGTGAGCTATTATTAGTCTCAGATGCTAAGATAAGTATCCTCAGTCTAGTTCCTGGGTGCTGGTGAGGTTTTCCTGAAGTTCCAAAGACAGTATTCAGTATAGGGCTCTGAGACAATAAAAGAAAAATGAGATGGACCAGGAGGGACATTCTATTGCCATAAAACCTGACAGGGGATAGCAGCTAAGGAAAACCTGTATGAGTTACCAGAGCCCTGGCTGGATCCTCCTGTCTCCCTCTCTCACACCTGGGAAGCCACCTGGAGCATGGATGGGTCATGAAAAGCACAGGATAGGATGTCTTGCCAGGTGTCACGGTCAAGGTCACAGGCTGGCCTCTCCACAGGGATGTGCTGAGTGCTGCCGGAGGAGATGAGGTCAACCCTGCTTCCTTCTGCAGCCAAAGCTCTTCTCCCAGATGGACCTGAGGAAGCCTACTGTCCACATCCCAGGGAGTATGCTGCTCCCTTTGAAGGAGCTGGGGAGGCTTCCAGCAGCCAAGCCCCCCAAGACCAATGAAATAGCCTTGGCTCCAGTTTCAAAATCACAGCAGCAAGAGAGCAGACATCCACGGGCATCACAGGGCCAAACCTGTCTCATCAAAGACATTGTGCACCCTTTCCTAGTTAAGAAAATAGGAATATCAGGGGGAAAAATAAATAGTATGCTTTCTGTTGTTGTTTCAAAGGGAGGATCTTTGAGGCATTTTAACATCAATTTTTTGGGTGTTTATTTTCCTAATCATCATGGCATATGGATTGGGCATCTAGTAAGTGCAAGGTATGGTGCTAGGCTCCATGGAAAAGACAGAGAGAAAAAAAAGGGCATGCCCTGTACTCAAGAGACTTCTCATCTAGTTAGGAGATGGAAGAAACACACAAAAAGAGTTTAACAAAGACCCAAAAATACTGAGGGGATAGACATGGCGTAGGCATTCCAAGTACTTGTTATCAATCCAGTATCTATCTGGGTAGAAAAAGAAAATGAACTGGGCTTCATTTTCTCAGGTAGGCTAGAAAATGAAGTGGTCCTTACTCAGCCACTAACCAGTGCCTGCCATGTGCTGGGTCACCTTGGCCCTGACATTTCCTAGTTAGTTCTAGATGTTTTGGAGAAGAGGAAACAAATCCAGGTTGTCATACTCTGAAGGCTCTTGAATTTGGAAGAGTCTGTGGAGGAGGTCAGAGGGGGAACAGAAAGCAACTCATAAGCTGGAAACACAGCCTAAAATTATCATTGCTTTGCTTTTAGTCACAATAGTTTTTTGCTGGTTTTTTTTTGTTTTTTTGTTTTGTTTTGTTTTTTTGTTTTGACCAATGATAAAAGAGGACATGCGTTTCTACTGCATGAAGTAGGCATGGATTTTAAAAGGCAGAGGAATTATTGCACTCAGGAACTCTTTGAGGCAGAAAGAAAGTCATTACTGTGCCTGCAGGAAGAGCTGGGCATTCAGTACACAATGAGTGAATGAATGAGTGAATGAATGAATGAATGAATGAACAAATGGGTAAGTAAATGCGGCGCTCAGAGCGCTGATGTCCTGTGCGCTCAGGTATCCAGGCAGAGAGAAAGGGGCACCTGGGAGATGGGATTCTATGACTGAGTTTGCCTCTGACAGTGCAACAGGTAAGAAGACGGGAGAGGAGGTGTCACCTCCGACAAGCCAGTCACAGCTTGCTTCATAGACTGACCAAAAATCAGGTAGAGAGACAGTGCGTTCCCCAGCTGCAGATGGTGTCTTAGAGCTGTGCCATGGAGCCCATGTCTTGACAAATGACAACAGAGGCAGAAGAATGGGCTGTGGGGAGTAGCAAAGAACCAGAGCCTCCCCTGCATCCTTGGGGACAGGGAGATCACCAGGGGCAGCAACTGTCGCAGGCAGACGTGAGTCCAGAGCGGGAGGAGTGTGAAATAGGACCTAACAGAGGGGAATTCTGCCCCTTGGAGATCCTGAGCCTAGGAACGTAACACTCCTTAATCTTGCAATAACATAATTTAAAACAAACTTTTATTCCCCCTTAGAGTTGGGCCCTGAGCAAAAACAACATAGAAAGTCATCAACACCAATGTCTAAACACCACTTGAGAAAGAGTTCTACTCGGCACAAGCATTCCCAGGTCCTAGAGAGCTCCCAGACATCATTTATTCTCACCAGGGAGGCAGCCCCACACTCCCTCACGAGGTCTCTGCGTGGAAATTCCTGTACTCAGGGAAGACCCCTAGTCGGTGGCTGAACCATGCGGACTATGACAGCTCTTCTTGTTTTTTGTACAGCTCCCCGCCACCGCCCCCCACCCCAAATGTGCCATTTCGAGTGGCTGGAGTACAAGGTACAAGTAGAAGAACCACTAGAAACAGCATTGGAAAAGTTTCCTGGTCATGAGGTGGAGCGCTTAGGACAGGCAAGTAAAGGAGCATGTTAATCACTCCAGAGCAGAGAGCTACTGCGCACATCCTGCAGGACAGACAGGGCCTGCGGGAGCTACACTGAGGAAGCGTAAACGAGAAGTGACCCCCAAACTGGGCTGCCCATCAGAACACCTGGCGAATTTGTTAAAAATAGAGATTCACAGCCTCGTTATGGCAGGGTTTTGCTTATGCACAGCTGGTGTGGGACCCACAGTGTGTATTTACCGAAGTGCTATGGGCTGCTTCTCAGGCGGTCAGTTCTCTGACTGGAATAGGAAGGAGTGGGATGGAGAGAGACAGGCAGCCGGGAGGCCGGACAGGAGGCTGTCTCTGGGGTTGAGGGCAACCTGAATGCCCTCACTATACTCTTATCCAAAGCTGTAACCCGCACCTGAGTTTTCTGGTGGTGGAAAGGAGCAAGAAGAATTGGAAAGTTCTGGTTGGGGAGCATCTGTGAAACTTGGCAACATTTTGAATATCTGTAGGTGACAGGAGGTTTTACCCCACCCTCCACTCCAGACAAAGAGAGTGGCAACTTAGAGAAATGGGGCTGTAAGAGGAGGAGCTGGCTGAGGACAAAGACAGGTGCTCGGTTTTGGACCCAATCCATTTGAGGGCTTCCTGGAGTGGGCAGCACAGCCTAGTGGCTAAAAGAAGACTCCAAAGCTGCCCTCTGCCTGCATTCATGATTCTTGTTTTGATCTTTCCCTAGCTCTATCGCTTTGGCCTGCATGCCTCAGTTTCCCTATCTGTCAAATGGGAATAATGATAGTGACTGTTTCATGGGGCTGATATAAGAATTAAATGAGTTCATACACATGAGGTACTTAGAGCAATATCTGGCATGTATTAAGTGCTGGGTCAGGCACTGCTATTCTTGTTACCACACCATCAGATGGGAGTCAGTTGGCTGAAGCTGTCCATCTGGGGCTGGGGAGGTCAGGCAGGACTGGAGATACAGATATTTTATTTTCACTTTTTCAAATGATAGTTAATAACTTGCTGCTAAGAGACATGTGTAGAAGGGTCCAGCATGACTTCCCTGCCACTACTTTGGACATGGGTGCCAGCCAGCCCAGCACCAACCACTCTGGAGATGGGATGGACATTGGCAATGTAGAGAGTAGGAAAACCTGGATTCTAATTCTGTCTGCCACCAGCTACTTCTATGGCCTTCTCTGATCTGTTACACTGAGACTTGAGCTTTTCGTGTTCAAATGGCTTCTCCAGCCTTTTTGATTGTTCCAAAATCAAAACCATTAATATCCTGAAAGAAGAAGGAAAAGGCCTCTGGCTCTTTTGCCCTGGTGCTTTGCATAACTCAGATAAGATACAGGATTCTCTGCCGGAGCAGGAGATAATAAAATAGATTGAGCATTGGCGGCAGCCTGGTGGCTGAGTATCCCCTGGGTGGTAGTCAGGATCCCAGTTCAAAATGTTATGGAGCACATGCTGTTTTCTATTCACATTTGGCTGGATATTAAACACAAGCAAACAAACAATAACGACGGCCACCCACTTGGTGGATAGCATAGCCAGTGAATAGCTGCCAAATGTCAACTACACTTCGTGCTGTGTGGACATACACCTTAGGCAGGTTGTAGTGGGGGACTGGAAAGAAGCCAGCTAAAAAAGCCCTCTTAACCTAAGAAAACCCTCTTAACTTCTGTCCTTCCATGGAACAAAACCAAAATGACATACCGCCCCCAAAACATTGTCCCCTCTGATGGTGACTAAAGAATACAATCCATGCTAGGGTGATAAACTACAAACATAAGCTCATTCAACAATGTTTTAAAAAGTTGTCCTTTTTAAAATAGCTATTTCTCTTATGTTCCCTAATCCTTACAAGTAATTTAAAAATCGAGTAATTAAAAATTAATATACTCCATGAAACATGGATTAAATAACAACCAACTAATCAGAACCCTCACTCCATTGGAATTTTTGCAACCTCTGTTGTTTAAATAAACATTAATGATAAGAAAACTCTCATCTGGTGGGCTTGTGGCTTCGATGTGTACTTAGCCAAAAGGGCGGCCACATTTCTTTGGGTTTCCTTCTCATTAACCACAAGGGAACGAGCCCAGAGTTGAATTCAGATAAACCTGAATGCAATTCCCAGTCTGATCATCGCTGGTTACAAGAACTCACCTTAATAATTGAATCTCATGGCCAGGTGTGATGGCTCATGCCTGTAACCCCAGCACTTTGGGAGGCTGAGACGGGCAGATCACCTGAGGTTGGGAGTTCGAGACCATCCTGACCAACATGGAGAAACCCCGTCTCTACTTAAAAAATACAAAATTAGCTGGGCATGGTGGCGCATGCCTATAATCCCAGCTACTCGGGAGGCTGAGGCAGGAGAATTGCTTGAACCCAGGAGGCGGAGGTTACGGTGAGCAGAGATTACACCATTGTACTCCAGCCTGGGCAACAAGAGTGAAACTCCATCACAAAAAATAATAATAATAATAATAATAATTGAATCTCACTAAAACAGTATACTTCTCATTTGTGTAAATAGAAATGAGCACTTGCTCCCTGGAATTATTTTGACCCTTATAATGGAGTTGCATTTTCAGCTGGGGTGGGGGAATTAGGTTGTAAAGTTAACGTATATACTCATATTTTCCTTGAAAATGCACTAAATGGCCAACCACTGTCCAATAGAAACATAATGAGAGCCACATATGTAATTTTAAGTTTTCTGCTTGATGCATTAGAAATATAAGAAACAGGTGAAATTAATTTTTATAATATATTTTATGTAAACCCAGTATATCCAAAATATTTCAACATGCAATCAACATAAAAAATTACTAATGAGATATTTCACCTTTCTTTGATGAAGTCTTCAAAACCCAATGTGTATTTTACACTGCACATCTTAACTAGCCACATTTTGAGCACCCAGTAGCCGCCGGATGCTGCGGCTCCAAACCATTCTTGTGTCTAGGGGAGTGGCAGGCCAGGTCTCCATGAAGGCAACCTAACTAGATTTCCTCCAGTGTTGAAGCCGTTGTGCATTTCTTCAGTTGAGCACCACAGTGAAGCAGATGGTTCACCTTTAGGGCCCAAGAAGGAAAATTATCTTTAAGTATCAGAGTTGCTCATTGAGCAAAACACGGTCACTTCCTAGAGGCACCACTGAACACGCTGGGGAAGGGTAGGGCCTCCTCAGCCACTTCACACATGACGTACATCCCTGAAACTTAGTTGGGAGTTTGCCCAGTGTGTGCCTATGAAATCGTAAGTTAAATGTACATATAAATATGCCTTCACTTTGTGCATGGATGAAATTTCAGCTCAGAGGACATTCATTGAGCTCCTACTGTATGGCAGAATCCAGAAACTATAGAAGTGTCTGCCCAAGTTCAAATCTTCACATAGTTACTTAGTAGTTCTATAACATCTGATGGATGATTCGATTTCTTAAGTCTGTTTCCTCATATGCAAAACCAAGATGATAATAACCGTTCTCCATTGATAGGGTTGTTATTTTAAAATTAAATAAGATAATTGGTACAAAGCACAGGGCAGAAAACATGCTTACTTCACTTTCCTATTCTTCATAGTGATTAGGATGGGTAGGCAATAGATATTGCTGATTATGACAGTACGAACAGGGTTGGCCCAATTCATTAAGGGGATGAAGAAGACTTTCAGGTCCCAAAACTTCTCCTTGCCCCATCAGCCACCAGTTCCTGACACAACTCAGTGGACAATCATCCTTTTAGCCTGTATCATTCTCTCTGGGGCTTTTATTTAAAAAGTGGAAGAGGAAGAACAGCTGGAGCCAAGAGCTTGTTAGTATGAATGTCATTTATTCACCTTGTTCTTGTCTAGAGTAACCCCAGGAATCAATGATGCTCATTTGGCCAAGTAGGGGCTCAGAAGCAGGGGAATGACCAGTCTGGGTTATACACTTCTTCACGGATAACAGTTGACCCCCCGGAAGGCATGGACATATTGACTCTAAAAAACTGATGAGGGTCATTCTATTTCCCCACAGACACGGCTAAGGAAAACCGAAATACTCACACGTCACAAGGTACCAAACAGACTAGAGGTTATGATGACTTCGGACAACTTTCTAATCTGTTTGTCAAAGTGTTTTCCTTCCAAGAAAGGTGAAGGCTTAAAGAAGAATTCCTCACCAAAAACATATTTTTTAACAACCAAGAAGAAGAAAGAACCTGGAGAAGAGGAAGAAAATCAAACACATTTTATGAAACATTAGACAAAGAAAGGAAGAAAATAAATCCAGGCCTGAAGAATCTTGCCAGCAGCATGCTTAGCAGTGAGGGAAGAAGATAAAGTCATGAGCTACCAGCCACATGCGTGCAGGTGTGCACGTGTGCACATGTGCATGTGTGCATGCATGTGCCTGTGTCCATGTGCACATGTGTGTGCGTGTGCATGTCCGTGCGTGCATGTGTTTTCCATGGGCTCTGCACCTCTCCTGCAGGTAAGGAGCTTGCTTCGTGTGTCTTATTATTCCAATGGGCTGTTTAAGAGTGGTGCCAAGAAATGAGGTGCCAAATAAAGAGCATTTTGTCGGAAGAAAGACACTTTCTGCTGTCTGTCCCTCTGTGAACAGCAGAGCAGGAAACATCACACCTGGTGTTAAGAAGCAATGCCTTCAGGTCGGCATCTGACCTCAGCACTATTTATTGTGAGAGGCTGTCCTCTGCCCTGTAGGGTGTTCAGCAGCATCACTGGCCTCCACCTAGCAAATGCTAGTAGCACCCCCACCTTCAGTTGTGACACCAAAAATATCTCCAGATATTGTCCAGTGTCCCAAGGGGGGCAAAGTTGTCCCCGGTGAGAAGTCCTGGTCTAGGGCATGCTGGGGCAGCCTGCCATTTTGCCCTCCAGCTAGACCGAAATGCAAGGCAAATTATCTGCTTTCTGAACCAGATGGGAAAAATCACTTAACCAAACCCTGCCTCTCCCCTATATCTTCTTTTTTCAGCTCCAACACAAGGACAGTTCAATTTAGGAAAGCAATGAAGAATATAAAACACAGCCTGGCGATGGGTTTTCTAAGCCAGATTTGGCCTTCCCAGCTTCAAAGATCATGAAACCTCTCATTTGTACTCCACAAAGCAGCAATTTCTCACAAGGATACGTTCCTTTGACTCTCTTAAAAGTCAAGTACAGCTTGGTAACCACAGAGTACAGAAAATACAGGCTTTCTGCAAGAAGCAATTATTCAAAACCCAAAGACTTAAAAAAAATGAGCATGTCAAGTCGTGTCAGTTACAACATGTAAGACAACTGGATTTCTCCACTTATAAGCAATGAAATGGTCTGGATTTGTTTTTTTCTGGCCGACTTTGATTATTTCTTAGAGATATAACCCAAACTGTCTAAAAATGTTGACACCAGGTTACTGACCTTTTAATTTAAAAAAAGAAGTTCCAGGTTTAGTATTTAGGCTTTCGCTTTAAATGTTCACCAATCATTACATCCATAATTAGACCTTGTGCTGGAATGTACCAAAATCTGCCTCCTGGATCACTTACAAGGTCTGTTGAAGCCACGAAAAAACTGAATACTTCAGCAATGGTTAGA
This sequence comes from Homo sapiens, assembly GCF_000001405.40. Taxonomy (NCBI): domain Eukaryota; kingdom Metazoa; phylum Chordata; class Mammalia; order Primates; family Hominidae; genus Homo; species Homo sapiens. The sequence continues at coordinate 121,277,437 of NC_000010.11, forward strand.
TTTTTCTGGGCTGGCACAGGAAAACTCAGTTCATGGAATATAAATCAGCAATCCTACACTCTAATTTCCACCCTTCACATGTAGCATGATTATACAACAGAGCTGTACACGCATCAAGTCAAAAACCAAGGCTTGTTTGCCAGAAGGAAACCAAACCTTCAATTCTGTGGTTAATGCCACCTAGGGATATAATTACACAAGCTAATATCATCTTTCTACTGGAGGAGAGGAAAAGAGATTCTCATGGGCAATATTCATTTGAATTAACCATCTTAGGTTTAATACTAAGACTACAATCAAATTCCTAAGGTATTCTTATTGAAAAGTTTAAAATTAAAAAATTATTCATCTGATAGTAACATTAACATGCTTATAGTATATCTTATCCAGTTTATTAAATGTCCATTTCAGAAGTGTTCTCAAAACACTCCCTCCCACATAATTAAAAGGATTTTGCTTAAAATAAACCAATTGTATTATGACCCTCACACACAGCAGCAGAATTTAGGGAGAGTTCAAACATTCGATGAAGCACTGGTGCTCCTTATTGGGTCTCAAGACACCAACATTAGTATAACATATTTAACTAAAGGCAAGCACAGAAATTGTTTTTATTAGAAGGCTCAAGAGGGTACTTATTAAGAAAGTTTCGGGCTGGGCGCGGTGGCTCACACTTGTAATCCCAGCACTTTGGGAGGCCGAGGCGGGCGGATCACGAGGTCAGGAGATTGAGACCACGGTGAAACCCCGTCTCTACTAAAAATACAAAAAATTAGCGGGGCGTGGTGGTGGGTGCCTGTAGTCCCAGCTACTCGGAGAGGCTGAGGCAGGAGGATGGCGTGAACCTGGGAGGCGGAGCTTGCAGTGAGCCGGGATTTCGCCACTGCATTCCAGCCTGGGCGATGGAGCAAGACTCCGTCTCAAAAAAAAAAAAAAAAAAGTTTGGGAGGTTGTGGTATTTGCTGTCCATTGCAAAAACTAATTCCTAACAAGCAAGTTAGGCACTTAGAATTACAGGAAGATTCATATGCGGATCATGCCGAATCTTTCAGAACATTAGCACCCTTCTAACATTTCACAGATACTCTTAAAAACTGAAGAGTACTGCAGTGAACAGTTTATTATAAAGAACCATCCACATTCATGTATACACCATGGAATACTATGCAGCCATGAAAAATAATGAGTCCATGTCCTTTGCAGGGACATGGATGAAGCTGGAAACCATCATCCTCAGCAAAGTAACACAGGAACAGAAAACCAAACACCACATGTTCTCACTCATAAGTGGGAGTTAAACAGTGAGAACACATGGACACAGATAGGGGAACAACACACACCGGGGCCTGTCAGGGGGTGGGGGGAAGGAGAGAAAGAGCATTAGGACAAATACCTAATGCATGCAGGGCTTAAAACCTAGATGACGGGTTGATAGGTGCAGCAAACCACCATGGCACATGTATACCCATGTAACAAACCTGCACATTCAGCTCATGTGTCCCAGAACTTAAAGTTTTAAAAAATTAAAAAACGAAAAAAACCAAAAAACCCATCCACATTAAAACTTCTCTGGACTGAAGAACTCCTCTGCCACCCGACTTTCTTATCCCCACCTTGGATTATTCCCTTTGCCCACTGACCCTAAGCATCGTCTCTCATCCATCTCCATGTGTGAACCGCAAAAGCATATGGGCAGTTTTTTAGAAAGCTAAACATAGGGTTACCACATGACCCAGTAATTTTACCCCTAGGTATGTATCCGACAGAAATAAAAACATATATCCATCCAAGAGTTATACATGAATGTTCACAGAGGCATTATTCCTAACAGCCAATACGTGAAAGCAAGTCCAAATGTCCATCAACTGATGAATAAATGCAATGTGGCATATTAGTCAGTGCTATAGCTAATATTCCATCTGTGCAATGGAATATTAGTTAGCTATGAAAAGGAACAAAGACCTAATACATGCTATGGCCATGGATGAACCCCTAAGACATAATATTAAGTGAAAGAAGTCAGTTAAGAAAGGCCATCTACTATATGGTCCCATTTATACGAGCTGTCCAGAAAGACATGGGTTCAAGTATAAATAATTTTCCTAAAATATAATTCACTCCTCTACCTTATACTGAAGTTTAATTAAAACCACACCTAACATCGATTTTTAAATTTACTTCTTAAAATATATTACTTGCTTGTATCAAAATGACAATTGAAAACATATTTAACAGAATCCACCAAACAAAAGACCACTATGCCACATTGATATCCAATAGGAAATTCCAAATATTGCAACCAAAAATACAAATCAACTCTTTTTAAAGAGATAATAGTACCGTTAGCCTCTGTCTTCTAAATGTTTGTTCTAACTACCATTTCTTAAACTTCTCAACTTGGGACTCTTCTTCGATTATGTTGAGAAACAATGAGATATTAAGCATTTCAAAGTCTCCCTGAGTTATCAAAGAATCAAAAATAAATCCCAAATTGCCTTTTAAGTGTGAAATGTGGTTTTTTTCCACTCTCGGTTGAAAAATGGCTGCAGAAATTATACTCAGATTTTCCATGCTATAAATCTCTCTCAAGCTAGGACTGGGCATGAACATTTTTAGCCTTGAAGAATATTTTTGTCAGAAAGATATGACGGAAGCAGTCAGGGAGCTGTAATCATCATCTATGTGTTGCCTTGGCTGCAGAGGTCAGTGTTGGAAATGAGAGGTGAGAATGCAAGACCCTTACCAAAGAAACAAAAAAGAAAGCTACAACAACAACAACAACCCTTATTGAAATGCACACAATCCAATCAAATCCAATAAAAATAGTATGCACCAAAAGAGCCATAAAAAATGTTCATGTTCTTTGGCTCAGTCATCCCTGTTTTTAGGAATTTATCCTAAAGAAAAGCAAACCACTGTGACATGATTTATAATAGAAAAAAAAAACAAAAAACAACTGGAAACAGCATCAACATGCAACAACAGTAATTGGTTAATTAAATTATGGTACATCCTTTTGATGAAATGTTATGTCTCCAAAAAGACTAAGTATAAAAGACATGGAAATGTACTTATGATATAAGGTTAATAGGGAAAGAATAAAAATATAGTCATAATAAATATATAAAAATGTACACTATAATAATTATGCAAGCAAATGTATTTATATGGAAAAAGGATTAGAAGAGACTATATAAAAGTATAAATCATTGTGCTAGCATGGTGGGCCTACTCATTTTTTTCTCCATTTTCTCAAATTGCTAAAATATTACCACAGTCTTTTTAAAAATTAAGCCAACCGTACACATTTTATGAGAAACTATTTCATTAATCAAGTGGCACGCTTACTACCAACCATACTTTACTTGTGCTATTTGTGTCAAAATAATGGCCATCAGAGACCCCCAGTCAAGAAACAGGGACAGGAAATATGGATCTTTAGCTGAGGGTCAAGCTGTGGTTCTGTGACAGACTTGGCCATGAGAAGAATTTTCTGGACAATAGAAGTAACAGAAGAGGCTCTGTTTTCCGAACTCCACATACGTACTGCTGATTTTTCTTTTTAAATTTCCGTTACATCTCTTGGGAGGAAATTGCATGTGAAAGATCAGAAGCCCCTTCTTTTGTCTGCTGAGACTCACCTGGTAACTCACTAGTCTGACCAGCCCTGAAGGAGCTTCAGCAAACATTCCCTGGGAACAGTGTGCAAGAGGGGTAAGCATGGACTGGCAAGGTGGGCCAGGGGGCTCAGCACTCTGCCCGGGAGGCAACAAGAAGTCTGTGAGGGTTAATTTCATGTATTAACTTGGCTGGGTTATGGTACCCAGATAGCTGGTCAGACATTGTTCTAGATGTTTCTGTGAAGGTATTTTTTACATGAGATTAACACTTAAATCAGTAGCTTCAGGTAAAGGAGATCATCCTTTAATCTGCTTTACAGTGGGTAGGACTCATCCAAAGAGTTGAAGACCTTAATGGAAAAAAGACAGACCTTCCTGAGCAAGAGAGGATTCTCCCAGCCTACAGCCTTCTCTGACTTGAACTGAAACTTGGCTCTCCCCTAGGTCTCCAGCCTGCTGGTCCACCCCACAGATTTTGGACTTGCCAGCCTGCACAATTGTGTGAGCCAATTCCTTACACTAAATCTCTCTCTCTAGGAAGAGAAAGAGACTGTATACATATAAATATATATAGAGAGAAAGTCATGTGCTACATGATATTTCAGTCAATGACACACTGCATATACAATGGTGGCCTCCTAAGATTATAATCGAGCTGAAAAACTCCTGTCCCTAGTGACATAATAGCTGTTGCAAGGTCATAACACAAGGCATTACTTGCATATTTGTGGTGATGATGGTGCAATCATCATCATATTATATGACTGCACTGCCAGTCATATAAAAGTATAGCACACACGATTATATACAGTACATAATACCTGATAGTGATAATGAACAACTATGTTACTGGTTTATATATTTACTATACTTTTTTAGAATAGGTTTTCTACTCATTTAAAAAAAATTACCTATAAAGCAGCCTCAGGCAGGTCCTTCAGGAGGTATTTGAGAAAAGGCATTGTTATCACAGGAGACGACAGTTCCATGCGTGTTACTCCACCTGAAGGCTTTCCAATGGGACGAGATATGGAGGTGGAAGAGAGTGATACTGATGATCCTGACCCTATGTAGGCCTAAGCTAAGGTGTACATTTGTATCTTTGTTTTTAAGAAAAAAGTTCAAAAGGTGAAAAAAATTAATAGAAAAAACCTTATAGGATAAGAATATAAAGAATACTGTATATGTTGGTACAGCGGCACAATGCATATATTTTAAGCTAAGTGTCATAACAAAAAAGTAAAAAATTTAAAAAAATTAAGTTTAAAAAGTAAAAAATTAACTTTAGCTTATTGTAAGAAATACAAATGTTTTGATAAGTTTAGTGTAGCCTAAGTGTACAGTGTTTATAAAGTCTACAGTAGTACACAGTAATGCTGTAGGCGTTCACATTTACTCATCAGTCACTCATCAACTCACCTCAAGCAGTTTCTAGTACTGCAAGTTCCCTTCATGGTAAGCACCCTCTGCAGGTACACCATTTTTATTTTATTTTATTATTTTCTGAGATGGAATCTCACTCTGTCGCCCAGGCTGGAGTGCAGTTGTGCCATCTTGGCTCACTGCAACCTCCACCTCCCGGGTTCAAGCAATTCTCCTGCCTCAGCCTCTGGAATAGCTGGGATTACAGGCACGCCCAGCTAATTTTTGTATTTTTAGTAGAGACAGTTTCACCATGTTGGCCAGGCTGCTCTCAAACTCCTGACCTCATGATCCGCCCACCTCGGCCTCCCAAAGTGCTGGGATACCAGGCGTGAGCCACCGCACCTGGCCAGGTATACCATTTTTTTAATCACTTACATTGTATTTTTACCGTACCTTCTCTATGTTTAGATACACAAATACTTACCATTGTGTTATAATTTTTATGGTATTTAGTACATAACATGCTGTATAGGTTTATAGCCTGGGAGCAATAAGTCATATGATATAGACTAGGTGTGTAGCAGGTTTGTGTAAGTACACTCTATGATGTTTGCACAACAATAAAATCAACTAACGATGCATTTCTCAGAGTATATCCCTTTTGTTAACTGATGCATGACTATATATACATATATATATATACACACACACACACATACTTGAAACTATATACATATAGTACATATATGGAGTACGTATATACCTATAGTACGTAGATATATGATACTACACACACACGCAACACAGCCTATCAGTGCAGTTTCTCTGAAGAACCCTGACCAGTATAGAGCTCTGCTTCCATAATTGTTGCCTGTGCTGTCACCTGGTGCAGAGGTGTTCTGAGGACATCTGTTGAATGAGGAAGGGAGGAGAGAGCTGCTCTTGCGTCCTGGAATGGGGGCGCTCTCAGGCCAGTTGCCCATATCCCTCTGAGAAACTCATGTAAATTAAAACACTGGCAAAAAATTATTAAAGTTATAACTCACAGAGCTCCTGCCTCTGCGTGCCTGCCTCTGCGTGTCTTTGCTAATATTTTCAACGTTTGTTAAGAAATCACGTTTACCATTGTATTTCCTATACCTGGCTCACCTGAATCTGAGATCCCTAACCACACACCTGAGAACCCTACTGAAGCCATTGGTTATGGTCTCCAGTGGAATCAGTTTTTACATTTACAAATGACTTGCTAATTCAATATGAAGTCACAGTAATTATGACTTAGTCCTGTTCGCCAATTTCCACCTTCCATATAATGTCGACAGTATAAAGACAATATACTCATTGTTTCTCTAACATGGGATTAATATTTTGTCTGCAATAGACAAGACCTCCCTCTTTTCAGAGTCCTTTGTGATGTACCCTATTAATCAGTAATACGTTAAAGACTTCTCACATTTCAGAATGTATAACAGCTTATGATTGAGTTACTATTTAATTTTCTGCCCCTGATTTTTGAGGATTCTAATCCCAAAGTTTAGTCCAAGCTACACATTTTTGGTAGTTGTTTAATGCCCTTATAAAGTTTTTCTTTTAATGGTAATAACAAAAGGTCTGATTTTAACACTACCTTTTACGTAACTGGTTTAAATTAGCAAGGTGTATTCAAAGCACACTGACTTACTGATTTAACATATTACTGAAATGGATAATTTCTTACTTACATGATTAAACTGCCTGGTTGTTTTACTATCCTAAAACCAGTTTACTAACAGGAACACACACCTTGCCACCCAGGAGGAAAGCCACGCCAGGAAAAGGACAACAGGACCCCACCTAGGGCTCAGGGTCTAAGTATTTTCATAGAAAATGAGAAATAAAAAATATTTGCATTCTTTGCATTTTTCATCCTGCTTTCCCTTCAATGAAGACTATTCTGAGATTCAACCTTTAAAAAAGAGTCAAGGGTCAGTCTCCTTTGAGGGACTTGCTCCAGCATGGAATAAATGAGAGCCAGTCTTGTTGAAGGTCACGTTACATGTATGCTTTGAGGAAGTCAGTCTATGCACGAATGACGTTGGAAAAACCACCAGTATACTAATTCCCCAGGAAAGCAAATCCTATGTGGCCCACAAAGGTGGCATCATTTCAAAGTGCCAAATATCCACTTACATCCCTGCAGTTGTCCTTGCACCATTTCCCTCTCAGGTAACTTTAATCAAGTCTGTTAACATCAACCATCAGCTCACTTCCTTAAGCCATATCTGCTACTAGATTGAGGTTTCTTAATCCTAACGACCATCATCAAATTGCAATCATCTGGGGAGACTTTCCCAAAGCACTATTCCTGAGCCCCACCCTAGACCAGTTAAATCAGAATTGACAGGAATGGAACCTGGGCTGATTCTAATGAATCAGGCAAAATAAATGCTAAGACCCACATGACAGACGGGCTTTCTAAAGCAGACCTTTAGAATCAGATGAAATAAACCTTCTCCTCTGAAAGCTCCCCCACCAATTATTCCAGGCCACATGCTTCACTGCTCAGGTAATGAGAGGGTCTGGGCTCCAGAGGTTCAGCCACTGCTCTCTCAAGATACTTTTCTAAAACGACAAACCTCCCAAAGAATTTTCCAGAGTTTCACATGTGCAACAGTTGAAACTATGTTGTGTTGGGTTGTTTTTTTTTTTCCCCTGAAAACACATGTGTCCTTTTGTTTCACGGTCTCACTTGGCACCAAGCACCTAGTTCATTTGCCCATCAGATTAGCTCGAATTACATGCTTTTACTGCTCCTACAAGCTAATGCAAGAGACCTACAATTAACTGTGGGCTGGTTTAAGCCCTAAATGAAACTAATGTCTGCCCCGACCAAATGCCTCAGGACCCACTTTTTTTTCCTGTAAATTGCTATTTTTGTAGGCTGTCTTCCAGCAGTTGAGCCCCAAAACAAGTTGGAACTGTAAACCTACTAGATTCTACTCACAAGTATTGTTGAATCCGTCTCTTGCACTGTCTCTGAAAGCTTAGCAAAATGCACAATAGTGTCCTTATGAAGGAGGACAGAATTGCCACTCTTAATATAGTCTCATTCAAGTTCACATAATAGCAGAAGTGAGAGAAAACCACCCACATCCCTGCCTTCCATGGGTAGGCTCCATATGTCAAGACATAGGAAGACATAATATTGCCTGCCTTTATATCTGCAAATTGAAGAGCTAATTCATTTCTAAGGAAAAAGAAATACATTTGGCACTGAAATGGAAAATACCAGGAATGTTGGAAAATTCCAGTGCCAGTTCTAAAATGATGACAGGGTACACAAATGTGTTCTGGCTGGTTAAATTTTGCAAATTTCAGAAAAAGATGAATGGATAATAAGCATGATTCTTGCTTATGGACCCCCATGGAAAAGTAGCATAATATCGGTATTACATTACCTTTCATTTCCATCAGCAATGAGTTACACTATGTCAGTCCCTAAGAGAGACAATCAGATAAAACCCTACCAAGTGCCTGTGGAATTTGCTGCTCCTGGCATCAGGACTGAAAGAGCAGGGTGAATTAAGCAGAGCTAATCGTGCTTTTGGAGGTGGAAGGGTGGGGAAGAATGCATTTATGTAACTCTCCTCCGTAGAGCAGCAGACTTCATTTTGCCAAAGATCACTTTTCTCCTAACTACCATCATAAAAGAACCAATGAAGGCTTTCAGTAATAGGAACTGCGAGTGGAAAATGAGGTCCCAAACTGATGTCTTCACTTGCCTGACTCAGAAACCATGTCTTCTGCAATGACTTTAATGGTACAAGTAGTATCTGTTACCTCCCCTGAGAGCCAGACTCTTGGCCTGACATCCTTAATAGTTAAATTAGACCACCATTTCCTCTGGCTCAACTTTTATTCCTGAACAAGTCATACTGGTTGCATGGTCAAAGGTTGGATTATACAGAAAGTCAATAGGTGCTTTTGAGGCTAAAGAGACAAGCACCTGTCCTACTTTAAAAGCATCCATTCCTCTCTTGTTTTAAGATTGAAATATACCTGGAAGGGTGGTTACTAACCTCTAGGGTTCACTTGCCCAGGAAGCAGGAGACCATGATCTGAAAAATCATGTCATCACTTCCATGTGTACATGACTGTGTTCAAATATGTATAGATGACGTCCTAACAGTAACAGACAAATTCATTTAAAAGCATTTCCTCATTTAGAGTAGCTTTTTGACATTATAGGTTTCATCAACATTGGATACTGAACATACAACCACAGGCCATGAGCATCTGGACAACTTTGTGACATTATGAGTAGTTCCTCCATGTTTGGACTCACCGAGCTAGGAGGCCATCAAATTTCATTATTGTCTGAAGTCACTTTCAGGGCTCCAGAAATATCCTCTAGAGAGTTTGAGAAACAAAATGCCACAGTTTTCTTATTCTTGTTCCACATATTGGTATTGATACCTCCTAATGATGTAAGTGCAACAGACCCCCCAGGTTACAAGTCACAGTAACCTGAGCATGTGCAGATGAACCCAGCATGCCTGATTAGTGACCCTGGAGCAGGCTGGAAAGAAAAATTCAAGCACATGTGAAATGTAAGTACCGAACCCAGAAATGGGGACCAAATTAAGAAGTGAGGGGTGCCCCCTTTTGTTGCAGTATGAACTTAAAAGTCAAGGACCCAGCACCACCTCTCTGCATAGCCCAAATCAGGTCATGCCTCCTTGCATTTCCTTAGCTCCCTTATAATTACTCTCAGCCTATAAAACCTGTCCCCAGACCCCAGCTCCGGGAGACAGATTTGAGGTTTCCTCCTGTCTCCTTGATAGTCAACCTTGCAAGAAAGCTTTCTCTTTTGTCAAAAGCCAGTGCCATAGTGTTGGATTCTATGTGCATTGAGCAGGGAACCCATTGCTTGGTGACAATTACCATAATGATGATAATGTCAGGAACAGCATACAGAAATAACGACTTTCCCAATGCTATGGAGATCCTTAGGTTCAAGAGCTGAGGTCTTCTCCTCCTCCAGTTCCCTTTCTACTTTATCACACATTTCTTTGTCATTTCCATAAGATCAAGATGACCTTGGCTTAAGTAACAGCTAAGAAGGCAGACCTTGGAGCCCCGCTCTGTAGGTTTAAATCCCAGGTCTATCTCTCACTAGCTGTGCAGCCTTAGGCAATTGACCTGCTCTCAGCCTCCGGTTGCTTACCTGAAAAATGGATCCCCATTGAGTTTCTACAGTGAAAGAGCCATGGAGGGCCTAAGCCTCAGAGCCTGGTCAAGTATTTGCCATCTATACTGCCTGTTTTCCCTCTCATATAATTCCCTTTCATCATTTGATCTGTTCATCATGCACTCTTGCAGAGACCATTTCAGAAACCTCTCCAAACCAGGCACTGACACAGAGCACTTCTCCGGTTCTATCTGTTCCAAACATTTCCCATATTTCACCTTTTTTTTTTACTCTTCCACATTTTCAAGTTTTGAAGATTTGTTCACAATACAATGATTTAGGGTTCTGGATCTTTATTTATGAGCCCTCCTGCCTCTTGCCCAGATACAGGGTGTGGAATATGCTCTTAAGTTGCCTGCAGAGACACAGTTAACCAGAGCTTGCACATGTGTGCATGCACACACACACACATACACACACACACCCATCCAGGTACACATCAGAGACCTGTCAGCAGGTAATTATCTTCCATGCTGATGGCTCTGAATTGCTGACTGCCTTCCAGCTACATTCACTCTTCAAACTTCCAACTTCACTTCCTGTCCTCTTTGCAGCGGTTTCTGACTTCAGGAGCCCTGAGGCAGTAGACCTGCTCAGCCCTTTCTGTCTTGCCTCTTCTTGCCCCTATAAAGATTTGCTGCCCTGAGCTATACAATTTCCAGAGCAATCATGTAAGATACTTTACAACCCAGCCCAGTCCAGAAGCAGAAAGCTATCTTTCTGTAAAGTCAGTCCAACTGTTGTCTTATTATTAGTATTTTATTGGCCAAAGAGTGCTTGCCCAGATATAGTGGGGCTATTTTTACCCAGGCTGTCCCTTTGCAGGTGCGGCAGGCAATGCAACTTGAACCTGTGTGGTTTCATCTAACGCAGGGGTAGAGGGAAAAGAGTGGGCTTGGTGAGTTCATTCACCTATGGGATCCTCCTTGTCCCTCTTTTATCTTCTCTGTGCTATCTTCCTTTCTTTGCTCTGATGAATACTCCTGGTGGCTTGGTACGAGCGTAAAGCCAGAGAGGTTATGTAGCCGAAATTCCTAAGAAGGGAGAACTATTTCACTGTGCACTTACAGATATGTTGTTTCACTGATCCACAGTAAGTGCACAGTGCAATAGCATATCTGTGCACATCAGTAGCATATCTGACTCTATTACCAGTAGAAACCACAGATGTTTTCACGTAACATTCAGTTGTTGCAGATTTCTCAAAATAACACTTAGGCTCGTTGCTAATTCTAAATGATAGTAGTTATCAGACCTACAGCTAGATCTTGTATTTTAATGCATTGAAAGAGCACATATATCACTGTATCACAAATTTGGGTTTTTTAGTTTTTGGCATTTAGTATTAGTGGATAAAAGGACAAGGTGCAGGAGGGGTTAAGTGGTTCTGCAGAGCTGGTCTGACACCCAGGGAGCTCTCTGAGGTCAAGGGATCACTGTTCCCACTGCTGGTCAACTGGTGTCAAGGTTTTGGTCCCCTCAGCATTATTCGTGGCCCCTCTATATTTGCGTGATAGCTGAATGCCTCCACCTTTGATATTGTTTTAGAAAAATGTTTCTCATTTAGCACTTTGGGAATAATATAAAATTTCAAAAGCACGGTGTGAAATATTGTAACTATTTTGAAATCTTATATGCTAAAATTCATTCAAAAACTTTGTGTGCATATGTGTATGTGTGACTCTCTTACTCTCTCCCTTCTCTTCCTTCCCATTTCCCAAATAACCAACCAAATGCGCATTTTTTTTTCATGCTTTCAGTGATCTTCACTAAAAAGCTCAATGTGTGCTCGTGATAAATACACCCCTGTGGCTACTTGCAAGAGAAACAAACCCCAGCATGAAAATACCAAGTCCTTCCTCTTTTCTTATGTAAATAAATCTCCAGATGGCTCATTTGTAAGACTGTGTTTACTAATTTGTGTTTTCTTCCTAGACAATCTGTTCCCAGTAACCATTCTATCATTGAAACTGGAGGTAATGCTTACAATTTTACTTAATAAAAAGTCTATCAGAAGACTTGGTCCACAGGGGTAGAGTTGGTAGTGCCAATGCCACACACACACAAAGCCCCCAGGAAGGGCTAACCAATGCTTGTGTTGTTGCTCTTGTTGTTGGACAGGAGATATGTTAAATTAGAATCAGAAGAGAATAATTACTTTCATACATAGTAGAATATCAGAGGTGGAAGGGGCCACAGGCTCATCTAGTCAAGGAATGGACATGTACGCCATGCACGCTTTGCTCTCTCCCCCATCTAGTACCCATGGCAGACATCACCAATCATTCATCCTTTCCAATTGGCATCCTTTCCAATTGAACTCAGAGGTGATCTCAAAATGCCTCACCAAGTCACTACCAATCAATCACAGTTGACATGTAAGATCATACACATTTGCCATCACTTAGCCCCTCATTTTACTGATGAAACAGTTGAGACTGTGAGGGCGGGAACAATATTATTCAACACTTCCCAGCCAGTTAAGAACATTAGATGTTAGGCTGGGAAATTTAAACAGGGATCTATGATATTGGATGGGAAATTACGTCTTTATTTTCACTACCTCTAACTACAATCTAGCATTTTCTTCATTTATGAAGAAGGTGACAAACCACAGTAGCACTAGCACATCTGACTTTGTCACCAGAAGTCACAGACATTTTCATGCAATATTCAGCTGTTGCAGATTTCTCAAAATATCACTTATGCTCATGGCTAGTTTTAAATTAAATCGTTATTAGACCTGCAGCCAGATCTTATATTTTAATACACATATATTACTATATCATAAAATTTTTAAAAAGTATTTTGATAACTATATTTCAATATATTTGGCTTCTTTTGTAATTCTACGTATTTCACGTTATGCCCCTAAGGCATTGTTCTGAGAAGGGAGCCAAAAACTTCATCACACTGTCCTGAGGGATCATGGCACAAAAAATTAGGAAAAACCCCTGGTTAAGAGAAAAATCGGGTTTCTTAAACTCCTACCTTCATGTTCTTCCCATAAAACAAGGGCCTCACCGTGAGACCGCTGCCATCTTGGACTGCCCCAATATTTACCTCCATATTAATAAGAAGGTTTTCTAATTTTAAAAAATTATTCATGCTGATTCAAGAGAGAGACAAAGCAGAGATGCATCAAGCAAAGAGTACAAGTTCCCAAGCTCCACTCCCCCAAGATAACCATTGTGAACAATTTGGTATATGGCTTTCCCGACACTACACTCATTATGTAATAAACATGGAATAAAACAATTCATGCTCCTCTACAGCTGGATTTTGTCACTTAACAACATAAAAGAATATAGATGATATCACAGACATCTTTCCTTTTTACAGCTTTGCCGCATTCTTTTCAGTGGCTCCAGAGTGTTCCAACTCTATGAATGCACCCCAATTCATTTTATGAGCCCCCATAACGGAGATTCATAATCCAAAGTTTTCTTGACAAAAGGTAACAGAGAGAAGTTATCATTTGAACTTGAGAAGCTTAGAAGTTTGGCTTTCACGGGTACCACAGCACTCTATGGAACAGTCCTGGTGATGAAGAGGTCGCCAGCGAAATAAACCACAGCCTGCAGCTCTCTGGACCAAAGAAGGTGCCTCTGTCCTTGGCAAACAGATGTGGCCTTTCCAGGAGGTGAGTGTCTTAGGAGGTGAGTGTCTCAGGAGGAGTTGGAGTGGTGGCAGGAGAGGTTCAGTCCCCAGCCGGGTGATTCCAGGGTGAGAGTGACCCAGTGCAAGGGCATAAACCAGACACTAGGCCCTATATAGTCTCAGGGACACAACAGCAAGCGTTACCATCTGCACTTCGTGGGTTGGCGAAAAGCCTCAAGTTCTACTGGACTCGGGGCTCCGCTTGAGAGGACACCCACTCATGGCCATGGAGCAATTCTCCCTCTCCAGCTCTGATTCTGTTCCTTCTACAGCTGTGTGTGATACTCCTGCAAACCCCTCCTACTTCAGAGCCACAGCTGACCGGGAAACCTGCCACCTTGGGATCAGCAGGTTTGGAGAACTATTGTCATCAACTGCCTCTGGGTGGACAAACGGGGAGAAAAAAATAAAAGAAACTCTAGTCAAAATCAGTGAATACATAACTTGGTTGACATCACCATGCCCAACACTACTATTAAAATGAAACCAGAAAACTCAGGGAAGGCCAATACAAGAGCAGAGGCTCCAAAGAAAAGAGGAAAACTTGTTTGCAAAAGGTGAAGTAATGAGACAGCAAGGCACCAGGACACACGTGGAAACCCAGGAGAAGCCAGTCATCTCCTCCCGCAAGTGGCTTCAATGTGCAGGGGAGAACTGGCCTGACAGTGCAAGACTGAAGCACGGGGCTGCTGGGCCCAGATCCCCCTGTGATTTGGGGAAGTGGCTTCCCGGCTTGGTTTTCATTTCCCCAGCCACGAAATTAAGGGTTGGATATAAGAACACTTTTCATCCGACCCCATTCCTCTACCTCTGTTCATTTGTGCTCACCACCCACCAAGCTGGTTCTGCATTCGGGTCAGTGTCCACCTCTGCCTGGCTCCTTTCCTCGGACCCCCTTTTTTTTGTTTTCTTTGTACGCCTTTATTTCTCAGAAATTGGGCTGCCACCTCCTCCTCCTTCCTAACTCGGGTGTCTCTTCTCCCCCTCACAGATGCTTTCTTCTCTGTCCATCGCATCTTGCTGTCTCCATTCTGCTTTGGGTTTCAGCAATTTTAAATTCCCTGGCTTGGAGTCAGCTCCTCTATCAGAACCAATGTGGCTCCAGACTGTGCTACCCCCGTTCCATGCAGGAAATAAAACAAAGCCGGGCTTGTTCCCAGTTTGATAGGCTGCAAGTTTAGGGAATGGGGGCTTCAAATCTTTCACAATTTTGTTTTGGCACCAGAGCGTCTGTGTTTAATTCTGCATCTCCTGCCAGACTTGGGAAGCTGAGGCGATAATATCAACATGTGGAGAGATGGGGAGCAGAGACTGGCCTCTCTCCCCTCCCCGGCGGTGGGGGCAGGGGATAGGGTCACACGAGCACACACAAACACACATGCTCACATACACAGGCACACACGTGTACAGGCTCCCTCAAACATACACACTCACCCATGCGCATCCAGACACATATACAGGCACACAAAGACACACGTGCACACACTGATACATATACTTCAACAAATACACATGCACAGTTATGTGTACACCCACAAAGAAACATTCACCCATGCAGAGAGACACACACTCACCCACCCATAAAGACACATATAGCCACACCAAACATGCACACGCAGACACTTGTGTGCACACTGATACATACATTTCCCCAGTCATGCTCACACACATAGGCACAGGTTCATATTCAATCACACACAGACATACACACAGATGCACACACATGCCCACTGATGCACACACTTGCACACAAACAGGCAGAGGGAGGTGTGTGCTTTGCGTGGCAAGGGGCTGGGAATATCACAGAGCAAGCCATTACGGCCGACCCCCAGATCCCAGGACCTGAGAGAATACAGTTTGTGATCACAAGGCCTCTCCAGGAGCACCCATCATAAAGTTCAACCAATTAAGCAGACAGTTTCTATGGAGACGTTTACTTTACTCAGCTCTGGAGTTCTGCAGCTCCTATGTCCTGGGAGATACGCTGTGGCTGCAAGTTGTGGTCAGTCTGCCGCAAACCCAAAGCCCCGTAATCTCTTTGCATTACTCTCTGCAGATAACTGAGTTGTCTTAGAAAGAACAGGCATGGGAATGAGATGACATTAGCTGACCTCATGTAGCACCCGAGAGGTGCCCAGAAAGAATCCGCCCAGAGCCCAACCACAGCTACCACCAGGGACCACCCCATCGTTCACTCCTTCACTCACACATGCATGCACTCAGCAAGCTACCCCTGAGGGCTAGCCAAAAGCCACAGATGTCCCCAGGCTCTGGGAGCACATCCACAAACCAAGAGGAAGGTCCCTGTCCTTCTGGATCCTATAGTCACAGTTGCGGGAGGAGGCAGACATTCATCCAATAATCACACAAAGGGATGTGAAATGACAACTGTGATGAGAGCCCCAGTTCCGTCACAGAGTGAGATGGGGCAACACCATCAATTGCTCTGGCAATGTCAATTTCTCTGGTATACCACCCTGTCTTCTGCAGCAGTGGGGATGCTGGGGACCAGGTAGGAAGGACAGGACGCATCTACCTACAGACCTGGCCCACAGAGAAACCCAGTTACGTTAGCCTCATTGTTCTTGTCATCCACCTCTCTAGGCTCTAGAATCTTGGAGAGAAGGAACGAAGATCATTAAAAACTCATGATCACCTAAGTAGGGTAGGGGGGCTGTAGCCATAGATGCCTTTGCATGCTTTTAGCAGGAGAAACAGACATAGGAGAAACAGGCTACCATGAAGAATAAGTAAGGTAATGAACCTGCAGCACTTAGCAGTGTGCCTGGCACCTAGAAGCTGCCTAAAAAATGTGGCTGGTGTTGCTTTCCTGTTATTTAGTGTCCTAGTTATGCTTGAGCTCAGGTCTTCAGTGAAGAGATCTACATCCCTCAGAGAGAAAAGAATTGCAGTGAAGGCTGGAGGGGACCATACACCCCAGGGAGAGGGTCAGGGCAAGGAGCCAAGCAGGCTGGGCGAAAATTTGGCACGGCACATCCAGGAAAGGATAAGCCAGAACTGATTCGCGTCTCCTCTTCTATCTGATACTTTAGGGCAATTTAAAATGTGTTATCTGACAATATAGAAAGGAGAACATTAGAGTGGCCATGCTGAAGAATGTTAAGAAATCATCGTTTTACAACAGATTATCCAGTCCTGACTTGGTGGAATCAGGACTTCTGTCTTTATTTGTAAAAGTCCACCACCAACAGTTAGCATTGCCTCCTAGAGCCAATAGCCTGTGGGTACTGGAGAGGGAGGGGTGCCCGGCTGCTGGGGTGCCACAGTGGCCACGGTGATGTAGATTCTCTCTCCATTGGGCTTGCCCAATACGTTTCACGGGACGTCTCCCCTAATCTCTTGACCTGCCTCTAGTTCCTCATGGAGGTGGAGACCTGCCTTGAATCTCAGGCCACTGTGAGCCTTGTTATCAGGAAAGCAGGGTTTTGAAATTTCATCTGCTAATCCATGAAAAACAATACAAGACACTGGGTCTGGATACTAGCAAGCCCCTGTTTAAATTCCTCTCTGACACTTACCAGCTGAGGATCTTGGGCAAGTCACTAACCACTGTAAGCCTTACTTTCCTTGTCTATAAAAGGAGAATAATAAGACCTACATCACAGAGTTATTGTGAGAACTAGATGAGATGATGCCTCTAAATAGCTTTTGTTTGTTTCTACTCCACCTTTCTCCAGAGTAGGGGTGTGTGTAGTGTGTGTGTGTGTGTGTGTGTGTGTGTGTGTGTGTGTGTGTTGAACAGGGTGGATAGAAGGAAAAAAGGGATGGATAAATAAAGCCTAATCAGGCATCCCATAATGACACAGACGCGGCCACCAACACAGCTCTTGTTCTAACAGCCACCCCTCACAGTGTCTCTAAGTCAAGGGTGTTCAGCACAGTGCTACGTTTCTCATTTCTTAAAAAATTGTAAACATATTGTAGTCAGTGCCTCATGATCAAAATGGAATTCAAACCATCTCTAGTAATGGTGATTTAAAGCTTGTTAATCACTGTAAATTATTTTGACACCCAAGTGAAAAGTCCTCTGCGATGCTTTTAGAATCCCGTTTTCATTTAACATTAATTAAAGGCCACTACCCGTAAAGTATTAATAAAATCAAATTCCCTAAAGGAGCTCCCAGCTGACAGGCTTCGGCTCTGGGCGAGTTGTGGGACCTTGAGCAAAACACAGGCCATAATGAAATTTTAACCATGGAAATGTAATCAGCACGACCATGATAAAGAGAGGGCATTTCTTGGGAAGATAATAGATACTTTCAATAATAAATTTTATGATCCTCATTAGCCTACCTCCAGCAGTTTATGGCTACCATGGCTATTTAGCAAAAGACTTTCAAGTCAAACAACCTTACTGACACGCTTTATTATTGTTTCATGGCTCTATTTGATTATCCTACAAACATCAGGCCCAAAACATATATTGGGGGCAGGGAAATTGGCCCTGGTGGTGTCAGAGCAGAAGAATGTGAGGCTAAGACCAAGGACAGAACCTGGATGATGATCAGAAAACAGAGAGAAGGGTTTATGTCACTCTCACAGAGTTTATGTCCCTAAAAAGTAAAACGGTGGCCCACCAACTTCCTTCTTTAAGAAGGAGTGAATGTCAATTGCTATGGCGTTTCTTTAATCTTGTCTCGTTGGGATTGACTGGCTCCTCAAAACACCCAACCCAGCAGCTTGGCTCCTTTGTGAATGGATAGAAAATGGAGTTTGTCTCCTTTGGCAGCTCCATTTCCAAGGCTGAACCATAAAGCCACTGTAGTAACATTCATGGAGCTGAGCAAAAAGCCCTGGGAGAATATGTACGCATGCAGTCTGGTGCACGGGCTCAAATCTGGCGTATCCTCCTACAAAGACCTGAAAGCATTTGCCATACTGCCTTTCCCCTCCCCTCCTTGAACAACTGAATGGAACCAAGAAATTTTTAATCTATTTTTCAGAAACTAAAAGCCATGACTGTACATCTTAAATACTTTTTGCTTTAGCCCATTTTCATCTGAAATCCTAATGACTTACTGAGAAGTTGTAATTAATAAAGCTATTAGCCCAGATTCTGACCTCAACTCTAAATCCTAGGGCTTTTGTTATCATGGAGGCAGGGCTCTCAGATACGAGGAAATATCTCCCCTTATCTTGGTGGCATAAAGTTCTGGTTGAGAGCTGTTCTAAAATTATTTTTGAGTGCTCACCCCAAATAAGGACACTGTTTGCACTAGAGGTGCCCATTATCTAAAGACTAGGTGTCCATTCCAACAGCTGATGCCCTCTAACTCCAATCCACTGCAGCCCCACAAAATTCCCTGGGCCATTTCTAGAGCTGCGCAGGGCAGAAGGAAGGATTCAGGACATTCTCCCAACCACACACATTTATGTAGGATAAATCTGAATAAAATGAACATGGAGTCCACATTGTTGTTGGAGAAGCTTCAGACCCAGCCAGACCTTCTTCTAGGAGAAGGAAAGGTATTTAGAGGTGTTAATTTCATCTATGAAAGCATCCAGCCCATTAATACCACCCTTCCCAGCCACTGCAGGGTCCCCCAAAGCACAGCTCCCTAAAATATGAAGCTCCCAAGAGAATCCTGAGATCCTCTATTTTTGACAGGCAGTTCTGTCCACTTAGGTAGGCAGGGCCATCCCACAATGTTCTGCCTGCAAACTTGCCAGCTGAGCAGGCAACGATGAAAATGTAGAGCAGATGGACAGTCCCATCTGCTCACAGAAGTGATGACAGGCCAGCCCCCGGCCCCCACCAAGTCACTTGAGATGGGATGCAATGATCATGTGAGCAATGTTTTCACAAACCTGTCAGAACTTATTCATCCAAATAATGGCTGTTCTCAAAGAGATTGCATTTAAAGGAATTATAATTGCTCTTTTCCTCAAAAGCACTTAGAAATCAGCCTGCATAGTCCATTTCCAAGCTACTCAGTAAGAGTGAAGCCTGAAGACTAAATGAGAGGATTAAATAAGGTTGGTCTAAAGCATGCCTACTGTGGTGCCAAGTATATAGTAGGCACTTAATAGCTGTTGACCATTTTCACAATTATTATCCTTCTGTCCTCTTACAATGTGGTTGGCTGCCCTTTACAGGGAAGTGTAACCCTCAGTGAGCAGAGCCTGTCAGTCACCCAACTTATTTCCCATGAGGCACTGGGAGCACCTGATGCAAATTAAGGACTAAAACCACAGTCTTGGGTTAAATAATGTCACTGTGGTATAGAATGATGACAGGGCAAGCTTGGATCAATGTCTTCAGGAGCACTATGGAAATTACAAATTTTATTCTGAAATCTATCCAGCTATACCACGAGGGCTAAAGATAATCATTTGGCCTCTACCTCTTCCTGCCTTCAAAGTAGGAGGCAGAGTTTCTGTGGCAGAGATAATACGGCATGCTCACCAAACCTGCGTCTTCTTCCTGGCCACCCAGGAAGCCTGCATTCCCAACATCCTTTGCAGTTTGGTTGAGACCGCATGAATTTTAGTGCCATTTTATTCACTCCCCACCCCACTTCCCTCTTTCAGGCCATAGGCATGGGCTGTGAGGTGAAATCAAAGGATGGAGGAAGCCTGGGCACAGCTCAGAAAAGAGGCAATCTCCCCAGTAGAGTCAACCAACCAGGAATATCTACATTAGACTTTGTGTGAGGAAGCTGTACAATGTTATTGTTACACCACTTAAATTGGGGGACTATTATCAAAGCAGCTAACATGAAGTATACTGATTAATACAGCCTTCCCACTAAAGTTTTAGACAACTTCCTGTTTGTGAGAAGCCATCTCATATATGACAAACCCAGATGAAGAAGTAGATTAGTTAAGATCTGGGTAAGGACACCCAAGATTTTTCCCAACTGAAGCCACGTGAAGCTCTAAACTGCACTCTAAAACAAGTTCCACTTCTGGAGAAGGGCCGAATACATGGACAATGGTGGGTAACTTTGCAGATTATCAATTTCCTACCTCCAAACTAGTTTTGTAAGCAGTTGAGATCAAGATATCAATCATAGAAACAGCTTTAGAGCTAGAAATGCACCTTAGAGTCACAAGAAGCATTTGATTGTTCAGAGTTAGAGGAGGTTGGCAGTTTTAGAACAATGCGAGAGGGGGACGCTGAAGCCCAGAGCAGTTGAAATGACATATCTAAGGTCACTAGTCAGTGAGGAAAGAGGCTGGGACCCCCATCCTACAATTCTCATCAGTTCCACCTCTCCCTTTACAGTCTAAAGAACAAAAGCCCAGATTTTTAAGTGAGAATGAGATGGTAGACTCAAATTTATGTATTTCTAGGGCAAGAAGCAGGTAGCTCCAGGGAATTCTTCATGAACCCAGTCTTGAAAACCCATTTAATGGTTGATTCAGTATTTCTGGGACTTGACTTAAGCCAAACAAAAAAAATTACTGAAGTGATGAGGGAAATAAGCAAAAGATAATAGCTTCTCCAAAGAAACTGCCCACCTTGTATCTGTGGTATATTTAGAATTTCACTCCGGAAGGAGACTTGATTTGACATAAAACATATAAAAACTATCTTTGAAAAAGAGCAGGATATCACACTCTTGCATCAATGTTTAGGCCAGTTCAAATACTGGCTAAAGTAAAAGAGATTTTACAAAACCGTCTATACATAAATAAATAGCACGTTATTAAGTAATGACTTATTAAATAAGAAGGCATTTTTTTCCAGTTGCATATTCACTTGTAATTAACAGCTACTTCAGATGTTTGACTTTGTTGGCCCTGTTTCTTGGGGAAGAGGCTCCACATGAGAACTAGTGGCATTGACTGGAAACAAAGGCAGATGAAAAGTCAAAGTCTTACAGCTCCTCTTCACAAATAGGAAAGAGTAGTTGGAATTGGAGGAGGCATCATGAGACAGTCCTAGTCCTTGAATGTTTACTTGGCGGAACCCAAATCCAATCCAACCAAGGGTGTGGTCTTTCAGATGAGACTGTGAACCTCTGAAACTCAGGCCCCTCGGCACAACTCACGTGGGGGATGCAGAGGACTGAATAGTGGCCTCCAAAAAGATATATCCACATCTCAAACCCCAGAATCTGCAAATGTGACCCTATTGGGAAAAGTGTCTTTGCAGATATAATTAAGTTAATAATTTCAAGATGAGATCATCCTGGATTATACCGATGGGCCCTAAATCCAATGACAGGTGCCCTTATAAGACAGAAAAGAGGAGACAATGGAGAGAAGAGGAGAAGTTCATGTAAAGACAGAGGCAGAGATTGGCGTGAAGCAGGTGCAAGTCAAGGAACACTTGAGCCTCCACAGGCCAAAAGAGGCAAGGGAGGCTACTCCCTGAGAGCCTTCCCAAGGAGAGTGGCCCTGAGAACACCTTCATGTTAGACTTCTGCCCTCCAGGACTGTGAAAGGATCAATTTCCATTGTCTTAGCCACCCAGTTTGTGTGATGTGTTGCAGCCGCCCTAGGAAAATGACACTGGAGGCTGCTGGGAAGGAAGGCCCATGGAATGTCCGGGAAGCTCCTCAAAGGAAACCAGGTAGGCCCCGTTTCCTCTTTAGTGTAGGGTGAGTGGGAGATACTCGGCGATGACTCAACAAATATTTATTCCCACAGCAAACATTTGCTGGTAGAGATGTCTCTCCATCCTCCACTGGTTCATGGGTTAGCAGAAAAGGGCAGGCTTAGGAAACATTCACCAGAGCACTGTGAGAAGCACTACAGGTGATACAAAATTGGTGCTCAGTCTTCAAAAGTGTCTCCCAAAGGAGTAGCATGCCCTATTGTCACCTAAGGGCCCGCTGGGCATGGATAGTTTCCAACCCATGAATACCACAGTGGTAAGCAATACACCTATAGGTTTCTCCTCCTTCTCTTTCTCCATCCCTAACTCTGGGCAGGGAAGGTGAGGTAGAAGACAGCAAGGAGGATTGTGAAGTGGAGGGGGCAAGACTCAAATTCTGTAAAAATTCTCTCCTAAGTCTTGGGTTGGGACTACAACTGCTATTGACCTGTGGCCAGATGGTAACACCTGTAAATTTAACACAGTGAAAGTAGGATTCTGTCCAACATCATTGAGAGCACAAGTGCCTACCAGAAGCAAGAGCTTGCATGAGAAAGTCTCACTCAGCTCTGTCTATAACAGTCCTCAATTAAATATGAAGGCAAATGGGTGACGTGGGGGGAACCCCCAGAAAACCCACACTTTCCACTTCGTTTTCCTCAGATTGAAAAATAAAAGGCCAGTCAGTGATAATCTGCTGAAAACAAACTGTTGGGAGAATTTGCAGATTCTGAACATGGAAGATCAAATGTTGTAATAGAAGGGAATGAGGATGTTTAAACTAACCGGAAAAGATAGATCCACATTGCAGAGCAATCAGAATTCACTGAGTCTGTGCTTTTGTGACAGGAAACCACCAAGTTTAACATTAAAAATGTTCATTCAGAAATCCAAAGAGTTGTTTTTTTTATGGCTCGGGTCCTTAAAAAATAACAGCAGGGGCCAGACCAGCAGGAGTAGAGGGTGCAGAGCTGAGAGGGGAGAGGGTGCAGACATGAGGAGGGCAGATGCCCGCATGACATCCAGAGTCAAGTTCAAGTAGGGCCCGGGGTCAGCGACCCCAAATGAAATCGCACAACTGGTCAGCAGCCTTTGACTAAAACCAATTCTGGGAAAGAGACAATCTCCCTGGAAATGTTTAGAACACATACTGGCTCCATCCTTTTCTGCTCTCCAAGGACGACTGAATCCATTTTGCTCAACACAGCATTTTTAGACAATGTGGGTTTTATGGTTTTTGTAAAACAGAGGGAGGAATGAATTGCAAAACCAAATATAACTAGAAATGTCTTTGTAATTTTTAAATAAAATAAATGAAAACAGTTCGGACCAAGGATAGCCCTCCAAGAATGGAAACCCAAACACAATCACTTTCTGCTGAAATAGAGGGGAAGGAGCAGAAGTAAATCCAAAGGGATTGAGATCCAAAACTTAAACCCAATAAACCCAATGGTAGAAATTAAAGACAAGATATAAAAATCCTACCAATCCTAGAGGCTAGGAGAAACACACACAAAGAAATCTATTATCTTTTCAAATGTTCATGGGTAAGCATCAAATTTGGATTTTAAAAGCTTCCCACTATTTGGGGAGTATAGATATTTATTTTGTAATTACCATTTGTATCTGAGCAATCCTGTCTCTAGTAGCCAAAAAACCAAAACAAACTGCAAATGCTTTGTAAATCCCTCACTATGGCAAGTCTTAGTTCTGTCTAAATTTTTCTTCTACCAGGGCAAGTGTAAGTATAAAATCCGAGTATTCTATATTTACTAAACCTGTCTAAATGTCCAGAAGAAAAACGATTGAGTAAATATAGAACAGCCACTTAAGAGAATAATATGCAGCTCTTTATAAGATGGTTATGAAGACTGTATTGCCAAACAGAGACCGATTAGTTTACGCTGTTAAGTGAAAAGCAAAATGAAAAGTTGGGATGGAAAGGAATCACCCCAAAACAGGAGCTATCTCTGGGTGCTAGGATTAAGAATGATTTTTTCCTCTTTTCCAAATTTAATAATGCAATTACAGTGAAGAAAATTATTGATAGATAGAAACTTTTAGAAGCTTTCAGAAAAAATATGGCCCTAAATTATTCTATTGGATGTCACCTTTCTTGTAAGGATGCCAGGTGAGAAGTCGCAACAGATTGAAAACAAGGACTTATTTCTTACCCTGAACTCGCCTCTGTTTGAGTCCCTAGGGAGCAAATTTGGGGAAAATTAAGAATCATGTTTTGGGCATTTTGGGTCTGAGGCCTCTGAGATAGGATCATGGCAATGTCTATTAAGTAGTTGAGTCCATAAATCTTCAATGAAGAGGATCCTTTCTACTTTAAATATGACAACCGGGGGATAATATTTTCCATTTTCAGTTAATGGTTCTTTTGGCCACTTTTAATATGCAAAATTATAATACAGTAAAAGAACTTGACCAACCAGTCAGATCTCACTTCAAATGCATTTTGGGTTTAAGTTTCCAGCCAACTGAAATTCTGTAATTCTTAGGCAAATGCAAATAAATATACTAAAACAGGATTCTTGCTTACAGGTAATAGAGACCAACTAGAGGTAATCTAAGCAAAAAGATAAGTTATTGGGAAGATATGGGGGAACACATGGAATTGAAGAAAGGGGTGAAATGCCAGGCATCCGAGAAGGAAGAATCAAAATACCGTCAGGAGTCCAGGTAGAAGAAAATAACAACTGCCTCTTTAGGGGGCAACTGTCAGAAAGAATCAACTCAAACAGCTTCCAACCTTGTAGTCAATATGCACATTCTCAGGAGAGATCATCCTGACTGAGTTAGAATTATTATGTGCTCGTATCTTGGCCAAGAGAGGGCAGGGTCCCCCAACTGACAGTCCCACGAAGCCCATACATAAGGTAGGAAGGATGCCACCTAACCTCCAAGAAGAAATGGATAGTGGGGCAGGAAGATCACCCATATTCCCCTCACTGTCCACATCTGGGAACACATGTTCCGTGTGCCGTGTTTTGTATAGATGTGGTGTAAAAAGAAAACAAGAGCAATAGTTATAACTGGTCTAGGGAGGCTTCTCTGGGTTACGGACATGTTCATGCCCACTAATACATGAATCACCCTGCCTCATAAAGACTTCCAGTATACACACTGCACACAAACTCCATGGTTCAGAGCTTTAGAAAATCAAACAAGAAATTAATAACAAAGACAGTGACTTTGTGGTTATGTTTATAAGCAGCAAGTTCAAAATTAAATGAGCCAAATAGTGAGGGAGAAAAAAAAGCCAACTCTTTTGCGTTAAATGCCTTGAACAGTAAAATTAACAACAGAACAAGTCTCATTGTACCATGAGGCTGTCTTATTGACTTGTTTTTGAACTCCACGTTTGAACACAATGAAAGTTGTGTGTTTTTTAAATAAAACAAATTTTTTTTTTCTCTCACAATGCTACATAGAAACCTCCAGGGCAAAGTAAAATTAAACCTCATTATTTCAAATTCCATTCATTCCAGAATTATAATAATTTGGCTGGGGCTGCATTGAAGCCTACCTTTGTACTCCCTTTGAGTGGTGGTTTCACTGAACAAATCAATAATGCAAACAAGATTGCTGGGAGTCACACTTAAGCCACTCAAGAGAGACTTCAGCACACAGCTTACATGCAAACGACAGTGCTCCTTATGGAGGCATCTTAATCGTCCTTAAAGCAGAACTGGCAAGGCTTGTTAGCAGTAGTTCAAATGTCTATAGACCCTTTCATTTCTTTTAAAACTCTTTTGTGTTGAAATCTTCCACTCGTTCCAATTGTTTGTTCTCTGTTGGTCCAATCAAATGTTGTCTAACATGCTGTTTAGGTGCAAAAGAATGAAGAGTAAAGAACCTATCTGCCGAGCCTTAAAAAAAGGCTGCTCCCCAGCACTTTGGGAGGCCGAGGCTGGCGGATCACAAGGTCAGGAGATCGAGACCATCCTGGCTAACACTGTGAAACCCCGTCGCTACTAAAAATACAAAAACAAAATTAGCCGGGCGTGGTGGCAGGCACCTGTAGTCCCAGTTACTTGGGATGCTGAGGAGGGAGAATAGCGTAAACCCGGGAGGCGGAGGTTGCAGTGAGCCAAGATCGCGCCACTGCACTCCAGCCTGAGCGACAGAGCAAGACTCAGTACTCCCCGACCCCGAAAAAAAAGGTTGCTCCTTCTACTTCAAAGCCGGGAAACAATAAAAAATGGTGAGTGTGTACAAATGCCAGCAAACATATCTAAATGAGCTCAGATCTTGAATAGGATATAAAGTAATATAATCCTGTTAGAATTCTCATAAATTATTTACAATGTGCTCTAATCTGTCACCTCATTTGGGTATCACAGAACATACATGAGACACACGTGGCAGAGACAGGAAGTGCTCACCAGAGAGCCCACGGGCTCCCTTGCATTTCCCAGACTCCCTTGCGGGATACGGAACAAGAACAGCAATAGTGAGTGGCACTTCCAAGTCCAGGCAGATAACTGGAAGCGTACTTCCTCTATCTTCCCGTTTCTCTGTTAGGGTGACTTTGGAAGCCCCTTGATGAGATGGCAAGAAGATAAAGAGAGCTTTGATCTCTGACTTAGATTCTGATCGTCCTCACCAGATGGAAGAGGGATCTTGCAGAACACAAGCATGAGTGGCTCAAGAATTAAATAAATAAATTTTTCTCAAGGAAAAAAGATGACGCTTTGTGACTAAGTCACAAGGATCTGGAATTGTATCGGTTACTGCGGTATAGCTTAGCCTGCTCTATCACACTACTATGATTGTTTCCATCTCACAGATAAGAAAACTGAGACTCAAAGAAGACATATGACGTGCCAAAAATCATCGTGCTATTAAGAGGCAGGACTGAGAATAGAACTCAAACCTCTTGATTCAAGTGATCTTTCCCTTACGACCCAAATGTTAAGCTGTTGCCTGCATGCATAAATTAATGACCAGCTGGTATTCAATGACAATCTGTACAATTAATACCCAATGCCAGAAAACATACTTTTGTTCTTAATTTCTTTGTTCAATCCAGGGCCTCTTTACCTTCTTCACTTGCAGGCGCTGGAGAATGGAGAGACAAACACACCAACAAAGCCTAGAACATACCACGAACCTGTGCTGCATTTCATTTTTTTGTATAAAGGCTTCTTCATGAAATCAAAAGAGTATTGTTAAGGGTGAGTGGTGAGAACAGATTTGGGAACCAAAAAAGGTAAATATAACTCCAATTTTTCATTCTGCCAAATTCAAACAAACATCATTTTAATGACCTGGCAGCCCTCACAAAGTCAGCAACCACCAGTTAAATAAAAAGCCCATTCATTTAGAAAAAGAAGTGTCAACACAGGCATTTAACATAAGTCAGGTTTCCACAGCACAGTGACCCGACATATGGTGACATGCACATATGGACTGGGATTAAACAGCATCGCCAAATGTAAATGCAAAGAACATATCAGAATCCCTTCCCTCCCATCCTAAAGCCAACTCATACACCATCCAGGGACAGATCTTAATGTAAATATAAGAACTTAGTTGGGATTTTCAGAGGTCTCCATAATGTATCAATCTGGGAGTTAATGTCTCCATCAGTGTTCATGAGTAATACAAGTAGTGACTACCAACTTTTCTTGGTAAAAAAATAAAATAAAATAAATTGGCATAGACTATCTAAAACAATCCAGCATATGCCTCATAAAAATACAAAGCTCCTACGAGAAAAATTAGGAATACATCTTTACGACCCTGGAGTAGGCAAATATCATTTAGAGAGGACACAGAAAAGCAATACACATCAGAGAAAAACACAATTATTGAACACAGTCAAAATTTCACATTTTTGCTTATCAATAAACACCGCTTTAAAAAAATGAATAGACATGCCACAGACTGGAGGAGAACATTTGCAACATATACATCTGATAAAGAACTTGATTCTGGAATATGTAAGGAATTCATACAACTCAGTAATAAAAAGACAAACAGCCCGATAAAAAATAAGCAAAATATTTGAATAGGTTTTTCACCAAAGAAAATATTCAAATGGCCAATAAGTACATGAAGGAATACTCACTGTCATTAGTCATTAGGGAAATATAAAATAAAATGACAATGTCATACTGTTACACAATCAGCAGTAATGGCTAAAATGGAAAAGACTGGTAATACCAGATATTGGCAAAGATAGGGAGGTATCAGAACTCTCATTCGTTGCTGGCAGGAGTGTCAAATCTTACAAACACTTTTGTTATATAGTTAAATAGACATCTATCCTATGACCCAGAAGTCTTCTAAGTATTTATCCAAGAGAAATGAAAACACACGTCCACAAAAAGACTTGTTCATAGCAACTTTATTCATACAGCTACAAACTGGAAGCCACCCAAGTGTCAATTAACAGTAGAAAGGATAAACAAATTGTGGTAGATTCATACAATGGAATACTAGACGGCAATAAAAAGGTTCAAATTGCAGAAACATGCAGCAATATGGATGAATTCCCAAGACATTATATTGAGTACTGAGTGAAAACATTATGTTGAGTGAAGCCAGACACAAAATAGTCCATACCAGATGGCTGCATCTATATGGAGTTTTTCACATGAGAAAATTAATAGATGATGATAGAAATCAAAGCAGTGACTGCTTCCAGAGTGGGTGGTGGGGTTGACTGGGAAAAGGTACAGGGATACTTCCTGGACTGATGGAAATATTCTATATCTTACCAGGGGTGTGGGTTACATGAGTATCTGCATTTGTCCAAACGGACAGAACTAAATACTTGGAATCTGTGCATTTCACTAAATGTAAATTATACTTCAATTTTTAAAAAGCATTGGGGAAAAATTATCTTTTCTATTTTAGGCCAAGACTACGGATAGATCTCTAAGAGAGCTCTTATAACCTTAGAG
Organism: Homo sapiens; assembly: GCF_000001405.40. Lineage (NCBI taxonomy): Eukaryota > Metazoa > Chordata > Mammalia > Primates > Hominidae > Homo > Homo sapiens. The sequence goes on from NC_000010.11 coordinate 121,306,798, forward strand.
AACAGAATCTCGCCAGAAAACAAAGGCCTCACCCAGACCAGGGGAGGTGGCAGGGCGTTTCTCTTCAATTAATTTGCAGTCTTAGACCAAGGCAGGATATAATGATGACATTAACCAACCACAAATCCCAGTGACTGCACATCTTGGAAGGCACTGGATAGACTACGGCAAGTGTCAGACACCTCCTGAGTGCGAACCTCTTGAAATCTTCTCGTTCAACCTCTTACTCCAGGTACCTCTGCAATGATCAGTTCAGTGCAGGCGCAGTCCACTTGCACTTAGGGGCAGCCTAATGGTGCCTAATCATTCCCTAACCTCATACCTCTTTCTGCCTTGGTCCTTCTCTGATGCCCTGGGGTGGGACCCAGCACATGCATGTACATCCAGGAACTGCAGGTGAGTTACAGCCTATGTGATCACCTTGGCTAGTGCCAGATGGGGAGCTGGTAGGCCGATGCATCCCTCCACATTGCTTCTGCAGACATTTTTGAGCACACTTCCTAAGGCTCCTTAGGAAACCCCTTAGGATGGTGCCTCAGTCACCATTGACTACACAGTGATCAACTCAGTAACATATATCTCTTTACTGACTTGCCCTCCTTCCCTTTTCCACTCCATCCTTCCCTTCTGCTCCCTGGGACCACTTTTTCAATAAGCCATCTGCATACAAATCTTTGTCTAAGGGTCTATTTTCAGGGGCACTAAGGCCAAGGCACAGTTTGTGTATATGTACAGAAATTTACATCTACATACACAAATGCTTCCCTGGGTGCTGAGACCATGTATAACACAGACCCCTATTCAACTGGCTGCGTGCCTGGAATGTTGTTCCTTGTATAAACTAGAAAGAGACTGATGGCCTCCTGCTAAGAGAGTCAGCTCTTGCTAAGATACACACCTTGATAGGAAACATAACAAGAACCATGACCAATGCCCATTCCAGAACCATTGCCTTTTTATGTAAGTAATGAACCCATCCCTGGGCTGAATTCAACCCCAGGAGTGTTGAGTCACTAGGTTTATACCATTGATTCTGCTGCTAATGACTAATAACTGAGTGATGGATGGAATAATACTGCTTCCAGGGAGACACTTACCTTCTCAAAGAAAAAACTCAAAACGTGATTTTTAACTTCTGAATGACTATTTTTCTCATATACAGTGAATTACGATAAAGTATCAAACCAATATCGAAAGACCACTAATATGAGGCAAGCATCAGTGCTGTTTGTGGTTGCATCTCTTGTTGGGTTCCATGGCCTGGCCAATCCTCAACCACATGAGAGTACTCTTGACAGACAGAGAGTTTGGACTTGAGGGTTCACATATCCTTTCTTCATTCATCTACTGTGTATACAGTGCATAGCTTCAAGCAAGGAATGTTGCCCTTTGTGTTTCTGTCTTTCTCCTGGGCAGTGACTCGCCTTTTTTTTTTCTTTTTTGGACTTACAAAGAGACTAGTTAGTGAAAGACCTAGTGTAAATATGACAAAACCCCTTCAGTGGGGATAGTTCATTAAAATCAAATAGCTTGTTACAACAGGTTTTCAGCTGAATTGCTTAATGTATGTTTTATAAAACTTCTTTACAAGGCATCTGCCAATGTTTAGCCAGAATGTTGGGTTGGTGTGTTGGTTTTCCTCTTCAGGGAAGATTCAAGAAAATGGTAATGGGATGTGAAGACAATTATATAGAAGCATGTTGTTGAAGACTGGAAAAATAAATGAAGAGCTATTAAATCTGCTAGAATTGGAGCCAGGCTCTAACTATGCGTAGAAACAGACTGGCTTCGGCCCCATCAAGGCACGTTGAGATCAAGCCCATGAAGGATGCATCAGCTTCCATTATAATTACAGCCACTGCTCTCAGTTTTACATAGTTCTCACTCCTGACACAGGCAGCGTTGGAAGCACAGAGAATCCGACAGAAATGCAACTTCTATTTTTGGAATTCCAGTGTGTGTGGAGGAGGGGGATGCAATGCATTCTGACTTTGATTGTGTTTTCTCTAGTTTATAGATTAACCTAAAATAGACTGTGTGTTTCATTAGAGCGAAAGAGGATATAAGATCTCTACTGAAAGGAAAATCTTCTTTCTTCTTCTACTAAGTGCACAAATAATTGTTTGCCACTTCAGCAGCTCAAACTTACAGAGTAAGAAATGTTCATGAGTATGGCATCCAAGGCTGTCCACTCTCTGACCCCCCCACTACTTCTCCAGCCACCTTCACCAAATAGACACATGATCCAATATTTTAGGTTCCCTGCTGTTCCCTGCACACACCAGGTGACTTCAGGCTCCAAGCTTTTGCTCATCCTGCCCCTTCACCTGGCAAGCCACTCCTTGTCTCCTTGTCTCATCTTTCATGACATAATCAGCCTCTCTAGGAAATTTTCCAACCCAACTTTTCCATTTCAAACTAGGTTTGTCCATTTCCTCTTTGGAAGGGGACAACCGTTCCCTGTACATCCTCTTCCATCTTGCATCCCAGAACACTAGAAAGCAAATTTTTTGGAGGTAGAAACTGTCTGACTCATTCCTGTACCTTCACTGCTTAGCACAATGTTGAACACATGGTATGTCTTATGACTAACTGAATGAATATCACACAAGGCAATTTGACTTCTTTTCTTGAGAAAGTGAGAAAATATTGGAGGATTGCTGCCTTGGAAAACATTTGGAAGGATTCGGGGCTATGTTCATCCAGAGATTCCAGGATATTACACACAAAGCCCTAATAAAGCTATAGCGAAAATACATTCTGCAAAATCACTAAGGCTTCTCCTACTCAGGGAGTCAATGTGGCTTAATCCACAAACTGCACCCTGTGCCGCTTCTCATTTCCTGATTAAAATTCACATTGGATTTCCAGAAGAAAAGTGCAGTTGAACAGATGAATGAGGAAGATAAGGGAACCCATTTGGACGGCACACACTGAAGCTGCTTAAAGTCTGCACTTCTCTAACTTAGGAAAATATTCCTCCTCGAAGAATCTTTGAGACAGTACTGTACTTTGAGCCTAAGCATGATCACTCTTGGAATCTGAAGGGCAGTATTGGAAACCACAAAGTTCCTAATAACTTCACGAATCCATAGACCTCTTAATAATATTTCCATTTCTTCCTGTGTTCTTCTTAACCAGATAATAATTACACAACGAGGTTTATTCAAAGATTGAAATTTTACCTCGAGCAAAATTTGGAGGTCAAATAGGGAAGGAACTCACTCAGAGAAGAGAATATAATTTAAAAATACTTTTCCTCCTACGAGGGGAACAAGTAGTTATTTTGTCACATTAAAAACAATGGTTTCTTGCAATGCATCAAAGACATAAATCTGAACACACCAGACCTCTTCATTATCCCTGTGGCCTAACAAACTCCTAAAGGCAAAGGGAGCCAGTTTCCGAGCAGGCCAAGGGATTCAGGCTGTACGCTCCACAGGGGACAGAAGGCTAAATCAGCCGGAAAAAGGTAGAGCTGTACAGTTGGGTAAGCACAAGTGCAGACAAGCGTGGATAATTTTAACTCCCATTACAGCTGGACTGACCACTAAACTGTCACCTCATATCGAGCTTGTAACTGAGAAACCACAATTATCCTTTTGAGCACATTTACGAGGAAGCACGGGGAGCCCAAGGCGTTATGGGTGAGACTATTCAGAACAGGTGGATAGGGCAGTGAGGGAGGATTGTCACATGTGGCTCCCTGCAGGGACAGGGGAGGAAAGCCAGGAGGCCAGCTTCATGGCAGCCCTTCTATAAAAGAGACAGAGCAGAGAAGAGGCAGGGATGAAAAGGAGATAAAAAAGCAAATAACAACGGAGGGAGGAAAATGACAATTGCTGTAGTCTTTAGAAGTGCCAGCAGCTGATAAGTCTTTCAGGCCAAAGAGGGAACCCTGAAGTGACAGAAAAGCCTTACTTAATTTCCTTTTTTTTCTGCCTTGCACAGGAAAAGTTACCCTCAGCTATATCTGACTCTTGCTCCTTTCCAATTGCTAAGCCTCAGTCAGAGACGCGTGATTTTATCTATAGCTCAATCCAATATTTAATGACAACTTCAGAATATGATATGTATTCCCGACACACTTGCTGACATGTTTTGGATCACTAAGATAATGAATCATTTATATTTTGCGAATTCCTTTCAAACTTTTTCAAGGAAATAATTCATAAGTGCGTGCCCTCCCTCCCTCCCTCCCTCCTCCCCTCCCATCCCCCCACTTAATTTTGGAAGCATAGACAACTCCTGTTTCAAATTGTTCCCAGTAGAACTCCTGAGTATCAATTTAAAAAGATAATTAAGGCCAGGCGTGGTGGCTCATGCTTGTAATCCCAGCACTTTGGAAGGTTGAGGTGGGCAGATCACGAGGTCAGGAGATCGAGACCATCCTGGCAAACATGGCGAAACCCCGTCTCTACTAAAAATACAAAAAAAAAAAATTAGCCAGGCATGGTGGCACGCGCCTGTAGTCCCAGCTACTCGGGAGGCTGAGGCAGGAGAATCACTTGAACCCGGGAGGTAGAGGTTGCGGTGAGCTGAGATCACGCCACTGCACTCCAGCCTGGGCGATAGAGCGAAACTCCGTCTCAAAAAAAAAAAGATAATTAAGCAGTACAATTATCTGTTGGTTTCACCATTGCATGATTTTCTTACTTGTTCTTACTTGAAAACACTGGCAAGTGAAAATTGCCACAAGTTTCACCTTGATCATAAATGCATTTTCTGGGCAATTTTATGTTTGGGGATTGATAACCCAGGGCACTAATTTACTTTACATAATATGAGGACTTAAATTTAAAGCATTCTCAAGGAGTGGCAAAAGACTGAGGTGCTGCTTTCTACAAATGAAGTCATCCATTAAATGTCTACTAGTGTCAGGCATTCACAAACTCATAGACAAGTGAAGAGTTAAATTCTATGATGTGTCATAAAGAATCAATCTACAGAAACAGGAGAAATTTCTATTGATAAGGGAAGTGGCAAGCATTGAGGCAGAATAAACAGGCATCAAGAGGCTGGAAGGAGAGGTCACAGTATTAAGAAGATAATGCACCAACCCCGGGATCTTGCACCAGACTGCCATGAGCATAACATCGTTAAGTCTCTTTCTTACCTAAGTTTTCCTGTTTTGCTCTCCCAGGGAATTTCACTTTAAGGGAATACGTCCCTGACTGTATAGCAAAGATCAGGAAGCAAACAGGATTCATTTGTATAGAGATCGCTTTGTTCTCTTCCACAAAGCCAGGAATGTCTGCATTCACGTTTAAAACAACAACAAAATTATCTTTCATAAGATATTTTCTCCTTCAAACAGGACAAGAGAATCGAAGGATTATGTCCAGCATGGAATTTCAGTCCCCTTCCCTTTTGACCTCAACTGACAAGGCCCTTTGTGCCTTTTATGTAATATTAGTGGTTTTCAGAATGTGCTCCCTGGACCAGCAGTGACAGCAGCATCACCTGGGAAGCTGTTAGACATGCAGATTCTCTGAGCCCATCCTACCCATGCCCAAGTGAACCAGAAACTCTGGGGAGACTGGGTGCTCAATGCAAGATTTAATACATTCTCCCAGTGATTCTGATGTTTGCCAAAATATGAGAACCATTGCTTTATGTTAATTGACTTACTTTGTTATTTCACGCCCACTATCTATAAGCTAATTCCCACTGCAGTGAGGCAGAGAGAGATGGCTCCACACTGCACTCTTAGGTACAATCGAGCGTCCCCATTTGGTGTTGAGAGGTCTGCTTTATTCTTCCCATTTATTTGATGGGCACGTTTTTAACTTAGAACAATATTTCTCTCCAAACAGTGTGAGCATCTTATTGTAAGTTTTTACAAACATTTTTTTAGCCATTTCAGGTAACAACCCCCAGCGTAACAATCCCCCACGTGGCCTGTAACACCCAGAACTCTGGTGAATGTAATGATTGTTTTGCAGACAGGAAGTGACTGCAGCATTAACACGATCCAGAAGTGAGCGGTGATAAACTCTGGCACTGCTACAGAAAGGAAAAACCAGGCTCAGAGATGCAGAAACTCAGAGAACACATTCTGTAGCTGAGAGGAAAAACCCACACAAACTCAAAACAAAACCAGTTCAAATAAACCTCGCTCCTTGCCATCTATAAACAGAGTTAAGTTCAAGGGAGAATCTTCTGGCCCCAACAAGAACCATGGAATGAGATAAGATGTTTTCTCCTTTATTTTAATGTGTGGACTGCATTGGCGCCCCATTATGAAGGCATTTCAAATATCCATTAATGATTTAATTGACTAAGTGCCATTCTTCCCTGACTACCATGTTGGGTTTATCTGTGCAGAGCTTCCTGCGATTATCTTAAGTCTCTGGCAGCTTAATGAAGGCTGTATGTCGGCAAACACTATTTTTTAAAAATTAGAGGATAAACTTACAAGGAGTAAATGCTCCATTAGATGTTGAGAGGTCACTCATGCCCCAACTTGACTCGGATGTCTGACACAGCTGCTTCAAGAATTCCACGTGGCCCCAGGCGATGGAGCTGTTAAATCACGTTCACGTAGGACATTCCTCTTCTGGCCTGAAATACAATCTGGTTAATGAATTTACCTTCTTCACATCCCAGGTACCGGTCAGAATACCCAACCTGAAGATCTTTTGTGCTGAGTATTTAAAAATCTCTCTCTCATAGGATTCCTACAAGAGTCAACATTTTGTTTCTCTGAAAAAGGAACACTCGCTTCCAGTCTGTTGTCACATATCTGAACTGTTAGACCCGGCTGTGTTTTCCAGGAGCAATAATTGGAATTCTCTCTAACCCAACCAAACTCTTTTTAATGAGTTCAGGGGAATCAGCGTGTTTGTGTTGGCTTCCTGGACCTTCGAGGCTCACAGACCTAGCCAGCTCAGGCACAGATCAGCAGCCGGGGAAGGCATTAGTCTCCCCCACATATCTACCCTGCGAGCTTTATGGCCAAGAGCAATGCCAGGGAGTTCAAGTGATTAGTTATGTTAGGGAAACGAAAGCCAACAACCCAAGAATCAGCGTCCCCAGGAAAAGGTCAATAGGCCTCGGTGCTGTAATGAATGTAACAAATATTTAAATAAGGATAATATTGAAATGTGTTCAGTCATCTTGATTTATTTCCAATTACTTGGCTTTTGCTCCACTGAGTAGTTCTGAAATTCAAAGTTGATTTCTGCTGACTTGTGGAGCCACACCACCTCTATTTTTCTTCCTTCTACGTGCCTTTCAATCCTATTTCACAGTCCCTTCCAAAAGGACCACAAAGCATGGCAAACAGAGATAGACTCAGTCTACCAAGTGGCTACAAAGGATGTTGTTTTATAAAGCAGAGAACCTGAGCCAAGCTTCTGCACAATACAGAGGAAGAGTCAAGGCTCTAGACAGACTGGTCCAGGCCATGGTGAATGGCGAGGCCCATTCAATCCCAACCATCAGAGGAGCTTTTTTCCTTTCCAAAGCATGAGTCCTACAGGGATGAAGATGAGAATCTCCTTGAATTTAGAATTGTAATGTCTCAACTGGAGGAGTTCCAAAAGATTCCCTACTATTAGCTCCAGGAAGCAGAGGCTGGGCCAGATGAAATGGATTGCCCACGATTCTCAGCGAGTTGAGAGGAAGGGCACTGGCCCAGGGGATGCTTCCCTGTTCTCCCTCCTGCCCACCCTGCTGCACGCATGCATCGATTTAATCATAAGCGAGCCTCAAACCATGGCCACGCACTGTTCTGACACTTGCTGGGAAATAATCCCAGTGCCTCCTCTGGGTACAGTGCAGTAGGTAGGGTGAGAGGGTAGGTGCCAAGTGGGATCTACTACACAGACTGGTAGAGTTTTACCTACCTCCATACCTGTCCCCACTCACTCTTACTCTGTCTTAGGAAGCCAACGGGCAGTAGAACTTCTCTCCTAACACTTTACCATGAAAAAGTTTCAATGGGCACGCCAGCACCATTTTAAGGTTGTTGGCAGCATCCTCACCGTGATGCCCACTGGTATCTCAACAAGGATGGAAAAAGTGACAGCCTTTAACTATGGTTCTTCTTTCAACCCAAGTAGTTACCATTTATTGAGCACGTACTGTGTACCAAGAACTACAGAGGTGCATGTCTCTGACCCTTGCAACATCTCCATTGGATAAGTTTTATAACTGCACTATAAGTATTATTATATTTGCACTGTATCACTTTTTTTTTTTTTGAGACAGAGTCTTGCTCTGTTGCCCAGGTGGAGTGCAATGGTGCATTCTCGGCTCACTGCAAGCTCCGCCTCCCAGGTTCACGCCATTCTCCTGCCTCAGCCTCCTGAGTAGCTGGGACTACAGGCGCCTGCCACCACACCTGCCTAATTTTTTTGTATTTTTTTAGTAGAGACGGGGTTTCACCGTGTTACCCAGGATGGTCTCGATCTCCTGACCTCATGACCCGCCCGCCTCAGCCTCCCAAAGTGCTGGGATTACAGGTGTGAGCCACCGTGCCCAGCCTTCTGTTTTGTTTTTACTTTAAATTTTAGCAAGAATATAAGTTCCACAACAGAAGTGACCTTGCTTCTCTTGTTAACAATTCCATTCCAAGCACCTACCATCTGCCTCACACATAGTAGTTATTAATAAGTGCTTGCTAAATGAATGAGGGAATCCTCACCTCATAGGGTAGGAAACTAAGTCTTTTTAGAGAGGTGAATTAATTTATTCAAAGCCTCCCAACTGAATAGAGGAGAGGGTGCCTTTCAAACACCCTCTCCTCTATATATTTTTATAAATGTAATTAGATACAAAGATGTGCTTATGACAAATGGAAATGGAAACTGTCAAGATTCTCAATGACTCTACCCAAGGCCCATATGACATAAGTGTGTTCACTAAAGGCTCTGACCTCTACAACCCCTGAACTTGACATAGGGAGAAATAACAAAGTTTAATACTTTAATAGATGGAGTATTCTGCCTTAATGACACATTTCTACTACTCGGGAGATTGGCAATTTGTTGTGAAATAGCATCTCCTACTACTGACCTTACTTGAATGACAGAGGCTAAGTCAACACCAGACCTATAAGAAAAACATTGAGTTCTTGAGATGCAGTATATATGATGACGAACTCCATGTGTGCCCACAGTAACGAATGGGGTTGTTATTAGGAAATCTGCTAAATACCTAGAATTGCAACCTTCCACAGTAGTATCATGATTTGCAAAGTTGATATAACAGAAATTGATTAGGGAAAGAAATAAAGATTGCTTGGGGAACTATTAGTAGGCTTCAGGACCATGAACATTTGTTTGAACAAAGGTGCTTTTCCAGATGCTCTGTGTCCTCACAGAACAAAATAATAACCGAAGCTGAAACCTGCAGGGTAGAGGATGTGGGGTCACTATAAAATGGAAGCACCCTCATGAGGGGGCCAAATGGAGGTGGGAAAATATTAGGTCCAAGGGTTTTCTGAAAATAGGACACTGGGATAATTGCAACCTAAGCTTAAGGCAGGAGTTAGAAGAGCTAGCCTATCAGAGGCCCCATAAGTACTTATTTTTTTACTTTAGGAGGGGATAAAGGCCATCTCAGAAGAGAAAGTCACTGACTTTCAATTAATCTGCTTTCTACCATGTTACAAATAAAATTTAGGGAAACTAACAGAATCTTAATGAAAAAAAATAAATCTTCAGAAGTTATTATCTGGGAAACCTGGACATTGTCTGAGGACCTGGTTGCCTGTGACAACATACATTTGTCGGGAGGGATTGCCAGGGGGTCAGATATCAGCCCATAAAGTTGCTAATATAACTGATGCAGCTTGATGAGAGGAAAAGCATCAATCAAAGTCAGAAAGTCTGTGTAGGTGAGGTGGGGGTGGGAGTGCCGGCCCTAAAGCCTTGATTCTGAAAACAGAAGGTCTCCACGGAATTTTTCTGTAGGAAAAATGGGAGGCCAAGTAAAACCTGGTGCTGGGAACAGGTGATGAGCACTAGACTTGACCTCTCTAAATGAAGGATGTAGACCACTAGTTTCCTCCAAATTACAACCACCAGAAATTTAGTTCTTTCAATAATGACTTCAAAGTTTAAAAACCTCTCATTTTAAGTTGTCCATGTTTGGTGGCAAAAAAAAGAAAGAACATATACATGGACAGAAATGTACAAATGTAGAGTCATTGCTTTCTAGATGTCAAATGCAGATGACTGAGTTTATCTTATGCCTGGGTTTATGGCCTAGTATCATCATTGGTCCAGGGAAGTTTGCTCTCTTACTTTACTTGTGTATTGACTTTTTTTTTTTTCGAATCCACTACTCCCAATCTCCTCCCCACACAGGCAACAGTTCTAATGCATTTAATATGTATCCTCAAATTTGTAGGTATCCCTATATAATGTAGAATTGTTTTGTGTGTATATATATTTTTAAATTTATATAAATGGCATTGGACTAAGGATCGCATTTTTCCCCTTTTAAATTCAGTGGTATGCTTGAGAGATCTGTCCCTGTTGCTATTATCTACTGGGTTTTACTTCATGACGCCCATCCACTACATTTTACTGAATGATTTCCCTTCAAATGGACCACAGGTTAACTCTATTTCCTTTATGACACAAACAGTAAGCAGCAAACATGTGCATCCATGTCTTCCTCTAGATTTATGCAAGGATTTTTTTTTCTGAGATTACCCATAAGTGGAATTCTGAGTCCTTAGCAGAAACAACCATTTAAGTAAGCCCTGCCTCAGTTGCTCTCCAGGATACCGGATCAGTTCCCATTCCCACCAGTAGGACACAAAGGTTTCTTTTATCCCATGTACTGCTAACCCATGGATATAAATTGGATATAATTTTTACCAATTAAAATAGGTAGAATATGTTTTCCCATTCTTAATTTAATTTGCATTTATCTGAGTGTTACTGAGAGTTTAAGCATCTCTTTATATATATTTTTAGCCATTCACATTTCCTTTCTAGGAACTGTTGTTCATATCCTTTGGTCATAATTTTTAAAGTTTTCTCTTTCTTGTGTATCAGCAGAGTCCCTTACATTCTAGATATTGTTATCTCGTTGGTCCTGGGCAGTGCAAATACATTTTCCTAATCTCTCATCTGTCTGTTAGCTTTTTCTATATCGTCTTTTTAAAACAAAAGTCTTTACGCTTTGTGTAATCAGAATCATCAATTATTCACCTAATGGTTTGTTCTATTCAGGTCATGTTAAAGTTCTTCTTTTCCTGGAGGTCCTATATTTTCTTCTATTAGCATTCTGGTTTTACTTTTCACATTTAAGTCTTCCATCCATCAAGAATCTACTTTGTATATGGTGTAAGGTAGGGCTCTAAGCTTTGTTTTTCTTTGTATTGTGAGCCAATTTTCTTAACACCTTCTATTAAATCATGTGTCCTGTTGCCCATTGACCTTTATCATCTCAAGCTGCCATGTATCTAGGTATCAGTTATAAATTATTTCTGTTCAATTGGTCTACTTCTCTGTTCTTGTACCACTAACACATAGTTTTTAGTTCTATAGTTGCATACTCTATCTTAATATCTGATCACAGAAATTTGCCTTCTTTTGCTTCTTTTCCAAAGTAACTTAGCTATTCATGGACCTATACTCTTCTGTATACAGAATAGCTTTCTTACATTCATTCCTAAATCCACTGGAATTTTGTTCTGGATCACCCTGAAACTGTACATTAGTATAGAGAGAATTGGCATGTTTATCATCTTAAAGCATCCCATTTATATACATGGTACAGTTTGCCTTTTATTCACATTTTCTTAAAATATTGTCCATAGATACTATGTATTCCTTGTTAATTTCTAGATATTTTATAATTTTTGTTGCCATTATGAAGGCATCTTGTCTTTTATTTACTGGTTACTGGTGGTAGGGAGAGATGTAATTAATGCTTCCAAGTTGATCTGTGTCTTGCAGATTTCCTGAGCTCCCTAATCATTTTCCTGATTTTGACAGATTTCCATTGAGATATCATCAGCAAATGACAATTTAATACTCTTCCTCCCAACCATTAGACTGACATTGTTTTATTTGTTTTTATCTTAGAATTGTCCAGGGCTTTTGATACTGTATTAAGTAGCAGCAGCATATGTTTCTAATCTTAAAGGAGATGATTTCAAAGTCTAAAGTATGTTGTCTACTGTAGGTTAGGGGCATAAATCTTTACCACATTAAAAAGGTCCTTTTCTAGGCATGGTGTGCTAAGAGACTTTTAACATAAATGTATGTTCAACTTTATAAAAATGCTTTTTCTGTATCTATTAAGATGATCAAGATATTTTTCTTTTGTGGATTAATTTAGCAATACATTTTCTGAGGTTGAACCATCTTTGCTTTTCTTGGCTAAACCCTCCATGATCATCTGTTTGTTACTTTCACTTTCTAAAATTTCATTAGCTAATATTTCATTTTGCATTTTTTACCTATATGTTCAAAAATCACATTGGCCTTTTGTACTGTCCTTGGCAGAATTTGCAATAAAAAATACAATAATCTCATAAAATAATTTCTAATGTTTCATCATTTTCCTATTTCCCAGAGTTGTTTATTTTCTAACACTGGTGGAATTTACTTATAAAACCACTGGATCTGGGGCTTTTGTGGAATAAAGAGCTTTATCACCATTTTTAATTTCATTATTGTTTATTGGTTTATTAAATTTTTCCAGTTTTTCACTATTTTTGGCATTTTGTATTTTTCCAGAAATATAGTTCTCATGGAAAACTTTCCTTGAAAGTTTCCATTTCATGTAGATTTCAAATATATTGGATAGTTTTTCATAATATTCTTCCATAATATTTTTCTCAGCTGTGTCTATTTTATTTCCCTCTTTTTCATTCTGTAATTTTGCTTATTTTCTCTTTCTCTCGATCAGTCCTGCCAGAAAGTGCTTCTCTTATTGATGCTTTCAAAGTACTAGATTTTGGTTTTATTAATCTTATTTTTAGTGTACCTTAAATTTTATCATAAATTTATTATATCTCTATAATAAATTTTGTTCTTTTTGGGGAACAAAATTTGGGGGGAATTTGTTCCTTTTCCAACTTCTTCATTTGAACACAAATAATTTGTTGTTGGTCTTTGTTGCTTTCAAATAAATGTGTCTAAAGCTATATCTTTCCACTGGTTACTATTTTAGCTGTCTTACAAATTTTGATAGTTTTTAAAACATTTCTGGGCCGGGCACAGTGGCTCATACCTGTAATCCCAGCACTGTGGGAGACCAAGGCAGGAGGATCATGAGGTCAAGTGTTTGAGACCAGCCTGACCAACATGGTGAAACCCTGTCTCTACTAAAAATACAAAAATTAGCCAGGCGTAGTGGCGTGTGCCTGTAATCCCAGCTACTCAGGAGGTTGAGGCAGAAGAATCACTTGAAACCAGGAGATGGAGGTTGCAGTGAGCCAAGATCACGCCACTGCACTCCAGCCTGGGTGACAGAGCGAGACTCCATCTCAAAAAAAAAAAAAAAAAAAAATTGTGTTTAGTTTTAAATATTTCATCATTTCTGTTAATCATTGTTTAACCAAGTTATTTGGGTTTCAGGTACATGGGTTACTTTTTAGCTTTCTGTTGCAACTGATTCCTTATTTTACTGCATCTTTATCATTGAACATATGATATATTAAACAGGATTCTTTTTGGAATATAGAACTTTTCTTGGTAGCCTAGTAAATTGTAAATGTTTTATGAATAATCCATTCTCAAAATAAAATGTACCTTTACTGTTTGTTGGGCATAGAATTCCATACATATCTACTGGTTTCTCCACTTATTGTATTATTCGGATCTTTTATATCTTTGCTTGTCTTTGGTCTGCTTAACCTATCAGTTTGAGAAAGCTGTTTTAAAATTTCTGTCCACAATTGTTGACTTACCCGTTTCTTCCCATAGTTGACTGACATTTTACATATTTTTAAGACAATATTATCAGGTACATTTATGTTCATTATGATTATATATTATTCTATTGCTACACTTATAAATATGTCACATCCTTCTTTGCCCTTAAATGATTTTTGTTTTTAATCATATTTCATCAGATATAAATATTGCTATCATGGCTTTCTTGTGGTTCACATTTCCCTACTACAGTTGGTCCTTTAACTATCCAGGGATTAGGGGCACTGACCCCCTACGCTGTCAAAAACCCACATGTAACTTTTGACTTCCCTAAAACTTAACTACTAATAGCCTACTGTTGACTGGAATCCTTAGCTATAACAGAAACAGGCTATTAACACATATTTTGTATATGTATATTTTGTATATGTTTTATACACTGTATTCTTTAAGCTAGAACAAAGAAAATGTTATTAAGAAAATGAAGAGAACATATATTTACTATTCATTAAATGGAAGTAGATCATCATAAAAGTCTTCATCCTCATCATCTTTATGTTAGATAGGCTGAGGAGAAGAAGGTAGTGGAGGGGTTGGTCCTGCCCCTCAGAGGCAGAAAGGGCAGAAGGGGCAGAAGAGGTGGAGAAGGTGGAAGCGGGGCAGAAGAGGTGGAGAAGGTGGAAGGGAGGCAGGAGAGGCAGGCACATTCAGTGTAACTTTTATTTTAAAAATTCAGTGCATAAGTGGACCCATGTAGTTCGAACCCATGTTGTTCAAGGGTCAACTGTAATTTTTTTTATCCTTTTGTTATTACCCTAACCAGATTGCCGTCCATCACTACTCTCTTACTGACAAAATATTGCTGGATCTTAATATTGTATCCAATCTGAGTATTTCTGTCTTTTGATGGGTCAATTTATATGTATTGCAATTATGGTTATGTTAGGATTTACTTCTGCCATCTTATTTTACTTTTTTCTCTATTTATTACACTTTCTTTTGTGTATTTTTTTCTTTTTGTTTCTTGCTTTCCATTGGGTAAACTTTCCACCTGTGAGGAACTTATACATTCTAGTTTTGTTTTCTGGTAGTTGCTCCTAACTTGTTAAGATCCGTAGTTACATTCTCCCCGTCTATTTCTTCATCTTAACAATACTTACATCTTTCACTGAACAAAAAAAGTGCCTGTCCCCACCTGCCTCTATCCTCACCTTCTTCTCCTAGCCCATCAACCTAGGTTCATTATGTTGCAAATTTTATTTTGGGTTGTTGTGCACATCAACAATGGTAGTTCTGAGGACAAACATCAATCAATCTTTCTTCTGGAGGCAGATGACTTCAAAGACATTTCTTTGGGGTCTTCCTTCTTCACCCAAGTAAATTTGAAAGATGTATGCTAGAGAGTGGGCTGCTTTCTCCTGGTAGAGTATAGTATAGCTGTTGACTCACAGGCACTTAACAAAAATAAACCTTACCACATGAATAAACATCAAATCATCACAAACAACACTTTAGCCCTGGAAACCTGGTGGGTGAGAAGGGAATGTTTCACCATTCCCAGGAGACAAGCAATCTCACTTCATTGCTGGATGATAGCCCAGGGTGCTGCCCCACGTCCCAAACCACACTCTTCTAAACAGCAGGGTACCTATGTTTATGAAGGGTTGTAAGTGAAAGGTACACATTAAGCAAATATGCATAAGCCAAGACATGCCCATAGTGATAATTTCACACACATATACTGCAGTACAAACATACCTCAGTGGTAGTTATATGTGTTTCTACACACAAACACACACTTATATACACACATACTGTCTCTAAACGATACTTTAGTTTGACAATACAGTACTTAAACTCCCCTAGACTCATTTTTTTTTAACATAAGTTCCATATTATCATAAGCACTGGGATTCAATAGCAGGCAAAAGCTATTAAGCCCAAGGAGAACCAAAACCTAAAACACCTAAATAACCCTTTTACTGAGCTCCCACTAACAGAGCTTCCTATCAGCCAGCGTTTTAGCCCGGTCCCTTCCTTCCATGTGCTCTTTAAAATCTGTCTTTGTCTCATAACTGGAGTTTCCCCAGGCTTCATAAGTCTTTGGATATAAATGAGATTATATTAAATTAATGCCCAGATTCTGCTGACTCTTAAACTTCACCTGCTTCTCTGCAAGAAATCAGCCCTCTGCCTTGGTTTTCTGCAGTTATTTCCAAGAGACCACAGGAGCATGTCACCTACCTCCTCATTCCAGCCTTCCTACTTCTCCCTAAGGAAGGCACATCTGTCATGCCTTCCCCTTCACTGCCAGGGTGATGTCACACCCACTCTGAGGGATCTAATTGCATATCTACAGAGGGAGGAGGAGGTGACTCTTCTTCTGCAGTCTACAGTGGTCCATCACCATCAAAGCACCTAAGCCACACTACTGATGTTCAGAATCTTACAAGTGCTTTGTTGAAACAGCTCCTTCAGCTCTTCGTTTGCAGCTTTCTCTCTCACCAGGGCTCAGACCTCATGGTCCATGGAGGCAGGCTGGGAAGGAGGGGGTGGGTCACTACCATCTCCAACCTTCCTCCCAAAGACACACGTAGAGAAACCTTCACACCAAACTCCGATTCCACCACTTTCTCCAATGGGGATAAATATTAAGACATTATATTTAGCCATGGGATATTAAGTCATGACACAGTTGTAAACCCAAACAAACCCCAAATCTTGGTTTAGACTTGGTTGAAACATCTGCTATGCTGATGACTCCTTTTGTAACTTTTCTCTCCCTGAAAAAATTCTGGATGTTTTGAGATGCCCATTTTATTCCACAAATATTTTTGAGGTCTTGTCATGAAGGCAGGATGGCATCCGATGAATTATTTATATATTGATTCTTCCATAACAGCTTAGTCATGATAGTACCATGTTTTGTAATTTCAAAGCTGTGATGGTTATTAGGGCTGTTCACAAGAACCCTGAGTCACCTCCTTCCAGGTACATGGTGAGATTGTTTTTTCATGGTCTCTTGAAGTTAGGCATAG
Organism: Homo sapiens; assembly: GCF_000001405.40. NCBI lineage: Eukaryota > Metazoa > Chordata > Mammalia > Primates > Hominidae > Homo > Homo sapiens. The sequence continues at coordinate 121,323,683 of NC_000010.11, forward strand.
CCTTGTGGCTTGGTTTGACCAATGAAAAGTGTGCAGTCTGATGACTGTCCCTTCCAGAAAGATATAATCATGAGTGTAAGATACTGCAGCACTCACTTTTCTCTGCTATAAAGATTGTTGAATAACATGAAAGACAAAGCCTCCAACAGCCTGGGTTTCTGAATATCTGTAAGGAGCAGAATCATCTGTGACCCTCATAGGACATGTAGCCTGAATGAGAAATCTTAGATATTTTAAGTCACTAAAATGTGGTGGATGTTTGTTAACATGCATAACCTTATCCCTCCTGACTAACACAAAGGGAGAAGCATGCTAGAAATGTCTTTAGGATTGAAAATTCAGGGCCATTGCCTTGCACAATTTCAGGTGGCACCATTCATGCTGTATCCTATGAATTGCATGCATGAAAACACAACCATTCATTCTGTGTTCTATGTCCCTGGAATTGGGCAGTACTTTGAAACTAAATAAATATATATATTTCCTGAGTTTTCTGTCAAGTTTAACTCATGAATGGGGGCATTCCCCAGTTTTGTGCCTGGGGAAGAAATATTCTATTTTAACATACATGTAACTTTTAGATCTTTCTTTGCAGTGTCATCTCAGTACCACGATTTACTGTAAGGCAGTAGTTCTCAACCAGAGGCTAGAGATGGGAGAATCTTGCCCCCCAGGAGATATTTGGAAACGTCTTGGGGCACTTTTGTCCCATCTGAAGGCAGGGGGCACTAATGGTATGTAGCACATAGAGGTCAGTGATGCAGTGAACAGCAGCCCCCACTTCCCAGGTAGACATTTCTCCTTTGTACTGGCCAAATGCCCTCCTTCATTGAGAACAGAAAGGAGAAAATGTTTTGATGGTCTAAAGCGGAAGTCCCCAACCTTTTTGGCCCCAGTGACTGGTTTCATGGAAGACTATTTTTCCACAGATCAGGAGGGTGGGGAGATGGTTTCAGGATGAAACTGTTCCACCTTAGATCAACAGGTATTAAATTCTCATAAGGAGTGTGCAACCTAGATCCCTCCCATGCACAGTTCACAGTAGGGCTCGCGCTCCTATGAGAATTTAATGCTGCCACTGATCTGATAGGAGGCGGAGCTCAGGTGGTAATGCTCACCTACCTGCCATTCACCTCCTGCTGTGCCGCCCAGTTCCTCACAGACCACGGACCAGTACTGGTCTGTGACTCAGGGGTGGGGGACCCCTGGTCTAAAGCTCAAGGAGGTGGAACATAACATTCCACTCCAGTGTGCACCTTACCCGGTGGCTTCCTTCTCAGGAGCACAGTATGTAAGCAGGGAAAGGAGTAACCTGCTTTGCAGCAGAGAGGCCTGGCAAACACTCCTCAGCAGGCAGTTAATGTCAACATCAACAGCCATGAGTCATGTTGATAGAATGTACCCTAGACACGGTATGATGAGAATAGCACCTTACCTCCCCCAAACCCATAACCCTACCCTGAGCATGAAAAAAAAAATCAGAAAAAAAAAATTCCAATTGAGGGACATTTTATGACATACTTGACCAGTATTTCAGATCAAAATGAGGAAAGTCATTGAAAACAAGGGAAGTCTGAGAAACTGTCACTATCAAGGGGAACCTTAGGAGACATGACAGCTAAACATGATATGAGATCCTGGGTGGGATCCTCGATAGGATCCTGAAACCAAAAAACGAGATTAGATGAAAGCTACGGAAATCAGAATAGCACATGCACTTAATAATAACAATATACTAATACTAATTCATTTGTTATGACAAATGTACCACACTAATAAAACATGTCGGCTAGGCATGGTGGCTCATGCCTGTAATTCCAGCACTTTGGGAGGCTGAGGCAGGCAGATCACTTGAGTTCAGGAGTTTGAGACCAGCCCGGCCAACATGGTGAAACCCCATCTCTACTAAAAATACAAAAACTAGCTGGGCATGGTGACACATGTGTGTAATCCCAGCTACTCTGGAGGCTGAGGCAGAAGAATTGCTTGATACCGGGAGGCAGATATTGCAGTGAGCTGAGGTCATGCCACTGCACTCCAGCCTGGGTGACAGAGCAAGACTCTACCAAAAAAAAAAAGTCAATAATGGGGAAACTAGGTGTGAGGTATACAGGAACTCTATTATCTTTGCAATTTTTTTGTAAATCTAAAATCATTCTAAAATGAAACATATTTTAACGATGATATGAGGGATATAGGAGAACTATAAAGAATCTTCCAGCAGTTACAAAGGTCAAAAGGGAAATTGCTCATAAAGAGACATTACAGAAGTATACAATGAGTTGGAGAAATGATCAACTCATCAGGTTTGACTCTCAGGAGTCCTGAGGACAAAAGAATAACCTTGTGTTTGAACAATAAATTTTTGAACACATATTACAGGTAACATGCTGAGAAATGACTCATATGTGAGTCACAGTAAGATTGTAATCTACTCGCAAACTTACATGATATGATTGAACAAGACTGAATAGTGTCTGATAAAACAATGTGAGCAGTGGTTTCCAAACTGTGTTCTGTTGAACCTGTGACCCACCGAAGTCTGGTCTAGGTCTGCTTAAACATATTTTAACTATTTTTACTACTGTAATAAAAAGTAGCACCATCTCACAACTGTCTCCTGTAACCTAACACACAGGAGATCGATAACACACACATTTATATTTGGTTCTAAGAACTAAGCTTCTCCTGCCATCCCTGAATGCAGGTTGGAATTTATAAAGGGGCATTAAGCAGGAGGGATGACACCTCATGCTCATCTTTTTACAAACACCCACCTCTGTGTGTGCTCTTTAGATATAGTTGTGCAAATGAAGATTCCACACAACGTTGGACAAATTGCCTTCTCTCACACCAGCTACATCAGTGATGAAAACTGGAAAAAGAAATTAAAGTTGGCCAGGCACGGTGGCTCACGTCTGTAATCCCAGCATTTTGAGAGGCCAAGGAGGGCGGATCACGAGGTCAGGATTTTGAGACCAGCCTGACCAACATGGTGAAACCCTGTCTCTACTAAAAAAAATACAAAAGTTAGCCAGGTGTGGTGGCACATCCTGTAATCCCAGCTACTCAGGAGGCTGAGGCAGGTGTATCACTTGAACCTGGGAGGTGGAGGTTGCAGTGAGCCAAGATCATGCCACTGCACTCCAGGTTGGGCAACAGAACAAGACTCTGTCTCAACAAAAAGAAAAAAAGAAATTAGAATTGTTGGGAGAATTAACCTAATGGACACAAAGTCCTTAACATGCTGCCTGGCCCATAGTGATGCCCAATAAATGTTAGTTTGCTCTTTTAATTTCATTACGCCATTTTTAGCCTGTTCTACTTGCCAACCTTGCAAGAGGTAAGAGGTCTCATGTTTCAAAAGCAAATCATGCTTATTCACATTTCCATACTCATACCTCCCTCTACGTGGAGCACCCTTCTTTCAAGATCCTTACAGATGAGGTCATCTCCTTCCACAAACCTGTCCTTTCCAACACCCCTAGACAGGGGCAGTCTCTCTCCGCCCATGTCCCTACAGTGCTGGGACCACACTTCTCATATAGTCCTCATTAAACCATAAGTAGTTGTCCGTATTTTTTTTCACTAATATATTGGGGTAAAATTGATATAAAATAAAACCACTTAAAATGTACAATTTAGGGTGGGCGCGGTGGCTCACATCTGTAATCCTAGCACTTTGGGAGGCCGAGGCCGGCAGATGACGACGTCAGGAGATCAAGACCATCTCTGGCTGACATGGTGAAACCCCAACTCTATTAAAAATACAAAAAATTAGCCGGATGTGGTGGCACGTGCCTGTAGTCCCAGCTACTCAGGAGGCTGAGACAGGACAATCGCTTGAATCCAGGAAGCAGAGATTGCAGTGAGCTGAGATCACGCTACTGCATTCCAGCCTGGGTGACAGAGTGAGACTCCATCTCAAAAAAAAAAAAAAAGTACAATTTAATGGCATTAAGTACATTCACAATGTTGTGCATGTATTACCGTTAATTCTAAGAATTTTCATCACTTCGAAAGGAAATTCCGTAGCCATTAAGCAGCCACTCCCCATTCCCACCTGCCCCCAGTTCTGGCAACCACAAATCTTTCTGTCTCTATGGATGTACCAATTTTTGATATTTCATGTAAATTGAATCATTCAATATGTAACCCTTAGTGTCTGGCTTCTTTCACCTAACATAGTATTTTCAAGGTTCATCCATGTCGTAGCATGTATCAGCACTTTGTTCCTTTTTATGGCTGAATACTATTCCATTGTATGGCTATGCCACATTTTTATTCATTTGTTGATAGACATTTGAGATGTCCACATCTTTTGGCTATTGTAAATAGGTCTGCTGTAAACATTCATGTATTTCTTTAATGGCTGTTTTCAGTTCTTTAGGGTATATACTTAGGAGTAGAATTGCTGGATCATAGGCTAATTCTATGATTAAATGTTTGAGGAAACTCCAAACTGTCTCCATAGTGGCTGCACTATTTTACATTCCCAGCAGTAGTGTGTGAGGGTTCCAATTCTCCATATCCTCACCAACACTTTTTTTCTTTTTTTATTATTATTATTATTATTATTATTATTATTATTATTGCCATCCTAGTGGATATGAAGTAGTTCCTCATTGTGGTTTTATTTTTGAGACAGAGTCTAACTCTGTTGCCCAGGCTGGAGTGCAGTAGTGCGATCTTGGCTCACTGCAACCTCTGCCTCCCAGGTTCAAGCCATTCTCCTGCCCCAGCCTCCCGAGTAGCTGGGACTACAGGTGCATGCCACCACAGCCGGCTAATGTTTGTTTGTTTGTTTGTTTGTTTTTAGTAAATATGGGGTTTCACTATGTTGGCTAGGTTGGTTTCGAACTCCTGACCTCGGCCTCCCAAAGTGCTGGGATTACAGGTGTGAGCCACCGTGCCCGGCCTCACTGTGATTTTGATTTACTTTTTGTCAGTGGCTAAAGATGTTGAGCATCTTTTCATGGGCTTGTTGGCCATTTGTATAACACTGGAACATGTTGGTTATTGAGCTTTATACCCTCTGTGCCCTCGAGGCTGTGAGCTCAATGACAGTGGAGGACGCCGCTCCTTCTCCTTTGTGTCTTCAGTGCAAAGGGCAACTGACATCGTAGGGGAAAAAATACCCAAAACCTCTTCTCTTAAAAATGAGCCGAATGAAGTAAAGAATAGCCCAAGAGATTCTGCCAATGGTAGAAGCTGTGAGAATCAGGGTGGAGAGGACACCAACCAGGTGGAATGGGCACACCAATGAGGTGGGACATCAACTGGGACTTGAGGGATGAGCAGATTTTGATCTAGATCCCCAATTCCTCCTTTCATCTCCATTAATTCATTTGTTCATCAATGCAATAAACAGATCCTGAGTGATTACGTCGTGCTGGGAGGCAGGAGCTTTGGCGGGCTCCTGCGTGTTTGAGATACAGGGAATATCTGACATTGAGGCCTCACACCTGCCTCAGGTCCGCCCCCATCTGTGGCAAGCACCCTCCCAGTGCCCCATACCTGTAGCTGCTCCTAACCTGGTGTTTCGCTCTCCATCACAAGCTGATGGACCTATAATATGTGGAAATGAAAATAAGATAAGGGTTCAAAGTGCTTTATTGGTTTACGTGACTGAAAACAACATCATATTTAAACTTCATGCAGATTTATTCTCTTTTTTTTTTTTTTTTTTTTTTTTTTTTGGTTACAATCTGTTTCCCATCATCTTCCCATCACTCCCCAAGGGCTGGAGTTGACACATTTGCCCTGGCTATTTTCTTTGATTATTCAATTAAATAATCCCAGGGATTTTCAAAAATGTTGAAATTCTTATTTCCTAATTCCTAATTCTATAATTACAGTGCTCAGAGATGATCTTCTGCTCACTGATATCATGAAGAAAAGTTATCATACATATCTGCACACACCTGAAACTTTAAGGAGGCCTTTCACAAAGATGATCTCATTTATTTTCCTCAAAAACCTGGGAAGTACACACTACCACTCTCAGTTGACAGAATAAACTAAAGAATAAAGAGGTGAGATGCCTTGCCCAAGTCCACACCATTCACAAGTGACAAAGCCAAGACTTCATTTTAGCCCTTTTACTTTTAAATCTTCTGATATTTCTCATCTAGAAGAGCATTACAGAAATTGTAGCCCAGGAACACATTATGTTGTACCTGTGATAGTATTTTTTTTCTTTTTTTCTTTTTTTGAGATGGAGTCTTGCTCTGTCCCCCAGGCTGGAGTACAGTGGTGCAATCCCGGCTCACTGCAACCTCTGCCTCCTGGGTTCAAGCGATTCTCCTGTCTCAGCCTCCCGAGTAGCTGGGGTTACAGGCGTGAGCCACTACGCCTGGCCTGCGATCATATTTTCTAACAGGTTAGTAATAGTTAAAATTTGGCAAGCAGAGCTCCCTGCCTTAGTTTCCAATTCTCTTAACATTTTTCATATTTGATTTTTGGAAGCCAGTTTCTTGGCAAGTGATCCAAACAAAATTTCAAACCCAAGCCATACCCTTGATGAAACGACTGTTTTTCCCAAAATAGTCCATGGGCAAACTGTTACATGTTGTGCTCAATGACCAGGGACACAGCTGGCAAAAAGCACCATATAAAGTTTTTCTATTTGCTGAGATGGTTTCGTGCTTGATCCTCACAGATCGCTCTTAATAATTTAGTCACGCACTCCTCTGCAGTATATTGCTTCCACAATGCTAATTTAAACCATGTCAGTGTGCTTGCAATATGACTGACAATAGCCAAAATGTAAGAAAAGGAATCGTTTCTTCAAATTAAATGTGTACTATTCATCTGTGAACATCATGCTTGAGATGCTAGTTAGAATTCTCTCTCCCTCCTTGTCCCCCTTTCTCTCTCCTTCTCTCTCCCTCTTTTCCCTCTCCCCCCTCCCCTCACTTCCTCTCCCTGTTTCTTCTCACCCTCTTTCTTTTCCTCCATCCATTTTCTCTCCCTCCCTTCCTCCTCCTCCTCCTTCTTCTCTCTCTCACACACACACATACACACACACACACACATACACACACAAAAAATGCTCCCTGGAGAATTTCCAAGCATCTAACATACACTTTACTGAAACAGGCTGGACTGGACCACACACACAATAGCAAATTGCCTAAATAAGTCAGATGCATAAGCAACAGCCACTCAAGTGCAGAGAATGTTTAAACTTTAGGGAAAAAACAATAAATTAAAGCACAGCCTTTCTTCTAAAGTGATTCCTTATTGAGACTTCTGCTCTGAATTAGGAGGTCGTGTCAGAGTGGTGTGCAGCATATCGGGGGCCCACCCTGAACTCACTCTTTCTCCAGGACAAGTCAAGTGGCCCATGGAGAGGGCCAGCCCTGAGAAACAGAGTCCACACTCAGCAAGAGGAAGAAGGACTAAAGCCGGGGCTAGACTGTCTTGCAGTTTACTAAGATCATCTTTAAATCTTTCAGAAAGACAAGCCGTTGAGGTTTAAGGTCATTCTTCATGTAGGTTTTCAAAGCTGGCCTGCCCTGTTTGCCTTACCTGCTAGCAACAGACATCAAACACAGCCAGAGTTTTGAAAATACAAATAGATGTGTCACCCCACCCCCCACCACCATTCTTCCCATTGCAAAACCCAAACTCCAGATTGTGACCTACAAGACCTGAGCACCGTGACCATATGACCAGGCACCTGCCTACCTCTCCAAGCCTCCTCTTGCTCAGTCCCATCCAGTCATACTTGATTCTTCTTGTTTCATCCACTCCTTCAAGTCTGTTCCTGCCATAGGACCTTCTCCCAACTGAGTCCTCTGCTTGGAACTAGTCCTCAAGATCATCACAGGGCTGATTCTTTCTCTTTGTTCAGGTGTTAGTTCGAATGCCACCTACTCTGAGGGCTTCCCAAGCCTTCTGAAATACACTAGATTATGGGTCACAATTCTTTGTTCCCCAGTAAGACATCCACATCCTTGCCAGATATCTTTGCAGTGCCTGTCCCCTTGAGCAGAGCAGCTTCTTCTCTCTGTTAATGTCAGTCATGTGATTTGCTTTGGCCAGAGGAACATGGGCGTAAGGGACACTGGGCCTCAGCTCAGGTCTGAGCTGAGGTCCTAAGAGCTGTTAATGGTTCTACTCAACCACTTACTCTGCTGACAACCACAGTGAGAAGTACAGGCTCACATACTTGCCAGTCACAATTTGTCTAAGGTGAATGAGGAGCCCATAAATAAACAAGAAGCCCTCAAAAAAATCCTTGCTGCCACAAGCCACTGAGCTTTTAATGTCACTTGTCACATAGCAAAAACGCTAACATACTATGCAATTGTAAGTAACCCTCCTCAGGCTCTATTATATCACTCTGTTTTGTTTTCATTGTAACATTTACATGCCTAACATGTCTTCTGATTTGTCTGTTGCTCATTTCCTTCTATAAGTTTCATGGGGGCACTGTATTCCCAGCACCTAAAACAGTGCCTGGCTCACAATAGACATTCAGTCAATGTTTGTTTAATGAATGAATGAGATCCCAAGTCTTAATCATGGAAGGATTTGTATGTTTTCCAATCTGAAGACCCAATTCTGTGAGACAGGAAACAAAAGCACTTTTTTTAGTTAAAAATTCAACAAATATTGTAATATCAATATCTGAGATAAACCTTATCAGAACTCTGATATTCCCAAGAAATTAATAAATGACTGGCTGCGTTTCATAATGCAAAAATACCAACTTGTCTTACTGTGACACAAGGGCTAAAATGACCATGATGGTGATGATGAAGGAGTGGTGATGATGAAGGAGTGGTGATGATGATGATGATGATATGATGATGATGATGATGATATGATGATGGTGGTGATGAGGATGATGATGATAGTGGTGGTGGGAGTGCCAGTGGTAGTAATGACAAGGAGGAGGAGGATGATGATGATGATAGTGATGGTGTCAGTGGTAGTGATTATGATGATGAGATACTGGTGAAGGTGCCCATGGTTGTGATGATGGTGGTGGTAGTTCAGACCAGTTACCCCTACTGAGTTATCTGGGATTGAGTCTACCACACCATCCAAAACATGCAGAGGAAATTAGCAACTCCTGACTGCCCCCAATAAGGAGACCTCTACTCAATCTACAAGGCCAACTACTATACTGGCAGTGGGGGCAAAAGTAGGCAGGGTTCTTGTTCCCACAGAGGTCACAGCCTAGTGGAAGAGGGAGATTAATAATCACATACATAAAATTTCTCAGTTGTAACTTTAAGAGGAACTACCAAGTGGCAGTGCAATGTTATGAGAGTCTGTAAGAGAGGATTCAGCCCAGCCAGGAAAGGCATGCCTGGGCAGTAATAAGGAATTAGAACTACAAGATGAGTATGACTCACCCAAGCGAATGAGGAGTCTAGACAGGGGGAACGGGGTGCATGGAGCCTGTGGTGTAGAAAAGAAGATCAGCTTGGCTAGAATTGAGAGGGCATGGGAAGAGTGGTTTAAGACAAGGCTACAGAGGCTAGAAGTGGCCAGACTCAACAGGGCCCAGTAGACCAAGTCAATAAATTCCATGTTTGTTCTAAATAAGAAACAATTGGAGAGTTTTAAGCCGTGGAGTCACATGATCAAATCTATCCTCTGGAAGAACCACTCTGGCTGCTGTGTGGTGGATGGGAACAGAAGGAAGATTGTTCCCAGAGCAGCTTGGACCAGGGTAGTAGTGGGGGAGAGAGAGAGAGAGAATCACACACATGCCAGAGCTCTTTAGGAGCTAAAATGGTGCTGGATTCAATATGAGGGATAGATAAAAAAGAGAAAGGTGTCAACGGTGAATTCCTCATCTCCTGGCTTATGTAATGAGATGAATAGTGGTGATATTCACTGAGATAGAAGACACTAGATGAATAACAGGTTTGGGGAGTGAAAAATCTGTTTGGACAAGTTGAGTGAGTTTCCTTCAAGAGATCAAAGAGACAATATCAAGTAGATGATCAGATATTCAGGCAAAGGGCAAACTCTGATGGAACGAAGTTAAGTTTGTGACTCCCCTGCTCAGAGGAGGTAACAGCAGCTGTGGCTATGAATGACATGCTACAAGAAAGAAGAGGGAGTAAGGAGACAAAAAGAGTCTGGCACAGCCTTTCAAAACTTGACATCTCCTGGCCAGGGAGTAGATTAAACTCACAAGAGCCAGGGGAGACCAGGCAGATGGCAAGGAGGGAACCCAGAGAGAGTCTGAGCCTAGAATCCTAAGGGCACCCAGCCCAATCCCCAAATCCACCCTTCACATTGGAGAATCCTCTTCACTTGTTTTATGTTGTGAAAAAAAAATTACTAATAATAACTCTTTCAAGAGTAGTAACAGCTCTGAATGAGGCAAGTTTCTTAAGACCAGGACCAACCTGCTGTTAGATGAAGTTCAGGGAAAGGTTCCCTGAATCAAAAAGTCCTTCTCACCTACCACAGGATGCTTAAAGTGTCCACAATGCCCAAGAAAGGTAAGGCATTGATTCAACTCACATGGGGGGCATCGAGTTCCAAGATTAGATCCCACCCTGTAGTTAACAAACCCATCAAATCAAACTGCAGTTATTAAGGACTGTAAAGTACTCTTCCAGGGGCCTGGGTGTAAGGAGAAGAGTAGATGGAGGTGGGAAGGACACTAAGAGAAAGACAGTGGGTGGAATAAGCAGGATTTAGACCATGAAGACCACATTCAAGTCCTGTCCTAGCCACTTGATATCTACGCAGCTCCAACAGTCATTTAACTACTCTTCAGAGCCGCACGGTCTCCGTCTATAAAACAGGATAAATAATGTTTTTTCAGAGGGTTGGCATGAGTATCAGAGTATTGGTCATAAATGTGCCCTGGAAACCATGAAGGCTACAACAGAAGTCAGTCACTGTGATTGTTTTCAAGTTGTGGGGCAAGGGCAATGCTTGGACTTCAGGCTGGGAACAGAAAATCAGTGCAAACTGACTCCTCCGTCCCAGTCATGTTAGTGACTACATAATTCCAGAGAAACACTGAAGCCCTATGTCAGCATATGTAGTGTAGAATACAGCATCAAGCAGATACCCCCCGGATGGTCTAGGCATTAATTCTCAAATCTCTAAGTCATCCAAACAAGGTAGATAATTTATTACTCTACTTCATGGAGAGTAAAACCATCAATGAAGTAATATTGGGAAAGAATAAGGACTGTGGAACCAGGAAGACAGGTTTTGATTTCCAGTTCTGCCTCTTACGTGCTCTGTGACCTTGAGCAAATCATTTAACTTCTCTGATCCTTAGTGTCCTTAAAAGTAAAATGGGGACAACTAAGTAGGTCAACTAGCTCCTTCCCACTCACTATTTATCTATTGCTCTGTGTCTTTTCCCCATAGCACTTATCACTACCTAAAGTTATCTTATTCATAATGCTTTCATTAACTGACTATCACTTCCAAGTAGACCGTAAGCTCCACAAATGCAGGGAAAGCCTCATCTGTCCTGTTCACAGATAGATATCCAGGGCCGGATACATAGTAGAAATGCAATCAGTATTTGTGGGATGAATGAATAAATCCCATTGAAGGCATTAATCCTATTTTACAGCTGGAATCTGAGGCTCAGAGAAATGAAAGACTTGCTTAAGATCATGCTTGGTAGAAGGTGGAGAGGAGATTCAAGCCAAGGTCTGTTTAATTCTCAAGCCCACAATAACTCCGGGACTCCACTCGGTCTTCCAAGAGGAATGTGGAGCCTGCATGTCTGGGAAAAGCCCAGCATCCCTTGGAACAGGGAAAAAAAAAAAAAAAATCCACGCTCCCATGTGGCCCATAAGATCCTGCCTGCCTTAGCCCCACCTCCTCCTCCAATCTCATCTCACACCAAGTTCCTTGTTCATTAAATTCAAGCTACTTCAAATATACAAAGTGTGTTCCCACCCCAGGGCCTTTGCACTTGTTCTTTGCTAAGCCTGGACCACGCTTCCCCCAGATCTTCCTCAAGCAGTGTTTTCTTACCATTAGAATCTCAGTTCATAGCAGGCGGGTGGGAGGCAGTAGGGAAAAGGCACTCCTTGACAGCATCAGCTACAGAAGCCTCTCATCTCCACCTTCCCCCGCCAACGCCCCAAGTCATTCTCTAGTTTGCCTACCTGTTTAAATTTCAGTGTTTATCAATACCTAAACACATCGTGTTTGTTTTCACATGCTGTCGTCTGCATCCTTCTACCTCACTAGTAAAGGTTTCATGAGACCAAGAATCTGTAGCCTTGACATCAACACCTGGCAAGTAAATAGCACCCATTGATTTATTGCACAAATGATATTATCCCTACGACAATTATTCAGACCAATTTCTGCTCTCGAGTTAAAAGAAGGAAAAGTCTTCTTCCCAGAAGCAGTCACTTCGTGTTGAAATTATGATGAATTGATTTAAAAGGTTGTTACAAGGACTCAAATGAAATAACATTACATTTTTATTCAAAATCCAGACTAGGGTAACATCTTTCAATGCTGTTTTTAAGTATTTATTGCATATCGAATATGTCCTAGAACCACGGTTATGACAACGAAAAGAAAGTTCCTGACTTCACTGAACTTAGAGTCAAAGACAGACGTGTAAACATGAAATTCCAAGAAGGCGTGGCAAACACCTTGTAGTAGGCTCTACGTGCAGAGCCAACTAATCTCTCACAGGAATCAGGGAAGGTGGGGGTGGGAGATGACATTTCAGTCGAGAACTCAAGGAAGAGGCAGGAGAAAGTACTTCAAGCACGAGGGACACAGGTATGAAGGTGACAAATACAAATGAATTCAGGGACCCAGGGAGCATTGCAAATGAACCTGGCCACCAGATATTGGCATATGAAACACAGCACGCTCCACATTTTGTTAAGCATATGCTCATTTGGGTAATTTTCTATATTTCCACTTTTGGTAAAGAAAGAGAAATATTTCTCTAAGAAAAACAAGAGTTATGATAAATTACAAACTGACAGCCTCAGAGTCAGGGAGACAATAGGGAGTGGTGGAAATGGTGGATTCAGAAAGAGCACAGGGCCTGGCTAGACCCAGTGTCGCTAGATCTTTTGATATTTCAAGGGAAGCTAGAAACCCAGATTTTTACTTTTAAAATTGCTTTTTTAAGCTGACTCATAAAATATTTAAATGGTATATAAGCCAAGCAAAACACAGAAGGCAAGGATCGGGCTTATGGGTCCATAAAACGGAATTTTAAAAAAGTTTCTAAACAGGTTCATTTTGAATTTGATAGAATTGTTACTATTTGAAACTACATTCATCTTCAAAGTACCCACCAGGCAGTAATAAAAATAACCTACTCGGAAAGTAGGTAAGCGTAAGAATTTCATTAAAAGTTTTACATAATAGCATCATGCTGATAATCTACCTCTTTCCAAAATTACTATAGCACCATATCCATGCACAGGCTAAATCTGATAGACAATTAGTAGAATTCCATGTGCAAAAGCATCTGTGAATTTTTTTTTAAGTTTTTAATTTCAGACATGTAGATTTAGAGAAAACCTTCTCATGAAGTTAATGTTCGGTGCATCAGCCTAGCATGGTCAATTTAAACATGATACAGAATGCCATAGAGTAAACATTTAAACCCCTCCCTTCCTTCTTAGAACGGGGGTGGTCTTTGGTAATATATTTTTTTTCCCGTTTTCCAAGTATGAAAACTCCAGCGAGCAAATGGTTTCTGTTCAACTGTTCCACTCAAACACCCTTGTCATTCTTCAGCAAGAGCTTTATTTAGAAGTTCCCAGAGAAATGAAAGTGAGAAAACCCGGTTCATAAAGAGAATGGATATAAAGAGCTCCATTAATACAGCTGCTGGGCCTGGAAAGTCAACAAAGCCTGATAATGTGTTTTATTTGGACCTGTCCTCTACTGTGTGCTGGTGATAAGGAGGTGCTTGAAGCGCAGACATTCACTGTACTACACGAATTCAGCCCCTTATTGATTCTGAAACAATGCTCCCTTTCAGATCACACCCACTTAAGTGAATAATAATGAGGCAATACAGGGGAGAAGACGTGGTACGGCACTTGGAGCACAAGGAGCCAGCACAGTGGGGCTTTATTTCAGGTGCTGCCCACTGTCCAGTTGAGTCAATTCATTTACCCTCTGCATACACTTGTTCTCTGTGTGCACAACAGGGCTGGAGCTTTTGCTTGCAGCCACATTACTTCTTCTTCTTCTTTCATTTTAACCATTTTGTTGAGGTACAACTGACATGTAAAAAGCTGTGCATATTTAATTATGTAGCTCGATGAGTTTGGGGATAACCATTACCACCATCAAGGCCATAAACATAGCACCTCTCAAGTTTCCTCCTGCCACCATTATTACTATTATCATTATTGTTTCTCCAAGGAACTCTGCAAGACTCAAGCTCTCGTTTTATGGAAAGCTTGGCAACCAGTCTCCATACGGGCCACGCAAACATCAGTCAGAGTTTCAGAATCAGATTTAGAAGGGATGTCAACAGGCACCTGGTCCAACCTTGGGTACCACGCCCAGAACCCCCTTCAGGATTCCTCCTGCGGCTTCCACAGCCTGACTGCAGCCTTCAAGGACCACCGCTGCACTGTCACTGTCGTCCCTTCTGTTCTCCCTGTCACTCTGCTCCAGCCACACTGGACTTCTGCAATCTCATTCCAGCTGCTTGACTTTGCACTTGCCATTCCCTGTCACGGGGCTTGGCTCAATGTCACCCTCCCTCACCATGCCACGCAAAGTTCTTTCTCTATCACCCTCTACCACGGCACCCTCTACTAGTCTCTAGAGAGCACACAGCACTATCAGAAGTGATGCTGGTAACTATTTGCTCGGTTGTTCAGCTTCAGTCTTGCATCCTGCAACAAACACCTCAAGGCCAAGGGCCTTGTCCACAATTATATATCCCCAGTGCCTGCAACTCTGCCTAGCAGAATCTCAAATGCCTTTGGATGTCAGGCAGGTGACAGCAATCAGTGACAAGCACTGGCTGTAAGGCAACAGGGAGGAGTGTGGACTTCTGTGAGTCCAAGCTCAGTGAAAAACATTCAATATGTAAATCCTGTTGCGGGTCAAGCAAAAACACCAGGAGGCTGAAACCCCTCTCTGTCACCAACTCTGACTTGGCAAAGCTCCTCTTTAAGTGCAGTTCCCAGCGTGGTACCTGCTAAGCCAGATGGGGCCTGGCAAGCCCAGAGCAGACATTCTCTCCCCCCAGGATCCAGTCCTCTCCTGGCTTTTTGGAGTTTTCTTTTTTGTTGTTTTCAGTGACTACACCTCACCCTTAGCAAATATATTCAACCAAAGAACCAGTTAGGTTTGTTTCCAAACTTGCCCCCAAAACACAACTACCTTTTTCAGAAAGTGTAACTGAAATTATAAATCAAATTTTAATTAAGAAAACTGAAGAATTAGAACAGAAAGAAATCAAAAATAGATTTAAAAAAATCAGTGATCAGAGGGGACAGAATGTATTGTGTGGTTTATTTTCAACGTGACTTATCTTCTAAATCCCACTTGGTTTAGGCTATCAGAAAGAAATTTCTGTCTCAAGTCTCAGAGCATGTACTCACAGACACATACCGCCCAGAAGCAGAAAATCCACGTCAACTGGGATTAAACAGTTTGCTATCAGTCACCCGCAATCAGTATAATCACCATGGAGTGCTCTGCAATAAACTACTTGTATATTCACGAGAAGTAGCAAAACCCTCAAAGATAAGAAATTCATCATCCCCAAGCAAACTTTGGGCAGACCTGAATCAAAATATCCTTTTGAGGTTGGAAAATGTGGGCATTTCTCTAGCTTGGAAAAAAACTGAAAAGTGGAAGTATATGTCCTCTAAAAAGACAGCTCTAGATTTTCTGTTCAATTCAAACCCCACAGCTATGGAAAGACATCAGAAGCAAAGCTATAGGTTTCATCCCAATTTCCACTGCGGTTGGGTACTTTTATGCAGGCAGAAACATTTAAAGTCTCAGGGTCTACTTCTCCAAATAAAGCTAGACTTCTGCAGCTCTTCCACCACTAACCATTATAATGCATGAAAGGAGTTAATCTGAAACTTCAGTTCTCTGTATTTCTTCAATCAGAAATTGATGTGAAGAGAGTAAAGCTAAACTCACTGAAAATCCAAACACTGATAACCAAGTAGGATCCCCCCATCCCCCACACTCCCTAATACTTTGGCTGGGAGAAGTTTAAGTGTCAGCTCTTTAATAAGACTGATTTAGGGGCTATCCAGCACTCCTTAATTTTGCCAATATTGAATGATGACTGAAAGCATTTTTGATCTGCAGACTCAATTCTGCTTCAAAGCAATGTCTTTCCTAGACTGTTGTGGAATCAGGAATAGGCAGTGATCTCAAAAGACTAAAAGAAAATCAGAAACTCTTAGGATCATGACCACCACTTGCTGACAGAGCCATCACCCCATTTCTTGTGGCCTAACATGGATTACCCTACACGAAGACCCCCTCCTTTCATTGACTTTCTTCCATCTGGAAACAAGACTTCAAGCAGAAATGCAAAAACCCTGGCAAAGCTGTTAGATTTTGGCATTCCCACAATTCCATTGTTTGCTCTAATTTGGGGAGGTCAGAGGAGGAGAGTTCAGAGGGGCACAGGATTCTGAGTTACAAAGCCCCCAGCCCCATTGTTCCCAGAGCCGGCTCACTCCCTCCCCTTCCTCTGAAGTGGCAAATCCCCCAACCCCCCTCAGTGGCCTCTCAGTCTCTGAAAGGCTCAGGCATCCGCTTCACATAATGCTGGAGGAGGAATATTTAGGTTCACTGAGACAATGCTGCAAACAGCTCAACACCCTCTCTCCAGGACTGAGCATCAGACAAGAAAAGGGCCAGCCTGTCCCAAAGCCCCTGTCCCAGTGGTAGACTTTTAAATAAAGTCCTCTGGTGTCTTCATCCCATTGCACTTGTTTAATCAAACGGGTTAAACTTTAGTGGTGTCTTTATTACCGCATTATGCTCTCCTGGGCGGCAGCCTGGAGGTGGGAGGAGGGGACACAAAACGCTACTGCACTTTACCTCCCCTCTTGCCCAGAGTTACAAATCCTGAGAGTGGAAAAAGACAAGTGGAGGAGGGGGCAGAAGTCCACTTTGTCTCCCATTGTCATTCAGCGGGTTTATAAAGGTGGGGGGAGAAGAATTTGAATGGGGTGAGACCAGCCTATGGGAAAGGGAGACAAATCACTGCAAAGCCAGAAGGCTGAGGATGCAAGTCATAAAATGACCCCTTTTAGAGGTCTTATTGGGAAAGGCTTTTTGAAGATTAATGTTAGGTTCAAGACAGATGCTGGTGGGGTTGATTTTTACAAATTTTAGAGTTGGAAATAGTCAATAGGTTCTGAAAGCATTCTAAATCCCCATTGTCAACCAGGAATCAATGCATTACTGATTTTCTCAAGAGTTTCTCTTCTGGCAAAGATGTCTTTAATAGAGAGGGAAAAAATAGATATAGATATATACCTAGACGAATGATATATATACATATAGTACACATAGATACATGTATATACATACATGTGTGCATTTTGACAGGTTACAGAATTCCTACTAAAAGAAAACTAGTCAATTTGCTTTTTCTGGTTACCCAGAAAATTGAAGGCCAACGGGAGAGCTCATTGCAGGACTGATCTATTCTTCAAGTATTGCCAACTTGTTTCCCATTATTTGGGACAGATCCCAAGACAGTGACTCTAGGTGGACTCCAGGGGGCTTCCTAGGGTGATGACACAAAAGCAAACTTGATGGTGAAGGGAAAGCCCCTACCGGATCTCAAACTCTGGGCTCTGCTGGCCACAACATGGTGCAGTTGCAATTGAATATGGAGTCCTGTAAATTGGTTACAGAAACACAGTTCAGAAGGAGAAAGCCAATCAAAACGATCAAATACAGAAGGGTTTAATACCAATGGACACCTCAGTAAAACAATTGTAACATTTGAGCCACTGCCGGGAACACAAAGATATGTGAGGATCTACACTGATACCTGGAGCTGGAATCTGAAGAGCGAGATGTAAAGATGGGCTTGCTTTTTGTTTTTGTTTTTGTTTTTGTTTTTGTTTTTGTTTTTTTTGAGACGGAGTCTCACTCTGTCACCTAGGCTGGAGTGCCACAATCTCAGCTTACTACAACCTTCGCCTCCCAGGTTCAAGCAATTCTCCTGCCTCAACCTCCCGAGTAGCTGGGATTGCAGGCACACGGCACCATGCCCAGATATTTTTTGTATTTTTAGTAGAGACAGGGTTTCACCATGTTGGTCAGGATGGTCTCAAACTCCTGACCTCGGGATCCACCCACCTCGGCCTCCCAAAGTGCTGGGATTACAGGCGTGAACCGCCGTGCCCAGCTGTTTCCGATCTGCCAATGACAATACATGTTTTTTAACCTCTGGATTGACTCATCTCTTTTAAACCTGGGGAAATCATCCCCCAAATATGACTTCTTGAAGTTTCTCCAGATTCTTAACATCAGCTCCACATATTTAAATTAATAACATTATGGTATATCAGGTATTTCGATTATGGAAGATGAACACACGAAACATTTTTAATTATCTGACTATTTGGTGTTCTCTAGAGGGGAAGAGGCAGGAAGGGGGAGCATCTGTTGCTGCCCAGAGCCCTCACCCCCAGTGACAGTTGGGTCTGACCCTGTTCTGAGCCTGGGCAGGCACTTCCTGGGAATGAGCAGCTCAACCATGTGAGATGAATTAACTGTTTAAGGCCAAGAAACCTGATACTGTTAGTTTCTTCTCACACCAAAGTGGGGCTGTCAAATTGGAGTTAAGGGCAAGGCAATGACCCACATAATTTTGAGATGGAAGAGGGGGAGATTGTTTGGATATATATTTTATGGTTATATACCCAACAAAGACTACTGTCCAAGGCAGAATGGAACAACCAGAAATTAATGAGTTAAAAATGTTTTGTGCCTTCTTCTATTCTGAAAGATAATGATTTCTTTAAGGGAAATCTCATCTGTTGATTGCAGGCATCAACACTTGAGAATGTTGACTCAGCCTGCTAATTTTAAGATCATAATCCATTTCTGGGAAGACAAACAGGTCTTCCCCTTCCCCGTGATCACTACTGTCCTTAAAAAGAAGTCCAGTGGCAAAGTAAGTCATTTCTTGGAAGACACCACCATGGAAACAGAATGTTAGATATGTAGGGAACAGGCATCTTGTTTTTCATGTTCAGGTGCACTAGCTGGTAGGGCCCCTCCTTCCCGATGGTCTACATATTTCACTGATTTTCCCTTTTTTTTTTTGAGACAGAGTCTCGCTCTGTCACCCAGGCTGGAGTGCAGTGGTGTGATCTCAGCTCACTGCAAGCTCCGCCTCCTGGGTTCATGCCATTCTGCCTCAGCCTCCCGAGTAGCTGGGACTACAGGCACCTGCCACCACGCCTGGTTAATTTTTTGTATTTTTAGTAGAGATGGGGTTTCATCGTGTTAGCCAGGTCTTCATCTCCTGACCTTGTGATCTATCCACCTGGCCCTCTCGATTTTCCTTTTTGAAACTGGTGTTGCTCTTTTGTGTATTTCTGCTGGAATGAAGAGCCAGAGAATCTCCTCCTCCATCTCCTCTGGGTGCCATCTTGCTTATTTCTCTTTCAAGTCTCAGTGCAATTGTCACCTCCTATGAAAGTTTTTCCTTGACTAGTTCTATATCCCTTCCTCCAGTATAATGAACCACATCATCTTCTGTATTCTTACAGCACTTTTTGTTAACAATGGAGATGTCACTTTATCTCTCTGAGCCTCTGTTTCCTCACCTATAGAATGGGGATCATGCCTTTCATGCCTTACAAAAGTGGTACAAGAAGAATACGCCACATGGAAGACAACAAACACAGTATCTAATGCATAGGGGTAGTTAATAAATGTGATTTCTTCTTTCCTTCTATCTATATCACTACCATTGAAAATATTTGTTACTGTGTTAGTTTCTTGAGTGCAAAGGACATCACATTCATTTTTGCATGCCCAGAATTTAACTCAAAGCCTAGGACATAGTGGTATATAATGTTTCGTGAATGACTTACAAAATGATAATGAGTTATTAATAGTACCTTTATTTGAGGAATATTTATTTAGCATCTACTGTGTGCCAGGTGGTTTCCTCGGTATTGAGGACACAGGAGTGAATACGACAGATAGGGCCTGAACTCTCATGGAAGTTATCATCTAAGGCACACGTGGGAGAGTAAGGACAATAAATAAGCAAGCATATAATGACACTTCCATTTGGAGAGAGCATTTTATCTACAGTGTTCAGAGATGGATGGGTAGACAGATGAATGGATTGATAGGTGGATGGCAAATGAGAATTTTTGAGTGTGGTTAAAAACAGACCTACCAGTAATCCCATGTGGACCAAGGAAAAACTAAACTGCAAATCTGAATCTTCACTAGCCACTCATTGGCAATTACTGACACAATTTACACTGCCATCTTTGAAGACTCCTAGTTCATACAGAGGCCTTTCTGGAAACAAAGGAAAGTCCTCTAGTCTTTTTTTTTTATATATATATTGGAAGAGTAATCAATAAATTTATTATGTTATTTATTTTTTTTATACTTTAAGTTTTAGGATACATGTGCACATTGTGCAGGTTAGTTACATATGTATACATGTGCCATGCTGGTGCACTGCACCCACTAACTCGTCATCTAGCATTAGGTATATCTCCCAATGCTATCCCTCCCCCCTCCCCCCACCCCACCACAGTCCCCAGAGTGTGATATTCCCCTTCTTGTGTCCATGTGATCTCATTGTTCAATTCCCACCTATAAGTGAGAATATGCAGTGTTTGGTTTTTTGTTCTTGCGATAGTTTACTGAGAATGATGATTTCCAATTTCATCCATGTCCCTATAAAGGACATGAACTCATCATTTTTTATGGCTGCATAGTATTCCATGGTGTATATGTGCCACATTTTCTTAATCCAGTCTGTCATTGTTGGACATTTGGGTTGGTTCCAAGTCTTTGCTATTGTGAATAATGCCGCAATAAACATACGTGTGCATGTGTCTTTATAGCAGCATGATTTATAGTCCTTTGGGTATATACCCAGTAATGGGATGGCTGGGTCAAATGGTATTTCTAGTTCTAGATCCCTGAGGAAACGCCACACTGACTTCCACAATGGTTGAACTAGTTTACAGTCCCACCAACAGTGTAAAGAAAGTCCTCTAGTCTTGGTGGCACCTGCTTTGCTGCTCTTCCTGCTGCCACCCCGAGGCCAGTCGTCCTCCCTGCTCAGGCTTGACTAGCCTTTGGTATATCTTCCGGGTGCTTCTCTCTGCCCCTCCTTGCTCAAGCCTTCTTCCTCTTACGCCAGGACCCTCTCTAAGACCCAATGTGCATCTTCACCACCCAGTCCAGTTTGAGTAATATGTATAACATGACCCCCGCTCCAAAAAACATAAAGGTGCTTGGATGAAATTTTCCCGGTGTCAATGTAGCTCTCCCTTGTTTGGCTTTAAATCATCAGATGCTGGAGGGGAATTCACTGCCAGAGAATAGTTTACTTCTTTCAGCTCACTACAGAATCATAGCCCCAAATAACATGAGAAGTGCTTTGTTTTATTTTTAAATAAAAGAAGTGCCTTTTAAGTTCAAGACTTCCAAGTGCTCTTCGTACATGTCATATTTATTCCTCCACGTAAGGGGATTTTTGTCAGAGGGGAAAGAGAAGCAAGTACAGCAAAGTGGCTTGACCAAGGGAACAGTGAGTGTCCTTAGCAGCCCCACGGGAGAAGCAACATCCAGAAGCCAATCTGATGAGCCCCTCCCAAAACAATGCCCGTAACTTGATTTCTGCCTCATGACCCAGAGCCACCCCTGCTTTCCGTTTTGTGCCCCATTTTGCCCCCTACCTATCTGGTTTCATATTCCACTCTGCCCTTCCAGGAGCTCCGTGTCAGTCAGATGGCAGTAGCCATCATGCCTCGAGCAGACCAGAATCTCTGCCACTTACTGTCATTACTTGCATACATTGCTACTTTCCCCACATAAAATACTCTCCCTCATCTTTGCCTACTAAAGGACCAACTACCCTTCAAGGGACAACTCCATCGTCATTTTCTCTAAGAAGTCTTCTCCAATCTCCCCAACCAGTAAATACATTTGCCCTTTATGTAGGATTTCTTATGCTAATTATAGGGCACATTTCTATCTGCTGTGTATCACTACTACTATGTCCCTTGAGTTCTCAATAAGAACCATGATATCAAACTCTCTCTCAGTCTTTGGATCATTGGAACTTGGAATGATGTAAGGCAGATGGATGCTGTGCAGAACATGTTTATTGAATAAATGAAGGTGCAAACGAATGACTCAGTCCTTGTTTGAGGAGGGCTCATCTTTCACACAGGTTCTCCTTCATCACAAATCTAGTAACTATAAAGATGAGGGAGTTAATTTTTTTTCATCTTTAGGGTTTAATTGTAAGTCTCTCGAGCTAGATTTTTCTATTAAAACACCTTTCAGAAGTCCCCTAGGTTTTGTGAATAAGACTAATGGAAATTTCGTTTTCACCATCACTACCTTCTAATGGAATTTTCTAGAGGTATTTTTCTTTCTTTATTCACTTTTTCAGACAAAATACTATTATTTTATGTCAACAACTTTAAACATTCAGAAACACTAATTCTAATGCATAAACAAAGCCAAAACTGTCATAAAAAACCTTACATCTCAGAGATAGTGAAAGAAAAAGATTTAATACCATTTCCCTATAATTAGGAGATTTCCAATGAGCAAGCTATTTGGCAACTCTTACAGAGATGTGCGAACATATTTTGCTTCTGAAAATTGAGGCCAGGTGAGCTAATTATTAATTTACATTCAGGTTTTAATTCCCAGAGACTCTCTCTAGCCAAGTTTATAGTCAGTAACTCATTCCCTTATGAAATAGGCCATTAAAGGATCAGGGAGAGGTTTTGCAAAGATGAACTTCTACAAGCAAGTCAGTAACATGGACTCTGGGGAAATCTTTACATAAACAGCATCCTACCACCATATTGAAATGTTGGCCCTTCTGGCTGCCTTTAAAAAAAACATTTTGAGAAAATTAGATTTGTCCTATTAGAAAGTCTCTTTGAAGACAAATTAAATGCTATGAGAAATGTGCTATCTTTAAATTTACCTGGAGAATTACTAGAAAAATAATTGTCCTCTACTGGAATAAAGGTATTGATCTAGTTTCTTCTGTTTCCAAAAGGAATGTACTTTTCTTCTCCATGGCTCTGGACTGGATATGGTAGTAGCCAGATAAAGAGGGCCTTTATGATCGATCCTTCGTATGTTCCCTGCTGTGGTTCCCTGAGCAATCACACACACAACAGATTTTTCACTGAGATAAAATTCACATCACATAAAATTTACCATCAGAACCATTTCAAAGCACAGAACTTGGTGGCATTTAGCACATTCCCAA
This sequence comes from Homo sapiens, assembly GCF_000001405.40. Lineage (NCBI taxonomy): Eukaryota > Metazoa > Chordata > Mammalia > Primates > Hominidae > Homo > Homo sapiens. Next base: position 121,347,141 of record NC_000010.11, read on the forward strand.
TGCTGTGCCATCATCACCCCTACCTAGCCCCTAAACATTTTCCTCACCCCAAAAGGAAACACAATACTCATCAAGCAGTCACTCCTCATTCCCTCTACCCAGGAGGTCCTCCCTGCAGCCCCTGGCAACCACTAATCTACCTTCTGTCTCTATAGATTTGCCTATTCTGGATATTTCATATAAACAGAGTCATATAATATATGACCTTTGTGTCCAGTTTCTTTCACTTAGCATAAAGTTTTCAAGTTTATCCACGTAGTAGCATATCAGAACTTCATCCCTTTTTATGGATGAATAATATTCTCTTGTGTGGATGTACCACATTTTGTGTATCCATCGTGCCAGGTAGATTTACTATATGATCTGTTAAAAGTGCAAAGACAACCATACTTTCGAGCATTGGAATTTATTCCTGGTTTGGGAAATTGGGAGAAGAGCATAAAAACAGTATCCCTATGGTAGAAATAAGCTTACCAAATGAGGAAATTTTTACTCCCATCCAAGAACAAGCAGGTCAACAGTCGGGCCCTAACAATTTAATATAGTGCACCAAAAGCCTAGAACATGTTTATACTGCTAGTAATTACACAACCAGAAATTCATTCTAAGGAAACAGTGAGGGATTATGTTCCAGGGTATTTATCTCATGGTTATGTATATTAGCAAAAGTTTGAAGGAAACATATATACCTAACAAAATGAGAATGAATAAAGAAATTGTGGCACGTCCTTTTGATAGAACACTCCGCAGCTATTAAAATATTATCAGAGACCATTTCAGAATATGAAACAATGCTTACGATATGTAATTAAGCATAAAACAAAAAGTTTTAGTACTGTGAACTCATTTTTTCTTAAAAATGATGTACATGACTATATGTCAATACCCACATGCATGTGTCAATAAGTATACTCAAATGCAGTGTCCACAGATGTCATCCCATAACAGCAGGATTTTGAGCTATTCTTCCTGTTCATAATTTTCTGTATTTTCTCTATTCCCATATTGCATATGCATGACTTTTAGGATTAGGAAAAAAGCCCACTGATTAGTGTAAAAATCAACAAAGACACAATCCCTAAGGCACCCATCTCTCCTTCCCCATCCAGAGTCTGAAAGTTTCTCATCTACAACAGTCTGTTCATTGTATCTGTAGTAGTCAATCCCTCATTCTCAAAAAGTCGTTTTCCAAATAACATATGGGCTCAGATGACCCTCATGAAATAAGACCATGGTTTTCCCGACGCATGACCCCTGACCATGCTGTGTTCCTGTCCCCACCATGGTCTCTTTCTTCTCCTCCCTCTTCCATGCCTGCCCATGAACCCTCACCTGACATTCCTTCTGGCCGATCCTTTCTCCCCTCTTCCCCCTTGCCCCACCTTTCTTCCCCTTGCCCACTGCATCTCTACCGCCCATCTCTACATCTGAGCCCATATTTTATTTGGAAAATGACTTTCTGAGAATGAGGGATTGACTACTACAGATACAATGAACAGACTGTTGTGGATGAGAAACTCGCAGACTGGATGGGGAAGGAGGGATGGGTGCCTTAGGGGTTGTATCTTTGTTGGTTTTACACTCCTCTACAGGCTTTTTCCTAATCCTAAAAGTTATGCATATGCAATATGGGAATATGCGAACTCTGGTTCTTTTCTGTCTGAACTGTCAATGTGATGCTTACCTCATCCAACTTTTGGGTGGAAGAACCTGGGTTTTATGTCCTCATTTGATTGTAAGCTCTGTAGACACAGGGTGGAATCTTTTCTTGGGGGAGTGAAGGAGAGGTCCCTTAGAAAAGGACATTGTGGCACATCCTTTCAATAGAACACTCTGCCTCTAATAAAATGATATTCTCAGAGACCATTTCAGGCTGTGAAACAGTGTTTACAATATGTAACTACACATAAAACATAAAAAAGTTTTGGCCAGGCATGGGGGCTCACGTCAGTAATTCTAGCACTTTGGGAGGCCAAGGCCGGTGGACTGCCTGAGCTCAGGAGTTCGAGACCACCCTGGGTAATATGGTGAAACTCTGTCTCTACTAAAAATACAATCCCAGCTATTAGGGAGGCTGAGGCAGGAGAAATCACTTGAACCCAAGAGGTGGAGGTTGCAGTGAGCCAAAATCGCACCACTGCACTCCAGCCTGGGCGACAGAGCAAGACTGTGTCTCACAAAAAAAAAAAAAAAAAAGCCAGAAATACTTCGTGTACTTTGGCCAGGCGCGGTGGCTCATGCCTGTAATCCCAGCACTTTGGGAGGCCGAGGCAGGTGGATCACGAGGTCAAGAGTTCGAGACCAGCCTGGCCAACATGGTGAAACCCCACCTCTAGTAATACAAAAACTAGCCAGGCGCGGTGGTGCATGCCTGTAATCCCAGCTACTTGGGAGGCTGAGGCAGGAGAATTGCTTGAACCCAGGACGCAGAGGTTGCAGTGAGCCGAGATAGTGCCTCTGCACTCTAGCCTGAGCAACAGAGCAAGACACCGTCTCGGGAATAAATAAATAAATAAATAAATAAATAAATAAATAAATAAATAAAAGTTTTGTCGTACTATGAACTCATTTTTTCTTAAAAACTGTGTATGTGGCACGTGGCAAATTTCACTACATACCTGTTGAATAGACAAACAGAAAGGAGTTCTTCACGGCCAATGTTGTGCCCTTTTAAACAGCATTTTGGTAGGACATTTGGCAGAGTAAAAGTTTCTTTTATCCCTTCACATGGTAGACAACTCAGAGAATCAAGGTCAGATTGCTGCTTTACTCACAATCTCCCAGTGATTTCTTCTTCCAAGGTGATCTGGCCAAGCTCCTGGAGAACTGACCACAATGGTGGAAGAGAGATATGTGGAGCTGCATTTTATTCCTATTTTCTTACTTGGAATGTCTTTGGTAATGGTCTCCGTGAAAGCCTCTGTCTGAAAAGTTTGAGAATGGCATTGGCCCCTAGGATATGAGCAAAACATTTTTTTTTCTGAAATCTGTGTATTTCAAAATAACTGAAGGAATTTTTATATTTTATTGACATGAAGAAATCTAAACAAAACTGAATGAGGTCTGTTGCAAATTTTCCCAGAAGATCAACTCCAACATGAGCCTTGTTTCTTCTTGGACTATTGTAGTACAATCAACAGCAGACATAGAATAACTGCAACAATAAGTCAGAAGTCCCCACACACACACTGCAAAGTGGTTTCTATCAGCAGTGGGTTGGGTATTCCCAGTCAGTTTCAGTAGAGAAAAAAATATTTGTATTAAATTGTGTTAAGGGCATTTTATTTTCCAAAACTGGGTGAGAAGATTCACAGAAACTGAAAGGAGGTCTCATCCTCTTCTTTGCAGCAGGTGAGAAATGTCTCTGCTTGGGACAGACTTGTTGCTCACAGCCAATCTCCTGTTATCCTGGCCCAGCCCCTCACTCTCTGTATCTTTCACTCTGGGATCCAGCTAAGACCTTCGACGGGTCTAGTTTATCCCTACAACATGGCCTGTGTACATGCCCTTCCCTTGGCCTAGAAAGTTCTTCCCTGTCTTCCTTGGCCACTTATACATTCTGGTCTCAATTTAAATGCCATTTTTGGAAGGGTGGTTCTTAAATTCACCCAAATCCTGAGAATCTAAGTAAGGTTTCACAGTTTTGCTCTTATGGAGCATCCTGTACTTAACTTTAATAGCAGTTATCACAGTTTATAGTTACACATTTGCCTGATTATTTATTTAAAGTCTGTCACCCCTACTAGAATGTAAAGTCTGCAAAATCTGGGAGTCTGCTGATTTTGTTCATCCCAGGAGTTGGCGCATAGGAAGTTGATATGCTTTAGCTGTGTCCCCATCAAAATCTCATCTTGAATTCCCATGTGTTGTGGGAGGGACCCCGTGGGAGGTTACTGAATCATGGGGACAGGTTTTTCCCATGCTGTTCTCATGACAGTGAAGAAGTCTCACGAGGTCTGATGGTTTTAAAAATGGGAGTTTCCCCACACAAGCTCTTTCTCTTGTCTGCCACCATGTGAGACGTGCCTTTTACCTTCCACGATGATTGTGAGGCCTTGCTAGCCACATGGAACTGTAAAGTCCATTAAACCTCTTTTTCTTCCTAGTCTCAGGTATGTCTTTAGCAGCAGTGTAAAAATGGACTAATACAGAGGTGCTCAATGAACATTTGTAGAATGGAAGAATCAATGACAGCTTCCTAAAGCTGCACTCAGGCACTCAGACCCTGCTCTTTGCTCTAACCTTCTGCCACTTTATCAAACAGGTAGTTTCTGACCATTTCAATTTCCTACGCTGCACATTTAAAAGGAGGACAAACTTAGCCCATCTTATGTAGGCACAGAACAGACTTGTGCTTGTTTACCGGGAAACTCTGAGACATGCGGAAGAACTGAGTTATTATGAATGTGCTTTCCAAATTTCCAAAAGAAAAATATGGTCAGACAGATGTGGTGTCATACACATGTGTATGTTGGAGCAGAAATACTCTCCGTAGTGTCTGTTTACTTCCTGAATTTTATGGTTCTTTTGGAAACTCAAATGAATAGTGAATTGAATGTGGAAATGGCGGCTCCACTGGCATCCCCCAGAGGAAACGCATGCAACTGCGCCACGAAAGAGACAAATCAATGCCCTAATTGTAACTATAAATCCAAGATGGTGGCTGCAAGGAAGGCCAGACTGAAGCTATTAGAAGTTTAGAAGCTGGTTTTACAGATGATTGTATTTTTAGCTCCCTATAATTCACTGGGTCTCCAGTAAATAATTCTTTTACATCTGCTGCTGACAGTTCAATATTCCCTCTGATAATGTTCTCAGGTGTCAACAGATAGAGCATTGAAGCTTTGATCTCAATGCAGTGATTTGTCATCAGTTGCCACACTTTGAAGACATTCCCCCTGGAAACCCATCCAACAAATTGGAACGTGTACAGGGTGAGTGTTTCAATTGTGGTCAGACTCTAAGGCCCCTGCCTAAAAATGGGCCTAAATGGTTTCCACTGAATAATGCCAGATTCCTGACAAAAAATAATAACCCGTCCCCCCACCCCCACCTGTTCGCCTCTCTCCCTCCCTAATCTGTACCCCCACTCCTCCGGAAAAAAAAAGAAAAAAAGTTTGCAGCACTGCCAAAGTCTTTTAAGAACCATTCCAAGGAGGCTCAGACAATCCTGGCTCTCTAAAAGGATACCATTGTAAAGGCAAGTGCTCATATTTCAATGACATACGTATATGTCTCAGAGAAACCAAGGTTTATGTGTCTCAGGATTTCTCCGTAGTTAACCACAATTGCAGGGAAATGGTACCACGTTCCTAGAGTTAAATGTGGTAGCAATTACTTTGCTGGCAAAGGAGAAGGAGGGTCTTGATGGCCTAAGTCCTACGAGTCAAGATTAAATAAACGTGTCTTTTAGAGTTATGCTGATAACTTGGAACACTCCCTCTGTGCTGACTGTGATGCCACAACTGCTGCAGAACCAGCATTTCTCATAGACAAGCCCATTCTGACCTGGCCAGAAGGCATGTGGGACGAGTTCAGGAAAAAAAAAATCAGTTTAAAGGAAAAGTAATACATTTGTGTGTGTATATGCATACACACACACACACACACACACTGAGAAAACTACAAAATAATCTTGAACTTGTAGATTATTAAATGCTTTTAGATATCAGGAAATAACTTGAAAATTGCTCTCCTGTATCATATTTACTAAAATGGTGCTATCAAATACTTTAGGAAAGGAAAGATATGGGTCGGGTAACCTGAGCATTGTTTAATGGTCACTGATTTTACTAATGGCCAGCCAGTCTTTTGGCTTTCATTAGAACACAAGAATGCGATAAGATTCCTGTGAGCATGATAAAGCTCGAGGGGCCATTTTTAAGTGCAATATGGTTTATGTTTAAGATCCCAGTTCCAGTTGGAATGGAAAATAATTCCCTCTATCTTTTCCCTGGTGGCTAGAATACCACATACAAATAATTTAAACAAAGAGCTTCACAAGTGAAAAAAAATATAAACAGAAATATAGATCCCATCACTTCGACCACTAAAATGTGTCAACTCCTGGAATGGAAGGAACATAGAGTCTATATATAACAGGACACAGTAAATGATCAAGTCAGGAAGGAAGCATTTTTCCAGCATACAAAATGATGGAGAAGTCAGAAGTTTTCTTCTCATTGGAAATGGCAGAGATACTGAGTTCATAAATCCAATAATCCCACATAGTCACCAATGTGCCTAACGGCTTTGGCTGGCCAGCCCAATACTAAAAGGCAATCCCTAAGAAGAATGCCCTGAAGGAAATAGATGAGGTGGCTATAAGGGAAATGAAAAGTATGTACACAGCAGAGAAAATTTCTTAGAAGAAAAAATTGTCCTAAAAGAGAAAGGTACATTTAAATAGGTAGGTAGGTAAGCAGGTAGGTGGATGAATAGACAGGTGGATGGAATGGACAGATAGAGAAGTAACTGCTATGTAGACAGATGCAGACAGAGTTAAAGACAAAAATGCAAGCTTGATTCATTTCCATTTTCTCTCAGATTCTGAGAAGTAGAAATGTGTTTCTTACCTGGAAACTGACTAGATCCAGTTTCAAAGAACTATTTTCTACAAACCCCTTTGACACCAAGTGGCTATGACCAACTGTAACAGTGATAGGGCTCAGAACAAGAGTAAAATGGAGGTACAAATTCCAGAAGTCTAAACACTTAAAAGTCATAAACGATAGTAACAAATTGTTACATAAAATCCATTCTCTCCTCCCTTGACAACTATGCCTACATAATGAATTAGAAGGCCCAGTTTGAATTCAGGATTCTGAATTTTGGCCAGGCAGGGTGGCTCACTTGTAATCCCAGCACTTTGGGAGGCCGAGACGCGTGGACCACGAGGTCAAGAGATCAAGACCATCTTGGCCAACATATTGAAACCCCATCTCTACTAAAAATACAAAATTAGCTGGGGCATGGTGGCGTGAGCCTGTAGTCCCAGCTACTCAGGAGGCTGAGGCAGGAGAATTGCTTGAACCCGGGAGGCAGGGCTTGCAGTGAGCCGAGATCGCGCTACTACACTCCAGTCTGGCAACAGAGCAAGACTCCGTCTAAAAAAAAAAAAAATTTCTGAGCTTCTTGCCAGAATGTAGAAGAGGAACCAGACCTGAAGCCTGCCCTCTTCTCTCCTCCCTGCATCACCAGTCCACACCATGGTGCTCACACACTGCATGCCCTAGCTCACACATCCCAGATCTGCCCAGATCTACAGTAACAGTCATCCTTTACCACCCACAGACCTGGGTTTGCCACCAGCAGCATAGTTCATCCTCAGAAGGCCAAGCCAAGAGATGACACCACCAGGTCCAGGAAGCAGATTTGGCTGCCTTTGGGCAAAGAATCCAGGTACCTGAATGGTTAGCAGATGGGATACATCAGGCAGGACAGGCTGCAGTCCTCTTTGCCCTGTAGATTCTCAGTCCCTGGAAAGAGGCATGGCAGCAGAAAGGCCAGAGTAAGGCTCACAAAAGCCTGGGGCCTGGGGCCTGGGACCAGACTTCTCTTGCCCAAATTCAAGGCCAATACTTTAAGCAACCAAATACCTGATTAGCCACTGTAGACTTTAGAAAGTAGGAACAGGAAAGTTAATGACAATAAGAGAAGTTAGACTTTATATTCATTATCTATTGCTATATTGCAAATTATCCCAAATTTTATCAAATTAAAACAATCAACATTTATTATATCAGATTTCTCTCAGTCAAGAATCTGGGAGCAGCTTAGCAGGGTGATTCTGGTCAAGAGTTATCATGAGGTTTCAGTTAAGCCGATGGCCGGGGCTGTAGTCTCAACTGAAGGCCCAAAAAGGGAAGGGAAGAAGACTCCACCTCCAGGATCACTCATGGGCTTGTGGGCAGGCCTCAGCTCCTCACGAGATTTTGACAGGAAATCTTCATTTCTTGCATGTGGACCATTGCAGAGACTGCCTGAATCTTCTCTTGACACAGCAGCTGCCTCCCCCAAGAGCAAGTGATTTGAGAGGGGAAGAGCACACCCAAGACAGAACTGCAGTCTTTTTATAACCTAATGTCAGAAGTGACATTCTATCACCTCTGTCATGTGGTATTGGTCCCACAGACCAGCCTTGGTACAGCGTGAGAGGAGACCACACGTTGTGGTGAATACAGGAGGAGGGGCATTGGGGGCCAACTGCTCCACCACGTGAGATGAGGATTTGGCCTACAGCTGTGGTCCACAGCAGCCCTCGATAAATACTTTTGTAAGAAAGGAGGGGAGAGACTGCGTGCAGTGACTCATGCCTGTAATCCCAGCACTTTGGGAGGCCGGGGCAGGCAGATCACTTGAGGTCAGAAGTTTGATACCAGACTGGCCAACATGATGATATCCCATCTCTACTAAAAATGCAAAATTAGCAGAGTGTGGTGGCAAGCATCTGTAATCCCAGCTACTCGGAAGGCTGAGGCGGATGAATCACTTAAACCTGGGAGATGGAGGTTGCAGTGAGCAGAGATTGCACCACTGCACTCCAGCCTGGGCAACAAGAGCAAAACTCATCTCAAAAAACAAATAAAAATAAAAATAAGAAAGGAGAGGAAAGAGACAATGATGAAGGAACGAGGATAATTGGGAAATCATGGAATTCCCTTCATCCGACTCCATTTCCCATGCCCAGAAGTTACCTGAAGGATCAAATGGCCCTTTCCCTCACTTCTTTACAAAGAAATCCTTGGGGCTTAGACTTGAAGGTGGGATGCCTTTCACTAACTATCCCAGTCACGCTTCAAACCACTGCACACCCCTCATGTCCAGCTCAAATGTTCCTTGCCCTATGAACAATTTCCTGGGTCACCAAATCCCGGTTGGCCATGGCCCTCCTCCACACATTATACTCCTGTGTGGCACTTTTCATATTCTGCTACAATCATTTTATTTTTTTTTTAATTTTTAGCCTCCTTACTGAATATCTGGCCCCAAGGCTCAGCTCTTGAGTGGCTGTGGAGCACCTCCCCTTTGGACGGTAATATCATCACAAATCCTGCTCTCCACATGGAAATCTTTGTCCACACACCATCCCCTGCCCATCCACAAACTCTCTAGTCTGTTTCGTGTAGGTCAGCCCTGCAAAGCAGGGGTCTCCAACTCCTGGGTCACAGACTGGTCCTGGTTCATGGCCTGTTAGGAATGGGGCTGCACAGTAGGAGGTGAGTGTGGGTGAGCAAGGGAAACTTCATCTGTATTTACAGCCACTCCCTACTGCTCACATTACCACCTGAGCTCTGCCTCCCAACACATCAGCAGCAGCATTAAATTCTCATAAGATCGCAAACCCTATTGTGATAGGCACATGCAAGGGATCTAGGTTGCATGCTCCTTATGAGAATCTCATGCCTGGTGATCTGTCACTGTCTCCCATCATCCCTAGATGGGACCATCTAGTTGAAGGAAAACAAGCTCAGGGCTCCCACTGATTCTACATGATGGTGAGTTGTAGAATTATTTCATTATATATTACAATGTCATAATAATAGAAATAAAGTACACCTTAAATGTAATGCGCTTGAATCATCCCAAAACCATCCCCCACTCCCCACTGCCGGTCTGTGAAAAAATTGTCCTCCATGAAACTGGTCCCTGGTGCCAAAAAGGTTGGGGACTGCTGCTGCAGGGCACTTTCCCATCTGCTAGCTCCAAGCCTGGGCTCCTAGAGCCACACTGAGGCTCTGTAAAATCACAAGTGCCACCTGACAGATTCCTGTAAAAACGGGCCCAGCACGACAACAGTGCCATCCATGGAAGAGATTTCAGCCTAAAGAGAAAATGTTAAATTTCTCTTTTCCTCAAATTTCCTTATATCTAGCCCTGCAACCCTCTTTCCCAAGTTATGCTGGAGCTCAACTTCAAACTTTCTGGGAGTCACACAGAAAATGGTACAATGCTTGTCTAGACTAAAAACCATTCTCTGGGTAACTCTGTACTGAAGCAACATCATAAAAATGTGAATATGTAGAAGTCATTTTAAGACATATTTCTTTTCATTATAGCCTTCAGAAACATAGTCACTTGAAAGCTTTTTGTGCCTCTTAAAAGGATAATCCTCCCCCCCAACCATAAGTAAGGCACCTGAGTGTAACAATGTAAGTGATCCCTTACACAGGAAAAATGGCTGAGACATTTATTGATTCTCTACTTAGTCTCTATTTCATTATATTCATAAAATCTGTTGTAATTTTTAATAAAATCTCAGACAGCTTATGACTACAACTGACTACTTAGCAGTTAGTAAATCATTTCTTATTTCTAAGGGTTGCTCAATGTAACAGTCCAATGGAAGCATAACCATGGTAAGCTGCAGTTCAGATAAAGTCTAACTTGCTGGCTCTCCCATCCCTGCTGACAGGCAATGGAATGCAGACGTTCTGTTTCTAAGAGCTGTGTCACATCTGGTTCAGGTTGCTCGTGGTCCACAGTGGCCCACGTTCATTACCATCTAATAGCCGCTTGGCCTTTGTCAGGCGCTGTCTCAAGTCAAGCCTGAGGCCTGACACCCACATCTGCTGCACTTCTCTGAATCTTTGAATCTCTCCCCTCGTGACCTTCTCACTGGCTGCCACAGTGTCAAATGCACAGTAAGTCAAGCAGCCAGTCATTTGAATTAAGAGTCACAGACATCAGTGCTGACTGGGACCTTGGAGATCACAGGGTAGAGCCGACTCCTGTGGCAAACAGGATGGATGAAGCCATTTGTCCCAGGACAGCCCAGGAAGGTCTGACCTGGGGAATCATTGTGACATCTGGGGGGTGGAAGTGCAGTCTCAGCCAGACAGGGTGAGGGCCAGCTCAGTCACAAACCAGAGCTCTATTTTCCTCTCTTGCCTCAGTTTCCTCATTTGCAAAATGGAGATAACAGGAGTACCCACCTCTCGGGATGTTTGTGAAGATTAAATGAGTTTATATTTGTGACACCCTTAGAGCCCAGCTACCACTGTTTGTTAAACGAATGAATAAAAAGTAAATAGATTAATAAATAGCCCTTTTAAATATTAACAGGGATTTTCAATTTTTCTTTGTTAAAACTGAGGAAGTCTTTCTTTAAATAAAATCTCACTCAGAAGCCATATATCTGTACTTTAAAAATGTGTGCATATATACATATATAACGAAGATCTTTACAATGATTAAAATCAGAACTATTATAAATACACACACAGCATTTCATCTGAGACTTCACTCTCCTTTGTCACACGAAGGCAAAGCTCCTCCTGTTATGGTCACTGCTCAGGCAGCTCTGGACTGAGGCTGAGGAAACCCTGGACCACTGTCTACCAAGCCTGAGAGCTTTGAGGTCACAGGGCCAACGCCAGGAGTCAGGTCGCAGTGCATGGGCAATGGTCTGGTCAGCTCAGGAATGTTTCGAGGGGAATGACCACTTTGCCTGATGCCCTTGAATGGCTCTGGATTTCCCATAGATGCCACAAGAAGGATGTGGCTTCTGTTCTGGAAGCTGATGGGCCAATATGGCTGCTTGGGAGGGTGAGAACTTCCCCCATTTCTAAAATCTCGCCATGGAGGTCACAACTGACCACAGTGGGCATCTGAGTAGAATCTAGGAACAGCCCGTCACCCACAGTGACAGGACAGTTTCATGATCAGGCAAGTGGTCATGTAGGTGTCTCAGGAATGTCCTGGCAGGCTTCGAAAAATGGGTCTGGGATGTTGGGAGGAGTGGACTTTGATCTCAGAAGCAGACAGCACAGCACCTTCAGGAAGCCATATATTCCTTTTTTCTCATCCTTTTGTAAATGTCATGTAAACAGAAAAATACAAATAAAATTTTAAATTAAAAAAATTTTTTTTAATTTTAAGTTCCAGGATACATGTGCAGAACACACAGGTTTGTTACATAAACATGTGCCACGGTGGTTTGCTGCTCCTATCAACCCATCACTTATGTATTAAGCCCTAGACGCATTAGCTATTTATCCTGATGCCCTCCCTCTCCCCACACCCTCAACAGGCCCTGATAAATTAAAAATTAAAATACAAAAAAAAAAAAAGAGGAACTGTTTTTTTCCCTTTTAAGGTCATTTTTTTTCTTCCTCCTCCCTTGACTGTCAATTTTATCTGTTTTGCATATGGTAAAATGTCATTACTTCAGATCCTGCTTACTAAGAACCAGGATAATTCAGACAGAAATGGGACTGAAATTAACATGAGCCTCCTTCATTGGAAAGGGAACATGCAAAGCCAAGGCAGGAATCGCTTCTAGGTTCATAATTCACACCACTGCCAGGGCGTTCATTGATTTCATTGGTGGGGCTTTATGGATTGTGGTGATCCATGTTGCAGACCACCCAATACGAAAATAAACTCAACTACTAATTCTTTCAGCACACAGCCACACTGAATGAAACCAAGAGTAACAGTAGGCAGACCACCCTCCATTGCAAGAGGCAGTGTGTGTGTCGAGTCTCAGAGCTGCTGGTCTGCCGCCTCGCCAGACCCAGGAGGGCTGTGGACCCAGGCACTCCCCAGAGGCAGCCAAAGCACCTGGGCCAGTGTGAGCCTTCGTCCTCTTACCTGTTAAGAGCATCCTTCCATCCTAAGAGGTGACAATCCATTTATTCAATGCCTGTTTGGAAGATCATTCAACATTCATTCAATAAACATATTCTGAGTACCCAAGAAGTACAACATGAGAACCAAGAAGAAAAAAACAAGGAAGAGAAATAGGCGGCAGCAGCAGCAGAGAAAAGATAAACTTCCTGCTCTAAAAAGTCCCCAGCCCTAGGGAACAACAGAAACACCAAACTAACAAGAAGCCTGCAGGCACTAGAACCTGAGGTGCAAATGGGTCTCAAAGACACACACAAGCAAGAAAGGGATGTGTGGCACTTTCTCAGAGAAAGTGCCCTTCTAAAGAGATAGGAAGAACGGGCCAGGTGTGGTGGCTCACGCCTGTAATCTCAGCACTTTGAGAGGCCTGAGGCAGGTGGATTACTTGAGGTCAGGAAGTCGAGCCCAGTCTGGCCAACATGGTAAAACCCCATCTCTACTGAAAATACAAAAATTAGCTGAGCGTGGTTGTGCATGCCTATAATCCCAGCTACTCAGGAGGCTGAGGCAGGAGAATCACTTGAACCCGGAGGCAGAGGTTGCAGTGAGATCTCACCACTGCATTCCAGCCTGGGCAACAGACAGAGACTCTGTCTCAAAAAAAAAAAAAAAAAAAAAAAAAAAAGATAAAAAGAAATTCATTTAATGCAGAAGTTGGAAGAAAACATTCTCAATAGAGGAAACAGAATAAGCACTCTTCCTAGTACACAGTAGGTGCTCAACACACTCGTGTGCAGTAAATATCAAAAGGCGCATTCTTCTCTTATCATCAAAAGAAGCCCCCAGTATTCTAATCCTTGGAAATCCAGAACATAGAACATTCATTGAAAAGGATAAGTCAATATTTAAAAGAATTCATTTAAACTTTATCCAAAAAGCTTTTGAAAGTGGTATATACAGGGAGAAGAAACCTAATTTAGACTCCACTTTCTCATTGTTTCATTAAATACTTTTTTAAAGCTGAATATATCTGTGAAAGCATGTCTTCAGACTCCAGAAAACATTTCACAACTGTTATATCTGACAAACTTAGCTAAGGCCCCAGGATAAAACATGATTATCTTTTTTTTTTTTTTTTTTTTTTTTGGAGACGGAGTCTCGCTCTGTCGCCCAGGCTGGACTGCAGTGGCGCGATCTCGGCTCACTGCAAGCTCCGCCTCCCAGGTTCACGCCATTCTCCTGCCTCAGCCTCCCGAGTAGCTGGGACTACAGGCGCCCGCTACCACGCCCGGCTAATTTTTTTTATTTTTAGTAGAGACGGGGTTTCACCGTGTTAGCCAGGATGGTCTCGATCTCCTGACCTCGTGATCCGCCCGCCTCGGCCTCCCAAAGTGCTGGGATTACAGGCGTGAGCCACCGCGCCCGGCCAAACATGATTATCTTTAGATTTCCAAAAAAAGTTTCCTTCCGATAAACTTGATTAGGAGAATTGGTAGATGGAATTTTGTTTTTAAAAGGGTATCAGGCCGGGTGTGGTGGCTCATGCCTGTAATCCCAGCACTTTGGAAGGCAGAGGCAGGTGGATCACTTGAGGTTAGGAGCTCAAGACCAGCCTGGCCAACATGGTGAAACCCTGTCTCTAAAAATACAAAAAGTAGCCAGCCATGGTGGTGGATGCCTGTTAATTCCAGCTACTCAGGAGGCTGAGGCAAGAGAGTCACTTGAACCCGGGAGGCAGAGGTTGCAGTGAGCCGAGATCATACCACTGCACTCCAGCCTGAGCGACAGTGCGAGACTCCATCTCAAAAATAAAAAAAATCAAAAGGTATCAGAGGATAGCCATCCTATCAGGAATAATGTTAGAACATTCCAGGGAGAAATCAAAGAACAAAGTCACTCTTTGCTTCACTCTAAAGGGAATAAAGTTTGTTTCATCCAGCTGATTTCATTTAAAAATATTAATAACTCACCAGACCACAAATGTATTGATCCTAAAGGTCAGCACCTGTCCCTAGTTCATGCTAGCCCAGCTGGGCTCTCTATGAAGGGAAAGTATATCATATGAGTCAGTCACTTCCTAAGACCAAAATTATATCTGCATTCAGTAAACATGGGTCTCCTTGAAAACCCTCACTGGAAATCCTAAGAGGGTTAGGATATACAGGAAACTCTAATTGGTACTCAGGATTTTATTTTGGGGGTGCAGATAAAGACTGAGAAAAAGAACGAATTTGAAATAGCCATTGCATGGAAGAGTTTACCTAACACATGAAGGAGAGGGTTGTGTAACTATAATGCCCCACAATTCTCCCTTCATGCAGAAGCATAACCATTTCTTTGCCCAAAATTTGAAATGAACCCAAACAAAAAAATTTGAGATTCCGAAAGTATCACTTCACTCTTTCGATATTATTCTTCAGTTCTGTATGTCACCCTGTTTCCCTGTTCCGGCCAACCCCTGCCAAAATACACAGGGAGGCCTGTTCTCACGCTGCTGCCCAGACCAGGAGCAGGAAGCTCCAGAAAGCCTTCTTGTGAAATCAAAGCTCCATTTGCATACCCAAGAGTTTAGATAAAAGCCATGTGATGTGCTCAAGTGTGAGGCGCTCCTGGGAGCCCAGTTTGGCAGAATGGAGATTTATCTGAGGTTGTCAGTGCCACCTCCAGAGGCCTTCTTCAGGCACAGCCTTGAATTCTCTCCTCCCTTCTCTTCTAATGGCATCAAGAGGGCTTTAATAAGGTCCTCACCACCACGTTGATTCCGTAGAACCCAACAACCCAAGTTCTTGATTTACATAATTTCTTACCTGTACACTGCCTTCATTTAAAAGGGGATTGGCCAGGTGCGGTGGCTCATGACTGTAATCCCAGCACTTTGGGAGGCCGAGGCAGGTGGATCACTTGAGGTCAGGAGTTCGAGACCATCCTGGCCAACATGGTGGAACCTCAACTCTACTAAAAATACAAAAATTAGCCAGGTACAGTGACACGCACCTGTAATCCCAGCTACTCAGGAGGCTGAGTCAGGAGAATCGCTTGAACCTGGGAGGCAGAGGTTGCAGTGAGCTGAGATTGCACCACTGCCCTCCAGCCTGGTGATAGAGTGAGATTCCATCTCAAAAAAATGTTAAAAAGGCAGGGGCGATTGAGGGTGACCAACAGCAACAGGCCGATAATGAAATCATGAAGGCTTTTGAGCACTGAACCTTCACCTAACACTGTACCAGGTGCCCAATTAAGTCCTCACATCACTCTGTGAGGATGGTAGAATTATTAGTACCATTTTACAGATGAGGAAACTGAAGCTGAAAGAGCTTACACGTAATTTGCCAAAGAAATGTAGTGTGTTAGTAGAGGAGCCAGGATTCAGAACCATTTATCCAGAGATTGCCCACTTAGCTCCATGCTGGAGTGGTGACAAGGTTTCATTCAAAAAAGTCATGCCGAGGTCTGTTCAGTTCACATCCTGAGCACTGTTTACCATTAAAGACAACAGAAACTGATGCCCAAGAAGTTCTAGGAGGAACACAATTTTTTAAGTTTCATCATGTTCATTACGCAGCACTGTACCATCAGGAAAGATTCGACAATCGTAGAACAGTTTTCCAACAAGAATTACAATTTTGAAGGCTTCCTGGTTGACCCCTAGAAGGCTAGATCACTGAGCGCCCCCTTACCCCAAGACCTTCACAGCGATCACTTCACAATGCACTGGGCGTGTCCACGTGACTTCACACATCAGCCAGTGAGGTCTGGCCTCTGTCACCAAACAAGGACTTTTACTTTAACCATCAGCATATGCCAGCAGAGGCATCTGAATGTGATTATCCAGAACACAAACACACACAAAGGATTTCTGTTTTTTTGAACCTGAGATGTGAGACCCAAGTGTCTCAGCTACCATGCTTTTTGCTATGATCAAGGGTGCAATGTCTTGTCATTTTGTGAACTGGGCTGCAGAGCCAAGGAAACCTGGCTCTACATCCCAGCCAGGAGCATGAATTTCTTCCCAAAGGAAACCTAAAATGGGTACAGAGTATCAGGAGACAAAAAACATATCGGGAGCTAATAGGATGTAGGGTGGGAAAAGATTTGGAAGAAGTACAACCTCTCTCTTCACTTCCCAAATGGTTCCCACCATGGACCAGACAGCATAAGATGGAATGGGGCTGATATTGGGAGAGACAGGACCATAAATCTAGAACAATTAAACAGAAAGGAGGTTTTTATAGTTTATCCGAAATTTTCAAGCGTCTGACTTTTTCAGCATTTGTTTTTGTTGGTGTTCATGTTGTGGGGGGCCTGATATGGTTGGGCTGTAATCCTTACCCAAATCTCATCTTGAATTGTAGCTCCCATAATTACCATGTGTTGTGAGAGAAACCCAGTGGGAGATAGTTGAATCACGGGGGCAGTTTCGCTCATACTGTTCTCCTGGTAGTGAATAAGTCTCACAAGATCCGATGACTTTATAAGGGAAAATCCCTTTCACTGATTCTCAACTCTCTCTTGCCCGCTACTACGTGTGTCTTTTGCCTTCCGCCATGATTGTGAGGCCTCCCCAGCCACGTAGAACTGTGAGTCCATTAAACCTCTTTTTCTTTATAAATTACCCAATCTCAGATATGTCTTTATCAGCAGTGTGAAAACAGACTAATACAGGGGCTTATTGAGGGCTCTTTGTTACAGAAGTTTGTAATACTTGTCAGCCTTTAAACATACGAAGAGTTCTAGAACTCCTAGTACGGGTGAGGGGGTATCTTCCTGTCCCTACAGCTTTCTTGAAGCTCCCTCTCCAAAAAAAAAAAAAAACAAAAATAAAAAACAAAACAAAAAAAAACAGCTTCTAACATCCTTAACAACAGATCTTTACCTGGTGCTTGAAGCACCACATACATTCACACAAGGTGACTTCCGCCATCAGAGGCTGCTGTGGGGAGGCCTCTCATCCCTTATTAAGTTGAACACCGTCTCCCTGTAGCTTCCACCCGCTTGTTCTGGTTTTGTCCGTTGGCACTGCAGTAAATAAAGAAGTCTAGCCCCTCTGCCAGAGTGATGGCTCTTGGTCCCTGTCTTTCATGGTGAAGTCAGCCCAGCTAGGTTTGGAAGACATCTGTGGTTCAAATCAAATGCAAGGGACAGTTTTACAAATAAACTATGGAGGAAGGAAAACCACTCACTTATCTACCACAAGTCATTCACTCTCTTCTCCTGTAGAAATAAAAATACCAACACACTTGATAAAGTTCCTTGTCTTCTCTTATTTCTAACTTCTATAGCCCATCCCTGTATTCCCTAGAAGGTTAGAATGTGAGAGCTGAAAGGAGAGATCATAGGGTTTATTTTACAGGGACAGGAGACTGAGCCCCGGACACCAAATGTCCTGCCTATGTACCTAGGATGACCGATTTCCTGAACCAAAAGCAGGGACACACTGTCTGGCAAGCATGGATGAGCCTGGGGAGGCAGTGGAGAATATTTGACACTGGAACTCTTCCAAATAAATTGGGATGTGGACTAATGCTGCAGGAATAAGACAATAAACTATGCCTTCCTTACATACCTCAAAGGATTGAGATAAAAAGAACAAGAGATAATAAATATAACTTAATGTGAGATAAAGTACAAAGCAAGAAACATTTCCTATACCCGACTCCCCAGCTGCTTTTCTCACTCTGTCCTTGTGAGAGGTGACAGCGTGCTGGCAGTCCTCACAGCCCTCGCTCGCTCTAGGCGCCTCCTCTGCCTGGGCTCCCACTTTGGCGGCACTTGAGGAGCCCTTCAGCCCACCGCTGCACTGTGGGAGCCCCTTTCTGGGCTGGCCAAGGCCGCAGCCAGCTCCCTCAGCTTGCGGGGAGGTGTGGAGGGAGAGGTGCGGGTGGGAACTGGGACTGCGCGCGGTGCTTGTGGGCCAGCCCGAGTTCCAGGTGGGCGTGGGCTCTGGGACCCCACGCTCGGAGCGGCCGGCGGGCCTGCCGGCCCCGGCAGTGATGGGCTTAGCACCTGGGCCAGCAGCTGCTGTGCTCAACTTCCCGCCGGGCCTTAGCTGCTTTCCCGCAAGGCAGGGCTCAGGACCTGCAGCCCGCCGTGCCTGAGCCTCCCCACCCCCTGCTCCTTTGGCTCCTGTGCGGCCCAAGCCTCCCCGACGAGCGCCGCCTCTGCTCCAGGGCGCCCAGTCCCAACGACGACCCAAGGGCTGAGGACTGGGGAGCATGGCGCGGGACTGGCAGCTCCACCTGCAGCCCCAGTGCGGGATCCACTGGGTAAAGCCAGCTGGGCTTCTGAGTCTGGTGGGGACGTGGAGAACTTTTATGTCTAGCTCAGGGATTGTAAATACACCAATCTGCACTCTGTATCTGGCTCAAGGTTTGTAAACACACCAGTCAGCACCCTGTGTCTAGCTCAGGGTTTGTGAATGCACCAATCAACACTCTGTATCTAGCTAATTTGGTGGGGACCTGGAGAACCATTGTGTCTAGCTCAGGGATTGTAAACGCACCAATCAGCTCCCTGTCAAAACAGACCACTGGGTTCTACCAATCAGCAGGATGTGGGTGGGGCCAGATAAGAGAATACAAGCAGGCTGCGCGAGCCAGCAGTGGCAACCGTCGGGTCCCCTTCCACACTGTGGAAGCTTTGTTCTTTCTCTCTTTGCAACAAATCTTGCTGCTGCTCACTCTTTGGGTCCACAGTGCCTTTATGAGCTGTAACACTCACTGCAAAGGTCTGCACCTTCACTCCTGAAGCCAGCGAGACCACGAACCCACCAGAAGGAAGAAACTCCGAACACATCCGAACATCAGAATGAACAAACTCCGGACACACCGCCTTTAAGAACTGTAACACTCACTGTGAGGGTCCACGGCTTCATTCTTGAAGTCAGTGAGACCAAGAACCCACCAGTTCCGGACACAATTGCCCCTGGAACACCCTCCACCCTCCATCCATTTTTACATGTTCAGATTGTAGGATTTAGGTCAGATAACAGAGCAGGAGTTTAAGAGTCAATCTGACCTGGATTCAAATCTTATCTCTGAATTTTGTAGTTCTATGACCTAGAGCAAATTCCCTCTCTGAGATTTGGTTCCCTCATTTATAAAATGATAATAATTACTATTAAGAATTGAGGCCAGGCGCAGTGGCTCACATCTGTAATCTCAGCACTTTGGAGGGCTGAAGCGGGCAGATCACATGAGGTCAGGTGTTCGAAACCAGCTTGGCCAACATGGTGAAATCCCATCTCTACTAAAAATACAAAAAATATTAGCTGAGCATGGTGGTGGGCACCTGTAATCCCATCTACTCCGGAGGCTGAGGCAGGAGAATTGCTTGAACCCGGGAAGCAGAGGTTGCAGTGAGCCAAGATTGAGCCACTGCACTCCAGCCTGGACGACAGAACAAGACTCCATCTCAAAAAAAAAAAAAGAAAGAAAGAAGGAAAGAAGAAAAAACAATTGAACTAGAAAATCCAAAATTTAGAATACATTGCAATTCCCTTCAACGGATTATGTTCTTAGTTAGCTAACAGTACGTACACAAATCACTCCAGAATGTTGACAGTTGCTTTTATTTTCTCAGCTATTTATTTGTAATTTCGGCTCAGGCCCTGCTTTCAGACGTTCTCCCTCCTGGACAGGTAGCATTAGCTGAGTCAGTATAGGAGGGATACTGGGAAGACAGGAGTGAAATGAAAGAGAAAAATGCATAAGTGAGGAAATGAATGAAGAAAATAACACCTCTGAACCCCCAGTACCCAGCACATAGTAGCAAAGTTTTATATTAATGTAATTTTTTAAAATGACAATTAAAGGTATAATGAAAGAGGGAAGCATAGGGCTGGGGGTGACGGATCCAGAGAAAAAGGGCAATTTGGCCGAGTCCTGAAGGCTAAATGAGCCACAACCAGCAGGGTGGTTGAGAAGGATAGGAGCGGGGATGGGTCCTGGAAGCTTCTTCCTAGAGGAGTAAGGGTGGAAAATGAACAAATACATAGGGCAGGCTTCATGAATGTGTGGTCTATGCAGTCACACAGAGTTCTGTGCTCAGAAGGTACCATGCTTGGCTTCATTTTCTGCTGTCGCCTTCTTGAAATGCTTAATATTTTTTGAACAAGAGGCCCTTCATTTTTATTTTATACTAGGCTCTGCAAATTATGTAGATGGTTCTGAATATATGATAGTGCTTTTTCCCCTTATGCCTGAAAAACATATGAATTCAAATGTTTGAGATACTTATACAGCCTCATCACCCCCTACATTGGGTAAACTGATTGAAGCAATGCTTAAAGACGAAAAAATAACCATGAAGTGGGGAGGGCCTAAGGACATGGAGAGAAAGCAATTTGAATCTGATTTTCCTGGAGATGCCCCTCTGTGCAGGAAAACAGTTTGTACCAGGTGACAACTGGACTATTATAAGCTGGAGTTAAGCAAAAATCCCTATCATGGAATATAAGCTTAGGGTTTGGTGACATTCCAAGAGACATTAAAAGGAAGGTCATTCAAGTGGCCAGGACGCAAGGGGTTAACTTTTTTCCATGCAGAACAGTAGGGTCTCAAAGAGTTTTACATTGAACAAAATATATATACACAATATGACAGCAGGGGGCTGGCCTTCAAGTCTCTATGTAAACATCACGACTGACTTCGGAGTTCTGGAACTCTTACTCCTGAAAACCTTATATTTTCAAATGGCATCCCAACCCCCCAGCAAGAAGTTACATTTTTTCCCTTCTTTAAACAACCAGCAAGAGTAATGGCATGATGAACAAATTTCATTTCTTCTGTTCAGCTTTTTCCATCGCGAACACAGCCTCCCTGAGGCCAGATGGCACCAAAGCAATTGCTAGTAAGTCAATACATCTGGCGACATTCCTGAAATGACAAATCTGATGGAGCAACGTCCAGCTCCTACACAAAGCCTCTTTTCAGAGCATTTTCACTGGTACTTGTCTGCTATAAGCAGAACCTAATGTGTGAAAACAAAATAAAATCCAACTCTTTCACCGCCCCATGCTGCAGTTTCATTTTTGCTGCTTTTATTAATGTGACTCTCCTTCCCACTTCTGCACCTCAACCTGAAACTGATGAGCATTCTCTGTCTGACAATGAGAGCCTGCACCACAGCCTCTAAATGCTGACTGTGTTGGAACTGCTAAGAGCTCAGCAGACAACAACAACTCTGTTGCTCTTTGCATTATAAGCTATAAGCTCATTTAGGGAATTACCTGCAGAAAAGAATCAATGAGAACGGTGAGCTTGGGAAGGAATTGGAACCTGCCCCCCACGCAAATCTTTCACCAGTGGAGTTTATGAGTTGGGCTTCATGAGTGACCTCTGACTCCCAGAAGGACTACAATATGTTAGAGATCTGCTGGCATGGTCACAAAAACTGATGAGCTATGGCACTACACACAAACACACATACACACACACACAAGGTATGCTGGAATTTAGGGCTTTGTAAAATCTTCAAGTCACTACCTAAAAATCATCCAGGTGAGTCTGCCCCATTCAATTAGTGGTCTATTTTCAGCACCATCCTTCAGTGAAGTCTCAACCTGGTATAAGATGTAGTTACGTGGTCTACTTTAACCAACATTTTTTTTCATAATTCCATTCAACTGAAATGTATTGAGTGCCAATAAGGTGTAAGACTTCAGATATAGTAAAAGGCAAAATAGACATGGTTTCTATTCTTAGAAGCTTACTCCCATATGGGAAATTACTTAAATTTACTGTAGTAGGAGACAGAAAATAAACAAGAAAACAAAGGAATACACTAGATAATTCCAGTAAGAATAAGCATGATAAAGGAAATAAATAAGAGGACCCAGAAAGAAAGAAAGAAAGAAAGAAAGAAAGAAAGAAAGAAAGAAAGAAAGAAAGAGAAAGAAAGAAAGAAAGAAAGAAAGAAAAAAGAAAAGAGAAAGAAAGACAGACTATAGTAGTAAGGTAGGTGGCTTTAAATAGCAAGAGCAGAGAAGGTCTTTGGCATGAGCCTAAAGGATAAGGAGGAGACCATCAGCCGTGCAAAGATCTGAGCAAAGTGCCTTCCAGGCTGAGCTGTTTGCCTTGAGCAGAAACACTAAGAAGGGAATGAGCTTGGCTCAAAGAACAGAGGGATGTAATGAACCAGGAGAGACAGCTGGAAGAAAAGTCAAAGAGGAAGCTAGAGGCTTTGCTGGCCGTGGAAAGGACTACAGAAATTACTCTTAAGTCAGTGGTTCTCACTAGGGAGCAATTTTGCCCCCCAGGAGTCATTTGGCAATGTCTGGAGACATTTTCTGTTATAATAATCGGGGGGTGTTGGTGCCACTGGCATCTAGTTGGGTAGAGACCAGGGATACTGCTAAACATTCTAAAATGTGCAGAATAGCCCCCCGCCCCGGCAAAGAATTCTCTGGCTGAAAATGTCAAATAGTGCTGACGCTTTACGAGTACTAGAAAAACAATGAAGAGATTCAATTGCAGAAATGGCATGGTGTGGCAAAAATACTGGAAAGCAAAATATGATGTGAAACTCATCACTTATCACCCTGAAACATTAACTTGCCGGCAAGAACACTTGTTCTCCTTCTGGAAGAAAGCCTATAAACATCTTAGGGCCACAGTTCCACCTCCAAAATGCCCCGAGTATAGGCACCACCAAAGCACAAACTTCCTACAGCCATAGACCACTTGGCTTCACTTTATTTCTTGGCCCACTGGCCATCTTCCGCTGGCAAAGGTGGCTTTGCTTCCCAATTCTAAGTGACATTTGAGCTCCCCATGGGCTGCCTAAGACTGTTGAAAACATGAGCGCAGGATACGCTTTCAGGTTTGCACACGGGCTTGATGATGGGCTCAGATGCCCCAGCAGTAACTCACTAGCAGGAAGTTTGGTCCCCAGGGTGGAAAGGGGAGTTAAAAGTTCTGGCTATAGGCCAGGCACAGTGGCTCACACCTGTAGTCCCAGGACTTTGGGAGGCCAAAGCAGGCAGATCACGAGGTCAGGAGATCAAGACCACCCTGGCTAACATGGTGAAACCCCATCTCTACTAAAAATACAGAAAAATTAGCTGGACGTGGTGGCACACACCTGTAATCCCAGCTACTCGGGAGGCTGAGGCAGGAGAATCGCTTGAACCTGGGAGTCGGAGGTTGCAGTGAGCCGAGACCACACCACTGCACTCCAGCCTGGGCGACAGAGCTAGACTCTGTCTCAAAAAAAAAAAAAGCCCATTGGTTCCACTAAGTGAAAGAAGGTAAGAGTCACCCTGAAATGTAGTCAACACCAGCAATGCTCTATTTCCTTCCTTCAAGAATGTACAGGTTTAGAATCATTCAACATCACCAGAACCTATTAATCAATGCAGGTGGAGATAATAAATGGCATTTCCTATTACACTATGTGAGTTTCCTTCTATGGCTATTAATTTCCCACAAGATCCTTTCAAGCTAACTCTACTCTGCTCTACCTTTCTTATTTCTTATTTCCTCCATCATAAAATATAGAAAACATGCCCCCCATGTACTTGTTAATACATTGCTATGAAGCCGTTGCTTAATCATTTTATGTCAAATAGTCTATTACCC
The DNA here is from genome assembly GCF_000001405.40 of Homo sapiens. NCBI lineage: Eukaryota > Metazoa > Chordata > Mammalia > Primates > Hominidae > Homo > Homo sapiens. The sequence continues at coordinate 121,371,287 of NC_000010.11, forward strand.
ACAAATAGATTATAAATTCCTGAAGAGGAGAAACAATATCTGGCCATCTTTGAAATGTCTTCCACCTAGCTGGGCTCTATATACTGTTCCCCTTCCTCTAGCTTTGCTGTAAAAGATTAAACTCTTTGCAATAGTCTGGATTTGTTTTATTAATACGAAGCACTTCTCTCTTTGAAGTCAAACACTGGAAGAATTTAATAAAGTATGTGGGGTATTTAGCATTTTAGCAAGAAATGAAAAACACATTCAAAAACTCATACTAATTTGGAGGTTTCTATTATAAGCCTAGCAAAATTAAAGCTATGGTATAAAACTAGGGGCATATATTACATTTGGCAGTAAGTTCAGATGTTATTTGAAATTCAAAAATGTGAGATTTGTAATGTTTCTGTTCAAATTTTGCTAAATGCTTGTCTCACCAACTCATTTCACAAAAATATTTAAGGTTGTTTTTGGTTTTTGACATAGGGTCTCGCTCTGTCACCCAAGCTGGAGTGCAGTGGTGCGATCATGGTTCACTGCAGCCTTTACCTCCCAGGCTCAGGCGATTCTCCTGCCTCAGCCTCCCAAGCAGCTGGAACTACAGGCATTACAGGCATGCACTACTTAAACCTGGCTAATTTTTTTTTTTTTTAATTTTTATTTTTTTAGAGACAGGGTCTCACTATATTGCCCAGGTTGTAAGGTTGTTTTTGAATGCCACCACACTGTTGGTCTAAAGGCAGAAACATGACAAAACTACTTTAAAGGACAACTTGTCAACACCTAATGAAGTTGAAGATGTTCTCCCTTGTGCATCCCACGCTCCAAGTATCCCGCTTCTATAGACACTTTCACACACATGCACCACCACGTGCAGTGTACAAAGCTGCTCATCACAGCTCTAAGCAAAGGAAAACAAAACCAAGCTGTACCTCAAACACTGGAAGAATTTAACAAAGCATGTGGGGGTATTTAGCATCTTAGCAATAAATAAGAAAACATTCAAAAGTCATACCAATTGGATTTTGGATTACGGGGCTTAGGAGGTATATGGGTAAATATGCACTATATTTTAGCCATATCATAGAATTCCATTTAGCAAGTAAAATGAATGAACTAGACTTATATATAGCAACATCATCCATGTAAAGTTGAAAAGCACATGAATACTTATTGCTTATGGATACATAGACACTTACAGTTAGAAACATACACAAGAATGATGTATATCAAGTCCAAGAGGTAGAACTGTAGCCTGGAGGTGAATAATAGTGATAATATTAATAGTTAAAGAACTACCTGGTATTGACATAGCATGTTGACTGTGAAAGGGTAGATAAAGGATTGAACTTCAGCTATATCTGTAGTATGTTGTTTATTTCCTTTAATGGGATCAGAAACTAATTTGATCATGATTACTTTTTTTCTTTTTTTTTTTTTTGAGACAGAATCTTGCTCTGTCGCCCAGGCTGGAGTGCAATGGTACAATCTCAGCTCACTGCAACCTCTGCCTCCCTGGTTCAAGCGATTCTCCTGCCTCAGCCTCCCAAGTAGCTGGGATTACAGGCTCGTGCCACCACACCCGGCTAATTTTTTGTATTTTTAGTAGAGATGGGGTTTCACTGTCTTAGCCTGGATGGTCTCGACCTCCTGATTTCATGATCCGCCTTCCTCGGCCTCCCAAAGTGCTGGGATTACGGGTGTGAGCCACCACGCCTGGCCTTTTTCTTCTTTTTTGAGATAGAGTTTCACTCTTGTTGCCCAGGCTGGAGTGCAGTGGCGTGACCTTGGTGATCTTGGCTCACTGCACCCTCCACCTCCTGGGCTCAAGTGATTCTCCTGCCTCAGCCCCCTAAGTAGCTATGATTACAGGCACCCACCACCACACCCGGCTAATTTTTTTTATTTTTAGTAGAGACAGGGTTTCGTCATGTTAGCCAGGCTGGTCTCGAACTCCTAACCTCAGGTGATCCACCCGCCTCTGCCTCCCAAAGTTGATCATGATTACTTTTGATGTTGGTATGTAGGTGACTGTTTTGTTGTTTTCTGTGCTCTTATTTCTGTTGAAAAGAATAATAAAGTTTGTGTGTTTTAAAGCTTAAACTAAAGCCCAGTTTTAAAAGTTAAATGCTGCTGTCTTACATTCTAAAGCAAAAGGAATAGCTCTACTGATTATAATTTCTACTTGCCTACTCACCTCAGCCCCAAATTTCACAATTATCCTATTTACCCCAGTCTATCCCCTCTCCCTGGAATCTAATCTAGAAAGCCCCATCATCAATTCTGAAGATGCTCAGCCCACAAAATAAGTGGCTCATGGGAAAGGCATTTGAAAAAACACAAAACCTAGATGTCCTTTCGGTTTCACTTTTTAAAACCAAAGTAAAGAAATCCTCCCTCCAAAGATGCAAAGATCTCCATGGTCCTGACACCCGGAAGAATAATCATGGTAACAGCAACATTAACAACATTCACTGGCACATGGAGAGCCCTTGCTATGTGCCAGGCCTTAACCCAGTGCTTTTTACCTTCATTAACCATGTAAGCCACATATCAGATGGGGAAGGTTGTCCCTCTATCAGGGATGGGGAAACTGAGGTATAGAGAAGTTAAATCATTTGTCCAGGTGCCACTGCTGGTAATGCTGGCAAAATCTCATTGATCCTCTCAGGATGTTAACTACAAAATCACTCATCCCTTCCATCCACCCTGAGCTATAATTAAATAGGTTAAACTGTTGACTGGAACTTTAGTATTTTACCATGAGGGTACTATAGAAAGTTGGCCAAAACTGATGATTTGAGTTTTAGCATACTGACACTGACCTGTATCTTCCTGCCCGTAACTTAGAGTACATGTTCTCTGCGTGCGTGTGTGTGTGTGTGTGTGTGTGTGCGTGCACGCGCGCACATGCGTCTGACCATCTCCAGACTTAGGTCTAGATCAGCACAAGCCTCAGGCACTGCTGTGGCCGAGGACAGAGCAGGATCGAGGTCAACTCCACCCCTAAGGCACCAGAAGGGACAGCAATAACAGAGAGGGGAGGAGTCTCCTCATCCAGGTGACACGAAGTGGTTCCATTTTATAACCTACTGGACACACCCAAATCGTAGCCATATCAAGTCAAAACACAGTAACCTTCACGTGAGGACAGAGAAGACCAAACCCTGGCTGCCCCACACTGTATCTGGCCTTGAAAACAGTAAGACTAGCTACCATTTATTGGGCTCCCTTATGTCCCAGGCTCTGTACTAGGTGCATGCTTTACCTCTTCTTCCTTAATCATACAGAAACCTATAGGTTCAGCCTCCTATCTTAGAGTCATAGATGAAAACACGGTAGCTGGGAAGGGTAAATAATTCACAGAGCCTCACAGTGGCAGAGCTAGGATTCAAATCGGTTGCTCTAATTCCAAATCCATGCTCCTTGCCCCATACCTTACTGCCTCTTCTTTGTGGGATGCTTATAAGTGGGTTCAATGGTATCCCCCCCACACCAAAATATGTTCAAGACCTAACCCCTAGTAACCCCTGGTACCTATGAATATGACATTACTTGGAAATCAGTCTTTACAGCTCTAATTAAGGATCTCTAGATAAGATCATCCTAGATTTAGGTGAGTCCTAAATCCAGACACTAGTGTCCCTATAAGTAAAAGGAGAGGGAGATTGTCCCACACAGACACAGGGGAGAAGGCCACGTAAAGAATGACATGATGGTGGACGCAGAGGTTGGAGTTAAGTTGCCACAAGCCAAAAAACACCAGAATCCCACGAGGGAGGCCAGGAATGGATTCTCTCTCAGATCCTCCAGAAAGAACCAACCCTGCCAACGCCCTAATTTCAGACTTCTGGTCTTTTCCAAAACCGTGAGACATAAAATTATATTGTGTTAAGCCACCAAGTTTGTGGAAATTTGTTGCAGCCACGTCAGGAAGCAAATACTCAACTATCTCAGGGCGCAGGAACTTTGAAAGTTTCATCACGAAATCCTGCAGACAACCACTGAAAGCAGCATCCAGCTCAACAATTTAGGTCCCAGCTGGTTCTTAACAAGAATGCCAGTAATTCTGCTCTTTAGACTCTCAAAGAGGAGGGAGAACACAATAGAAAGGGTGCGGTTCACAAAGAACTTGCAATTTCTGCACAAGACAGTTACAATTTAGTATCGTTTGGGGCTCTGTTTTCAAGGGCTAGACAACAGCCATAGGAAGAGTCTGATTTATGAGGCTGTCTGCTAAGATGCAGCACCAACGCACATGGATCTTTCATGCCATCTCCTCTCCAGACCAAAAGGGGGTAAATACAATTATTTGTAAGCACCGTGACACATTTTCCTCACACTATATCCTGACATCTTTAGTCATAGTCGCAATACTTTCAGATAGCCTTTGAATTCCAGCAAATTCACGTTTAAACGTCACTACCTTGTGCTGAGCTTCAAGCTGTCAGAAAAAACAAAGTAAAATGAGTCTGATTTCATGGCCCAACCATGTGGCCCACTTGAAATTCTCTCCTAAGAAAACAGTTAAAGTCGCCCCAGGCTCTACTGTGTTTGGTGCCCAGGTTATCAAGGAAATGACCATTATCATTCTCACTTGGAATAAGGCCTCATAGGACCATCCTGTGTCAACAGAAAAGGGCTCTGGTAACCACGGTCGCCTGTCATAACAGCAGAGATTACAGTTTTATAGTCTAAACACTTTTAAAACTAGTGTCTTCTTGACATATTCTCATATCCTTAATGAAGTGCCAGGTTATTAAGCGGGAGAAACTTTAACTACATTCAAGCTGTGGACAATGTTTTTTCACCCAAAATAGACTGTGGGTGAGGTTCTAAATGAGAATATTGTCATCGAACGATATTTCAATGACATCTCAAAAATCTAGAGATGCAACGCTTCACCAATACTATTTCTCCACAGCAAATGTTATGAGAAGCTTTATAATAAATGCATATGCCTTACAGCGTGCTTTACGTGCATTAGGGCATACCTACTCATCTTCTTGTCCCACAGCCATTAGGGTCTACGGGGTTGCCATGAGTTACCTAAACTCTAGTTCCTTTGTCACCTAGAGCTTTCTCCCTCAGGTCCTCCCCTCACTCCCACACAAACTTCTGCTGAATCCTTCTTCCCATGATTTATAATGGACCAGAAGAGTCTGAGTACTGTTCTTGATTTATCTGAGTAATGCCGTCAGCAGGGATGACTGACCACTCTGTTTTTCTGTCCCTGTTCCCAACCTCCAAAGTCTAGGAAAAGGCATGGATTGGCTAAGGGATTCCAGGGGACCTTAACCTGAGTTCACAGAATTCAGAGGGTCCATGAACTTGGATGACAAAAATATTACATCTGTATCTTCCCTAATGCCTAACAGAAAATTGGCATCTCCTGCATTATGAAAATAAGCAGCAAACCACAATATTAGTAAGATTAGCTATCTAAATTACTTCATATTACATGATAGTTGTTGCAAATATCCACATTTCATTTGTACTCATCACTATTCCAAAATTACATGAATGAGTTGCTCTTATTTAATGTCTTCAATAAAATGACATATATTGTGGTTTGTTTGGTTTTTTTTAGATGAAGTCTCACTCTGCCGCCTAGGCTGGAATGCAGAGTGGCCCGATCTCTGCTCACTGCAAACTCTGCTTCCCGGGTTCAAGTGATTTCTCCTGCCTCGGCCTCCCGAGTAGCTGGGATTACAGGCGTGTACCACCACGCCCGGCTAATTTTTTTATATATTTTTAGCAGAGACAGGGTTTCACCATGTTGGCCAGGCTGGTCTTGAACTCCTGACCTCAGGCAATCCGCCCACCTCAGCCTCCCAAAGTGCTGAGATTACAGGCGTGAGCCACCGCGCCAGGCCCCACATATTGTGCTTTTAATTTTTTTCGGTAATTTTGTTTGGATAGAATCAGTTTCTCATGTCACCTTATGCACTTTATTTCATGCACTTAAGAATATTATTCTGAGGCTGCTAAGGGGGTCCATGACACAAATACAGGTTAAGAACTCTCCACCAAACAGAACTAGGGTGCAAACTCATCAGCTGCATAGGCAGTGGCCATCTCTCTGCATTCTTCTTCAGCCCCACTGGAGTCTCTGGTACAGCCACACAGTGTTTCTCTCTGGTCCTCTCTCTGATCTCAAACTTAGCCCCCTTCCGTCAGCAGAGCCTTTTTGCCCAGCCAGGAGGACATGCTCCTCCCCCTTTCCCTCTCCCAGCCCCAAAAGGGCATAAGCATTTTACTTCCTGTTGTTCATATAATTAAAATAATCTATTCTGGGGGGAGGTTTTCAAATATCAAATGATATAATATTGAATACACTGTTTTGAACACCCACGGTATCCATTCTATTCTATTGTGCACCACGGCAGCCTCACAAGTCACAGCCCACCTCATCTCTCCCGCTCCAACAGAATCCCATCATTCTGTGTCCTCACTCTAATACAGCCTCTGGAGTAAAGTGGAAACTGCCCAAGATGGCAGAAAGGCCTTTGGAAAGTCACACGGTGTCATCTTCTGCATGCACCCATACTTTCTGTGTCCACTTCCCAGAGCCTAGCTTTAGCATCCTTGGTGCCTCTTCTCAAGCTGTTCCACCTGGTTCTCAAGTTCCCCACACACTACCTGTCCAAGCCATACTTGTCCTCCAAGGCCCAATCCCCATGCTCACTGTCTCAAAAAGACTTGCCCCAACCCCTTCTGGTGGGGCTGAATCTCTCCTCCCCCTTCCCTAAACTCTCCTAACCCTTTGGGTACACCTTTCTTTGTGTATCTACAAAGCCTGCCTGGCTTTGCAGCAGAATCACAACAGAAGTCAAATAACTTACCTCTCCCTCTGGGCAACAAACAAAATGTACGTATACTCACTCAGGAGAAAAAGAACAATGAAATATTGCAGGAAATTCCTCCTGCCAGTTCAATTGCTGCAAACAGGCCTCAGAGGGAGCATTAGGGGAGACGCGCACGCATCTGCCACTCCCATACCCTTGTCCTGTGGGCACCTTCCCTCTCTGGGAATAATTCTAGAGTTCCAACACATGTACCTTTGGAACAGCATGGCCCCAAACACAAGACAACTTCTCTAGCTGGAGTGTAAATAAATGGAAGACAGGCCATGTATTCTGGTGCCGGAGTCATCATGGGCTGCGCAGGTCCTGTTGCAAAGACATTGAGCTCTGTCATGTTTTGATTTTATGCAGCTGCCTGTGATCTAACCTCAGAACCTCCCCCACTTCTGACACGTGGCTTCCTTTCTTAACCAGGGGGCTCCTGCCCTACACCTTGCGTCCCCAGAACCCAGGGACCTCTCATTCACCCCTCTGTCAGCTCCCAGCACATTCAAAGTGCATAAGTAGTAACAGTGGGTGCCTCAAGGCAAGCAAAGCGATCAAAGGTATGAACACTATCCATTGAACAAACTATGACATTACTTACCTCATCCTGTCTGAACATAAATACAGACCTCCTAAATATACTTTAGATTATAGACATTCCCATCAACAAAATTATCATTCACCTGGTTGGTTACATCAACTTTCTAAAGCTCCCAAATCTGACATTTCTTTTTTTTTTCTCCTGTGTTGCCACATCAAGAAGGACAACTTCTTGGTAAATATACTGGTTGAGCCTGGTACTGATATCTTATCAAGAAGTTTTGAACCTATTTTCAAACTAAGTTCTCATCTATCTGCCACCTGCCTTTAAAATGACACGTTCTCATTTATTTCAGGCCTCTGACCTAAAAGAAAAGCAAACGAAATAACAACAATGAAATATACCCTGCATTAATTGCAAAAGGAAATGAGTTTTAAACAAAGTGAATGCTGCAGGCGATGCGTTGCCAGGCTGTGTTCTGAGCATTTCAAAGGATAAAACAGAAAATTGGAAAAGATCAATATCAAGACAACAGTGATCTGCAACAGTAATAAAGAAAGATGTCTTTCAGGGCCCATTAACCACTAATCACCCCTTGGATCAAAACTAGCAGAACAGCTCCCAGGCTGTTTGAAGGGGCTGCCATTGGGTTATCCTGAAAAATCAAACAGGGCAGCCCCAGGTTTGTTTCATGTTGAAACCTCCATTGTTTTTGTTGCTGATGAGGGGGATGGAGGGTGTTGCAGAGGGTCTAAGCTTGTGCTCTGTTCGGTGGGCTGGATAACTTAAGGTACCTTCCAACTGCAATTACATGGCTCATCACAGGGCACATTCTGCAGAGAGAGACAAAAGGGAACAGGGTATCTATCATTCCTGAAAAGCACATGCTGAAGCACCAGTGTGTATTACACAGTTGAGCTACACCTTGCTATGGAGCTGGATTTCAAGGATTTGTGCCATAGCACCAGACCTCATGGGCAAGGCCTTCCTCAGCTTTTGAAATACAAAATAAAATAAAACACAGTGAAAGGCTGGGCGCAGTGGCTCATGCCTGTAATCCAAGCACTTTGGGAGGCCGAGGCGGGCAGATCATGAGGTCAGGAGTTCAAGATCAGCCTGGCCAACATGGTGAAACCCCATCTCTATTAAAGATACAAAAAAAATTAGCCAGGTGTGGTGGTGCACACCTGTAATCCCAGCTACTCAGGAGGCTGAGGCAAGAGAATCACTTGAACCCAGGAGGCAGAGGCTGCAGTGAGCTGAAATCACGCCATTGCACTCCAGCCTGGGCAACAAAGCGAGACTCTGTCTCAACACATACACACACACACACACACACACACACACACACACACACACAGTGAAAAAGGCATGGCTCCAGGGAACAGGTCCTCTCACCTCAAGTCAACCACTCTGTCAGTCCTAACAACTGAAGCCATTCAACAAACACATCCATGAACTTGCTTTGCAGTATGGTCTACGTCTAGCCTTGCTGCTCAAAGTGCAGTATATGGACCAGCAGCACCTGCCTCCATTGAAAGCCTGTTAGACAAGCAGAATCTCAAGTCTTTCCCTAGACCTATCGAGGTTTAATCTGCATGTTGGCAGGATCCCTGTGTGATCTGTAGGCATATTAGAATCTGGGAACATGAGAATCATCTGGGAAGTTTTGGTGGCAGTTGTTTAATATTGATATCTGGGCTCCATCCCTAGAGATTTTTACTGGATGAGAATGAGGCGCATGCATCAGTTTAAAACAAAATTGCCTGCAAGATAGTGAGTCCTGATAAGGATGGCTGAATGAACTGCACAAATGACCTAATGCACTCAATATAATCACTGAAACTCTGCCTGGGTTCCCTAATTTGATGAAGGAGGAAGCAGAAAATGGTTAGAGGATTGAAACGGGCTTTAAAGAACACTGGCTTTCAAGTGCCAAGATCAAATTCCTTTTTTTTTTTTATTAAGGAAAGCCCAACCTATATTCTTAGAGTTATGAACCCAGACTTAAAGACTAAAAGTTTAAAAAAAAAATCCTTGTATTCTCCGTTTCAAGTCAACTAATCTTCCCTTTGCCTCAGTTTCTCATCTGCATGGAAGAGAACACATTTATCCACTCTCTAGGAACATGTTCTAACATCAAAATCCAAAGGTGCCTTTTAATTCAAGTAATTGTGCTCCCTTGGGGTGTCATGCAACGTGTTGGAGCCTCTTGAGTGAGCAATTGTGGATCATATGCAGTTGTGCACTGGGTATGCAAATAGGAGATTGTCGTAAAATTTGGTTATAAACAACTGGGTGTGTGCTTCACCTGGCTGGCCAGACCACTGCATGAATCCCATGAAACAGTGAGAGGTACAATCCATTTCCTAGTCAATGACCTAATCCAGACTGTTGATGGCCTATCTGGAAATCTAAACCGAGGTTAAACAGGGCTAATCTTGGTAAGGGGAAAAGCTTTCTACCTATGCTTCCAATCAAGAGGCAATAAAATAAAAGCTTCACAGAGTTGGATACTAAAAGTTTAAAAAATTGTTTAGGGTATGTTTGTTATGTAAAGTCAACTGACAAACTGGGAGAAAATATTCACAAAATATACCATGGACAAAGGACTAATATTGCTCATATATGAAGACCTCTTTGAATTTGTGGGCAAAGGTCTAGAATCCAATAGGAAAAAAAAAAGGGAAAGAAAAACCATGGACAATTCAGGCACATACAGTTCTAACACTGACCCTCGAACAAATTTTTAAAATGTTCAAACTCACCTATAATTAGAAAAATTCAAGTTAAAACATTCTTAGGCACCATTTCTCACTTATCAGACTGACAAAACTTTCTAATTATGACAACATATCCTTTTGGTCAGGCTGTGGGGAAAGAGGCCTCCTTGTACATTTCTGGTGGGAGTACAAATTCGTACAACCCACCTGGAGAGAAATTTGGCAATTCCTATTAAAGCAACATAGACATTTACCTTTCTACCCAGCAATCCCACTTCTAGAAAGCTACCTTAAAGACAGATACTTTCAACAATCTGAAAGTACATATGCATGAGATCATTTATTGCAGCATGTTTCGTAATTACAAAATATTGGGAACAACCTAAATGTTTATACACAAAAGAGTAGCTGGATAAACCACGGTACATCCATACAGTGGAGTACTATGCAGCTATTTTTTTTAAAGATCTCTATATACAGAATGATTTCCAGGACATACTGTCAAGTAGAAAAAAGCAAAAAGCAAAAATGTACCCATAACATGTTACCCATCATACAAAAAAAAAGAGAGAGAGAGAGAAGGTATAATTTTTGCTGTAACTACTGAGAGGTGACAGCCTGCTGGCAGTCCTCACAGCCCTCGTTCGCTCTGGCGCCTCCTCTGCCTGGGCTCCCACTTGGCGGCACTTGAAGAGCCCTTTAGCCCACCGCTGCACTGTGGGAGCCCCTTTCTGGGCTGGCCAAAGCCGGCTCCCTCAGCTTGCGGGGAGGTGTGGAGGGAGAGGCGTGGGCGGGAACTGGGGCTGTGCGCGGTGCTTGCGGGCCAACGCGAGTTCCGGGTGGGTGTGGGCTCAGCGGACCCTGGACTCGGAGCTGCGGGGAGGCCCCACCGGCCCGGGCAGTGAGGGGCTTAGCACCTGGGCCAGTAGCTGCTGTGCTCAATTTCTCGCCGGGCCTTAGCTGCCTTCCCGTGGGGCAGGGCTCGGGACCTGCAGCCCGCCATGCCTGAGCGTCCCCATGGCTCCGTGGGCTCCTGTGCGGCTGAAGCCTCCCAGACGAACACCGCCCCCTGCTCCACCGTGCCCAGTCCCATCGACCACCCAAGGGCTGAGGAGTGTGGGCGCACAGCGCAGGACTGGCAGGCAGCTCCACCTGCAGCCCCAGTGCGGGATCCACTGGGTGAGGCCAGCTGGGCTCCTGAGTCTGGTGGGGAGGTGGAGAACCTTTGTGTCTAGCTCAGGGATTGTAAATACACCAATCGGCACTCTGTATCTAGCTCAAGGTTTGTAAACACACCAATCAGCACCCTGTGTCTAGCTCAGGGTTTGTGAATGCGCCAATTGACACTCTGTATCTAGCTACTCTGGAGGGAACTTGGAGAACCTTTGTGTCCACACCCTGTATCTAGCTAATCTGGTGGGGAGGTTGAAAACCTTTGTGTCTAGCTCAGGGATTGTAAACGCACCAATCAGCGCCCTGTCAAAACAGACCACTGGGCTCTACCAATCAGCAGGATGTGGGTGGGGCCAGATAAGAGAATAAAAGCAGGCTGCCCAAGCCAGCAGTGGCAACACTCAGGTCCCCTTCCACGGTGTGGAAGCTTTGTTCTTTCTCTCTTTGGAATAAATCTTGCTGCTGCCCACTCTTTGGGTCCACATTGCCTTTATGAGCTGTAACACTCACCACGAAGGTCTGCAGCTTCACTCCTGAAGCCAGCAAGACCACGAACCCACTGGGAGGAACAAACAACTCCAGACATGCCGCCTTAAGAGCTGTAACACTCACTGCGAAGGTCCGCAGCTTCACTCCTGAGCCGGCGAGACCACGAACCCACCAGAAGGAAGAAACTCCGAACACATCTGAACATCAGAAGGAACAAACTCCGGACACACCACCTTTAAGAACTGTTAACACTCACTGTGATGGTCCACGGCTTCATTCTTGAAGTCAGTGAGACCAAGAACCCACCAATTCCGGACACACTCCTATAACAAAATATTGCAAACTGGGTGGTTTAAACCAGCAGTCCCCAACCTTTATGACACAAGGGACCAGTTTTGTGGAAGACCACTTTTCCACAGACTGGGGGCAAGGAAGATGGTTTCAGGATGATTCAAGCGCATTACATTTATTGTGTATTTTATTTCTATTATTATTACATTCCAATATATAATGAAATAATTATACAACTCACCATAATGTAGAATCAGTGGGAGCCCTGAGATCATTTCCCTGCAACTACATAGTCCCATCTGGGGTCATGGGAGACAGTGACAGATCATCAGGCATTAGATTCTCCTAAGGAGCACACAACCTAGATCCCTTGCAGGCAAAATTCACAATAGGGTTTGCACTCCTGTGAGTATCTAATGCTTCTGTGAGAATTGTATTTGCAAACAAAATCACAAATAAATAATCTAATGCCACCACTGATCTGACAGGAAGCAGAGCTCAAGCAGTAATGCGAGGGATGGGGAGTGGCTGTAAAATATAAATGAAGCTTTGCTGGCTCACAGTTTGGGAGGCCAGTAGTCAGAGATCAAGGTGTTGGTTCCTTCTGAGGGCTGTGAGAGAGAACCTGTTCCATGCCTTTCTCCTGACTTCTGGTGGCATACTGGCAATCTGTGGCATTCCTTGGCTTGCAGAGGTGTCACTCTAATCTTGTTACCAAAGTTTCAGGGGTTCAGTCTAGGTCCTGCTGCTCACTGCACAGAAAGCCAATGACCGAGACAATGATTTTTGCCAAAGAAGAAGGCTTTATCAGGTGCTGCAGCCAAAGAGATGGGAGATTTGTCTCAAATCCATTTCCCTGACAGGCTAAAATTAGGGGTTTATAGCAGGGAAGAAATGCAACAATGTGTGGGAAAACAGGAACTCGGGAGGGGTAAAGGACAAAAATGAGGAGTCTGGTGTCTGACAGTCAGGATGCAGTAACCCGGTGAGTTTCAGTTTTTCGATACTTTTTGAGAGACCTGAGGGTCCTTTCCTAAGGAAGGAACTCAAATAAAACAAGTGTAAGTTTCCAGCTTTAAAAAAACAGAAGGGTCAATTTCTATGTTTAGCTCAAAGTACTGTCTATAAGACTATTGGGTCAGTTTCAAGCTCAAAACCAGGGTAACCAGGGATGAGAGAGGGGTAGGAGAAAAGAGGTCGAGGGGATGGTTTGCCAGGAATGAGGAAGAAGTGAACTTTCTGGATTTTGCCTTCATCTTCACATGGTGTTCTTCCTGTGTGCATGTCTCTGTGTCTAAATTTCCCCGCCCCCCACCTTTTTTTTTGAGATGGAGTCTTATTCTTGTCACCCAGGCTGAAATGCAATGGCGTGATCTCAGCTCACTGCAACCTCTGCCTCCCAGGTTCAAGCAATTCTCCTGCCCCAACCTCCAGAGTTGCTGGGATTACAGGCGTCCTCCACCACACCCAGCTAATTTTTTGTATTTTTAGTAGAGACGGGGTTCCACCATGTTGGTCAGGCTGGTCTCGAACTCTTGACCTCAGGTGATCCACCCGCCTCAGCATCCCAAAGTGCTGGGATTACAGGCATGAGCCACCACACCCCGGCCCCAAATTTCCCCTTTTTTTATGAGGACACTAGTCATATTAGATTAAGGCCCACTCTAGTGTCTTAACTACTTACATCTGCAATGACCCTATTTCCAAATAAGGTCATAATCTAAGGTACTGGGGACTAGGAGCTCAAAATATGAATGGGGAGGGAGACACAATTCAACCCATAAACGAGACTGTAAGAAAATAGCTGCTCATGTTATCTGCTCATTTGTTTAAAAAAAAAAAAAAAAGTAATAGTAAGCAAGAGGGGTTGAAACCAAAAGCCAAAGAGCCTGGTAACCAGCGATGAGAGAGGAGTAGGAAAAAAGAGGTCAAGGGGATGGTTTGCCAGGAATGAGGAAGAAGTGAAATTTCTGGATTTTGTTTTTGTTTTGTTTTGATATAGCACTTAATCTGAGAACCACAGTACTATTTCAAATGGCCTCCTCCTGCTGAAAAAAATAAACAATTAAAACCAGCCAAGATGTACAAGGAATCCAAAACTGAATATAAAGAGTAACAAATGATCCTAGCTATATTACAAATATGTGTTACATAACCATGCTGCTAGGCAAGAAGAAAATTACCCTGAATAACTTTGGAAAACAGTATCTTGATTAGAAACTATAAGGCTAGGCCAGGCACAGTGGCTCACGCCTGTAATCCCAGCACTTTGGGAGGCCGAGGTGGGCGGATCATGAGGTCAGGAGATTGAGACCATCCTGGCTAACACAGTGAAACCCCATCTCTACTAAAAATACAAAAAATTAGCCGGGCATGGTGGCAGGCGCCTGTAGTCCCAGCTACTCGGGAGGCTGAGGAAGGAGAATGGTGTGAACCTGGGAGGCAGAGCTTGCAGTGAGTCGAGATCGCACCACTGCACTCCAGCCTGAGCGACAGAGCGAGACTCCATCAAAAAAAAAAAAAAAAGGAAAAAAAAAAAGAAACTATAAGGCTAAAGACAAAACTGTACAGAAATACTACAGTCTAGCTGGTGAATGTGTTTCTCAGAGAGGCATGGGTTAGCAATTTCAAATTGTTTTATGTGTATGTTAGAATTGAGCAAATAAGCATATAGTAGATGAAAGGCAGGTTTATCATTGTTGGAGAAAAAAATTACAAATAAGGAAAAATGAAAAGTTAGAATAAACCTCATGTTGTTAGAATGGTATCAGAGGTATTAGTAAGCTGAGACTATTTTATGTATACAAAGACACAGATAAATACAGAAGAATAGATGCATGTATATGCATAGGTTAGCATACATATACTTCCCAGCTCTGTTCAGAGGCCAGAAGCAAAGACACTTTAGTAGCAATGAGCACACTTATCACCCAGATATTGGTTTCTAAACATCATTTTCCAGTGAAATAAACCAGGGCTCCTTAGAGAAGTAATTGATTCCAGGATTGAGGGAAGTGATGTATGAGATGAGCTTGGAACATCAGAAAATAAGGATGTACTCAAAGAAAAAGACAGTGACTTGTCAAGAAAAAAAAAAAAAAAAAACAAGAGACAACCTGAAAGAGGGCCTAATGGCCAAAGCTGGAAAAATTTGAGCAAAATAAAAAACACAGTATTAGATTTTAACCCATAAGATAATACATGTGTCTATAGTGATATTAGTAATCAAATAAATGAAGGAGAAGGGACAGCTCTTCCTTACAGAACAATTCTAATAAATACAGAAGAAAAGAGGGAAACAGAAAATTGCCATTAGACAAACATCACAGTAAAAACTGTGACAGGTAAGATGCACTTATGAATGCTAAAATTAGGAAGTGAAAGTTTAAGGAAAAACTATATTTGCCTCATCTCAAAGAATCACTCCAAGATACTTACCAACTACAAAAACGATGGTAACTTTAAAGTGGAATAACCTAGCAGACACCACCTTCACCAAGTGATCAAAGTTAGTATGACCAGTAACAACACATATTGATTTCAGGATGCGTTGATAGGATGTGCTTAGAAGGACACAGCAGCATCTCCGTCGTATGTGCTCCAAAAATACATAGCTTTGTAACTATTACAAAATATCAGACAAACCCATATTAAGACACCTTCTACAAAATAACTGACCAGTACTCTTCAAAAGTATCAAGGTCATGGCAGAAAGGAAAGAGTGAGACACTGTCATGGATTGGAGATTAAGAGAAATAACAACTGGATAAAACATACGATCCTCCCTTGAGAATGAGAACAATCAATATAAGGGTGCATACTCTCACCACTCCTATTCAACATACTACTGGAAATCTAGCCAGAGCAATCAGGCAAGAGGAAGAAGTAAAAGCATTCAAATAGGAAGAGAGGAGGTCAAACTAACTCTCTTCATAGATTATATAATTCTATGTGTAGAAAACCCCATAGTCTCTGCCCCAAAGCAGAGACTTGATCTGATAAACAACTTTAGCAAAGTTTCAGGATACAAAAATCAATGTACAAAATCAATAACACTTGTAGGATCAATAATGTCCAAGATGAGAGCTAAATCAAGGATGCAATCCCATTTGCAACAAAAAGAATAAAATCCCTAGGAATACAGCTAACTAGGGAGGTTAAAGATCTCTACAATTATAATTACAAAACACTGCTGAAAGAAATCAAAGATGACACAAACAAATGGAAAAACATTCCATGCTCATGGATAGGAAGACTCAATATTGTTAAAATAGCTGTACTGCCCAAAGAGATTTATAAATTCAATGCTATTCCTAACTACTAATGTCATTTTTCACAGAATTAAAAAAAAACTATTCTGAAATTCATATGGAACCAAAAAGAGCCTGAATAGCCAAAGAATTCCTAAGCAAAAAGAACAAAGCCAGAGGCATCACACTACTCAACTTCAAACTATACTACAAGGTTGCAATAGCCAAAACACATGTTACTGGTACCAAAACAGACACATAGACCAATGGAGCCGGTTAGAGAACTCAGAAATAAAGCCACATGCCTACAACCATCTGATCTTCAACAAAGTCAACAATAACAAGCAATGGGAAAACTATTCTTTATTCAATAAATAGTGCTAGGATGACTGGCTAGCCATATGAAGATTGAAAGTGGAACCTTTCCTTTTACCATATACAAATATCAACTCAAGATGCATTAAAGATTTAAACAAACTCCGGAACTATAAACACCATAGAAGAAAACCTAGGAAATACTATTATGGGCATGGCTCTTGGCAAAGATTTCAAAAGCAATTGCAACAACAACAAAAATTGACAAGTGAGACCTAATTAAAGAGCTTCTGCACAGCAAAAGAAACTATCAACAGAGTAAACCTTCAGAATGGGAGAAAATATTTGCAAACTATGCATTTAACCAAAGTCTAATATCCAGAATCTATGAAGAACTAAAACAAATCAACAAGCAAAACACAAACAACTCCATTTAAAAAATGGGCAAATAACACAAATAGACATTTCTCAAAAGAAGACAAATACGTGGCCAACAAGCATATGAAAAAATGCTCAACATCACTAATCACTAGAGAATTGCATGTCAAAACCACGATGAGATACCATCTTATACCAGTCAGAATGGCTATTATTAAAAAGTAAAAAAAATAACAGATGTTGCCAAGGTTGCAGAGCAAACGGAACACTTATACGCTGCTGGTGGGAATGTAAATTAGTTCGGCCTCTGTGGAAAGCAGCTTGGGAAATTTCTCAAAGAACTTAAAACAGAACTGCCACCATTCAACCCAGCAATCCCATTACTGGGTATAAACTCAAAGAAATATAAATCATTCTACCATAAAGATACATGCACATATATGTTCATTGCAGCACTTTTCACATTAGAAAAGACATGGAATCGACCCAGATGCCCATCAATGGTGGACTGGATAATAAAATGTGGTACACATAGTCCATGGAATACTATGCAAGTATAAAAAATAATGAAATCATGTCCTTTGCAGCAACATGAATGCAGCTAGAGAACATTATCCTAAGTGAATTAATGCAGGAACAGAAAACCAAATACCACCTGTTCTCACTTTGAAGCGGGAACTAAACATTGAGTACACACTGACACAAAGAGGGAAACAATAGCCACTGGGGCTTACGTGAAGGTGGGCAGAAAATGAGGACAGAAAAACTACCTATTGGGTACTATGCTCACTACCTGGGTGACAAAATCGTTTGTACACCAAATTCCCACAACACACAATTTACCCATATAACATACCTGCACATATACTCCCTAAACCTAAAATAAAAGTTGGAAGAAAAAATAAATAAATACGTGAGATCCTGAATAGGATCCTGGAACAGAAAAGGATATTAGTGGAAAAATGTAAAATTCCAATAAAGTCTACAGTTCTGTTTATTGCATTGTTCTTATGTTAATTTCCTGGTTTCGTTCATTGCACTGTGGTTATGTAAGATGTTAACAATAGGAAAAACTGGGTGAGAGGTATATGAAAACTCTCCGTACTATTTTTGCAACTTTGCTGAAAGCCTAAAATTAGTTCAACATCTTAAAATTTAACAACAACAACAACAAAACCCTACATTAAAAATGAATAGGGCTTTTGGTATGGTGGTTCCTCAAAAAACTAAAAATAGAATTACCATATAATCCAGCAATTCCACTTCTGAGTATAT
Organism: Homo sapiens; assembly: GCF_000001405.40. Classification (NCBI taxonomy): domain Eukaryota; kingdom Metazoa; phylum Chordata; class Mammalia; order Primates; family Hominidae; genus Homo; species Homo sapiens. The sequence continues at coordinate 121,389,555 of NC_000010.11, forward strand.
AACCAAAGCAGGGACTTGACCAGATATGTGTACACCCATGTTCATGGCAGTATATTCACAATAGCCAAAAAGTAGAAGCAACCCAAGTCTTCATCAGTGGATGAATAGATAAACAAAATGTGGTATATACAGAAAATGGAATATAATTCAGGATTAAAGCAGAGGGAAATCCTGCCCCATGCTACACGGATGAATTTGAAGGCATTATGCTAAATAAAGTAAGCCAGTCACAAAAGGATAAATACTGTATTATTCCACTTATAAGATGCTATGATCTGAATGTTTGTGCCCCCCTCCAACCCTCACCAAATTCATACATTGGAACCTAATCCTCAAGCTGATAGTAGAAGGTGGGGCCTTGGGGAAGTGATTAGGTCATGAGGTCTGTTCCCTCATGAAAGGGATTAGTGCCCTTATAAAAGAGACCCCAGAGAACTATATGACCCCATTCCACAATAGGAGCAAACAGTATAAAGGTGCCATCTGTGAGGAATGAGCCCTCGCCAGACACTGCCAGCGCCTTGATCTTGGACTTCCCAGCCTCCAGAACTGTGAGAAATAAATTTCTATTGTGTATAAGTTCCCCAGTCTAAGGCATTTTGGTATTGCAGCTCAAATGGCGCATGGTGGCATAGTTCCAGCTACTCGGGTGAATTGCTTGAGCCTAGGAGTTTGCATTTGCACCACTGCACACCCTGCACTTTAATTTTTATAACTAAAAATTATTCACATCAAAGTTTTTTGATATTGTTTGCTGGTCAAGATGCTTCCAACATGAGTTTTCTGTACAAACAATGTTTTATTGCTTAAATTCATCCTCCTCATGGTCTCCCATAGAGTAGGACACAAATTCCTAAATCAATATAGTCAATAAAAGAACTATAACTTTTCACCCCAGGAAATTCAGCCCATCCATAGTCAAACCCGGCTGCTCCTAAACTTGCTCCTCATTCTTCCCCTGTCTTGATCTAAAATGTCTTTTCCTTCACCTGCTCTCTTGTTCTTTCAATTCCTGGAGTATTTTCCCCATGAAAACCTCTCCCAACAGCCTCTAGGCAGAGTTAGCCTTATCCTTTCCTGGTCTCCCACCACTTTCCAAATGTAGTTGGCAATGACGCTCTAGCACTTTTTACCATGTTGCATTCTGAATGTCTGTTTACACTGCTGGCTGCCCAAATAGACTTCTAAGCTCCAAGGAGACCAAGAGTCTCATCAAACCACACCTGAGTTGCAACAGAACGTACCTTTGTTTTCGAGCCAGTCATGCACAAGGGCTTGCATTGGGGTCATGCTTCCCATTAGGCCGACCCAGGATATGGACTCCAGTTCTAATGCTTGGGCTTCCAATGTCCCTGTCCCCAACCCCTCCATAGCTGCTTCATCCTAATCACAGAGCCTTGACTTTGCTCCTTAGCCCAAGCTTCTCCAATTTTCTAAGCCATATTTTATTAATACAAAGAATCAGCTTGCAATGCTCCATCCACTGCCCAGGGACTAGAATCCAGGCCTCATGCCTCAGGTGGAAGCTGCACCCTGTTTTGTAGGCAAGGATTTGAGACGTTGGGCACCCCTGCCTCTTGATTGGCCCCCTGCTGCAGAGGAGCTCTCACATCTCCCCACTGCCTCCCACTCTAGCCATGCAACCCCCCAACTGATAGATAAACACTATCTAGGAATCAGGCTCTGTTACCAATTCTACCTGGTTCACTGTTTTCATAGAGTAGGAAAGAGCTCCAGAAAACTCCTGAATTAATACAATTATAATTATTAACACAATTATGTAATAATATAAACCATAGCCATCTTTCAATATTAACTTATATGATTATAAATAATCAATGTGATTCTTCCCCATCCCAATAAGGGATCCTAGACTTTCACAAGCAAATTATCTTATTAAAAAATCAGCTAGTGTCAACAACCTACAGCTTTCCTCTTCTTCCTCTGTGCTCCCTGATTTGTGAGCTACATACTGTGAAAACTACGCACTGTGAAAAATATTGGCACCTGTGAAAACTTACAGCGTTTTGAAGCGCAAGAAGAGAGGGAGTCGGGGTGAGAGGGTGAACCAAGGGAGGAGAACATAAATGTCACTGTCACTCCTGGATTTGTATAACTTAATTAAATCAGATTGCATTCCCCCAAGCCCTAGCTAATTGAAATTGTTTGGACTAAGGACATAGGAGTTTTAATATGAGACAATAAATGAGTGTAATAATTTTGGTTCAGAGATCATTGGATGAACTGAAGCAGACTGGATATAATCCTATAGTCGGGGAATTAGGAGATTATGAAAGCAATGAGTGGAGCATTGAGCACAGAAATACCCAAGGGGGGTTCAAAAATGGCATGAGAGCTTCAACAAAGACCAACTGTGAGCTTCGAGAAAGCTCCTTTGCTTACAATCCATGGACATACTCTTCTCAAAATATAAAAAAACAACAGATTTTTACACGAGATAGATTCCTTAGCACTGAAAACATGAAAAGCCCAGGACATACAGTAGACTTACCCAAAAGTCACAGAATCATGAGAATTCAAGCAGGAAGCAAAACTAGATGATATCGTCAGTGGTTCTCAACTCTAAGCGGAGGAACCATGTTATGTCAGAAAACCTCACAAACGCCCTTTATGGTAGCTTTTTTTTTCTTTTTTTTTTTTTGAGATGGAGTCTTGCTCTGTCACCCAGGCTGGAGTGCAGTGGCACGATCTCAGCTCACTGCAACCTCTGCCTCCTGGCTTCAAGTGATTCTCCTGCCTCAGCCTCCTGAGTAGCTGGGATTACAGGCGTGCGTCACCATGCCCAGCTAATTTTTATATTTTTAGTAGAGACGGGGATTCACCATGTTGGTCAGGCTGGTCTTGAACTCCTGACCTCAAGTGATCTGCCAGCCTTGGCCTCTTGAAGTGCTGGGATTATAGGCATGAGCCACCACGCCCAGCCTATAATAGCATTTTATCTCTTAATTGAAAAAAAGATTATACACACATACACACACATATATAATACTTATTAATTCAGAAACTGTGTTGATTCACGCTTTCAATCCTGAAAGCACCTACACATAGTGAACAACTAGTGGTATTGTGTATGCAGGGGTTTGGTGTGTGTATGAATTCAAAGATTCTTTTTACCCCAAGACTCTCCATCACCATCTCTAGGATGGTGCAGTGACTGCACATAGGTAGAAAATTCACCGCTGAGTTTGGGAAAAGGGTGCCATCCTCAACCTAACACACCTGTAGCTCTGCTTATGATGCCTGCAGGTAACTTTCTTTGGAGAGAAAAATAAAACATGCCACACATTCCCTTCTGTGAGCAAGGTGGCGGTCAAGGACAGTTTCGCTTTTGACTAGAACACTGGAACGAAGTACCTGATGCAATTCCAAAACCGTTTCTGATTTTTGGTCTAGAAACTGAGTTATTCCTACCATGAGACTGTAACATATGCTCCATTCTTCCCGAAGAGATACTTCCATTTTTATTAACTATGCATCTTGCAATGTGACAGCCAGAAGTGCCCCCCTTCTTTTGCAAACAGTTAAATGATTCCTCTGAGAGCATCTGGTCCCTGGAATATGTGAGGTAGCATGCCCTGTTCACAAGGGGCCTTGATCTTCAAACCTTATCAAATAAAACATTTTGGAGAGCTTGCTCAGAATAAAGATGAGAAAAACTGGAGGCCTGGGATGGTGTGGTTTGAAGTCTGTGCACTGAATCAAAGTACCTCAGTCTCAGTCTCACCTGAAATGGCTGTAAAAAGGCATTCAACTCTTTTGTAAGCTGGCTAGCGGGTCTTTATTTCCTACATGTGCAACAGTCTTTACTTCCTACGCTGTGTCCTACACAGACAGTCTTTATTTCCTACACGTGCAACAAATGTTCTTTTGTGTTTACTATTTGATTTTTAAATTTTTCTTTAAAGGGACTGAAACAACAAAAATATCATAATCAAGAAAGGCAAAGATACCCCTAAATGCTAAAGTAATTGCACAAGGACAGAGTTAGTAAAACCCAGTAAATTATTATAATGAATAAAAATAATTCTGAAAGCAGCTGCCTGCTTTGTTCAAATATCAGAGAGTGAGGGCTTTGCAGATGGGTAATATTTTGGACACTTCAGCAAGACTAAAAATAACTGGCCCTAGGTAACTAAAGGCTATCTTTGTTTTGGTTGTTTTCTGTATCCTCTGTCTCAGTTTTCTCTTCTGCGATACGCTGATAAGAATAGCTTGACCAATGGTTTGTTACAAAAATTAAATTACACAAATCATGTAAAATAGCTAGCACAGGGCGTGCTGCATGGGAAATGTCTAGTAAGTAATAACAATTATTATCATGCTATAGTCAGAGTTCTCAGTTGCTGTGGCAGAGGAGTCTGGCCAGTGCATAAGAATCACCAATGCTGGTTACTGTTGTTGTTATGATTTTTTGTTTTTTAAACTCAGAAATTTGGGTGTATTCACCACTCACCTCAGAGCTACTAGTGATTCAGAATCCCCAAGACTGAGATCTGACTATATATATATGTGTATATATATATATGTGTGTGTGTGTATATATGTGTGTGTGTATATATGTGTGTGTGTATATATATGTGTATATATGTGTGTATATATGTATATATATGTGTATATGTGTGTACATATGTATATATATGTATATATATGTGTATATGTATATATATACACACACACATATATATACATATACATATATATGCATGTGTGTGTGTGTGTGTGTGTGTGTGTGTGTGTATTAAAGTTCTACAGATTTTCCAATCAAGATAGAGTAACAGGAGTGGATTTACTCTCGTATCTGAAACAAACACCCAGGCAAAAATACAGGAAATAACAGTTTTCATGACACCGGGCATGAGGCAATAGAAACCCATGATCCCCGAGAGACAGGAAACAAACAAGGAGAGCCCTGCAGTTGCCTTGAGAGAATCCGCAGGATGTGGCACCAAGAAGGGAAACTGAGGCAGAGCTTCACAGACTCCCTGAGTTGAGGATACACTCAGCAGATTGCCAGAGGAGTGAGGACCCAGAGAAGCACTCTCATCTGCCCTTTCTGCAGGGCTCTGAGCTCCTCATGGTCAATCCCAGCCTGATTTTTCCTGCTTTGTTTTTCTGTGTACCCCAGCTTCTCCACATGAATGCTGTGACAGGTCCTGGCTCTCCTCCCTCCATTTTCCTCTCAAAATTTGGCCATTCATCAGTAACTTTGATCTTCCTTCTGAGGAGAACTGACATGTGATATCCCTAGTCAGCCATCATGAGGTTGAAATCCTGAGCTGAGGATACAAGGCTGAGAGCCCAGGAAGACCAAGGCAGCTAGAGATCACAGGACAGAGAGAAGTGAGCTGCATAGAAAGAAAAGCCCAGAGATCTGTGGAGGGTCCTCAAGGATTCAGCAGAGGACTAATCAGTGCATGGGTGTAAGAAAACTACGCAAGACAAGGGAAAGCACAATAAAAAGGATTAGAGAAAACAACGCCTGGTACTCACACAGGACTAAGGATAGTGCTAGTTCCCTCCAGTCAGATTGAAAACAACTCGCAATTCATGAGGCATTGTGCAGAGTACTCTGGAAAGTCTTGCCTCAGTAGTAAGGAATAATTAGCCCTGGAATGAGCCAAGCTCTGGACCAACCTAACAAGTCATAAACATAAGACTTGGCCAGGCGCAGTGGCTCACGCCAGTAATCCCAGCACTTTGGGAGGCCGAGGCAGGCTGATCACAAGGTCAGGAGATCGAGACCATTCTGGCTAACATGATGAAACCCCATCTCTACTAAAAAAGCAAAAAATTAGCCAGGCGTGGTAGTGGGCACCTGTGGTCCCAGATACTCGGGAGGCTGAGGCAGGAGAATGTCATGAACCCAGGAGGCAGAGCTGACAGTGAGCCGAGATCGCGCCACTGCATTCCAGCCTGGGCAACAGTGTGAGACTCTGTCTCAAAAAAAATTAAATAAATAAATAAAAAACATAGGACTCAAACAAATGAAACATGTTCTAAGTAAGTTAACTGCATTCCAGAACAAAACTCAATAATATTTATAGTAACACAAAAATAGCACCCAACAAGGTAAACTTACAATGGCTAGCATCCAAAGATTACCACACATGCAGAGAGGCAGGAAAACATGATCCATAATGAAGAGAATAATCAATCAATTGAAACTGACACCGATATTAGAATTATCAGAGAAGCACATTAAATCAGTTATTATAGCTTTTTAAGCATATGAAATAAAATGGAGACATACAAGATTTTTTAAGTTCCCAAATTAAGCATTTAAAAGGTGAAAATTACACTGAGTGGGATTAATGGTAGATTAGACACAGCAGATGAAAAATTAATAAACTTGGAGGTATAACAACAGAAACCATCCAAAATGAAACACTGTTGTTAAAAAAAAAAAAGAATTTTTTTGTTTGTTTGTTTGTTTGTTTTTTACAAAGCACATCAGTATGCTCTGGGACAATTTCATACCACATAAGTCCCTAAAGGAGACGACACAGAGTGAGTAACAGAAAAATATTTGAATAACAAACTTTTCAAACTTAATAAACATTATGAACCCACAATCCAAGAAGCTCAACAAATCTCAAACATGAAGAAAACTACACTAACATGTATCACAACCAAATTGATTAAAACCAATAAGAGAAAAAGCTTAAAAACAACCAAAGACAAAGACATGTTATGTATAGAGGAACAAAAAATAAAATGGCATAAGATTCACCATTTGAAACAGTGTAAGCCAGAAGACGGTAGAGCAACATCCTTAAAGTACTAAAAGAAAATGTCAATACAGAATTCCATATTTGGCAAAAAGTCTTTCAAAATGAAGGTGTCAACAAAATAAATAACATAGAACTGGGCTACAAATCAGAGCGTAAAATAAATATCCAGCTGGGTACAGTGGCTCACGCCTTTAACCCCAGCACTTTGGGAGGCCAAGGTGGGCGGATCATGAGGTCAGGAGATCGAGACCATCCTGGCTAACACGGTGAAACCCTGTCTCTACTAAAAATACAAAAAAGTTAGTCAGGTGTGGTGGCACACGCCTGTAGTTCCAGCTCCTCGGGAGGCTGAGGCAGGAGAATTGCTTGAACCCGGGAGGCAGAGGTTGCAGTGAGCCAAGATTGCGCCATTGCACTCCGGCCTGGGTAACAGAGTAAGACTCCATCTCAAAAATAAAAAATAAAAAAATCCATGAATCTATATTGGTATAAATAACTGAATAAATGAGGGATAATAGACAAATCTCCCAAACAGAAGAATTCCAAATAATTTGTGTAAAGACGTAAAGACTGCTCCCTTGAGGAGATGAGACATAAATCTCCACCCCTTACGTGTGAACTTCACAAAGAAATTTCCTTTCAAAGACACAGTATGGAAGGAAACGGAAGAGGGGAGCAACTTTACAATGGAGAAACCTGACAAACTACCTCAGGCAGGTGATTAAGGTCAGCATCAGTAGTAATAAGTCATGTGGATTGTATGCAACGGTTAGTCTGTTCTTGCATTGCTGTAAAGCAATGCCGGAGACTGGGCAATTTATGAGGAAAAGTGGTTTAATTGGCTCAAGGTCCTGCAGGCTGTACAGGAGGCATGGGTGAGGAGGCCTCAGGAAGCTTGCAATCATCACAGAAGACAAAGGAGAGGCAGCCATGGTTTACATGGCAGGAGCAGGAACAAGGGGCGGGTAGAAGTGCTACACACTTTTAAATGACCAGATCTCACAAGAACTCACTCACTATCACAAAAACAGCACCAAGGAGACGGTGCTAAACCACTCATGAGAAACCCACCCCTATGACCCAAATACCTCCCACCGGACCCTGCCTTCAACACTGGAGATTACAGTTCAAACTTAGCCCGATTTGGGTGGGGACATGGAGTGAAACCATATCAGAAACTTTTATATAATGTGATAAAAGTGACACTTAACCTGTGTGATTTTCCTCTCTAAAACCCCATAACTCTTTGCACATTTCCTGTAAGACTAAAATTATTCTAAAATTAAAAATAAAATGAATGCAAAATAAAGACATGGTCAGATCTACAAAAGCTGAAAGAACTTATTACTGACAGCTCCACAATATAAGCTAAAAGATGTCTTTAGGCAGAAGGAATTTGGGTGATCATAAATGGTTATTACATGTATAAATATGTAAGATTTTATTATTATTTAAATCCCTTTAAAAGACAACTGACTTCTGGTTCCACCAAGATAGAACATACCCATTCCTCCCAGGTCCTCTTTCTTACAAGTAAAACATCCTTTTCATAACTCTTACTAGAAAGAAAAAGAGCAAACCAAGCACGAAGCAATCATTAGGAAGGAAAGAACAAAGTACAGAAATCAATAAGATTGAAAATAAGAAAACCAAATAGAAAGCCAATGGAACAAAAAGCTAGTTGTTAAAAATATAGTCGGCCGGGCGCGGTAGCTCACGCCTGTAATCCCAGCGCTTTGGGAGGCCGAGGCAGGTGGATCACGAGGTTAGGAGATCGAGACCATCCTGGCTATCACGGTGAAACCCCGTCTCTACTAAAAAATACAAAAAAGTAGCTGGGCGTGGTGGCAGGCGCCTGTAGTCCCAGCTACTCGGGAGGCTGAGGCAGGAGAATGGTGTGAAACTGGGAGGTGGAGCTTGCAGTGAGCCGAGATCGCACCACTACACTCCAGCCTGGGCGACAGAGCGAGACTCTGTCTAAAAAAATAGAGAGAGAGAGAGAGAGAGAGAGAGAGAGAGAGAGAGTCAACAAAAAGTGATTAACCTCTAGCAAGACTGACAAAGATTAAAAGGCAGAAAATACAAATGATCATATCTGAAACAAAACAGGTGATATCACTGCAGATTCAATAAAAGGAAAATAAGAAAAACTACAGACAAACTTTATAAATTTGACAACTTAGAAGAGATGGGGCAATTCCTTGAAAATCACAAACTACAAGTTAATCAGGATGAAATAGACAACCTGAATAGTCCTACAATCTTTTTTTTTTCTTTTTTTTTTTTTTTTTGAGAGGGAGTGTCGCACTGTCACCCGGGCTGGAGTGCAGTGGCATTATCTCGGCTCACTGCAACCTCCACCTCCCGGGTTCATGCAATTCTCCTGCCTCAGCCTCCCAAGGAGCTGGTATTACAGGCACACACCACTGCACCCAGCTAATTTTTTGTAGTTTTAGTAGAGATGGGGCTTTTCACTATGTTGGCCAGACTGCTCTCAAACTCTTGACCTCGGGATCTGCCCGCCTCTGCCTCCCAAAGTGCTGGGATTACAGGCGTAAGCCACCATGCCCGGCCCATACAACCATTTTTAAAATTGAATTTGTAATTTAACAAAGCTCCAAAAAAAGAAATCTACAAGCCCAGATGATTTCACTCGAGAATAATTGTACCAAGCATTTTTCTAAAATTAATAACAATTTAATACAATTTAACTCTTCCAAGAAAAAGAGGAAGGAATACATACCTCATTTTAGGAGACCTCATTATTACCCTGATACCAAAACCAGACAAAGACAGTACAAAAAAAGAAAATTATAGACTAATCTCTCTCATGAACTTAGATGCAAAAATCATCAACTAAATGTTAACAAATCAAATTTAGCAGTGTATAAAAAGAATTATACACTAGGACTGAATGGGATTTATTTTAAGTATGCAAGGCCAGTTAAGCATTCAAACAAAAAATCAATATATTTCACCCTATCAGTGGGCTAAAAGAAAAACCATATGATTATATCTGTTGATACAATTAAAGAATTTGATAAAATCAACACCCATTTATGATAAAAACTCTGAGCAAACTAGAAATAGAGGGAAACTCCCTCAACTTCATAAGAGAATTTACAAAAATAACTTACAGCTAACATCATACTTAATGGTGAAAGGTGCTTTCTCTCTAAAATTGGAAACAATGCAAGGATGTAGGCTCTTACCACATTTATTCAACATAGTACTACTAGTCATAGCAGTAAGTCAAGAAAAGGAAATAAAAGGCATACAGGTTGGAAAGGAAGAAATAAAACTGTCCTTTTGCACATGATGTTATTATCTATGGAGATAATCCCAAAGAATCTACAGAAAAGACTACTAGAACTAATACAAGAGTTCAGCAAGATTGCAGGATACAAATCAACACATAAAAATCAACTGCATTTTTATATATAACAATGAACATGTGGACACCAAAATTAAAAACAATACCACTTAAAATAACTCCAAAGAATATGTAATACTAAGTATAAACTTAACAAAACATGTATAGGATCTGTGTGCAGGGAAGTCTAAAATGCTGACAAAAGAAATCAACACATGAAGAGACATACCACGTGTTCATGGATTGGAAGACTCAATATAGTAAAGATGACAATTTTCCCCAAGTTGATTGATATGTTTAGTATGGTTCCTATTAAAATCCTAGCAAGTTTTTTGTAGATACAAACTTTTTTTTTCTATTATACTTTAAGTTCTAGGGTACATGTGCAAAACGTGCAGGTTTGTTACATATGTATACATGTGCCATGTTGGTGTGCTGCACCCATTAACTCCTCATTTACATTAGGTATATCTCCTAATGCTATCCCTCCCCCCTCCCCCCACCACACGACAGGTCCCGATGTGTGATGTTCCCCACCCTGTGTCCAAGTGTTCTCATTGTTCAATTCCCACCTATGAGTGAGAACATGCGGTGTTTGGTTTTCTGTTCTTGCGATAGTTTGCTCAGAATGATGGTTTCCAGCTTCATCCATGTCCCTACAAATGACACGAACTCACCCTTTTTTTATGGCTGCATAGCATTCCATGGTGTATATGTGCCACATTTTCTTAATCCAGTCTGTCATTGATGGACGTTTAGGTTGGTTCCAAGTCTTTGCTATCGTGAATAGTGCCGCAATAAACATACGTGTGCATGTGTCTTTATAGCTGCATGATTTATAATCCTTTGGGTATATACCCAGTAATGGGATGGCTGGGTCAAATGGTATTTCTAGTTCTAGATCCCTGAGGAATCGCCACACTGTCTTCCACAATGGTTGAACTAGTTTACAGTCCCACCAACAGTGTAAAAGTGTTCCTATTTCTCCACATCCTCTCCAGCACCTGTTGATTCCTGACTTTAATGATCGCCATTCTAACCGGTGTGAGATGGTATCGCATTGTGGTTTTGATTTCCATTTCTCTGATGACCAGTGATGATGAGCATTTTTTCATGTGTCTGTCAGACAAACTTATTTTAAAATTTATATGAAGAGTAACAGATCCTAAATTTGCTAAAAACAGTCTTGAAAAAGAAAAGAAAGTGGGAAGAAGCACTTTATCCTACTATACAGCTACAATAATCAAGACAGTGTGGGCAACAGACATATAGATCAATGGAGCAGAATAGAAAAATCCAAAAATAAACCATAGAGACATGTTTGCCTGATTTTTGACCAAAGTCAAAAGTAATTCAATGGAGGAAGAATAACCTTTACAACAAATGGTGCTGGAGCAATTGGACATACATAGGCCAAAAAAATGAGCTGTGAATAACCTAAACTTCACACCTCATCCAAAAATTAACACAAAATGGAACATGAACTTCAAGATAAAACAAAACTATAAAACTTTTAGAAAACAACATAGGGAAAATATCTTTAGGATCTATGACAAATTAAAATAGAATGAGATATCAGTATACACCTACCAGAATGGCTAAAATAGTGACAGCACCAAATGCTGGAAAGGACATGGAGAAACTGGATCATACATACATTGCTGGTAGGAAAACAAAAGGGTAGAGCCACTCTGGAAAGCAGTTTTCAGTTTTTATAAAACTAAACATGCAACTGCCATGTGGCCTAGCAATTACACCCTTGGGCATCTATCCCAGAAAAACAAAAAGTCACATTCACATAAAAACCTACATCCAAATAAATGTTCATAGCAGCATTATTTATAACATTTTTTCACATAAACTGGAATGACCCAGATATCCTTCAGCAGATGAATAGTGATCCATCCATCCCATGGAATATTACTCAGCAAGAAAAAGGGACTAACTATTGATATACACCACACAATGACTTAAATGAATTTCTAGGGAATTATGCTATGTAAGAAAAGCCCAGTTCCTGAAGGTTATATACTGCATAAGTCCATTTATGTAACATACTTGCAAAGACAAAATTATACCAATGAAGAACACATTCGTGGTCTTAAGGTGGGAGGCAGAGAGATGGAGATGGGTGTGGCTGTAAAAGGGAACAGGACAGATCCTGGTGGTGATGGAAGTGTCCTGTGTGTTGAATGAAGTTTATCCTAAAGCAGCCTCCTTACATATTTTAAGTCCGGCCTAAAGGTTTCTCTGTACATTGTGAATATAACCTAAATGGAGTTGTAAACAGACTGTAGCCTACTCTTGTGCCAATTACCAAGTTTTGGCCAATCAAAGGTGGCCAACTGTTCAAACCATGTTCAAATAAGGCAAACGCCAAACTGTAACCAATCCAGCTGTTTCTGTACCTCATTGCCATTTTCTGTACCTTTCCTTTTTCTCATTATAAATCTTCTTGCACCACGTGGCTTCAGTGGAGTCTCTGAGTCTACTCTGGCTCTGGAGGCTGCCCAATTTGCAAATTTTCTTTGCTCAGTTAAACTCTGTTAAATTTAATTCAACTAAAGTTTTTCTTTTAACATGTATTTTGATTGTATCAATGTCAATATCTTTGATGTGATATTATTATTTTTTATTTATTTGTTTATTTATTTTGAGACAGAGTCTCACTCTGTTGCCAGGTTGGAGTGCAGTGGCACAATCTCGGCTCATTGCAACCTCTGCCTCCTGAGTTGAAGCGATTCTTCTGCTCAGCCTCCCGAGTAGATGTGACTACAGGCATGTGCCATCACACCCAGCTAATTTTTGTATTTTTAGTAGAGACAGGGTTTCACCATGTTGGCCAAGATGGTCTCGATCTCTTGATCTCGTTATCCACCCACTTCAACCTCCCAAAGTGCTGGGATTACAGGTATTAGCCACCACACTCAGCTGGTATTCTTAGTTTTGCAAGATGTTACCATTGAGGAAAATTGGGTAAATGGTATAAGGAATTTCTCTGCATTATTTCTTACAATTGTATATGAACCTACAATTATCTCAAAATAAAAAGTTTAACTTAAAAGCTTAAATAAAAATAGATCATAGGCCTAAATGTAAAACCTAAAACAATACAACTTCCAAAATAAAACAGAAGAAAATCTTGTCATCTTGTCTCTTAGTCTACTCAGTATAACAAAATACCATAAAATGAGTGACTTATAAATAGCAGAAATTTATTTCTCACAGTTCTGGAGCCTGAAAAGTCCTAGATCAAGGCACTGGCAGAGTCGATGTCTGATGAGGACCCTCTTCCTAAATAACCATCTTCTCGCTGTGACCTCACAAGTAGGAAGGGCTGAGGGATCTCTCTGGGGTTTCTTTTATGAGGGCATTAATCCATTTATGAGGGCTCCACCCCATGACCTAATCACCTCCCAAAGGCCCCACCCTCCTAACACCATCACTTTAACAGTTAGGATTTCAACACGTGAACTCAGAATAAACAAACATTCAGTCCACTGCACCTCGAATTAGGCAAACATTTATAAACTTGGACAGCAAAAAGCACAATCCAAAAAATAACAAAACATATATATTGGACTTCGTCAAAAATAAAACTTCAGCTTCAAGACACTATTAATAGAATGAAAGGCAAGCCACAAACTGGGAGAAAAACTGTACAAAACATATGTGATAAAGGACTTGTATCCAGAAAATATGTGTGTGTGTATATATATGTGTATATATATATATATATATACTTAAAAACCCCCAAACTCTCAAAACTCAAGAAAACAAGCAGCCAAATTTTTTTTAAAAAGCAAAAGACTTAGACACTTTAAAGATGATATACATGAAATCTACATAAAAGATGCACAATATTATTAGATAATTGCAACTTAAACCCACAATAAGAAACAACTACCTATTAGAATGGCTGGGACATACGAACACAGACCATACCAAGTATTGGCAAGCACAGGCAAGAACTAGAACTCACACATTCTACGGATGGAAATGCAAAATGGTACAACTACTTTGGAAAACATTTTGGCAGTTTCCTAAAAAGTTAAACATATGTCTACTGTGTGATCAACTATTCCGCTCCTAGATTTTTACCAAAAAGAAAAGTTTATGTCTATACGAAGACTCGTAATGAATATTTACAACAGCTTTGTTTGTAAACCCCCAAATTGGGAACAGCCTAAGTGTTTGTCAGAACATAAATGAATAAACAAATTCTGGTGCATCCATAGAAGGGAAGACTACTCAGCAATAGAACCAAATTAATTACTGATATACACAAAAACACTAGTGAATCTTAAAATAATTACACTGAGTGAAAGAAGCAAAAAGTCACCATGCTACATGATTCCATTTATATAAAACCTTATAAAATACAAATATAGCAACAGAAAGTAGATCCATGGTTACTGGTAGTGGTATGGGAGCATGGAGGGACTGAAGGAAGGGGTTCAAAGGGGCATTAGGAAACTTCTTGAAGCAGTGGATTTGTTGTGATGATTTTAAGGGTATATATGCATACTAGACATCAAAGTATATACTTTTTTTATTTTTTATTTTTTTGGAGACAGAGTCTCACTCTGTCACCCAGGCTGGAGTGCAGTGGTGCAATCTTGGCTCACTGCAACCTCCACCTCCCTGCTTCAAGCAATTCTCCTGCCTCAGCCTCCCGAGTAGCTGGGACTACAGGCACATGCCGCCATACCCGGCTAATTTTTTTTTATTTTAGTAGAGACAGGGTTTCACCATGTTGCCCAGGCTGCTCTTCAACTCCTGAGCTCAGGCAACCTGCCCGCCTTGGCCTCTCAAAGTGAAATTATATACTTTTAATGTGGATAATTTGTTATATCAATTATAACACAATAAAGCTGCTTAGAAAGAAAAATAGTGGTAAACATTTCCCAGTTTTTATTTCTAATGTGATAAATACTGATAAATACCCTCAAATGAAAGCTCTTAGGAGTCCTCAATTTTAAGAGTAAAAAGGGGTCTTCAAACTAAAAAGTTTGAGAACTGCTGCCCTGGGGGATAGAGATCCTGTCTTTTCTTCTTTCTTGGCATCAGCAGCACGCAACCCAACACTGAGTGCACAGCAGCTCTGCAGCGGGCATCTGCAGAGTAACTGGAAGGAAACACACAGCAGTTCAATCATTTGTCTGCTTCACTGGCTGGGGAAGTGTTTTTGAAGAGGGGAGAACCCTCTTCTCTTAAAGATGGTACACTCTTTGAAGCTATTTCGCCTGAGTTCCAGCCCTCCTGGAGGACAAACGGTAGGCCTGTTTTCAGAAAAGTTATCTTCACTGCTTCTTCAGGACAGATGGACTCTGCTACAGCAAAGCCAGATCCCCTGGGCAGGCCAACACAAGGGTGCCATATGCTGGTTGTGGAGGCCTTAAGGGATACCGAGACCCCATAAGAAAAGATACCTAAGCAAGACATCCCATGGCCTGGGAGCCTTGAGACATTCCAAGTGTCCTCTCTGACCTCTTTGGGAGAGCAGCTCATCTTGGCGTCCCCTCAAACAGGGCCCAACTCCTGAACAGAGGGTTCCAGGGCTGAGGCTTGCCTGGCCCAAGAAAAACAGGCAGGAGCAGTGGGCGTGTTGCCTCAGATTATAAAGTGCTCCCAGATAAGCTGGCACCTAACAAAGAGGGCCTTATGCTCCACCAGGAGCACAGGCTTTGACATTCACTGCTTTTGTACAGGCTAAAAGTGGGTTGGACACAAGAAGCCTCTATGATTACTACAAGATCACGTCCTTTAAACTAAGTGGCTTCTGGGCCACAGATTTGGATGGCAAATTGTCTGCCCTGAGTGAACTCATAACCCTGGGAGGAGAAAGACAAAAGAGAGACAGAGAGCCCTTCTCCATGTCCCCTTCTCTTTTCCAGATTGTATCACCATATGTCTCTCTTGAAACCTGGAGAACATCCACAAGTGGTAGGCCCCTGTGCTCCTGATTTCCTAAAGCCCCAGATTTGTGGAATATGCAGCCCAGAGCCAACCTACCCCAGCTCCCCAGCAGTCAGCACTCCACAGCTGTCTAGGCTCAGTGAGTGCTTCCTGGCACATGTCCACATTGGACCTCTGAGCTGTGCTAACAGCACCTTCACTGGGGCCTAGGGGCTTAGGCCAGCCCCATCCAGCCTTCTCCAGGAGAAAGGAGGAGTCCATGGGAAGGGGGGATTTGGCTCCATGGAAACTCATCGTACCTGTACCCAGGGTGATAGTCAGAAAAAGAAAACCAACGCAAGTCAAGCTGTGAACGCAGGTCTCTCTTCCCCTGCAGATCCAGCTACACGTCCCCTTGATTCAGATGCCAGCTGGTGGCAGAAAGGCTAGTGGACAAACTCTTGCCAAGGGGACTGAGAAGAAATGCCAGGGTCCCAGGTTCACGAGGAAGGACTGAGGTGAAGGGAGAGGGTGGTGAGAGTGAAAGAGTAGACAGAGAAAACGAGAGCCGCAAGTTACCTAGGGGAAAGTCACTCTGCTGACAGGCCATGGATCCCAAAGTGTGCTCTCAGACAAGCAGCAGCAGCATCTGGACACTTGTTAGAAATGTACATTTTCAGACCTCAAATGCAGACCTGCTGAATCAGAGTCGGGATGAGCCAGGACATGGGCAGTGGTCTCCCCACCCTTGACTACTCATTGGTTTTGCCTGCAGAGATTTAAAACCCCAAACAATAACACCTGTGTCTCACCCCAGAGATTCTGATTTAATTGATTGATTGATTGGATTGGTCTGGGGTATAGCCTGGGCATCAGAATTTCAAGTCTGCTAAAGTGTCAGGTACTTGGGGAGCTTCTGAAAAGGACCATTGCTGAGCCCTCCCCCAAGACTTGAGGAATAAGAAGCTTCAGGAGGCACTGAGCATTTCCAGTTCTAGAAAGTATCTTCCACCCATGTGATTCCAAGGTACTCACTGGTTTTGCAAACCTTAGGAGTTTGTTTCTAAGACTGGTTCTTCCTAGCCTTGCCAAACAGGCCCAAGCTTCTAACATAGCCCTTGAACCCATTCAACCAACAAGACATTCACTCAGTGATCAACAAATGTCATCTTTCACACCTACTGTGTCCCATGCACCGATCTCTCTAAAAATACAAAAATAAGCCATATAAATCCGTAAGTTGGCCGCATTCTATAATGAAAGTGTGTGGGGATGCAGAAAATAAGAAAGAGAAGAAAGGGAGATGGATAAGGAAGAATTAGAGAGGTAAGTTCTTTTTCAATACGTGGGGGAAATAAAATAAGGTGAGTCAGTCAGGAATCTCTTTGGAAATACCCAGGAAGTTCTGCCCACAAGAATAATAAGTGTGTTTCCCTTCCCACGCCACCTCTACCCCACTTATTCCTGGGGAGGTTAAACAAACAATTTGTTTTGTCTTTTGAAAAGGGGTGTAGAAATCTATCACCAGGGAAAAAAATGTTAAGTAGCAGTTAGCCAGCTGAGATGCTTCCAATAAAGATAGAGGCCAGAAACAGAGGAGACAAGAATCGAGATGAGGGTGATGATAGAGATTAACCTGTGAGTTACCTGCCAACTCTGGCTGCCGAGGCCAGCAGGGTGAGGCCCGAGAAGCAGGCAGCCACTGCCAGGGCAGGACTGGCTCCTTGAACCACGCTGGAAGCACTGTTCTGGATGGAGTCCTGGGCGCACACCCGCCTAATAAATAGGGGTATTGTAATTACTTGTTTACGTGTCACTCTCCTCCACTAGACCATGGGCTCCTGCGGAGCTGGGACTACTGTCTTCTAGCCCCTGGCTCCTAGCATCTGGCACAGATCACCTGGCAGGAACCACCTGGCAAGGGAGTCTCCAAGACATTTTCTGAGGCCTTGAGTAAATAGCCTATTCTTTAGAGGGGATTGGGACGGTTACATAAAATCCTGGCTAAGTTAACATGCACCCGGATGGCGGAGGTGGCACAGGGAACTTCATTATGTGAAAGACCAGCACGGCACTATGACCTGTGTGGTCCATCCAGAAACTCAGAATGTGGCCTTATTTGGAAGTAGGGTCTTTGCAGAGGTAATTAAGGATCAAGATGAGATCCTACTGGATTAGGGTACTTCCTAAAGCCAATGAGTCTGTCCTTAGAAGAGACAAAAGAGGACACCAGAGACACAGAGAGAAGCCATGCAAAGTCAGAGGCACTGGAACTGGGGCTGCCACAAGCCAGGGAACACCTGGAGCTTGCAGAAGCTAAAAGAGGCAAGGAAGCATTCCTCCCTAGAGCATTCAGAGGAGCGTGGCTCTGCCGACACCTTGACTTTAGACTTCTAGCCTCTGGAATTGTGAGAGAAGAAATGTTTGTTGTTCAAAGCCAAGTTTGTAGCAATCTGTTCTGGAGGCCCCTGGAAACGAATACAAGCTGGACATGCATTTGGAGTTCAGGCCCCACAACCACCCTGAGAGGTAGGTAGTAATACACGTGACTTACAGATGAGGACAGGTGGGCTGAAAATAGCCAAGAATGTCACTCAAGTTGACACCACCAGGAACAAAAATCAGAGGCATTGCTTTCTGGCCCTAGTAGAAAACAATTCCAAACAAAGGAAAAAGACACACTGCAATACAGCAGGGATGGATGGATGGGCCACAGCCTGGAGGTGAGAGTGCTGGAGACACCTGCCCTGATGCCACAGCACTGACCACTCTAAGCCAGGCAGAGCCACAGACACGCTTCTGGGGGAATGCCTTCCAAGCCATTTCTGCGGGACTCCAGCGTTTATAAGGAAAGCCTCACCTTTTCAACTGCAAAGACCTGGAGAGACAGGACACATAATCAAAAGGAGCACATAAAAGGGAGAGACACATGTGCTAACCATAGTGTGTTATTTCTACTTAGAGAAAAAGAAAAAAGAGTCCACATTCTAGAGTAAATGCCTCATGATTCTGTTTCAAGATGATAGTAAAAAGCTGTTTGGATCCGACACAAGCACGTTAAGGTCTTAAGAAGGCAAGAACATAATGAGGGAGACTTAAAAACTATTCATTCTTGTTCTTGTTGGCACATCTTTGAAGAGTATTTAAAGTGGCTAGAGCACTGGAGAATACACTCTTCCATATTGGGAATTCCTCTTTTTCTCCCACGCCATAGAAAACACTTAAAAGTATAAGTGACATCCCCGTTTGCCCCTAAAGTTGTCTTGAAAGATTTTAAAGCTCCTGAAACATAATGAATGAGAAAAGACAAAATAATCCCAGTTGTCAAAGAATCTACTTCTTTGCCTCCTCATTTGTTTGTGAAATTGAAGAATCCTCCACTTGGTGTTCGGGAGGCAATGGGTAGTGGAGCAATAGCACTGGTCACATTAAATCCCATCTCACTGACTTAGGCAACCATGAAAGACTTATTTTTTAATATCTGTTTAAATTGCAACTCTGCATATTCTGGACGTTCCTTTCCCCTTCATCCCTCAGTTTGTGCCAAACCTCACCTTTTCTGTGAAGCCTTCCTGGGATGGAGAGCATTAGGACCATTGTGGGACAGAAGAAAGAGCAAAAGGATTTAGAAGACGGGTTGCCAGATTTAACAAACACACAGGGTCCCCGGTTAAATTTGAATTTTATCTATGCAACAAATAATTTTCTTTATTTTCTTTTTAGACATAGGGTCTGTCACCCAGGCTGGAGTGCAGTGGTACGATCATAGCTCACTGCAGCCTTGAACTCCTGGCCTTAAGTGATCCTTCCAATCCAGCCTCCTAAGTAGCTGGGATTACAACAAATAATTTTCTAAAGTATAAGTATGTCCCAAATAATGCTTGGCATATACTTATGCTTAAAATACATATATTTGTTGTTTGTCTGAAATTCAAATTTAACTTGGCATTCTGTATTTTTATTTGCTAAATCTGGCAACCCTGGTTGGGAGGCAGCCAGGCCTGGACTTCATTCCAATTCTACTACTAATTAGCTATGCATACTTGGGCAGGTCAGCAAACCTCTCTGAGAGTCAGTCTCCCTTGCTATATAATGTGGACAACTCCCTACCACCTACAGAGCAATGCCCTAATCAACAAAACAGAGCTGCAAAGGTCTCCATAATCAGTCCTTCCAGCAGCATTAGTTGCCACCAAATTCTTTCTGCTACAGCAGTTACAAAACGCTTATAGATTCCCTCATGCACCATGCTTTCTTACCTCTATGCTTCTGTTCACATGGTTACATTTGCCTAGAATATTATCCCTACCCACAGCATATGCACACCAACACACACGCCCACACACACACAGAGTCACCTACATTACTACCCTTTGCTGGGCTAACCTCTGTCAGTCCTTTAAGACCTGGTTCTGGCATCGACTCCTCCAGAAGTCCCCTGTAACTTTACTCTTCCACCCCCTTACCTAGAAGGTTGGAGATCACCTCTGCGCTACCCCATAACTCCTGTGCCCAAAACATTGCTTTGTTTTGTTTTGTTTTTGGATGGAGTTTTGCTCTTGTTGCCCAGGCTGGAGTGTAATGGCACGATCTTGGCTCACTGCAACCTCCGCCTCCCGGGTTCTCCTGCCTCAGCCTCCCCAGTAGCTGGGACTACAGGCATGCACCGCCACGCCTGGCTAATTTTATATTTCTAGCAGAGACAGGCTGTCTCCATGTTGGTCAGGCTGGTCTCAAACTCCGGACCTCAGGTGATCCGCCTGCCTCAGACTCCCAAAGTGCTGGGATTACAGGTGTGAGCCACTGCGCCTGACCCAACACATTGCTTTATATTATACTCTTCTCTTTAGGAGTCTGCATTCCCCACTGGGCCACGGACTTCTTGGTCCTACTCATCTATTTATCCTCAGCACAGCGTTTGGTACATAGTGAGTTCCCTTTGCTTCACCCAAAATTAGCAATCCTGGGCAGGAAACCTCAATGATGAGACCCCAAACCCACGAAACCACTCCAGGAGTCTCTGCCATCATAGACGGGTGCTCAACTTTCAGGTGATAAAAACACTCATTCTACTTTACACATTTCCTCACTTTTCTTGTGGCCCCAGGCAGCTGCACAGGTCACAGGCCTGCGAAGCTGCCTGATTCTACACTTTCCATCCTGCCCAGTGTGCTGCATGAAGTGCCATTTGCCTGACACCTGCATAATTTGATCTCCTGCTTCTACCCCAAGAGTTTTTACAGAAAAATCTCTGGACCTGCCTGTTTCAACATTCTCTGGGCTATTCTTGAGACCAAACATTTTGATCAACAGTTTCAAGTTCAAGAAAAGGCTCAAGGAATGTGAGAGTGATCTGGCTGCAACATCTGTCACCCCATTGATCTCCAGAGTTGGTTCAGCCAATCGAACTGGATAGGCAGGTGTCCCCTTCCTCCCTCACTGCTCTATGTGCATCCCTCCCGAAGCTATGTGCTCCAAGAGGAAGACCATCCCTGATAGAGGAGGACCAATCTTCAGTCAAGGGTATAGGAGTAGCTATGCTCCCCTGCTAGAACCTCCGAACAAGCTCTCAAGAAAAGGCTCAGGTATAAATCCAGTGGCTAAAGGCCAAGGGCCAGACAGCTTTTTCCTGCCAGCTGCTGCTGCTCAATCAGAAGCCCCACCTCCCAGAGGCAGCAAACAAGCAAAACCAAATCTCATGTTTAAGGACCAGGAGAGGAAAGCAATAGGAAAAAACTTTATGGTGTAAAATAAAGAGTAAAATTAAATGGGTACAGTCAACAGAGAGTCAGAGCAAACCTCTGACCTCAAACCAGCTCTGCCCCAACCGTCCTGAGCTAAGCAATTGAGAGGCAGCCTACAGCCCACACGCCAATGGGAAACACTTGTTGTTTCTGTTCTCACCCTGCTAATAAAGACAGACCCGAGTCTGGATAATTTATAAAGGAAAGAGGTTTAATGGACTCACAGTTCCACATGGCTGGGGAGGTCTCACAATCATGGTGGAAGACGAAGGAAGAGCAAAGAGACGTCTTACACGGCAGCGGGCAAGAGGGCATGTGGAGGGGAACTCCCCTTTAAGAACCATCAGATCTCTTGAGACTTATTCCCTATCAGGAGAACAGCACAGGAAAAACTCACCCCCATGATTCAATTATCTCCACCTGGCCCTTCCCTTGACACATGGGGATTATTACAATTCAAGGTGAGATGTGGGGGGGAGGGACACAGCCAGACCACATCACTTGCCTTGCACACAGGTTTGCACATGTGTCACAAACAGCCACAGAACCACATGTACTCAAGCCACAAAGTCCCAGGCACTGCAGACTCTCTGCTCTCAGGTATTCTATGTTCTACTAGCCAGGACTCCCCGTCATCTCCCACCAATGACCTCCTGCCTCCACCTCTAGCAAAAGAGACTATAAGATGCTGAAGAACTTTCTGAACCTAAGATGAAATGATAACTCGTAGCTGCATGAAGGGTGTTAGTTAAGTGTACAGTATGGATGCTACTGCTTAGAAGATCTAAAATATCCTAACCCCAGTGGAGAAGAAGGAGTGAGGACTGACTTTCAGCGAGTACATATAATGCAGCTGACAATACCCTGGTCAATTGGGTTCCCTGCCTCATCAAATCTTCAAAACCACCACTTTTGGGCAGGTGAAGACTCAGAGGCTCAACACAGGTAACTAAGGTTACCAAGGTTACCAAGACATTAGCAAGTAACAGAGCTGGATTTTGAATTCTGATCACTCTGGCACTAGTAACTTTTCTCCTTCCAGTCACCCCCACTGGCTATCTGGTGTGCCCAAACTTCAAGCTCCAAATCCCCCAGAGGGGCAACTGCCCAGCCGGGCTTCCCTTTGGGGCCAAGTACACAAGAAGGGTCTGTGCATCTCCCTCTTGCTTGGGTTTTAAATGTCATCAAGAAATGAGCTGGAGCACTCTACTGACAAACACCGGGAAGGAGACAGCAAGGTGCCTGGGGTGAAGGGACATAATCAGGGGCCTGGCCCCCAGGCTCAGCAGGCCCCTGACAGCCCAGGCAGGAACCACAGGAAGAAGGACAGGTTCCAGGGATCAGAGAGAAGTAAGCTGTGTCCGTCCCTCCACTCACCCCCACCGTTCCCAGCCAGGATGACTGGGGGCCACCCTCCTCTACCGCCCCCTCTTTTTCCCTACCTTGGCCCAAAACCAATGCCACCATTCTGGTCACAACCTTATACCTTTCCAAAGAATAAACATTTTCAAATTTGAACTGACATCAATGTATGACTTGTATATTTTAAATTCTCCAAATGGACTTTGTCTCACTTTATAATACACAAATTATGACTTGGAGAGGTAGAAAACTAGGAAAGTGATGAACTGCATTTTCCTTCAGGCCTCTCTCCTGACCTCTCTCCCCATCAAACTACCACCTCCTCTAAAAGCCAGCTCCATGGCAGGGCCATGAGGACACTCACAGGGGCCCCTGCCCACCAGCATCTCTACCTGTACCCAGACCAGCCTCTCCTCATTCAGCTCTCGTGCTTTGAGACAGACAACAGACATTTTTCTCAAGCGATGCTCTTCTCATGCATGTGCTACATAAAATTGCTTTGGGTATACATCAAGACTAGTCCCCATGGTCCTTTCACTGAGACTGCCACCCTGAGGCCCTCCTGCATTGACATACTGGACGTGTCTGCCAGCTCAAACCCCAACCTTCCCACCATAACCTCAACAGAAAGTTACCTCCAGCACCCAGTTCTCCACGTACACGATGGACACACAGCCCATCCACAGCACACATCAACTACCACCCTACATGTTAGACACAGTAAGGTGCTTGGGGGTCAGCACTGAGAGTTGGCTCATCCTCTTTGTTGCAGACCCTGTGTGGAGGGCCCAGCATACAAATCTCACTTGGGGACTATCTTCTGATTGAATGTAAACTTCATAAATGTAGGAACTAGGTCTCTGTTATCACTACTGTATATCTAGTACCTAGCATGGTGTGTGGCATATGCAACACTAAAGGGATATTTGGTGAATGAACAAAAGGAATAGGAGAGTATTAGGGTTCTCCAGAGAAACAGAATAGGATGTGTGCGTGGTGTGTGTGTGTGTGTGTGTGTGTGTGTGTGTATGGTGTGTATGTGCATAGTGTGTGTGTATGCATGGCGTGTGTGCATGGTGCAGGCCTGTCTGTGTGTGTGTGTATGTGTGTGTGTGTGGGTAGATATAAAGCCATTTATTATAAGGAATTGACTCATGTGATTACAGAGGCTGACAAGTCCAGACCCAGGAGAGCTGATGGTATAGTCCCAGTTCAAGTCCAAAGACAGGAAAAGACTCAAGCCGATGCCTTAGCTTGAAGACAGGCAGGCAGACAGAAAGAATCCTTTCCTATTCAACATTTTATTCGATTCAGGCTCTCAACAGATAGGATGAGGCACATCTATACATTCAGGAGGGCAATCTGCTTACTCAGTCTACCAATTCAAATGCTAATCTCATCCAGAGACAGCTTCACAAACATTCTCAGACGTAATGTTTAACTAAATATCTGGGCACCCCATGGTCCAGTCAAGTTGGCACATAAAATTAACTATCACAGGGAGAAATTAAATGCTGCGATAGACAGAGTTCCAAGATGGCCCCAGATTCCTACCCCCGGCATACATCCCCTGCATAGCCCTGTCCCTTGAGTGTGAGAACAGTGAATGCGATGAGTCAGTCTCTTGATTAGCTTATACTACATAGTAAAAAGGATGGGATAGTCACTCCTACTATTATGTTAGTCTATTTAAGATTCATCTTAGCAGACTGGAGGGAGACTCCTTTGCTGGCCTTGAAGAAATTAGCCACCATGTTGGAAAGAGGACCTCTGCAGGGGCCACATGGCGAACACTGTGGGTGGCCTTTGGGATCTGGGACTAGCCCCCAGCTGACATCCAGCAAGAAAGCAGTGACCTCAGCCCTCCAACCACAAGGAGCTGAATTCTGCCAGTAACCACATGAGCATGGAAGAGGATGCTGAGCTCAGGAAAATAAGCCTGCTCAGCTGCTCAGCACCAGGACTGCAGCCTTGTGAGAGCCTGATCAGAGGACTTGCAAAGCTAGGTCTAGTTCCTAACCCATGGAAAAACTGTGAGAGAACAAATGTATATTGTTTCAAGCTACCAAAGTTGTAGTCATTTGTTATGCAGTGGCAGAAAACTAATAGAAAGGCAAACAACATTTTTAATGTAAAAGCATTTTGAAGAGTCATGTTTCCCAAACTTCTGCCTTTTGCAGTCTTTCTTTGCAACTTCCACTGTGTCTACCTTCTATCTGGGCACTGCACCAGTGATTAATGAGGTCTGCATAAGACAGATACCAGAAAGCTATTTGCTTTGGCCTTGCCTTCAGCAACAACAGCACTAAAATCAGAGTGTAGGGTGCTAGCCATGTGGAGTTCTTATAAATCTAAACAAAGGAATTCTTGAATAGCTATTCAAGAGAAGAAGTGCTTATCTGTGTTGTCCCTAATGCCATAAAGTATTTCTCCCCTGGTGTGAGTCCCACATTCTGGAAGACACTGCAGTATGTAATGACACCATTGCCTTCAGTGCTTCGTGGGAGGGTCTTTAGTGGCAACTCCCTGAGGACAAATGTGTATGGGGAGTGGCCCCTCCCAGACACACCCTATGCCTTGTTACAGCTGTCAAGGAAAGAGGCATTCCTTGTTTTCTGCAATGAATGAGTGGCAAATGAAGTCACAAATGGGGTCAGGCCACCAGCTTTCTTCTCTGCTGAGGCCCTTTGTCACTCTTGATAAAATGTTCATCACTGTAGTTCTTTGCCAGGTCACCAACTTGTCCTTCCAGCCACTCAAGAGTAAAACCAGAAGCTGTATGCCCTGCACCAATTTGTAAGTTTCCAAGGCATGAATTTAAATCATGTACACTATAAGTCTGGCAAGGGTCTCGGTAGACATCTCTGCATTAATAACTATGTGGCTTGTGTTCTCTGTGCATTGTATGTAAAAACTCCTAGAAAAATGATTCTGAAAAGGCAGCTGATTGCTAATGCTTGTGATGGAAGTTAAAAACATGGGTGTGTGCATGGATGTTGAATGTTGAATAAAGGCCAGGCACAGCGGCTCATGCTTGAAATCCCAGAGCTTTGGGAGGCCAAGATGGGAGGTTCTCTTGAGCCCAGGAGTTTGCGACCAGCCTGGATAACACAGTAAGACCTTGTCTCTACTAAAAATCAAAAAGTTAGCACGGTGTGGTGGTGTGTGCCCACAGTCTCAGCCACTGGAGGGGATGTGGGAAGTGGTAATGGCAGAGGTGGGAAGGCATCAGATTGGAGGCAGGAGGATCGCTTGAGCCCAGGAGTTTGAGGCTGTAGTCAGCTATAATCACGCCACTGTGCTCCAGCCTGGGCAACAGAACAAGAACCTGTCTCTATCAAAAAAAAAAAAAAAAAAAAAAAGGAATTTTGAATAAAGAGATGGTTTTTAAGCAGAAAACAGACTTTTTAAGTCTGTTCTAAGGGAACAGAGTGAACATCTCCAATTTTGCAACCAAACATTCATCCACTTTCCAATAACAGTGCCTGATTTCTTCCAGAAAAGAAGTTATTTCCCTGTCCTCAGTCTATGGACTTTCAGGTGAAGTTGACTCTACCATGTGCCAAGGCAAGGCAAGGCAGGTGACTAAGGTCTGAATCAAAGCATCACATTCCCCTGGGGACATGGAGCCCAAGCACAGCTATGGAAATAATGAGTCTTGCTGGGACCTTTAGGGGAACTTGCTCTTTTACTGCTGGACTCGACAATAAAGGCTGTGGCCCCAAAGCTGATGGCAGCCTTTTGCTACCACTCAGAGCTGGAACATGAAGTCAAGTCAAAGAAGATCAGAACTAAGTGATGCAAGACGGATCAAGACTTAATAACAAAATTTGAGTCCTGGATCAAGCTGTATCTGAAGCTTATGTTTCCACCTTTCACTTACTAGGCTAATACTTTCATTCCTTTTGTTAATTTTTCACTCACAACCAAAGTGTCCCTGATTAGAACAAAAAGTCTCTTCCTTTTTTTTTTAGTAACACTTTCTTGCATTTTATGGGCTTATCATTGATTTATGACTATGGGATTAATCAAGGTCTCAGGACACGTTTCTTGAACATCAGAGTGGACTCTTTTTTCAGAGAGTTAGCCATTTACTAATTAACACTTATTTGGTTAGGAATGCTTTCAGCTACAAGTAATGGATGCCCAACTGAAGGTAGCTTATACTGTTAGTCTCCCATAAGAGTTGAGCTGGAGGTTGGCCATCTGGAGGTTGGTAGGCAGCTCAACAATGCCACCAAAGACCTCGGCTCTTTTTGTCCTTCTGCTCTGCCACCGTCATGTGTTGGTGACTCTCCCTTCTTGGTCACAAGATGACTACTGCAGCACCGGACATCGAGTCCTCACATGACAGTGTCCCACCCAAGCAGAAAGGAAGAGGGTGGGAGCAAAAGGGGCTCCTCCTCATAATGCCCTCTACCTTTTATCAGAAGGAAAGTCATGTCCAGAATTGCTCACTTACTCCCCATCATTGGCCAGGACTGGGTTATAGGGTCCCTTATAAACCACTCACCAGCACAGAAGGATGGACTTTCCATGGCTGGCTTAGACCAAACTTAAGTGTTTGAAACCTTATCAAGGAAGAAGAGAGAATAGCTCTGGGAAGGCATCTCCCACAGAAGTCTTGTTAACCTACCTTCTTGGAAGCAGGACATTTATAAGAAGAAAAAGCACCAGGCAGGTGAATTCCAATTTTACCCAAGCCAAGCTCAGCGTTCTTTGCCCTTAAAATAAGATCAGAATGAGCCCGAGGGAAAGGCACCCATGTTAAAAACTATATTTGGATCCCCTAGAGCTAGAAGAGACAAGCAAAAGCTGGAAGGCTGGGCCTGGCCTATGCACAACTTTATCTGCCCCTGGCAATGAATTCTAAAAATACAGACCTCTGACAGTCATCTATTTTAAATAGCAAACTTCACATATATAATCTCCACTTCTTCCTTGCTGCAAATTAATTTTTCATGATGAGGAAAGAATGACAGCTACATTTTGCTTTAGCAGAACAAGTAAAGGTGACATTTTGAATCTTGGAGCTAGCATTTCCTAGCTGTGTGGCCTTGGGGAGACAGTCTTCTTCCCTGTGCCTCAGTTTTCTCATCTGTAATATGAAGATATTAATAATATTCACCTATGTGACAGTTGGAGCCTGACACAAGTCAATTTGGTTATTTTCAATTAGTATGTCCTTTTGAGTAAATATTCGTAGTCTGCAACAATTAGTTGCAGATGGGGCTATAGTCTCTTCCCCAAAACCTCCCTTCTAGATAGATTCCACCCCAGATATACACATTATTAACAAGCTAGCAGAAAAACACAACCTATTCTGTAAACTTGACAAACTCTTAGCTGTCCTTTCAGATGCTTCAATTGCACTTGCATGAAAAGGTCACTCACTCAAGGTCAATGTCGAAATATTCAAGCTTTGGACACAGGCAGCAAGAACCCTCCAAAACATTAGCTAGACTGAGTCAGTTCAGAATCAAGCCTGGGGCATCATTCCAAAGGGTAGAACTATTGGGCTCCCTATAGATTCTTCTACCTGCTCATGCAGCAGAAAGATGCCTGTATAATATCACAGGCCAACCCACACATATTAAACATATAGTTTATCAATAGAAAGAAATTTTTCCCATCTGTTATGCTATTAGCAAAAATCTCTGGTTTTGATTGTAAAAATAGTTAATGCCTTGCAGTAGCTACCTCTTAAGAGTGCCCTTTGGAATAATCTTTCAAATATGAGCTGATTACCCCTGGGTGAGTCATTGGAGCCTCATATGAGGTAATACACATGCAATGCTTAGGACAGTCACTGGCAAGCAGTAAGAGCTCAGTGCACGTTGACTATTACTCAAAAGCCAAAAGTTAATTCCTATACATTTTCACATGAGGGCATTGTCATTGCTGGCCTGTATTCCTGACCTCAGTCTCATGAATGTTAGAAGACACAAGACTCATGGGTCAGAGACCAAAGATTTCATTGCTGTCAGCACAGCAGGCAGCATGAGCTTCCTTTTTATAGTGGGCTCCAAATAAGCCTGTGTGACCTTTGAGATATTACATTTATTTTATGGGACAACATGCAAACTTACTTTCTAGCCCATGGAAAAACACTGTCATCCAAGGGTGTTCACTAGACAAACATCCTTGAAAAGGCAATCTACAACAAAGGCTACCTGTGCCTTTGCTCACAAGATGTGCAGCAACACCAGTGACCCATGGAGAACACATCAATTTCTTCCTGTCTCCTCTCAAGCCTAAGAGTTCAAATGGGCTCACCGTCTGGCCCTTATAACAGTTTCTCTTAATGTTTGTGCTTCTCTTCCTGAAACTAGTGACCCCACACCCATCTCCTCTTCCCTTCCCACTATCTCTACCTGCATGGACCATGGTACATTCCTCATGGTCTCTCTTCCCAACCCTCCTTTCCCACACTGCCTTCTAAAAACACAGCTCTGACTGGATCCTGCCCTGGTCACAAGCTGACCATGGCTTCCCACAGCCTCCCAAATGAGGCTCTAACTCCTACAAGTCACTGTGTTCCTTATTAAATAACAAGCGTCTTGAGTAGAGGGAAACCAGGTCTTACTTATTTCTCTAGCACTTAGTAATAAATATTCATAGATCAAATTGTATAATGGGTTTCCTAGCTTTCCAGTCTTTAAATGTAAAAGACATAAATATCTAGTAAGCATGGGATAAGCTCAATGGAAAAAAAAAAAGAAAAAAAAAGCAAGCAGGAATAAGCCATTAAACAGCAGATTTTTCCTTGTACAGTTTTGTGTTTTGTTTTGGTGAGTAGGTATTTGCATTTTGGTTTTTTAACTACTTGTTTTGTTCATTAGCTACAGAAACCTTTCTTCAGTCAAAGTCTAACTCGGACATCCAAAATGCAGGGCTGCTCTACAGAGGGGTCAAGGGACACTCCCTTGGCATCCCCTTCCCTGCGGCTTCTGGCAAGAGGAGAGGGACTGCTCTTCAATACTCTTAGGCCAAAGAATTGAAACCCTACACTCAAAGAAAAGGTGCCTCATTCGGGAGATGACCATCCTTACAGGAATAAGCATTGTTCGCTTGGTCTGGCAAATATGATTGTACTTTGAGAGGTGATATTTTAATTCAGGTCTGGTCTTTTCAAAAACGCTAAACACATGGAGCGTGGGTAAGGAGCTCCGAGGGAAGTAGCAGCCATTCCCTTCTAAGTAATCTTCACCAGCTACAAGAGGGATGACCCCACGACCCCTGTTGATCCTGTTACCCAAGGTCAGCTCACATATCATTAAAAAGAGTCCGTTTCAAATAACGGGCACTTTCCCCTAAAGACCCAATATTCTTTTGCCATTAGTATCATGTTATTCAGAATCCTCTGGGCTTACTGGAATTTCTCTGAAGCATTTCAGATTCCTCAGGAATAATTTTAAAACATTAGAATTTCAAATAACGGCTTCAGGAGAGAGTGGCCTGTATCTGGCTCTCCTCCCCCAGCCCCAGTCTTGTGCCACCTAAAACAGCTTGGCCTGCCATCCTGAAGCCGGCTGTCAAGTCTCATCTGAGGAAGGACAACCAGATCAGCTGCTCTCGCCTCCCACTGTTCCCCACATCAAAGCCAAAGAAACAACTAGCTGGGTTGTTTAAGCAGGGCTGTGTGGACCTGGCTCTCACTAGCTCACAAGAACACACACTGTGCAGATTTCTTCCCAACTCTGTGTTCACTGACATCTCTTTTATAGCTTGAAGTTAGCCACAGTGGGAGTATTTACACCATGGAAATCGGCAAGCACAACAGGTCAGGATTTCTCCCACCCTACCCCACCTCCACCCCTTCCTCCACCCCCAGAGCCTGTTGTTAGCACTTACCAGCACACCAGTTTATTTGATAACAACTAGCTGCAGGTTTTTTTCACCTCTGCTTCATCAACAACGATAAATGGAAACTCAAACAGCCCATAATTTTTACCTTGTGGCAAGTACAGTAAAACTTCCATGAATTTCTACAGATTAAAAAAGCATGATCTCTCCTGTTGAGAGTTTCGGCCACCCACCTTTTATCAAGCTCCGTCTTCTAGAACCATCTCTCATTTCATCCATTAAGGCACTTCCTAAGCCTTTTGCCTCAAAATGTGCAATAAAAAAAACTGGTCTTTATTGCTGTCTCTCTCCAGGCCCCCTTGAAATTACATTTTCCGGTCTATAGCAATCTCCTTCGCCCAGAGGTAGCCTGTGAGGGGAACACCAGGTTTGATCAAGTTTCACTCTGTTTTCATTTGCAGTCTTGCATTGACTCACATTCAAGAACTACTTTACTTTTATGTCTCTTAAAAACCTCCAAGTTTTTTTTTTAATTTTATTATTATTATACTTTAAGGGTACATGTGCACAACGTGCAGGTTTGTTACATATGTATACATGTGCCATGTTGATGTGCCGCACCCATTAACTTGTCATTTAGCATTAGGTATATCTCCTAATGCTATCCCTCCCCCCTCCCCCCACCCCACAACAGTCCCAAGTTTTTGTAAGGGCTTGCCTCATGCACATCAGGCTCCATTGTGTGATGAATTCCCGGCCTCTGTGACTCTGTTTTGGTATTAGGCAGGCATGCTCCTTTGTGCAAATCAAGGGCACTGAGCAAGCTTTCGTGTGTTCCTAAACTTGGAGTCTACACCTGGGGCTAAGCCAATGCAGAATGTCAGGTGTCCATTCTCACCACAAAGAAATAGAAGCACCAAGTAATTAACAAGCAGGAGGTCAGAGCTGAGTTAGCTACTAACCTGATTGTCCTTAACACTTCATTTGTGCCTAACGTAACCAGAGGCCTCAGTCCTCTCTACTAGTGAATCCTCAAACTCTCAGCCTGTTGGGCCATTTTGATGTGACCAGTGCTTATCTAAAAGCAGAATATCTCCTTTTGCCTGCTGAAGTTCTGATGTTTAGTCTTCCCCATAGCTGTTAAGAAGCAAAGTGGTCTTTGGTTCTCTGCTGCCCCTCTCCCAAAGGCCCTCCTCTCCCGCTTTCTGCCCCCTGTGACCCCTCTCCACATGTTCCTCACTGGTGTTATCTAATCTCTACTAGGTATTAGCCCATGAAGGCGTGAGCTCATGCCTCTTAATGAGAAACTCCTGATGACCAAAAGGCCTCCACAGCCCAGGAATGGGTCTCAGCAGGTGGACTCTGGTCACTGGACAGGCAGGTGAAATGGAGAAAAAGAGGGAAATTGAGGAGCCGGGGACTTCCCCATGCCTCAACCCATGCACCCTAAGTGAACACCTGCTCCAGCTCCATGTGTGGTCTGCCCAGCAGAAGATGTCACATGGTGAGAATTATTTAAATCCTAGAGGGGAAGAAACAGAGTGGGCACTTAGCTCAACAGAGCCACCATTCCTTCAGGTTCAGGGGTCAGGAGGAAATCCATAGGACCATCTTCTTCAACATTTTTCCAACTTGCAAGTTGTGGATCAGGCCAGCTATGACCTCATGTCCAACCGGTAGGCAGAAGGGCAATAGCTGGGATGCAGAGACGGTAAGGGCAGCTGGAGTGTGTGTACGTGCATGCACATGTGTATACGTGAGTGAATGTGCTTGGGCACTTAGGCAGGGAGCATGTGGCAGGCATGATCCAATAGGACTGAGCTGATGGGCAGATGAAAAGAGACAAGAAAAGGTCATTCACTCCCCCAGTGAATCACCAGAAGTTCCTCCAACTGCGTCACCAACTGAACAAGGTTAGAAACCTCTAATACAGTGAAAGCCACAGCGAAATGATTCTAAGCCTTGCTGGAAACCAGCTTTTTAGTAAAAACTCGTGTACTCATTTGTCTCTGAACAGTATCCAGGACCCATTCTTTCCATTCAAAGAATTTTCAAACCCATTTCCTTTTGCAAACATCATTTGAATGGATGCACCGTGTGCATCTTATGTGGTTCAGGGTCTGGAGGCAGTGCTGTGTGTGTGTGTGTGTGTGTGTGCTGTGTGTGTGTGTGAAATCACAATGCTTAGCCTTTTTCTATGTTTGCGGCAACCTTTTAGGGGCATAAGTACACAAGCCAAGTCCCAGTTTGGCAGCCCTGAGAAACAGCTTAGCACCATGATGTACCCACCCAGCTCAATTTTGCACCACCAGAAAAAAATAGCTCTGTAGCTTGGCACTGAGCTTTGGGATGAAAGCAGGAATTTTCTGACCCACAGAACAACCTCAGAACCACCATGCCAAGTACTCAGCAGAGAAAGAAGATATGGAAACTCAGTTGATCATCCTCAGTTGTTAAAAAATATTAGAGTTCTGAAGGCCAAAAGAACAATCTGGGCCCTAAGTACTCATTGCTGTTGTTAGATGATTTACAGAGCTTAGATAACATAGAGTTTTAGTTTTTTAACAGCTCTGGCCCAGGGCTGTGGGAATCTTCTGTCCATGGTGGTTATGTCTAGAGTCACCCATGCTAGATGTGAAAGGGATTTCAAAAACTATGTACACCACATTGGTTGTCCCCAGGAAAGAAAAGGAGGACAATTAGGAGGGCAATCAAAGGGCTCCTGGGTACGGGCATCATTCTATTTCTCGACGTGGGTGGTATTGATACCCAAAGACCCCAGACCCCAGTGTTTGCTTTGTAGAGAATCGCATGCTCTGTGCACATTCCTGTATCCATGTTATTTTTTAAAGTTTTTTTTTTTTTTAAGAATTGTTTAGTCCCATCCCTTCTGCTATGGATTGAATTGTGTCTCCCCAAAATGCATCAGTTGAAGCCCTAACGCCCAGTGTGATTGTATTTAGAGATAGGGCTTTGTTTTAGCCCATTCAGGCTCCTATAACAAAATACTTTATACTAGGTCACTTATAAACAACAGAAACTTATTTTCTCATGGTTCTGGAGGCTGGGAAGTTCAAGATCAAGGCACCAGCAGTCAGCCTCTGGAGGGCTTACTCTCTGCTTCATAGATGGCACCTGGCTGCATCCTCTCAGGGTGGAAGAGACAAACAGGATCCCTTAGGCCTCTTTTATAAGGGCACTAATCTAATTCATGAGGGCTCTGCCCTCTCTAAAGGCCCCACTTTTGAATACTATTGCATTGGGGATCTGGTTTTAACATTTGAATTTTGGTGGGACACAAACATTCGGAGCACAGCAGGCATTTAGGAGGTAATTAAGGTTAAATGAGAGCAGAGCCCTGATCCTGCAGACTTAGTGCCCTTATAAGAAGAAACGCCAGAGAGCTTTCTCTCTGGGTGTGTGCATGCTCAAAGGAAATGTTATGTGAGGGCAAAGCAGCTGTCTACAAGCCAAGAAGAGAGAGAGGAGCCTTCACCAGAAACCAAATCTTGCTGGACCTGATCTTGGACTTTTCAGCCCACAGAACTGTGAAAAAATACATTTCTGTTGTCCAAGCCACCCAGTATGTAGTATTTTGTTACGGCAGCCCAAGCTAAGATACGTTCACGTTGCAAAAGGGCAAACTGAGACCCACACAGCCAAGTTTAAAAAGCAGATAGAGGGTTGGAATTGGCATCCTCATTACCAGTTTAGTTCTCTTTCCACTGTTATTTAGCAGTTAATCCATGGCCTGCTATGTTGCATGGGTCCGTTGCATATTTTCAAATGGATTGTAAACCGTCACTAAGGACTGTATCTCATGCTTCCTATTGCTCATAGGTTCCTGCACACACATACACACACATACTGTACAAGCACATACATACACACACACAGTGCTAAGATCATGGTGGATGCTGGCCTGTAAACCAAGCTGACCATCTATTACTCACTCTGGTTAACACAAAAAAACAATCCTGTTGTAGGCAAGCCCCTAACTCATGCATTCAAGTTTGCTCTCTTATATTCTCATTGTCTAGTCTCCTGCCTGAAATATCTGGTGGCGGCTCCTTTGGTTTGGGGATCTACAGGTTCCTGCTTTGTCCCCCTCGCTACTAGCTCCCATGGGCATACTTGGTGCTATTGGAGAGAAGCTACTCACAGTAACCCAGGCCCCCCAGTCTAGCCAAGAGTCATTCATTTTCGTGATTTGGTGTGGAAGGAGGGTAGAGGGAAGAGGGGAGGGGATTTGGTCATTGACGGATCAATATTTGGGAACTGATCAGACTCAGAAATGAAGCTAAGCTGGACAATGTCAAAGCCAATTGAGTAAAATGTCCAAGATACTGTCACTGGGTAAATCTTGAAAGAATTCTGCCAGCTACAAAAATGAGAAAACATAGATTGCTTAAGAAAGCAAGAAAAAAAATGGAGGGTGAGATGGGAATTGGGAGAAGTTGACTGACTCACAGAACCTCAATGTCTGCTGGACACGCTGTCAGCTGAGGACAGGAGAGGGGTCGAATAGGACTGAGAGATGACAGTCGAGACTCGCTCCCCCTGACTTAGACCTTCTCACGCTGACTTCATGCCTCACCTCTCCCCGCAACTGGGGAGCTAAGCTGAGTGAACTAAAAGGTCTCTCTAGCCCTCAGGGCCTCTTAACCCTCCTAAGAAAATAAAACCATGAATGCCACAGGCAACCATGAAAATGTACATTCCTAGAGAAAAGTTTTGCCCTGGTATGGAGGGCTTCACGCCCCATCAAGGATGAATTTCCAGAGAGCCAAAAGAGATTTATTTATGTAAAACTCAGGATGAAACTAGCTGCTAAGATACTTGGGATTTTGCCAGGGAAATAGTCTTGTATTGGCCACCAATCAGGCTTTTCTGAATTTGGGCTTTCTTACACAGGTGACTTCTGCCTAGGAAGGTCACCCAGGCTCCTAGAAGTTTTTAACAGAGTCTAAATGCTAGCTTTTACATGTCAGTTTTTGCACGCATATTCAGCATTTTGAAATGGCTCTAGTCCCTTAAAATGTCAGGCAAACAGAATCCAGGAATTCACGTCTGATCTCCACAGAGCCAAAAACTAAGGGCCCAACTTTGGCCTGTGCTCCAGCAGTAAAATTCAGCTTCAATATTGACATTCTATATTGCTACTTCTACTGTTTTCTTAGCAATGAAATCCACAAACCTTCCATTTCTGAACCTTTGCCCAGTTTGGAGAGCTGAGCCATCAAACTGAATTTTATCTTGTGAGGGTTAACAAGTTTGAGTCCAAATATAGCAGTCCTATGTACCTATGAAGATTTATTATCTATTTACGGCCACATTTGCACTGACGGAGTTTTAACAGCCTCTGTGTTACCAGAAACCACGCAGACCCAGATACTGTGGTTTTGACATTGTTGATACTGAAAAGAAATACCTTATTCCTTCAATGTTCCTCTGGAATGAAGTTACCACATATGAATCTGTTTCTTATAAGTTTAGAGCTTGCTAAGTGTGGTGAGGAGTCACATCCAGCCCGCTGGTTTACAAAGGAGGAAGCATGCTCAATGTCACATCTTGTTGGTGAACAAGGGCAACCAAAACCTTGGTCCAGAGCACCTCGCACCACACATATTGCTCACTCCACCTGTCACGTGAAGTGCAGAGAAGGATGTGTCCCAGGGGTGTGCATTGCACAGCAGCTATACTCATAGTTCCATGCAGGCAGAGGAGGATCATGGAGATTGGCTTCCTGCCATGCCCACGAGCACCCAATAGCCTCATCAGGAATATTAGCAGTTCTATCCAGAAGTACCATTCAGCATCCTGTAGATTGCCTGTCCTAGGGGACAACCCTAGATTGATGGATTAGTGCCCAATGTCCGTT
Source organism: Homo sapiens (assembly GCF_000001405.40). NCBI lineage: Eukaryota > Metazoa > Chordata > Mammalia > Primates > Hominidae > Homo > Homo sapiens. The sequence continues at coordinate 121,426,371 of NC_000010.11, forward strand.
GGTACCCAACAACAATTCTACCGTCTCTTGCATGCCTATGTGAGTTGCAGAGGCTAGAAAGCTAAAAACTACATTTCCCAGACTCCCCTGCATCTCAGTATGGCTGCGATTTCATCTCAGCCAATCAGATGCAAGCATGTGTGATGAGGAAAGTGGAAGTAAGGCTGAAGTAATGATTCTGTTGACTCTCCCTACTGATAAGAATTGGCTTGGAGCATTTAGCCTCTCGGCAGCAGGTGTTAGTGTCCGGCTTCGTGAGTGTCAGTGAGCAGGGGCACCCATTTTGCTGGTGTGGATCATAGCGGATGTGAGCTTGTTCTGGAGCTGGTGGAAGCAGCAGTGGCCTCCTGCCCAGGGTGCCTTCTGGACTTCAGGAGCCAGTGGTTTCCTTGTCGCAGAAGAGCCCGCATGTTCCCGGGTGGTCAGTTCTGCACTCTAGATTTGAGATTTCTTCTTGAATGGTCAGCCTGAGTCTCTTTCTTTAGCCTCAAAACAATTCTATAAGCCATTTGCCACTTTGGGGAAAAAAAATCAAAATAAAACCCTACTTGCTTAAACAATGTGCGTTGATTCTGTTCTCTGTAACTGAAACTTGAATGATACATCTAGAGAAGGCCTGAACTAGATCCACCCCCATATATTGAGCACTCACCATGAGCCAGAACCACAAATTGGCAATCTACATGACTCTCGTTTAATCCTCACAGATGGGGGAAAAAAGGAGAAAGTCAAATTGGTGAAAAACCTCCCGAAATCCCACAGCAGTCAGTAGCTAGTGCAGGAGAAAGTGAGGTGCATCTTGATTTCCAGCCTGGTTCTGGGAACATCATTAAAGGTTCTGAAGTGATGGAGTGCAGGGACCTGAGCCAGGACTCACAACCCCAACTCTGCTGCTTATTAGAAAATGGCTGAACTTCTTTGGACCTTGGTTTTCTTGCCTGTAAAGTAAGGCTGTAATAGTCCATACCCTGTAGGACTGCTGTGAAGATTAAGTAAGTTCATATACATAAGACGCTGATCCATGGCAAATGTGAGAGAACCATTTGCTTTTGCTAAGAATTTCCCCCAGCAAAAGGAGGAAATAGGACTTGAAGAAGTGACAATAAGGTGGTCTACTGACCTTTTCTGATGTCTTTAGAATAAGATGCCAGACTTACCAATACCTTGCCAATATTAACAGATTCAGGTAGCAACTGCAGAGGCAGCTGCAGTGTGACAATAAGACCATATGGAGTCTCTGGACCTGGGTGTGACTCCCAGTTCTCTATCTTTGTAGCATGCTGGCCTTGACCCTGTCCTTTAAAATATTTGATTCCTCATTTCTTTGTAAAGTTTCACACTGCTGTCCAGCTCCCAGGCTGTTAGATGAAATGAGAAGGAAGGTTTAGCATAGCTCCAGGAAGAGTGCTCCAGTCACCAGGCTTCTTTTGGTTGAGGTGAGGAAGCTCCATTTAACGTAAATCAGGCCACAAGCGAAATGCACTGATTGGTGGACTTTGAAGAGTCATGCGTGGAGCACGGGAAGTGCAGAGATGAAGCTAGAATCTCTCTCCTGGTCTCCAGTCTCTACCAAGGTTTCTACATCAGCACATTTTCCCTCACTACAAACTAGCTCAGAGCTGCAATCACCAGAAATAAACTGGCTTTGATGTTCTCTCCAGCCAAGAGTAGCCAATGACCTCCCTTTGCTAGGGAGTGGTGAGTTTCCCAGGACATGAAATTTTTAGTGCTAAAATTGGGACAGTCGTGCGCAAATTGGGAGAAGTTGGTCATCCTTCTGTGTTCTCACATTCAAAGGTAAGGACTGATTGGTCCAGCTTGGGTCAGAGGCCACCCAATACCAAGCTGACCAGCAGTGCAGGTTACATAAGAACACGTTAGCTCATGCAGTAGCTATGTCGATGTGGGATGGGAGGTGTCCCCAGGATAATGAGGGAGAGGGACATCAGGAAGAAAATCCCATCAATGTCACCTTGGTCCCAGAGTAGAGACTCAATGAAGGGTCCTATATTCTTTCCTTTAACATACAACAGCCTCATTAGTGTACCTCTATAAGACAATGGGAAGGAACTCAATGGAATCTCTGTGACTCCAGGAAAATTGGAACGGATTTGCATATTATATTTGGGTTTCAAAGTCAGAGCATAAAATAAACATCATATTTAGTCCAAATACCTACCTACCTACCTCTAAGCCTTGTCATCTCACTCAGCACGGGATGCCCCATTAAGAGAGCTGAGCAGGGATGGCAGCCAGGTGGGGACGAACAGGTTCTCACCTTCCATTGCAAAGTCACTTTGGGACATGGATCCATTGGACAAAAGGTGGTAGACATAGCCCTTTCTCCTTTGCCCAGAAGTTGCAGATAATATGGTGTTTTCAGATGCTGGGAGGTTATGAAACATATTTAAAAGATTAAGGCTCTTTGACGTAAGAAGGACAAACAGAAGTGTTAAATAGCACTAAAACTTCAAAAGCAAAGATCATTTAGGTGGATGCCATGGAGCATTTATCCTCCACAAAACAAAGAGGTTTTTTTTATTGTTTGGTCTTTCATAAAGAATTTCCAATAGTGATTTTGTATCATCGGTCAGAACAAGTCATCACAGCCAATGACTCTATACAAACAGTTGTGACAATGAAAAGCCCATTTTGCCTGGCTGAAGGCAGTCCTGTCTAAACCTGCCTGTCCTCCAGGCAGCAGCACCCACTGCAGATATTCAGGGCAACAAAGAAGAAGTTTCAATAGCAGAAGGCAGAACTGAGCAGTAAAGCAACACCAAAGATTCTTTTCTGAACAGCAGCTGTAGAACCAGGCAACTCCCCCAGGCTCTAAAGTGTGGCTGACCTGACAATTTTAGAGAAGTTTTTGAAGGGATTTTTTTTTTTTTTTTTTGATACAGAGTCTCACTCTTTTCACCCAGACTGGAATGAAGTGGTGTGATCTCAGCTCACTGCAACCTCTGCCTCCTGGGTTCAAGTGATTCTCCTGCCTCAGCCTCCCGAGAGCTGGGATTACAGGTGCCCACCACCACGCTCAGCTAATTTTTGTACTTTTAGTAGAGATGGGGTTTCACCATGTTGGCCAGGCTGGTCTCGAACTCCTGACCTCAGGCGATCCACCCTGGCCTCCCAAAGTGCTAGGATTATATCGTGCCCAGCCTTTTGAAGGGAATTTACACCTGGGATTGACTTTTGCTCTTCAACCCCAGTTTACCTGAACCAGTCAGGAGGAGGTGCCTGCAAGCTCCTACTTATCCCCAGCTTTGATCTGTTGGCCCTATCTGGAATCTGACTCCAGTGACACCTGTAACCTCATTATAGCTTCATGTCAAATGAAAACTGTGCCTTCTGCACCTTATGCAGCTTTTTTCAGGGACATCTTGACCCTCTCAAAATTTCCAGACCACCATCCCCCCCACTGTCGGGTAAATGGGTTTGTTCCACCCTTTACCCCACCTTTTTCTGTCCCAAGCTGCCCATGAGGTCATTCCACCTCTCCTCCTGTCTGCCCTCAGCCCCACTATGACCTTGTAAGCAGCTTTCTCTGCATGGGGACCAGCCTCCTTGTGTTAGTCTGTTTTGCGTTGCTGTAGAGGAATACCTGAGGCTGGGTAACTTACAAAGGAAAGATATTTATTGGGCTCACAATTCTGCAAATTGTACAAGCATGGTACCAGCATCTGCTCAGCTTCTGATGAGGCCTCAGGAATTTTTTACTCATGGTAGAAGGGGAAGGGAGAGCAGGCACATCACATGGAGAGAGGAGCAAGAGAGCTGCCAGGCTCTTTTAAACAACCAGCTCTCATGTGAACTAATAAACTCACTCATTACCACAAGGATGGCACCAAGCCATTCATGAGGGATCCACCCCCATGACCCAAGCACCTCCCACCAAGCCCCACCTCCAACATTGGGGATCACATGTCATGATGAGATTTGGAGGGGACAAACATCTACTCCTACACCTGCTTGCTCCAATCCTTGACCACCCATTTCCACTGACCTGATTCTCCACTCCCATTCAGCTATCCCGTGGCCTTCACTGCAGAGTGTCCCACCTCTGAAATCACAGATTCAGATATTTGTCTTTCAGATCACTGCCTCTCTTCCCTCTGGCTTGGTCTTTCAGTGACTCCCAATACTCCACTTATTTGTCCTGTTTTCTGTTCACTCTCCCCCTCCCTCCCTCCCTATCTTTACTTTCCATATTCAACATGGGTTTATTCAAACTTTCTCCTACCAACATCCTAAATTCCTTGCCCATTATTCTTCCATGGCTGTCACTAGGTGAAACTTGAATACCACATCTACTCAATGGTTCATCTTCACCACGTGCACCCAGTATTGTTGAGTAAAGACCACATTCAAACAGATCAGTGTCACCCTGCAGTCACATCCACAAACACCATCTGGGCCTTTCATTCTGCCTGGCACTCCAATTGTATGTATCTCCTTGGTCAGTTCAACTTTCCATTCTCCATAATAATAATTTCTAACTTGCATTGTGTTCAAACACCCTCCCTACTCTCCACCCTCCTCATTTTCAGCAGGTAACGGAGAAATGAGTATCCTTTGTTGGAGGGAAATGTCCCAAATGTCCACCACATCTCCAAAGCTGCCCATTCTTCACCCCTTCCCTCCCACCAAAAGAGACGGCCCAGTCCCCCTGTCCAAGGGGAACATCTTCACCCAAGTTCTAGAGCCAACCCCTCCCCATCTTAGAAGCCCCTTGCTGTCAGCTCATCACCCTATACCTGCATCTGCGTCCTCACCCTGGATACTCAACCTCCCTTTCTCTAATGACTCTTTTTGTCAGCATTTAAGCCCTCAAGTATCTTATATCTTAAAACAAACTCTTCCCTCCCTCCCTTGCCACTGCCAGCCACCATCATATTTGTAGCCTCCCTCATGGCCAGACTTCTTTTTTTTTTTAAAGACAGAGTCTCGATCTTGTCGCCCAGGCTGGAGTGCAATGGCGCAATCTCGGCTCACTGCAACCTCTGCCTCCTGGGTCCAAGCGATTCTCCTGCCTCAGCCTCCCAAGTAGCTGGGATTACAGGTGCCCACCACCATGCCTAGCTAATTTTTTTGTATTTTTAGTAGAGACAGGGTTTTGCCATGTTGGTCAGGCTGGTCTTAAACTCCTGACCTCAGGTGATCCGCCCGCCTCGGCCTCCCAAAGTGCTGGAATTACAGGCATGAGCCACTGCGCTCGGCCAAGCCAGACTTCTTAAATGGGAACTCTTGTTTCCCAAGCAGAAGAGAAAGAAGCCTGATACCTAAGACTACGTATTATATATGATACCATTTACATGGAATTTCTAGAAAGGGCAACATTATAGAAACAAAAAGCAGATCAGTGGTTGCCTGGGGCCATAGGAGAGTGGAATTGACAGAGAATGGGCCCAGGAAACTTTGAGGGTTATGGGAATGTTATAAACCTGGATTGTGCTAATGGCTGCACAACTTATAAATTTATGAATACTCATCAAACTGTATATTTGCAATGGGTGAATTATTTGATATGTAAACTATATCTTAGTAACAGTGTGTGTGTGTATAATTTTTTTCTTTTTTTTTTTTTGAGGCACTTGGGAGACTCGCTCTGTCACCCAGGCTGGAGTGCAGTGGTGCGATCTCAGCTCACTGCAAGCTCCACCTCCCGGGTTCACGCCATTCTCCTGCCTCAGCCTCCCAAGTAGCTGGGACTATGGTGCCCGCCACCATGCCTGGCTGATTTTTTTGTACTTTTAGTAAAGAGGGGGTTTCACCATGTTAGCCAGGATGGTCTCGATCTCCTGACCTCATGATCCCCCGGCCTGGGCCTCCCAAAGTGCTGGGATTACAGGCGTGAGCAACCATACACGACCATTTTTTTTCTTTTTCTCTGAGACAGAGTCTTGCTCTGTTGCCCAGGCTGGAGTGCAATGGCGCAATCTCGGCTCACTGCAACCTCCACCTCCAGGATTCAAGCAATTCTCCTGCCTCAGCCTCCCAAGTACCTGGGATTACAGGCACCTGCCACCATGCCCGGCTAATTTTTGTATTTTTTAGTACAGATGGGGTTTCTCACCATGTTGGTCAGGCTGGTCTCGAACTCCTAACCTCAGGTGATCCACCCGCCTCGGCCTCCCAAAGTGCTGGGATTACAGGCGTGAGCCACCGCATCTGGTGTGTGTAATAATTTTTTAGGTCAGAAAGCAGAAGGAAAGGGAACCTCAAAAGCTTAGATCTGAGAGGACCAGACTGGGGCATGAACAAGGAGTTTGAGTGCCCTTGATACTGGATGGATTCCCACGTTGGGCAAAAGGGAGTTAGAAGGCAAGTTAACTGAGACAACTGTGGGTCCTTAAGGAGGAATCCCAAACCACACTCCCATACACACATACTCTAAGAAATGAGTGTAGAGGAAAGATGAGAAAATCTAAGAATGATTACTGGAACCCTGGGTGGAAGAACCGATGCACCGTGTCCTGGGTGGAGCACCCAAGAATGTGGCCAAACTTCAAAAAGATGACTATACTTTGTCTAGGCAGACAGAGCCCTGGCTCCTTAGATAGGTGTGAGGGCAGCAGATGTTTCCTTGGCACCATGACATGGCACAGAAAACCTTTACCCCTGGGGGAGACTTACGAAAGGGAAAGAGGCCAGCTGAGCTGCAACCTTCATGGACCAGAAGGGGCAATGGACGACTCAGTAGACATCAGCATGAATAGGTCACTCTTAAGGGCCTGGCCCCGTGACCTCATAAGCCCCTGTATTTTCAGGCCCAACCCCAGAAACAGAGGAACGTTTCTCTCAATTGACAAAGAATTGATTTCTGCCATCCTGAAGTTCAAAATAGACATTAAATTGAGAATTTAGCTAAATAAAGGAATCCACCTTTTGGGACACCTGAATTGATGAACCACTCTACAGAGGACTGGGCATCCCCCACAGAGCAGGCAAAGAAAGGGCAAGGATGCCAAAATGAGACTAAGATGGCCCAGTTCTCCCAAGTGAATCCAAACCAGGATCTTCATTTTTCCTAGATTAAAAAAGAAAAATGGGCCAGGCGTGGTGACACACACCTGTAATCCCAGCACTTTGGGAGGCCAAGGTGGGCAGATCATGAGGTCAGGAGATCAAGACCATCCTGGCCAACATGGTGAAACCCATCTCTATTAAAATACAAAAAATTAGCCAGGTGTCATGGCAGGCGCCTGTAGTCCCAGTGACTCAGGAGGCTGAGGTAAGGTAATCGCTTGAACCCAGGAGGCGGAGGTTGCAGTGAGCCGAGATCACGCCACTACACTCCAGCCTGGTGACAGAGCAAGACTCCATCTCAAAAAACAAAACCAAACAAAGAAAAACTACCTTAAAGCCTCTCAAAGCTACAGGGAGAGTCAATGCTTTTAGCATTGATGGTTTTTCCTCTTCTTACCAAGTCAGTGCTTCATATTTATTGGGTGTCAGAGACCATGGTTGGACAAGGCAGAGGTGGAGAGCATGGAGGAAGATGGCCTCAGCCACAGTGGCAAGAGTCTTACTTCCCACCCAGTGCCTCCAACCAGGAGGGACCCCAGCCTCTAACCCACAGCCAGCCTGAGAACGGGGTGTTGTGCAGAGGGTGAGCAAAAGCCCTGTTCACAAATGCAAGAGCCTGACCCCACCATTGCCAGCTTCAAAGCCCTGAGCAGGCGACACCTCAGGGACACTCGCTCCCTGTGCAGGAGGAAGAATATGGGACCAGCTAAGGCAGGAGGACTGGGATCCTGCACACATCATTCACGTGACTCAGCAAGTGACTTCGCCTCCCAGCTTTGTTTTCCCTCCTGGGTCACTTCTGGCTAGGGAAGGTGGTGAGAGAGCAACAAGGATCAGTGAAGACTATCCACGTAGCTCCTTAAAGCTGAGTTCTGACACCCAGGCCCCAGCGGCTCACACTCCACAGCTGAAGAGGAGTTTGTTGTGTGGTCCCAGACACATCCCTCCTCCCACATCTGACAATAAGGCCAGTGCTCTGAGCTTCTTGTCACACAGAATGCCATTCCCTTCTGCCACACTTCCCAGCCACCCAAGAGTCGTGATCTCGTTTTTCTTCCTACCCTTTGTTGTCAAACAGTTACGCTGGCAGGACAAACACTACAAATCTTACCTTTTCTTAGCAATTGCATTGATTAAAAGATCTATGTCTTTCCTCAAAGAAAGAGATTATAGGAGTGAGACACAACCCTTGGAAATGGACATTTTACCAAAACGATGCAAAATCGAACTATGGGGTCCCAGTGGATGAAAACTATTCCCCCAGCAAAATTTTTTTGTTTCCTTTTTCTTCTGTAAGAAATCATCAAAGCAAGACGATATGCACCCAGGCCACGGCCATTCGTTGGCACTGCCTGGGGAGCCTGCCGCTCTTGGTCTTCCTCTCCTGGGATCTGAAAAATCAGCAAGGAGTCACAACTTGAGCTCCAGGCCTTCCTGCGCAAGCGACCAAGTAGCAGTGAGCCGTGTCACTGCGGGGCCGGGGCCTGAATGCAATCCTCATTCTAACCACAAATCCCAACATTCGAGGACACACTTCTGGGCATTTTCTTTTCTACCTTTCCTGAGTCTTTTTGTTTTTTAAAGCTAATATTTTAAAAAATATTACATAAACCTGTGTTATCCCACTTGGGAGTTTTTGTTCCAACTAAGGTTTGGAATTTTTTTCTAATTTTCAGACAGTAACTGTAACAAAAATTCACACCAGCCCTGGGCTCCTCTTTTGGCAAGACGATGTAATAATTCCATTCCAATTGACTCAGTCTGTTGAAGTTGATGTTCCAAAATGGTCTAACACCCACTTTATTAACATTAGAGCTAATTTCTTTTGAAGGGAGTTTAAAGCAGCCAGGACTTAGATTCTGGGGTTAATTGGTCTGTTTGCCACTGTTTGTCAGGGCCGTCTTTAAAGAACATCTTCAAAGACTTGCTCTGATACTCGCTCCCGCATTGTCTGAAATGCCTCAAATGCCTTTATCAATGCCAAAAAATGCAGTGAGTGAAAGGGCTTTTTACTTAATTATTTCTGAAAACCAAAAAGGGGATTCCATATAGACAGTTAATGAGAATTGACACAATGAAATTAAAATGCATGTTCAAGCCACAAAAGCCAGAAGAGCCACACTTCTAACCAGGGCAGGCAATGGGAAGAGTCCATCCTACCCCAGCCCTCCGCCTCACACTCAGGGATGGGGCTTCATTTTCTTATCTCTTGAAATTGTTTCCATTTTCAAACCCGAGCTGATTTGGTTGCACAGGTTGCTTAGCAACCCACGGGACAACAGTATTTGGTTTTAAGATGCCAACATCTGCACATCATTCAAAGTATAATTTTTAATTCAAAAACTTATGTCTGGAGACAGGGAAGAAAATGTAACTTTGAAAAATAAAACAGAACTGGATTTCTTCATACAAGTCCTCCTGCCGCCCCAGTCCCCACCCCTAAGCAATTCATGGATTATGTGGCTGCTTTTCGCAATTCCATGTCTACATTCATATTTTTTCCAGTTTCTTTTCTGGGTAAATAAGAGTAGGAAAGGAGAGCAAAATGGAGCATTTCTTCAGGTGTCCAGAAGAAAAGTAGAAAAACCTGCATTTTATCTCTAATGTAATTAGGAACGCTTCAGAGCAGAAGACAAAAATATCTGGGCCTCCATTTTATTGAGAATTACGGTTATTGTGGATCCAACGTTCTGCCTAAGTCGGATAAGAATCAGGATATGTCTCTTGACAGCCATTCTATGATGGGGCACTTGGTCTACACTAAGATATTCTTTGCTACATCTGGAGAACCCAAGGCTACTACTTCCCCCAACCAAAATAAGTAAATGGCAACCCCAAAATGAAATCAGAGAAACCAACCAGCAGAGAAACTCAGATATCCAACACCTAATCAGGAGTTAACTTCGTGATCTCTAAATACAGCTCACATTTTGAGAACCTTGGTCTCCATTATGTCAAATCCAGACACGGCTGGGTGCTGTTTTGGGCCTGGCATTTCTTGGAAATTGCACCTTCCAGTTCTTGCCGTTGTTTAAACTCCCAGGTATCAATATATTTGCATGTTGTTTGAGGAAAAATGCAACAGAAACCGCCACAGGGGAATCAGATTTGGAAAGAATAAGGGCAACTCCAGAACAACACCTTTCTTTTTAAAAAACCCAAATGGCAGTGCAAACTGATGCTATCATTCCACTGGCCTCTGCTTGAGCGAATACATTAGCCTCAGCTCCTTCTAATCTGGAGAGGTCACATTACCTGCTGGAAAGCAGAGGAAACCCTAAATCACTTGACGCCAGAAAAAATAGCCAGGAAAACTCGAGTGAGCAGAGGAACCACAGATCTCCATTTAGGAAAGGGTCTCCTTAACCGGTCAGCTTCGGAAGGGCTTTAACTAGGAGATCCTCCAGCAGGAAAAACAAAGGGCTTGGTGCTTTGCTAAAACAAAAACACACAAACACAACTCCCTCACCTTTCAACATAACACCCTAACCCATTGTTAGGTTCTGGCCACTAGGATTTTTTGCCCAGAGCAGAGATCTGATTACTGTTATCTCCACTTGCATAACTACAAATGTTATCATTACTTCTCAACTGATATGGCTCTGTTTTACAAACACAATGGAAGGCTGTATGTACACTTGCCCTCTCACCAGAAGGGCTGGTTTAAAATAGATGAAAAAAAGAGAGAAGAAAGAGGGGGCTGGGAACTGAAAGGCAGGCCTGCTGAATGAGCCTTTCAGAAAGAATTATGTGATAGGTTTTGTGTGTGTGCTTTTTAAAAACGCTGCTGCCAAAGCTCAGAATTGAAAAGTATGCAGTGGGCATTGTTTCAGAAACACAATGATTTATTTTGCTGGTTCATTTTCAAACAAGGGCTTTCTCCTTATTCCCTGAAATGTGTTTTGGGCCCAAATCTTCAAAATGTGAGGAACAGAAGTTATGCAGAGAGCCGGGTCCGATTCAAGATAAACAAGCATTATATTATAAATATGACAGTGGCATATCCCTGGCCTCCAAAGAGCCTCGTCTGTTTGCCCAGACTGCAGGCATTTTCTCCATCCAAAAAAAAAAAAAAAACCCCAAAAAAACCCAAAAAACAAAACAAAAAAAAACCTCACAGGGGTAGAAGCAGGGTTCCTCTGGTCAGCCTTCCTGGCTGCAGGGCCGGAGAGAGGCCTGGTCATTGAGCCCCTCAAAGCCAGAGCTTGTATACACAGGCTGGGTCAAAATCAGGAGTACAAGACATGTGGCTTCTTTGTTTTCCTGGTCCCATCCCACAAAGCTGAAGCCTCATCCCCGTTAATTCCCACTCTGTTTCCTCCAAGATTGCATGGAAGTTCCTGGAGGCTCACTCGGGCCTGGCTGTGGGAGGTAGGCCAGAGAAGGGGAAGGATCTGATCCTCAAGGGGGCCATCTGTCCACACAGCAGCTACTAGCAGGACTCTCCTGCCTCTGGCCCTCTGCCCACGCCACTCTTAGCCATACTGGACTGCAGAGTTTGCACCGTGAAGTGGGCAAAGCTTTGCTGCAGGCCCTCTCAGGTTGGGCCCCTTCTAGAACCCTTACTTGATTTTTTTAACAATATATTTTTTTAATTATAACTAATTCACATGCCATAAAATTCACCCTTTTAAAGTGGACAATTCGGTGTTTTGTAGTATATTTGCAGACGTGTCCAATGATCACACAAATTCCAGAACATTTCATCACCCCCAAAAGAGACACTGCCTGTATCTCATCTGAAATTTATCATTTCTAATTTTGTTTTCTAAAGAGGGTCTCAAATTGTTTAAACCTTAAGTCATCTAACAATTAAATTCACCTCTGGATTCAGAGACCTCCTGTAAAGCAGCCTCAGGTCAGCCTCCCTAAGATCACTGGACAGATCATTCTACTCCAGAACCAGAGACCCCGGGCGATGGGAGGCGTGGATGCCCTGGATCGCAGATCCCCGCCACCTGCCTGGGGTTTCTGGTTTTACCACCATTTCCCCAGGTCCTGGGCAGGATGCACAGTCCCCTCTGGAGGACCCAGCTAAACCCAACCTCTCTTGCTTCTCTGGGGCATCTCCCCAGTCCTGAGAGCATGGGGACCCCATAACCTAACTCTTCATCTAGTTCTCCTTTTAAGCCCAAACCACAAGAATTTGACTCTCTCATTCTCTGAATTGTGTCATCCCTTATCTGAGGCTGGGAGGAGAAAGAAGTAGCTGCCTCATCAAAGGTCACAAAATAACTGAAAGTAATGCTTGGAAGTTGCTGAGAACAGCCATGGACATCAGGCTTAAGTGGTACAGGGTTCACCTGCAGCAGAAAGGAGAAAGCAAAGGTACAACACCCAGCCGCTCCCCAGCTTTTGGTCCCCTAAGGCCATCGGATCTGCTCTGTAGCTGAGGTAGGTGATGGGGCTGCGTACAGCCTGCTTCATGCTGCAGTTGAAGAAAAGGACCCACTCTTCCCCTGTGGGGGGGATCACAAAATAACTGAAAGTAATGGTTACCAAAACCCCTCCAGGGCCAATTTATCCAATTACTCTCCTGATACACATGGCATAATACAGCTCCAGACTTGCAGCAATTGAAATGTCACTGCCTGGAGGCTGCTCCAAGCAGAGCCAAGGGTGATGCCAAGTGGCCTTGTAGCAGGAACCCTCCCTGAGATTCATACCCCTTCCTCAAAAAAGGAGGTGGCTTTATGAGCCATCTAAAAAAATTTTTTTTAAATAAAAAAAAAGGACCCAGGGCTCCTTTCCCCTTGACACTGCCACCTGAAGAAACAGTGGGGCTGGGAGCCATGGTTGCAAAGATGAAGCTCTGCTCAAAGAATCAGGGCCCAGGGGGTCCTGGTCTACCATAAAATCATTAATTTGGGGTTATATATTCACTTTCACACTCTGAACCTCCATTTACCACCTGCAACATGCCAAGCTACTTTGGTTGTAGTTCTCTAGTACTCCCTGGTGAGATCTCATCTCCCTTCAGGGATCACTTGATTTGTGTTTTTACTTGATTTCACTTAATTGAAAAGACTGAGAAATGGATGGAACACAAAGAAAGCCCAAAATTCCCCTTGGGTGGCCCAGGGCAAACATCTGAGGTCATTTGCTGCCCTGGAAGAAGACTGTCTGAATGATGGAGCCAGGCCAGGTGGAGGAGCCCCAGGTCAGCTTTCTATCCTGGGAAAGAGGAAAGGAAGCCAGCACTTTCCAGTCACTTCTACATCAGTAAATGGCAGGCCTGAGGTTGGAGCCATCACCAAGGGTCCAAATAGTGGTGGTGAGGGTAATGGTGACAATGATAATGGCAGCAGCTCCCCTGTGTTCCCTTGCCAAGCACTGTGCAGTGCAGTTCACATTCAGGACTTTGTTTACTTCTCACCACCATTTTATGATGCAGGTACTGATATTATCCCTGTTTTGCAGATGAGGAGAAAGCACATTAAAGAGGTGAGAACATTTGACCAGGGTCATACAACTAGGTATTGAGAGAGAAGCACTTTCACTCCGTCCACCTGCCTCTGGACTCTTGCTCTTAACCACTGCTCTACGCTTCCTCATCTGGGAAAGGCCAAGAACAGGCCATCCTCTGGTTCCAGTGCAGAGATGGCCTTCCCAGCCTGGACCAAGCAATGAAGTGGGTTTAGGCTTCCCTCATGTTAGGATTGAACTTTTATTGCTTTATTTTCTATGGGAAATGGATATCTGACCTCAAAAGTAACTATTAATATCTCAATTATCTAGGGGAGAAAATGCAACCCTACCTCACACCACATGGCCAAATAAATTCCATCTGTATCAAAGATTAAATGATACATTGAAATCATAAAAATACAAGAAAAATAGTATTATAATATTGGAATGGGGAAGACTGTTATAAGTAATCACTTAACTTAAAAGTCTTAGAAAGAAAAACTGGAGCACTTGAACACATTATTTTTTTTTCCTGGGAAGGAAAACAATGCTATTAATAAAGCTAACGGGTAAATGATAAACATATCACAAACAGACATCAGTTGCTTTATAAGTATCTCCTACAAAACAAAGGCCAACAGAAAATATAGGCGAAGGCTATGAAAAGCTCATAGCAAAGAAATTATGACAGTCTTTTAAAATATATTAAAAGGTGTACACCATTGCTCATAATAAGAAAGTTCCAAATTAAAACTCCCCATCTGGTTGCCAAAAACCTACAAGGATCTGCAAGAGTGTGGGGAAACACATTCTCAACCAGTGGATGGAGGTCATGCACATCCACTCAGCCTCCAGGGACAGCAATTAGGCAATCAGTATTTGATCATGCAATTCTACTTTTAGGAATTCAGACTACAAATATGTGCAGATATGTAGGGAGTGGTTATATACAAGAATATGTATTGTATCATTGGTTTTAATAGTGAAAGTTTAGTGGTAACCCAAGTCATAGAATAGAGTATAAAACTGGTTAGGGCCAGGCGCGGTGGCTCACACCTGTAATCCCAGCACATTGAGAGGCCGAGGTGGGTGGATCACGAGGTCAGGAGATCGAGACCATCCTGCCTAATATGGTGAAACCCCGTCTCTACTAAAATACAAAATAAATTAGTCAGGCATGGTGGCACACGACTGTAGTCCCAGCTACTTGGGAGACTAAGGCAGGAGAATCACTTGAACCCAGGAGGCAGAGGTTGCAGTGAGCTGAGATCACACCACTGCACTTCAGCCTGGGCAACAGAGTGAGACTCCATCTCAAAAAAACAAAAACAAAAAGCTGGTTAAACAAAGTATGGAACAGAATGCTACATGGATGTAAAAAAAGATGACTTGTGCAAAAGAATTAAATTGGACCCTTACCTTATATTATATATAAAAATTATCTCAAAATGAATCAAAGGCCTGAATTTAAAAGCTAAAAATATAAATCTCTTAAAAGAAAACACAGGAGTAATTTTGCATTATATTGGTTTTGGCAACGGATTCTTAGATATGACAGCAAAAGCATAAGCAACAAAATTTTTAAAAAAAGATCAATTGGACTTCATCAAAATTAAAAACTTTTGTGCATCAAAGAATACTGTCAAGAAAGTGAAAAGACAGACCACAGAAGAGAGGAAAATATGTGCAAATAATATATCTGATAATAGTCTAGGATCTACAATATGTAAATAACTCTTACAACTCAACAACAACAACAGAAACAAAACAAAAAACTCAATTAAAAAAAGGGCAAAGAATCTGAATAGACAACTTCTCCAAAGAAAAGATACAGCCAATAAACATATGAAAAGATGCTCAACATCATTAGTCATTGGGGAAATGCAAATTAAAACTACTGACTGCTTAGTGGATACAGTTTCTTTTTGATATGATGGAAATGTTCTGCAATTAGATAGTGGTAATGGTTGCACAACACTGAATGTACTGGAAGCCACAGAATTGTATACTTTAAAATAGTTAGAATTGTGAATTTTATGTTATAGTAACTTTTGCCTAAATTTAAAAAGGATCAGGAAGTTCTCTGTACCAATAGGAATAATCCCCAGGATATAGTTTTAAGAAAAAAAAAAAGCAAGTACACCACTACAGAACAAAGGGTGTACATGTTATCATCAACAGAGTTCTTAATGCATTAATTGACCATGTTTTAATAAAGTGTATCCCTCTGGAGGAAAAGCAGAGAAACAAAATCATATCCAAGTCATCTCTAGACTCAGAGGATGAACACCCCCTTGTCCGAAGGCCATGTAGCTGTTCAGTAAGTGCTTGCCATCAGGCCTTGTTTATGCAGAGTGCAAAAGCAGTTAGGCTGCCCCCATTCACCCCAGCTCATACTGGGCCAAGTGCAGGCAGCTTCTGGATAGGGCTCACGTCCTCTGGCACAGCCACCTCCTTTGTGCCCTGTCATAACAAGCTGAGCAGGGGGCCCAGGGAAGCTGATCAGTATGGAGTCCTATTATGTCCATTTTCCCCACAACCAAAGCTGAGCTCACAGGCCCCCAGCCAGCCAGTCTGATCCATGGCAGTTGCTTCAGTTCAAGGGAGTTGCATATCCAATTCTGCTATGGACGGCATGTTAGTATCCCCTGAAGTTCACATAGGGAAACCCTAACCCTCAGTGATATTAGGAGGTGGGGCCTTTGGGAGGTAATTAGGTTTAGATGAGGTCATGAGGGTGGAGCCCCAATAATGGGATAAGGAAGAGACTAGAGTTTGCTCTCTCTTGCAGGAGGACACAATCAGAACGCAGCTGTCTGCAAACCAGGAAGAGAGCCCTCAACAGACACCAAATCTGCTGGCACCCTGATCATGGGCTTCTAGACTCTAGTGAAAAATAAATTTCTGTCGTTTAAGACACTCAATCTATGGTATCTTGTTATAGCAGCCCAAACTGACCAAGAAGAGAGATAACAAAAAGATTCTCAGCTCTACCTGCCCAGCACAGGCATGGAGTCAGCTTGAACTGGATGCCCCTATGGTGTAAGCATCTCACCATGCCAATTGCCATTTCAGTGTTAAAAAATAAGCATTTTCAGGCCAGGTGCAGTGACTCACACCTGTAATCCCAGCACTTTGGGAGGCCAGGAGTTTAAGACCAGCCTGGCCAACACGGCGAAACTCCTTCTCTACTAAAAATACAAAACTTAGCCAGGGATGATGGCCTGTAATCCCAGCTACTCGGGAGGCTGGGGCATGAGAATCACTTAAACCCAGGAGGCGGAGGTTGCAGTGAGTGGAGATGCACCACTGCACTCCAGCCCAGGCAACACAGCAAGGCTCTGTCTCAAAAAAATAATAGTAATAGGCCAGGCGCAGTGGCTCACGCCTGTAATCCCAGCACTTTGGGAGGCTGAGGTGGGCGGATCACGAGGTCTAGGAGTTCGAGACCAGCCTAACCAATATGGTGACACTCCGTCTCTACCAAAAATACAAAAATTAGCCAGACTTGGTGGCTCATGCCTGTAGTCCCAGCTACTCGGGAGGCTGAGGCAGAAGAATCGCTTGAACCCAGGAGGTGGAGGTTGCAATGAACCAAGATGAAGCCACTGCACTCCAGCCTGGGTGACAGAGCAAGAGTCTGTCTCAAATGATAATAATAATAATAATAATAAGCATTTTCATATAGCATGATCCATAAATTAAGCCAACTACTTCACCTGGTGCTCAACACACACACACACACACACACACACACAAACATAAAACTGTGATCAGTTCCAACACCAGAGGAAAAACTGGCTGAAAAGAACTTTTTGAGAGACTACATAGTACTGTATTTTATGGGTGATTTTTGAAGGATTTTTAAGGATAATTTTGACCATATGTGACTCTCACTTCATGTGATGGCTTTACACTCTAGCCTCTGAGTTAAATGTGACTCCACTGTAATAAAAACAGGGTATAGCTGACTGCCTTGTGTAGGAAATGAGAACCAAGAAATGGACAGTTGGTGGGGCACAGTGGCTCACGCCTGTAATCCCAGCACTTTGGGAGGCTGAGGCGGGCGGATCACCTAAGGTCAGGAGTTTGAGACCAGCCTGGTCAACATGGTGAAACCCCATCTCTACTAAAAATACAAAAAATTAGCCAGGCTTGGTGGTGGACACCTGTAATCCCAACTACATAGGAGGCTGAGACGGGAGGATCACTTGAACCCAGGAGGCAGAGGTTGCAGTGAGCCAAGATCGAACAAGAGTGAAACTCCATCTCAAAAACAAACAAAAAGAAATGGGGATAGCTGTGTAGGTGCTGCCCAAAGTTCCCACAAGCATCCCTCACTTTCCCCTCCCGCAAGTATGTGCTGATCACGTTCGTTACACAGGTACACGGGACAAGTCAGCACGTGTTGAAAACTTACCATGTCCCAGTAATCTATATGCAAATCTCATCCAAATTTATAATATTTATAAAAGGTAAGAAATTGTGTCTTCATTTTATAGGAGGTGGGGAAACTGAGGCTCAGAAAGGCTAAATATTAATAGTCAACACCCAGTCAACTGGAAGATGCAGTGGTGGCCAAAAACCTGAGATCCAAAGCCCACGTTCTATCCACCTCGTCACTCTGTCTTCCACCTCTAGCCAAATCACACTGATTATCTCAGCTCACCTGCTTTTTCCCTCCTGTGCTGATTTATTTCTTCAGTTTACATCCAACTGAGTCCCTTCTACTCAAGCAGCTTCTTTATCTGCAAATACCCGCTGGGGGAGATCTTAAGACTACACCCACCCAGAAATGTGTTTCTTTCAGCTTGAGCATACATGCCCAAGCCGGCCCTCTGGGTCCCTAAAACTTTGCCTCGCAGCGTGAACCACTTTCTCCAGTAGCTTCTCAGCCATTCCACTAACATTTCTAGTCTCTTTCTAACCCCTTGGTATTCCAAATCCTGCTGGCTTCCAAGACTACCTGCAGCTCTTATTACTTTCCTGTCATTGACTTCGTGCTGAGGTTTCTAACTACCCAGTACAGATCCCAAGCTTTCATTTCTTTTTCTGTCCTTGGAATCTAAAACATCTCCCAATTTACTACCATCTGCTACCTTAATTAATAGGCTGTTTACCTCCCCTGTAAGACCTTGCAGAGATTCTCTTGGACTCCATCCCTAACTTTGTGCTCATTGCAGGCTCTCATTAGTCTTGGTTTATAATCCAGCTTTCAATCTATTTGACAGCTCTCATCTCCAAGCCAATTTGAATTACATTTTTCTCGTAAAATTTCATAAGACACAAATACGCTTTATTCGAGCCTGGAACAAATTACATCTACAACATTCCCTTTGTCCACTCCTTTTATAATTTGAAAGGAACCAAAAAAAAGAAGAAAAGAATATCAATCTGGCTTCTTTGATATAAATTCACTGATTCCTTCTCTGCATGGAAGTCTCAGGTTTGCACGATTATCTCCAAGGAGTTCTCTCTTCTACATAACATAACAGGGTGCCTTCCACCAGCCCCCCTTTACTCCACCATCCTCATTGGCAGATTTGTATTGCACACAGTGCAATCATAGCCAAATGCATGATCAAAACCGCAAATGAATAAAGTGACTGGTTTTATACCCTTAACTGCCAACATCATTTACCAATGATTAGTTGCTCAGAGTGGAAAACAATCCATTATTAGAATTTTTGTTGCTGTGACCTGACATGGTCATTGCTGCAAGTGTTTCCTCAAAATGCAATTGTCCTCTGCTCTTTCTTCATATCTAAAGCATGAAGAAGGGCAAGAGGGAAGAGCCAGCATCAAGTTCCATCTGTGAGGCAGGTTCTGAGTGTGCACTTGGCTTCTTAAGTTTCATTTCAGTAGTGAGTTTTAAACTGGCTTCATCCGCATCTCCTGAAGGTTTTGGTAAAGACGCAGATTTCCAGGCCTCACTCCTATATATTCTAAATCAGGAGTTGTGGAGCGGGACTCAGGAATCTGTTTTCCTAAAGCCTCACAAAGCACTGTTGATTACTAAGTGAATTTGGGAAGCACCAATTTCTTTTTCTTTTTCTTTCTTTTCTTTTTTTTTTTTTTTTGAGAGAGTCTCGCTCTGTTGTTCAGGCTGGAGTTCAGTGGAGCGATCTAGGTTCGCTGCAACCTCCACCCCCTGGGTTCAAGCAATTCTCCTGCCTCAGCCTCCCGAGTAGCTGGGATTACAGGCACCTGCCACCATGCCCGGCTAATTTTTGTATTTTTAGTAGAGATGGGGTTTCACCATATTGGCCAGGCTGGTCTTGAACTCTTGACCTCAAGTGATCCACCTGCCTTGGCCTCCCAAAATGCTAGGATTACAGGCATGAGCCACTGTGCCCAGCCGGGAAGCACCAAATTTTCAAAGCAGCCCAGAAATATCAACTTCAGCCTTTTTTGTCAGCCATTTGTTAGATGAGATGAGCAAATGAAAGCTCAGAGAGGTTCATTTGCCCAATGTCACAAACTAGGACATGATATGCCCAGCATTAATGAATGTGCTATAGAATTCTGGAGCCCATGCTTTCTCCATGATCCCACAAAGCTTCCATTTGATGGGAAACTTAATTTTTTTTTGGTATGGTCAATGGGGAAACCTTAGTATCATTTTTATGATGATGAATATTTAGCACTGCCAAAAGACATTTGGTGCACATCAATGTTCATAGCTGCATTATTATAAGAGCCAAAATGTGGAAATAACTCAAGTACATGTCAACAGATAAATGGATAAACAAAATGTAGCATATCCACACAATGGAATATTATTCACCCAGAAAAAAAGAATGAAATTCTGATGCACGCTACAACATAGATGAACCTGGAAAATATTATACTAAGTGAAATAAGCCAGACACAAAAGAACAAATATTGTATGATTCCACTTATAGGAGCTACCTAGAATAAGCAAATTCATACAGATAGAAAGAATAGTGGGCCGGGTGTGGTGGCTCACGCCTGTAATCCCAGCACTTTGGGAGGCCGAGGCAGGCAGATCACCAGGTCAGGAGATTGAGACCATCCTGACTAACACGGTGAAACCCCGTCTCCACTAAAAATACAAAAAAAATTAGCCAGGCATGGTGGCAGGCGCCTGTAGTCCCAGCTACATGGGAGACTGAGGCAGGAGAATCGCGTGAACCTGGGAGGTGGAGCTTGCAGTGAGCCGAGACCATGCCACTGCACCCCAGCCTGGGTGACAGAGCAAGACTCTGTCTCAAAAAAAAAAAAAAAAAAAAAAATAGTGGTCACTAGGGGCTGGGGGAGGGGGAATGGGAAATTATTATTCAATGGGTGTAGAGTTTCTATTTCGGATGATGAAAAAGTTCTGGAAATGAATCGTGGTGAAAGTTATACAACGTTGGGAATGTACCTAATGTCACTGAATCATACGCTTTAAAATGGTCAAAATGGTACATTTCACATTGTGTGTATTTTATCACAATTTTTAAAAGCATAAAAAAGATATGTGAAAACAGCAGGAGACTAAGCCATCTATATATGCCCCCTGAAACACACCCTAAGAGTAAGACCATGGAATAAACCGGAGACTTTCTTCTATTTTCCTCCAAAGTTGAATGAAAAACAGATTTCTGGTTAATTGAGGGTCCCAGCTGCTCGTGGCTTCACTGTTTGAGTCTGAGCTCATTTCTTCTAAGAGAAAGAATGACTGGGAGCATTTTGGCACGTAGAGGATGAAGTAACCCTGCATGATGGGGCAAATGCCCTCACCTGGGGCATCGGGAGGTATGAAGGTGACTCTGCCACTCCCCTGAGGGATCATCACTTAGATGAATTTGGATGTCAGTTTCTCATCCGGAAGAAGGGAGTGCCCTGGCTGGTGTTTTGCAGGACACCCCCCAGTTCCTCTAGTAGCAGTCCTGTGCTGAGTTGAGCCCATGACCCAAATTGAGCAAACCAACATCCTTCCCCCAGAAATTTCTTTTCTTTTCTTTTCTTTTCTTTTTATTAGCTACAAAGTTGTAACCCTGAAGGTACCAGCAGCCCTGGCAATCCCAGGTGGATAAGCTTCCACGGTTGCCAAGAGGGGCCATAGGCAGCTTGAGTCAGCAGAGCCTCTGCTCCAGCACAGGCTCCCATGATCCTGGAGCTGCTTGGCCCCAGGAGTCCACCCTTCAGTCCCAGGACCCCCGACCCATCCTCCATCCCCTCCATAGGCCCCTCTTGTTCTTGGGCAGAGTTGCTGGCACCTGCAACACAAGGAATCCTGACTACCATGGTGGAAATTTGATTAAATGATTGCTAGGATTTCTTGTGGTTGTTTTTTTTTTTTTAAGACGGAGTCTCACTCTGTCACCCAGTCTGAAGTGCAGTGGTGTGATCTCGGCTCACTGCAACCTCCGCCTCCCAGGTTCAGGCTATTCTCTTGCCTCAGCCTCCCTAGCAGCTGGGACTACCGGTATGCGCCACCACGCCCAGCTAATTTTTGTATTTTGAGTAGAGTCAGGGTTTCACTATGTTGACCAGGCTGGTCTTGAACTCCTGACCTCAAGGATCCACCCACCTTGGCCTCCCAAAGTGCTGGGATTACAGGTATGAGCCACCACACCTGGTCTCTTCTGGTTTAAAAAAGCAAAACAAACAAAACCTAAAAGCAGATTTAAATCCTCTAATCCTGAAAAAGTCACCCCATACCAATTTAACTGTAAGAAAGTTTCCCTTTGCGAAGAAAGTATCCCATCTGAGACTCAGAGTGGCCAGCCCAGATAATGCTAAGACCCTTTATGGCTCCAAATCCTCCCATTCAAAGACCAGATGAGAGTGGAAGATAGGAGAGGGAGAATAATGGAATAATTCAAACCAATGTGGATTTTAAATTTGTTTCGAGGATTTATTTAAGGGTGTTTTCTCCTCCTCTATGTTTTTCTAGATGATTACTATCTTCAAGGAAAATGTGATTGCATCCTCCAGATCAAAGATACTGAAACTGGATGCTTATAAAGAAGATTTTAGGCACATAAAGGTTATGGCATCTGTGGTTCTACAATGAAAAATGCAACCTGTTCTGTCTGAGAAGGAAAGGGAGCAAGAATCTCCCGTGCAAGTCTGGCGTTCAGTTCTAGCAGAGGGAGTCACCAGCTGGAGAAGAAATGCAACAATTGTCCACCCCCACATATCCTATGGCTGTGTCTTTTTTTTATTACAGTGGACACTGCAGTGAGGGACACCCACTCTCATGGTGGAAAACGAGCCAGCTAATTTAATATCACCATGAAGGAAACTGCTACTAATCTAGGCATGGAAGTAAATCAACAGTGGATCCTGAAAGCTAGGAAAAGAGAGCTAAGTTAAGCAAGAATGGCCAAGGCAGCGGGAACAGTGTATGTTTTAAACTTCAGGTTTTGTTAGCAAGACTTTTGTCCTCTTTTAATAGTTAACCTGACCCCAGCTCAAGAATCCAAGATACTGAGTAGTCTATTGTGCACCTGCAGAAAACTTTCAAACCCTTAATGACTTATAATCTTGGTTTCAGCAATCATCTCAGTAATTCTGGTATGACTCTCCTCCCTCACAGCTCTCAGATGCTCCAGACCCACCTACAGCTCATCTCCAGCAGGAGATCTTGGGTTTTACGATTTTAAAACGTAGCTTGAAAAAGTCTCCATCTTATCTCGGAGCAGAAGTGGTGTCACTTGCCAGCCCAAATATTCTAGTAAGTTTCTCCCTCACTCAGCTGCCACCACTCTTTTGTGCAGCCCAGCCAGGCTCCTGCAGAGATAAAAATACAACTCATTTAGGTCAATGATTAAATTGAAAGTTATAATATTACCAATTAAGTTTGAGCAAAGAGGGGGGTAAAAAAAACACAAATCCTTTAGGAGGGTCACCGCAATGCCTGTCTTCACAAATAGCACTGCCGCCACTCCCCACCTGAATGTGGAGTCTCATGAAAGCACCTAAGGAAAGCTCCCCCACGCCTTGTCACTAGGGTCTCCACTTTCAGTCTCAGAACAACTACTTATTGTCTCCTAAGCTCATTTTTATCTGAGAGTCCGTGTGCTCACTGGGCTGTGGAGAAACCTTCCAGAGTCAAGCACATTTCTTGAGCCTGCCAGTCCCAAAGGGGTTGAGGAAGAGGCTGTGCACTGGGTAAAGAAATGCAGGAGCCAAGCTGGGAATTATTCAGAGTGTGTATAAGCCAGGTGTGGTGAAGACGGGTGACAAAATAGGTATTAAGGTAAGGCATATTGGACAACAGGACCATGGCTAGGTGGAGTGGGGCATCTCCACTGCAAACTGCTACCATTCTCAGGTGCAAATTCTGCACTTGCCTGGGCCTGAGTGTAAGTACCTGAGATGGATGGTCTAGGTGCCTCTCTTGCTGCACCTAGCCCCAGCCTTGTGGTTTACAATTCCCCAAGCATAGCAATAACAGGTTCCATTCCTCTAGCTTGGCTGCATTTAAAATACAACTGGTCGGTGGGGAGGGATTACAGCACAAGCCGAAGCTTGTCTGCGGGAGTTGGCCATGAACTAATAGTCCACATACGGCAGCCTGCCACATCTTCCCACCCAACCCACCATCACCAAACACTGTCCTCTTGAGTTCCCAGCCAAAGGAAGTCCCCAGTGGTCTAGACAGAAGGGCTGGGCCCCCTCCCAGTTCTCACTCCAGCAGATTCTCCAGCTGCAGAAAGTGACACACATTGTTCCTGCTCCATTGTGCGTTAGAGGGCCCATTATCCCTGTGATGATGGGCTGATAGTTCTCAACTCATTAAACAACGCTGGCAGTCTTTTAAACAATCCTCTAATTACTAGTCTCCCCACAGAATTACACCCTCCAAATCCCAGTTTGTGCTGCTGTAGACTTTTGGGAGCTAAAGTCGATGGGAGAAAAATCCCAAGAAAACATCTTGTCTGGGGTAATGACTGTGCATGTGTATATGATCTCCCAGTAGAGCTGTTCAGGTAGGATAAGAGTTCAGAGGTTTCCACTGGACCAGCCCAAACCACAAAAGGTCTCTGGCTAAGGACCAAATTGGCAAGGGGAACTTTTTTTTTTTTTTTGGACGCAGTGATTTCTGGGGATTTTTAAGAGCTGCTTTGGTTTGGAGAAAAATGATTGGAAAATACAGAGAATTCCCATACACTCCCTTGCACGCCCTCATTTCTCCCTATTATTAAACCTTGCATTAGTGTGGTACATTTTTTACAACTGATATGCCAATATTGCTTCATTGCTATTAACTAAATGTTAATAGAATGTGGCACATTCTATGGGTTTCAACAAATATCTAATGATGTGTATCCGCCATTGCAGAATTACACCGAATAGTTTCACTGCCCTAAAAATCCCCCATGCTCCACCTACTCATCCCTCCCTCTCCCCAAAGCAGAAGGGGTATTTATCTCCTATTTACTAGAGAAATTTATATCGTTTTCTCTTTTTTCCCCTAAAAATAAATGGTGTTGACTTATTAGGACCATTGGTCCATCACAAAGCTGAGTTCGCAAAGTCTCATGAGGCCAGGCTAGGAACATCCAGTACACCCATGTCCCTTAAATAGTATAGAAAACATAGGATATTCACTGGAACATCAGGCAGCCTCCCTCCAGGATCCTGTGGCAGAGCCATAGAATCCTCATCTATTAGCCAATGAACAGGCACACATGAAGTCCAGGCTGCACCCAAGAGAACAGACAAGAATATTGGGAAACGGGTGCTGTGGCTCACGCCTGGAATCCCAGCACTTTAGGAGGCCAAGACGGGCAGATCACTTGAGGTCAGGAGTTTGAGACCAGCCTAACCAACATGATGAAACTCCATCTCTACTAAAAATACAAAAAAAAAAAAAAAAAAAAAATTAGCCAGGCTGATTGTGCATGCCTGTAACCCCAGCTACTCAGGAGGCTGAGGCATGAGAATCACTTGAACCCAGGAGGCAGAGGTTGCAGTGAGCCACTATCGTGCCACTGCACTCCAGCCTGGGTGACAGAGCGAGGCTCTGTCTCAAAAAATAAAAATAAATAAATAAAAAAAGAATACTGGGAAACAATGGGAAAAATGCAAAGAGAAGACAGAGCTTAGAAACATACAGCAGTGGTTCCCAAAGTATTGCCTGGGCACAGCTGGAGGACCCTGAAACCTTTACAGGAGTTTATGAGTACAAAACAATTTTTATAACAACACTAAGTTCTTCGCTTTTTTCAACTCTCATTATCTCAAAAGTGTACAGTAGAGTTTTCCAGAGTCTACATGATATGTAGTACCACAAGAGATCAAATGCATAAGCAGATATAAGAATCCAGCTGTTTTCTATTAAGGCAGACAATAAAGAATATTGCAATATGTAAAAAAAATTAAAAATGCCACTTTTTTCTTTGGGAAAATATACTTAATTTTTACTCTAAAAGTTATATATGTTAATATGTTATGGGTTGATTATTGCTATTTTTTATAATACTTTAAGTTCTGGGGTACGTGTGCACAACATGCAGTTTTGTTACATAGGTATACATGTGCCATGGTGGTTTGCTGCACCCATCAACCTGTCACCTACATTAGCTGTTTCTCTTAATGCTATCCCTCCCCTAACCCCCACCCACCGACAGGCCCCAGTGTGTGATGTTCCCCTCCCTGTGTCCATGTGTTCTCATTATTGCTATTTTATGTGAAATAATACTTTTAAGTTTTCCTCAGTTTTAATTCCCAATATAATAAATATTAACAGATATAACCCGCATTCCAAAAGCTTTTAGGAATCTCCAATAATTTTTAAGAGTATAAAGGAGTCCTGACACCAAAGTTTGAAAATCACCGACTTATAGCAAAGGATTTGGAGTTAGACAGACCTACCTTGAAAACCCAGGGCTACCATTGGGACTAGTTGTTTAACCCTCCCTCCCCCGAGCCTTGTTTATCTGTAAAATGGTGATAATACTGTTTATCTCATGGGGTGGTTGCAAAGATTAATGACCTGACATATAAAAAAGCACCCTGCAAGATGCCTGGTTTAGATGAAGCCATTGATAAACAGTAAAAGAGAAGAAAGAAGAAGAAAGAGGAAGCTTAAAACGTAGTCCCAGCTCTCAAAATGTCTATCTAGAGAAAAAGGTTGTAGTGTTGTGCATGAACCAACAGAAAAGAAACAAAGTGTCTTTATCCCTCTCTGTGTGTTACACGCAATGGTTTAGGGCTGAAATTGTGAGCCCTGAGAGATGGGGAGAGTTACAAGGGCAGAAGGGGAGGGTATTATTCTTCTGTTTGAGAGATCAGTATGAAGGCTCAGAAGAAGCAGGGAGCAGAGTCTTTCTGTGGAACAGACCAGTCAGCCTGCTCAGGTGAACACTTGTACACACGTGCACAGTCATGCACACATGTCCATACTGAGTATGTATGCATGGAAGTGATCACATCCAAAATCAAGCTTCTCATGTGATTATAATATAATTAACAGGACCGTGGTACCTCACAGCCTCATGAACACATTGTTACCAACCATCTTTCTGCTGCTTTTCGACCCTCTCTGCTCACTCAACCCTACACCCTAGCCAGAGATCTGGATACAGATCAGAGCCTGGGCATCTGTATGCAATGTAAACAGCTCCAGATGTGCAACCAGAGGAGAACGCACCAGTCCACTCTGGGCACCCAGCAAAGAACAGAGAGTTCCTGCTTTTAAGAGCTTACCTATAACACAACTGGAAAGATGAGGCATGAAAAAGTGACCAAGCTACTCTGCTATCAGCAGAGGAGGCTAATGGCCCAGGGAAGCAAGACTGCATTGTCACTGGGCCCAAGCAGAAACAAGATGGCACATTGAAGATAGAATAACCCAAGTTGGTTGTGGGCAGTGTGAGGCAGGACAGTACAGGAACACGGGGCTAACAGCAGCAGAGCCTTTGCCACCCCCAGGCCTGATGAAGTGAAGGAGGGCGCAGTTACTGCCCTCAGAGGAGCCTCATGTGGTAGGGCCAACTGGAGAGGAGCAGGGACCTTTGGTCAACAGGTAATGATAAGGCCACGTGTGGTGGCTGACACCTGTAATCCCAGCACTTTGGAAGGCCAAGATGGGAGGATCACTTGAGGTCAGGAGTCTGAAACCAGCCTGGCCAACATGGAGAAACCCCGTCTCTACTAAAAATACAAAAATTAGTGGGCATGGTGGTACACACCTGTAATCCCAGCTATTTGGGAGGCTGAGGCATGAGAATTGCTTAAACCCAGGAGGTGGAGGTTGCAGTGAGCTGAGATCACACCACTGCACTCTAGCCTGGGTGGCAAAGTGAGATGCTGTCTCCACAAAACAAAAACAAAAACAAACAAAAAAAACCCATAATGAATGCTGAGCTGTAAAGTGGCCTGTAAAGTGGCCAGACAGGATTCAAATCCAGGCCTATTGTACAAAAGCCTAGGCTTTGGCCATTTTATCATGCTGCCTCTTCCCAGAAAAAAAAGATATGTGAGTCTGGCATAAAAAGAATTCTCCTTGGGTGCCTGTATTAGCCAGGAGAAGTTAGGCTATTATGCAGTAACAAACACACCAAACATTTTAGAGCCTAACCTCCAAAGAAGTTTATTTCTTGCTCCCATTACATCTCCAGTGCAAGGGGACTCTGCTCATAGTCACTCAGGGACCCAGGCGCCATCTCAAACCGTGCCTTCACAGGTACCTCTGAAGGGTGGGGACACACAGGCAAGCCAAACTTCTTACCTACAAAGCTCCACATATGACTGCTACATACATTTTATTGGTGAGAGCAAGTCATAAGGCCCTACTGAACTTCATAGGGGTGGGTAAGTGCAGTTGTCCCAGGTACCATGTCTTAATGGCCTCCATGCTAACCTTTGCTTGCTCTTAGCCAAAAGTCCAAGACGCAATCTCCTTGCTTTCTTTGGGTTCTTACTCTACAGGGGACATTGCGCTAAGCAGTTTGCACGTATCACCTAATTTGAACCCCACAGCAACCTATGACTTAGTGTGTATTTATATCCTCACCTTACAAATGAAAGCTACAAGGCACAGAGAAGTTTAATTAATTTAATAATTTTCCCAAGGTCACACAAGTAGCAGGAGGTAGGGCCATGATTTGAATCCAAGCTCTCTGTCCACAGATCTTACACGCATAACCATGGGACGGACTCCAATCGTTTATTGATCTTTCAACTAATAATTGTGCAAGACCTGTATGGGAGGAACTCAGAGCACATGGAGATACTAAGATCCAAAGTCCCACAAGGCAGTGGAGCATAAGGCGCTATTAGCATTTTAACCCCAAAGCTCAAATCTTGAAGACACTGAAAAATCCAAGTCTAAATGCCCTTCTACCCCACACCTTCTTCTCATTTAATGGGGAAATACTCTCTGCAGCTCCCATCCTCCCTTCTCCTTCCTGGTGGCCTTGTGGCCTCTGGGTCGGTACCTCCTTTCTCCCTGAGGACAGCTGTGCCTACCACAACCTCATCACATCAGGTCTAGGGTTGCTCCGTCCTTGGGCCATAGAGAACTGGGCTGTTCCTTTCTTTGTGACATTCCCCTTTCACATACTTGAAAAGCATTATCATATTCTCTGTAGAAAAGTCAGGCTAGGGCTAATTTTTTTAATGCCCCATCCTGCTCTTGGAATGTGCAAGTTTCTTTAGAGGCAGGCAAAGTTCCTGGCACATCCTGGCCAGCCTCCGCATGTCTGCCTGAGCCGTTTCTGCCTCTGCTGATCTGGATGTGGATGGTGTCTCTGCTTCTCTCCCCAACAGCAGGCACACTCTGAAGATAACATCAGCCCAGCAACCACTCACATCAGCTATGACATAAAAAGGCTTTTCTCTGGGTGGGGGAACACTCACTTAGAAAGGTCAACACTTGCTTTGTTTGAGACCTGCGATAAGTAACCCTCCTCGAAAGGGACTGCAGATCCCCTAGGAGAATTATCTAATCAGTTCAAGTTCCCCAGGCCTTTCGTCTTGAATTGGAACCTCATTTTTAAGAGAAAACCACAGGACTACAGATTACTAGATTTCTCTTCCTTTCTTTTTTTTTTTTTTTTTTTTTTGAGATGGAGTTTTGCTCTCATTGCCCAGGCTAGAGTGCAATGGTGCCATCTCAGTTCACTGCAACCTCCGTCTCCCAGGTTCAGGTGATTCTCCTGCCTCAGCCTCCTGAGTAGCTGAGATTACAGGCACCCGCCACCCCACCCGGCTATTTTTTTGTAGAGATTTTTAGTAGAGATGGGATTCCGCCATGTTGGCCAGGCTGGTCTCGAACTCCTGACCTTAGCTGATCCACCCTCCTCAGCCTCCCAAAGTGCTGGGATTATAAGTGTGAGCCACCGTGCCTGGCCTTTTTTTCTTTTTATCATAAAGATTAGGCCCAAGCATAAAGATCTGAATTATTCTATTTTTTGCAAATAGATCATATCAAGGGGCCATGTAATCATAATAGCTAGTATTTGTCCACTACTTTGAGGCTCAGCCAGTGCTTTTATAGATACACTCTTTGATTTGATTCTCACCCCCTTCTGGAGAGGCAGGCATCAGTGTTCTATCCATTTTACAGACAAGTCAACTAAAGCTTAGAGAAGTCCAGTGGCTAGTCCAATGTCCCACAGCCTTTAAATAGGAGAGTTGAGGACTGAACTTCAAGTTCAAACCTACCATGTTGCTATTGCTGCTATGTCCTTGCCAAATTCCACTTGCCTGAAGCATAATTCCCATTTTTGATGATTTTATGACTCTAGGATAGAGCCAAGATGCTTGTTCAGCGAGTGTATAAAGCATTTCTGGACAGTTGCCGTTTTGGTGCTTTGGTTTGAATGTGTCCCCCAGATTTTACATGTTGAAAACTTAATTCCCAAATTCATATGTTGATTGGAGGTAGGACCTCTGGGAGGTACTTGGGATTAGGTAAGCTCATCAAGGTAGAGCCCCCATCATGGGACTATGGCTTTATGAGAAGAGGAAGAGGGACCTGAGCTGATACACACACTCCTGCTGTCTCACCATGTGATACCTTCCGCCATGTAATGTGTGGCAAGAAGGCTCTCACCCAATGTGGCCCCTAAACCTTAGACTTCCCAGCCTCTAGAAAATGTCTAAGTTTCTTTACAAATTACCCAGTCTCAGACATTCAGTTATAGCAACAGAAAATGGGCTAAGACAGGGAGTTATCCTAGAAAGAGAATACAAGTTGGCAAACACCACAGTTCCCGTGGAGAGAGGGAGGAGATTCATCCTTTATCAAGAGCTTGTTGGGTCCTCACTGTATACAAAGCCAAATACCTGAGCTGCCTAGGTTAGCCTTTTTGGGTTGCTATTAAGGAATATCTGAGGCTGGGTAATTGATAAGAAAGGTTTATGTTGGCTCATGGTTCTACAGGCTGTACAAGAAGCACAGTGCCAGCATCTGCTTCTTGTAAGGCCTCAGGAAGCTTTCAATCATGGCAGAAGGCAAAGGGGGAGTAGGCGCATCACATGGCAAGAGAGAAAGTGAGAGAGAGAGAATCAGGAGGTGCCAGGCTTTTTTTTAACAACCAGATCTCAAGGTAACTCATAACCACAGGGAGGGCACCAAGCCACCATTCATGAGGGATCTGTTCCCATGACCCAAACACCTCCCATTAGGCCCCGCCTGCAATGCTGGGGATCACATTTCAATATCAGGTTTGGAGTGGACACTCATCCAAACTCTATCACTGGCCCCGGACACTTTCTATCTGCAGAGAAAGGACTCCTGGGACAGGGCAAGTCTTCCCCAGGAGAGGTGTGGGTAGGCTCTTTGAGCTGGGACTTGGAGAATTAGAATGAGGGTTAGGACAGGTGTAAAGGAAGGTAATGGAGCCACTGGCCAGGAGAAGCAGCCAAGGCCCAGGTGGGAAAGCTGTTACTAGGGAATTTTTACATTCTTCATTCTTAAAAACTTTGGCCAAGCCGAGAAGATGAGAACACATGTGATCCCAGAAAGCACTGTAAACATGCCCACCCTTACCCCACCCTGCAGACTCGTCACCAGTAACCCAGCTCCCAGCAACCCCCCAAAGGGGAAGCAAAAAGAAATAGGGTCTGACCTGAGACCTCAGCATATACCTGCACACACATACAGATGCAAGAGCTTGGGTCCACCTGAAACCAGAGAGGGAAACTGGCACCTGCCCAAGTCCCTGCAGCAAACCCTTCGCCTGCAGCCTGTTTCTGCAGCTGTTTCCTTGTTTCTTCCCAATTAGCTGTAAACCCCCTGAGAGTAGGCAGTGGGTTTCATGAGTCCTGGTATGCCCATAGAGCTGTGCACATAGTAGGTGCTTAATAAACGGCAGTTGGTAGCTGTGCACACAGTAGGTACTTAATAAATTGCAGTTGGTACATAATAAATGGTAGCTGGAAGGGAAGCTGCCCAGAGCAGTGGCTGGAGAAGACCCTGAGTCGGTGGGTGGCACACCCTTGGGCAGGTCAGAAAGTCTGGAGACCCCTCCCCATTCGGTCATCAATTGATCATGGAAGCTTGGGTACTGCCTGACTCTCTTCAGCCTCAGTTTCCCTCTCTAAAGTAAAACAGTTGGCTTGGGTCATCTATAAGACCCAGCTCAGCTCAGACTCGTGAGATTTCTTGGTCTTTCTTTATTCCACTTCATCCCAGGGGCATCTCTTGGCGGACCAAGGAAGAGTAGCTAGTTCAGCTCCCATTCATTATCTGCCAGCATTTTCTGCCCCAGAGGTTCAAAATTTGGGGAGCCAGTAACGGAGTTGTCATAATTGGTGAGAATAGCTCCCCATGGCTGGCCCTGCGGATCCCACAGGCTGCAGATTAGCAAAGCTGGGAACTGCAGAGGCCAGGATCCTAAGCCTGGGGTGGGTGGTGAGGGGCTATATTCTGAAGGAGAGGCCCCAGCTCTATGCGGTTTTCATTTATCAGCCTCGTTATCACAACTGGCCCGTCACTCAAAGCCACCTTTCAGAATGACCAGTCAGTCTACAACAGAGCAATGTCTTCAGGTCTGCTGCAATTACAAATGCATCTCTGGTTCTTAGATGTAAGAGAGAGGAAAGTCTCACCCCACAGCCAGAGGATGGGAGAACTTCTAGCTTTTCCACCCAACACCCGGTATCATGCACATTTCAGGCTTTCTGGCCACTCAACACAACACCCATTCTCCTCCCTCTTTCTGTTAGTAACAACATCCTGATTTCTTCCTGGGGAATGGCCTCTTTCCCACTTTGATACAGTCTGATGGGATCGTCATTCAAGACACCTGCCCTCCCAAAGACAGGAGATGGGCGCCAGACCCCAGCAGAGCCCACTGCACCTGCTCTCCCTGGAATCGGGATCGTGAGCAGAGAGACAACAGCAGGGGACATGGCTGAGGCCTCTGTTCCATGACCAGCACTGTCAGAGACCTTCCATCAGCTCTGCCAAGAAACCCTCAGAGCTCCTGGGCTCTCATCCTTTGTGCCCCGCTCCTCTCCTGCTTTCTCTCTGATTCTCAAGCTGCCCCCTCATTTTCAACTTCCTATCCTGTTACCCACAACAAAAAGCCCTGACTGATTCATCTTCCAAATCCCAGGGTGTGGTGGTGTAAAGAACACACACCTCCAGTCACCTTGGGGTAGCAGAGCACACCCCGTGCCTCTTCCCAAGAACCAGGCCCACCACGGGGCATAGCCACGGGCAGGACCCAAGCTCCCATCTCACTCACTTCTCAGCCGCTCAGCCTTAGGCTCGGGATGTCTCCGAATCTCAGTTTCCTCACCTTTAAAATGGGAAAAAGTTTGCATACCTGTTGGGACTGGGTAACAACTGGTGTGGGTTAATAAACTGCAGAGAGTGCCTAGCTCAGCACTGGAAACCTGCGGTGTGCTCAAGAATGGCAGGAGGGTGTTGCTGTTGCCCTTCTGATTCGAAATCCTCCTTGCTTCTCATCCATTAACCCCAGGATATATTGAGAAATGCAATCGGCTTCTTCCTGACTCAGGGCACTGAAATCACCACGTTGCTTTTGGGTTGCCCAAAACACTGTGTCGCCAAGAAAAGCCTTTCAAAGCCCCTTTCGGGAAGGGATTTTTTTCGAACTTGAAACAAGAAGGAGTCATTTGCCAAAGTGAAATAGCACATAAACCTTAGAACCCACAGATTTGAGTGAATTCTAATCTTGGCCAAAACTGGCAGGAGTGAGGGGGTGTTGGGGAGGGAGGATGAGTCAGAGATTCCACCCTTCAGAGGGGGCAGCCTAATATGGCATTGGGGAGCCACAGGAGACGACTTAGGTATGCCTGGACTTTCAGACTGGAGCCACGGCTCTGGCCAGGAACCAGCTGTGTCCCCCCACACACCTCCCCCCCCAAAAAAAAACAAACCTACCCTCACATATGCATGGAGCAGAGCCTCGGGGTGGCAACCCAAACTGAGTGTTCAGATCCATCAGCAGGAACCAGCTGAGAGACTAGCAGCTTGCCCCCAGGAATGATAGCAACCAGCCTTCTCCTGGTATGCCCTGGTTCTTGGGCCAAACATGGACCTGTCCCTGCAGACACTGTGTGGTCCTCGCTGACTCCAAATTCTCCTAAATGCAGCCTCCGTGGAGCCTGTGATACGGCACATGAGCCTGGGAGTAAGAGGGAGGCTTCGCCCGGTGTAACCTCAGAGCACGTGTCGTTTATTTTTAGGCCTGGAGTAAAGGGCCTGGGTAAGGGAGGAACTTCAAAAGGTGAGATTTCTGTCATTGGAATAGTTTTACAATGTAATGAAAACAAAGAGATGGCTCTTAGAGGGTGTGGGTGGAAGCAAAGCCAAGTTCTAGCCCTGCAGTGGCTCTCCCCAGCTGTGTGGCTTTGGGCAAGTCTTTGCACCTGTTTTTTATCTGTAAACTGAAGAGAGAATTGGTTCTCAAACTTGAGTGCTCATCAGAATCATCTGGAAAGCTCGTTTCCTGGGCCCTGGCACAGAAATTCTGATTCAGAGGATCTGGGGCAAGAACTAAGAATTTGCATTTCTAACAAGCCTTCAGGGCTATAGGATCCAGGGGTACATTCCATGGGGAACAGTCTCACTCATTGTCCTGTATCCCCAGGAAAAAGTCCTCTGATTGGACTGACTTAGGGTACATGCCCATTTCCGACCAGGCCAGAGCCTGGTCATTGGCCTGGCCCAGGTACTGGCTCCATCCCTGGAGCCAGGAGATGAATCAGCTTCCCCCTAACCA
This sequence comes from Homo sapiens, assembly GCF_000001405.40. NCBI lineage: Eukaryota > Metazoa > Chordata > Mammalia > Primates > Hominidae > Homo > Homo sapiens. Next base: position 121,460,972 of record NC_000010.11, read on the forward strand.
GTTGAATCACCAAAACAGGGAGTCTGGATTAGGAAAGAGTAAGGGAGGAATTATGCTAGAGAGACAAGCAGCAAGTGCCTGTCTCAGTGGCAGAGCGGCACCTGAGCCAGGTGAGGCTCGCTCCTCCAGGCCCTGTCTCTAGCAAGCCTGGCCAATTTCCACGTAGACCCTCTGTTTGAGATGTCAACTCTGGGTGTTGTTTGCTGAACTTACGCTCCTGTGAAAGGAATTTGGGAAGAGACCTAGTTCAGGTCCCTGTCTCCAGGGAAGGTAGTACCTAAACCGTTCCAGGCAGATGAATTCCAACCAAATCTTCTAGGAAGGAGGTAATTACCTGGGTTCTCCTGAGTGGTGTTCCTGAGGGAACTTCAGCAACACCGTGTCATTCATCTATATCCCTGTGCTCTGTAGCAAATGTACAGACAACTATAACTCATTCTTGCGTGAAGTCTATTTCTGACCTCAAAGCAACTCCCAGGTAATGAAAGTGATGAGATGATGATGATGATGATGACAATGATGATGATGAAGGGGCTAATGTGTCCCTTCCTTTTCCTCTGACGCCTTGACCTTCCCTATTAGGGGTTTGTTCAGATCAGGATTTCATGTTATAAATGATTTGCTCAGAAAGGCAGACCAGCAGTTTATCAACCTTCCTACCCAAGCTCCCTGTGGATCACCCAGACCTACGAGCCGAGGAGATGAAGACCACAGACATCTAGTTTTTGGTCCATAGTCTGAGATGCAAAACTCAGGGCCAGGAATGGATCTTGAGTTTAAGGCCCTACTATGACTCTTGCCTCAAATCTACCCATAAATTATCTGGGCACTTGGGACTCATTTACTGGGAAACAGAATAATGTGAGGATTCAGCCACCAGCAGGCTCTGTGCTCAGATGGCCTGAATTCAGTCCAGGCTATGTGACCTTGGATAACTCACATTACCTTTCTGTGCCTCTGTTTTCTCGGGAGCAAATCAAATTCTAAGCGTGCTTATACTACAAACGTGGTTGTAAAAATTAAAATATGTAAAGCACTTGAAATACCGCCCGGTGCGTGACAAGCCCTTTATAAATATTAGGTATGATTATTCAGGCATTATTGAATTCGTCAGACATTAATGAAGCATCCTCTGGCGTTGAGTCACCGTATTAGGGGACAGAAATTCATAGCAATAAAGATCTGAAAATTTGCCTTCACAGTGTTCATAGTCTAGGAGAAGATAAGACCCAAAGAAAGATAAACCACAATACATCATGATATATGCTGTCACTGAGATTTGAATAAAGTGCTGACTCTATCTGGAAGTGACCAGGAAGGCCTTCCAAGGGACATGATGTTAGACCTGGGCCTTGAATGAGTTTGCCAATGAAAACTGTCTGAGGGAAGCCACTCTAGATATAGAGAACAGAATGCTTGTGTCACGAAAGGGCCTGCAAGTCCACGGAGCGATGGTTTCAGAGCAACAGGAGCATAAGTTTCCTGAGGAGGGAGTGGCGTATATCAGGCCCTGGTAAGGTGGTTAGAACATGATGCTGCAGACTTTGGACTTTATCTGCAAGCCGCAGGAGCCAACAGAAGTTTTTAAGCAAGAGAATGGGATGGGATGAAATACGACTTTTTTAGGACTATAATGGGTTGGTAGCAGGGTAAAGGGTGGCCTGGATGGGAGAGACTGGTACAGCTGGGCCGGTGAGGAAGCTGAGCCCAGGCAAGAGATGAAGGCTTGGGAAATGAGAAGGAGAATGGATTCAGGATACTCTAGTCAGGACAATGGACAGAAAGTGGTGGCTCACCGGATATTAGAGAGGAGAGGAAGGGAGGAGTCCAGGCCGAGTCTAGAGTCTCTGGCTTGGGAGGCTGCGTGGACGGTCTTGACTAAGTTAGGGAACATGGGAAGAGGCACAGACTTGGGCAGGTGGACACGGATGGAGCAAATGGGTGTGTATTTGGTAAGTTCAGTTTGCATTACAGAAGTAGGCCACCCCTTCACACTTAAAATGTCCAGCCATTCTTGGAAAAAAGTGAATAGATTATGCACGGTAGATTTTCAAAATTTTTCCTGAGAGTAATCATATCAGGCAAAAAAGCTCTGTTTTCCAATAATTAAATCCAGATAATTTTAAAAACCTGTGACTGCCAGGCAAGGATCAAAACAAGAGTAACAAGCAAAACACTGCTGTAAATGCAAACCTCTCTTAATTGCATTACATAATTGAATCATGCCCACTTAATTTTGTCCACTAACATAAATTAACACACTTAAGAGACATCCACATGAAGATTCTGCCAAGGCCCCATGTCAGTCTGTACCCCAGCCGAGAATGATGGACAAAGTTCCCTTTTATGCAACACTCTCCTCAGAAAAAGAGAGAAAGAGAGAGAGAGAGAAAATACCTATTTTAACCATGGAAATAAATATAGGAGATGATGGCTTTAAAATTAAAGGTTGAGAAAATGTCATACAGCAAAATCCCAAACCCCAAACGTGGTCTAGTAAGCCACAAACCACATATATTTGCACTTCAAGAGTGAAAGATCTTTTGAAAGAGTCCTTGAAATAAAGATTCCCAGGTTCTACTGGGGAAGGACCAATTTTCATCCAAAACACATCTTTATGGCTGGGTTTGAAAGCCCAGGAAAGTGTTCCTAATGGAAATGCTGACCAGCCTCTCCACATACCACACCAGCAAGATCTCAGCCCCTTAAGAAAATAAGACTTTCCTTTGCAACTAGGTCAACTGGGAAAGAAAGTAATTTTTTTTTCTGGAAAGTTTGCGTTTTCAAATGGACGCTAGGAAAATAACTCCATTATGGAATGGGATGTCTTATTGCCTTCAATTTTACCCAAAGCCCAGTTAACTGGTTTCGAGAATCAGAAAGTAGCAAAACAGGAATCACCTGTGGTCCAGATGTGTCGTCTGTGAGATGGGGAGAATTAATGATGCCAGGCAACCAGCTCTACTCAGGAGTCAAGGGCACGAGTGTCCACACAGACCAGGCAGACACATCACAGAGTGAAACTGGCCAGGTGCGAGCTGACCAGGTGGCACTCAAGTGCCCCGTCTAAAATGAACAAATGCTAATTCCCTCTAGGGACTATGGCCATGCGGCAGAGGGAGCCAATGTCGCCAACATCTGCATTTCTATGAAGAGCACTTGAAATATGCATGCTTCTGTGAAGTCTTCTGAATTTTAACATGGAGAACCAATTCCAAAATATTTTAGCCATAACACAGGCCAAACAAAGCACAGCTCACTGGCACCATTTGAGATCTGAGCTCTGCTGCCTCTAAACATCATCAAGGCAGAATTTCAACAGGTCAAGGGAAGGAGAAAAAAGAAAGGACCCTTTCTTCGGGCAGCATCAGGAGACTGCAGTCGGGAGACATGGGTTCCTGTCCCAGCTCCTTTACCAACTCCTCTGCATGTCATCTGTGCGGCTGCCTGGCCCCTTCTCTGGGCCTCCATCCTTTCATCTGTGAAAAGGAGCAGGTCAAGGGGAACCGTAAGAGCTCACCCACCACAACCCAGGATTCTACACCCTCAGCCAATAGAACAACAAATGAGGAAGGGGTATTCTTTGGAAAGCAGAGGCAACCTGGAGCTACTGGTGAATTCAGGTGGGTAAAGCCTTCTCTACCACTCCACAGGGGTCAGGAGATTTTTTGTGAGGAATCTCTCCAGCCTCTGGAAGGAGAGAGAACTGGTAACATGCTGAAGCCACCCATGTGTTTGCATAGGCGTGGAAACGCCCAGCTCTATCCACAATTCTTATCCTCACCAGAAGCCTGACAGGCAGGGACACTTGTCAATACCTCTGTCTGCATTTTGGAAATTAGGAAATAGAGGCTCAGAAGGGGCAAGCATCTTACCCCAAGTTCACCCAGCAATTGGGAGGCCAAGAGGAGGCTAGGGAAACCAAGGCTGCTCTCTGTGAGGAAAAACCACCCATTTCTAGGCAATAAAAACCAAAATTCTGCAAGAAGATCAAGACTCTCTGTTAGAAATGGGCCATTCTCAGCATTTTCTCCTGTTCTGCCCCTTTTCTGACCCTCCAGAGGCACGTGAAGACGGCCATGGGTAGCTCTGCCTTTGACCTGACTTAACAATGGCCACCTCATCCTGGACCACATTTCTGTTTTAAAGGACTTTCTTCCACCAAAAAGTCCACCCTCCTTCTACATAACTCAGTTGAAAACAAATTGGACTCATCTCCTGGAAAGGACGTGGGTTTTTTCCTTTCTCTTTGACGGCATTCTCTTTCAGAACCCCTGATGTGGGAAAGTCGGAAGGCTGTGGGTGTCTGGCATCTGTGGGTAGCAGGCCACCCTTATCTCTAGGACCTCCTGACATCAGTGGGGACAACAAACAGGTCTCCATCTCCAGAGAAATGCAGTTCCCCCGTCCCCTGAGAGAACAGCAGCTCCCTGACCGTGGGACATGTGCTTGGAGCAGCGGCAGCCAGGGGAGAGCCTCTCCTGCCCACGGCGTGCGTGCCGGGTCCCAGGACTCACGTCCTCGTGCTGAAGCCTAGATACGAATGGATGTGGGCAGAGCCATCTTCCTCGTGGCCCAGGGATGACGACTTCTTATTTACACACACTTGTGGTTTCTCTTTAGAACTCTATCACATTTTGCCTCTTTCTAGTCCTTTCCCAATGTTACCTGACAACAGCTGTGTCAGGGAGGCAGGGCCAGGGGGTTTAATACCACCCTAGGTTATAGAAGAGAAACTGAGGCTCAAAGGGACTAAGTGATTTGTCAGGGCCATCTGGAGGGTGAGAGCTGAGCCGGGTTTAAGTCCGGCTTCTGGCTTTCCCCTGGGTTGGGCTGCCTGGCCACCCGCTGCCCCTTCTCACCCTTACTTGAAGGCTGAGGGGATTCCCTGTGGTCTGAACAGTGAGGCCAGGAGGAGATGCTGGTGCTGGCTTTAAAGCCACTGGCTACTCAGAAGCCACCCCACTGGCTGGGGAAGAAAAGGGTCAATGCCCACAGTCTTGTAGTTCCCGTGGATGCTGTCTGGGGGCTGGACATGAGACCAGAGCAAAAGAGGGGAGGGAGGGAGGGAGGAAGGAAGGGAGGAAGGGAGGGAGGGAGGGAAGGAAGGAAGGAGGAGGGCTACTATGGACTGAATTGTGCCCCCCACCCCAAAATTCATATGTTGAAGTCCTAACCCCCTAATGTGACTAAGAGATGGAGTTAGGAGGTAATGAAGATTACAGGAGGTTATAAGAATGGGGTCCTGGTCTAATAGGATCGGTGGCCTGATAAGAAGAGGAAGAGAGTGGGAGATATCGCTTAATCTCTCCATGCCCTTGCACCAAGAAAATGCCAGGTGGGCACAGAGCGAGAGGGTGGCCATCTGCAAGCCAGGAAGAGGGCCTTCGGTAAGAACCCAACCATGCTGGTACCCTGATCTCGAACTTCCAGCCTCCAGAACTGTACGCGAATAAACGTGTTGTTTAAGGCACCCAGTCTGTGGTATTTTGTTATGGCAGCCAGAGCTAAGTCAAGGACAAACTCAGAAGAAGAGGGAGAAAGCATGGACCCACCTCACAGCGGCCAGCTACCACCCAGGGGGCATCATGCCATCCCACCCCCCCAGTTTCTCTGCCTAACACCATCCCCCTAAAATCTTTTTCCTCCTCAGGAAGCCACAAGGGATACTATTTCCATTCCATGGAGACGTGGGTTGAGGCCTGCCCCAGTGAGCTCAGACAATCATTTTTTCTTTAAAGAGTTCCCTTCACGTGGGCAGATGTGAAGGGAAGGGAAGTCTTTATGGAGTCTTTTTTTTTTTGAAACAGAATCTGCTCTGTAGCCCAGGCTAGAGTGCAGTGGCATGATCTCAGCTCACCGCAGCCCCTGCCTCCTGGGTTCAAGTGATCCTCCCACCTCAGCATCCCGAGTAGCTGGGATTATAGGCGAGCACCAACACACCTGGCTAATTGTTTTGTAATTTTAGGAGAGATGGGGTTCCACCATGTTGGCCAGGCTGGTCTCGAACTCCCGACCTTAGGTGATCTGTCCGCCTTGGCCTCCCAAAGTGCTGGGATTACCAGCGTGAGCCACCGCACCCAGCCTAAAGAGTCTTTTTTAAGAGTCTTCTCTTATTGTTCCCCTCCTGTGCAGGGCTTATTCCTATAGCTGTTGTCCACCCAAGAATGACCCTCAAGCCTTCCTCTGGCCTAGGTAAGCTCACTCACTTTCTGTCTCCTGTTCTAGCCTCCAGGAAGGTCAAGTGTGGGTCCCCACCTCCCTTGAAGCTCCCCCATCAGAGAGGGCCTGCTGGGCAGCTGTCAGGGTTACCAGTATTTAGATCCCCAGATCCAGAATCAGCTCACACAGATTTGCATCCCAGCTCTCCCATGTGGCAACCACATGATTGTGTAGGTGTTAACTGACCTCTCAGTGCCTATCTCACGCCACTGTTACGAGGATGAAATGAGAAAAAACGCTGGGAAGACGCACCCCAAGCAAGTTTCCTTCTCGGCAGGGTGAGGCAGGGAATGGGCCTGGCCTCTCTACACAGTCTCTGCCACCACAGCAGCCCCTTGGATAAAATATGTTACCTAGCAAATTCTTTCACGAGTACCAACCCTGTTCTCCACTAACCTGATTGTAAAATTCTTGGAGAGGGCCACCAAACCTCAAATCTCCAACCCTCCACTTCTGCAATGGGTTAAATAGTGGCCCCCAAAAGATATGCCCATGTCCTAACCACCGGAACTTTTAAACATGGCCTTTTTTGAAAACAGGGTCTTTGCAGATATAAATAAGTTAAGGATTTCAAGATGAGATCATCGTGTGTTACGTGGGTGTGCCCTAAATCCAATGACAAGCATCCTAAGAGACACACAGAGGACAGACAAACACCAAGAGGAGACGGTCATGTGAAGACAGAAACAGACTGGGGTGATGCAGTCACAAACCAAGGAACACTTGGCGCCACCAGAAGCCAGAAGAGGTAAAGAAATCCCCCCCAGAGCCTTCAGAAGGAGCATGGCCCTGCCGACACCTTGATCTCACACTTCTGGCCTCCAGAACTGTGACAGAATAAATTTCTGTTGTGTTAAGCCACCAAGTCTGTGGTAGTTTCTTAAAGCAGCCTTAGAAAACTAACAGAACACCCTTAGGGCTATTTCAAGGATGATTAATAACTAATATGACTTCCCATCTCCAGTGCAGTGCTGGGCCCATAGTACCTGTGACTTGCTGGCTTGCTGGGGAAGGCAGAATGAGGCCAGAAATTGTTCCAGAGGTCTCCCCAGACAGCAACTTCACACACTTGCTTTGGGCCAGGCTTAAAGAGCCAGCTCTGAAGGTGCCAGCCTCGTTTCTCCCCTCGTGATGCCAGCTCTACCCAAACAGCCTATTCTCCCCTGGAAACGGGGGGTGGCTACACATTTCTAGAATGTACCATGCCCCTTGGGTCAAAGCACCTGCCTCATGGGAGATAAGTTAACCACTCCACCCCAACTCCCTTCACACAAACTCTGACGGTGTTTCAGCTTTGGAGCTGCATCCATCAGCCAGGCACAACAAGCAGCCAACAGGCGAGGCATGACTGCTTAAAGGAGTGTGGGGGAGCAGGAAAATACGCATGTCCCTTCTTACCTGCAAGGATGGGGAGCAGGCACCCCTGGGGTGGCTACAACTTTGGTCTGGAAGATTGAGAGAAGGGCTTAGAAATGAAACTATTCGGGCTAACTAGACCTTTTGGAAGTGGCAGGCCAGGGTGAGGTAGCTTGGGGAGATTTTTAAACTCTACATTAGTCTGTTTTCACATTGCTATAAAGATATACCCGTGACTGGGTAATTTATAAAGAAAAGAGGCTTCATTGATTCACAGTTCCACATGGCGGGGGAGGTCTCAGGGAACTTACAGTCACGGCCAAAGTTGAAGAAGGCACATCTTACACCGTGGCAGGTGCGAGAGAGAATGTGTGTAGGAGGAACTGTCAAACACTTATAAAACCATCAGATGTCAGGAGAACTCACTCACCATCATAAGAACAGCATGGGGGAAACCACCCCCATGATCCAATCACCTCCTCCCCTCAACACGTAGGGATTACAGGTACCTCCCTCAACATGTGGGGATCACAATTCGTGATGAGATTTGGGTGGGGATACAGAGCCAAACCGTATCATACTCCAGCCTCCTAAATCAAATGAACAAAACTACTTGATTTACATTAAAGCAGTATGTTTGCTCTGCAAAACCAGCTCCCAGTCAACTCCCCAGTTCCTCAAACCCCGTTTCATGCCAACTTCAGACCCTTGACTAATTCTCTGAAGAAATTCTGGAACCATCCATGTTCCCCCACACCCCGCTCCCCCACTACCCTTCTTTCTTACTGGCTGCTGTGCTCTTCTGCAGCTGTAGGGATGATCTGGACTCCCCTCCTAAGCTGCTTTTGACGCATGTTGGAGATCTTAAATAACCAGAAGGCCCTACGTCGTGGGGCCACTAGAAGAATTCTGAATGTTTTTATTGTTCTTAAAAGCTGTGAAACCCTGGTCTACGACAGTGCATAGGCATGCACACACACACACAACCACAAATACCTGCCTGGCCCCTGGCCCAGGAGCCCCTTCTCAGGTTCTCCCTGGGTCTACAGGTGCCATGTAAGTCAGAGCAGCCCAACAATGCGGGCTCCAGCCTCGCCTGCTCCCTCCCTCCTGCCCAGTCTTTAAAAAGAGTCTACGCTTTCACCCTGGGGATCTGCCCAAGGCTTTGCTTCCCCAAAGAGGCTATGAACACCCAGGTTTCCACTATTAGGGGTCCCCCCTTCATCTGCATATCTCCTGCTCTTGACCACATTCACCTGCTTTCAGATCAGAAAAATAAGGGCTTAGTGCTTGATTTGCTTTCAGCTTCATTTAGAAGACAAGGGAAAAACTGAAAGCAGATCCAAGCATTTTTATTACCAGTCTCCAGTACCTGTACACATTTATTGCGTATGTAGATTTTTTTTCCCGGATCTGTTTACGTGGGGGGTGTTGCATGCTGATTTATGGGGCAAGTGGCTCTGTCATTTCAAGCCTTCAGCCATCACAGCTGTGGAGACGCTTTTTAAACTCCAGCTAATGGGAAGAAAAAGAAGTTTCAGTTACGTTGTGTCCAGGCAAACTAAGGCGGTTCCAACACTAGTCTGTCCTGGGATTGCCTTTGTGTTCAGAGTCTGACAAGGGTGCGTGCCTGTCATTGCATCCATGGAAAGCTTAATGCGTGCAAGGACACCGGGGTGATGGGAAAGAAAACCCGGGCAACAAGGTTGTGTAGAGGGCCACCCTGCCCCCTGAACTTGGTGTTCCAGCCTGAGCAAGGAATACAGTGTTACGGTACAGAGGTGCTCCCTCGCTGGAAGAGACCAGGTTTACTTCCTACCAAACAAGCAGCGTTCAAATCCGAATGTCAGCCTCTCACCTCCCTTCCTTCCGGAAGAACCGCATTGTTTATTTAGCCTTTGGTTTGTGGATCTCTGTGGCAAGCTTGTTAGGAAGAGCAGTGGGCATGTTGCTGCAGGGGCAAAACGGTGCCCAGAAGGCTGGTTTAGACACAGCGCGTTGGCCACTTACTGTCTCCAGACAATCTTAGAACATCCCACTTGGTCAAAGGGCAGTTTTCATGACTTTCATCCCCACCCTTAGTGGAGATCTCTCAAATGGACCCCAATTCTGTTTTTTGTTTTTGTTTTTTAGACGGAGTCTTGCTCTGTCACCAGGCTGGAGTGCAGTGGTGCCATCTCGGCTCACTGCAACCTCCGCTTCCCAGGTTCAAGTGATTCCCCTGCCTCAGCCTCCCAAGTAGCTGGGACTACAGGTGTGTGCCACCATGCCCGGCTAAATTTTTGTATTTTAGTAGAGATGGGGTTTCACCATGTTGGCCAGGATGGTCTTGATCTCCTGACCCCGTGTTCCGCCCACCTCAGCCTCCCAAAGTGCTGGGATTACAGGTGTGAGCCACCGCGCCTGGCTTTTTTTTTTTTTTTTTTTTTTTTTTTTAGAAAGAGTCTTGCTGTTTCACCAGGCTGGAGTACAGTGGCACGATCTCAGCTCACTGCAACCTCTGCCTCCCAGGTTCAAGAAATTCTCCCGCCTCAGCCTCCCGAGTAGGTGAGACTACAGGTGCGTGCCACCACACCTGGCTAATTTTTGTATTTTTAGTACAGACGGGATTTCACCATGTTGGCCAGGATTGTCTCGATCTCTTGACCTCGTGATCCACCCGTCTCAGTTTCCCAAAGTGCTAGAATTACAGGCATGAGCTACTGCACCCGGCCTCTTTCTTTTTTTTTTTTTTTCTTTTTTCTTTTTTTCTTTTTTTTTTGAGATGAGATTTCACTATGTTGCCCAGGGTGGCCTCAAATTCCTGGGCTCAAGCAATACTCCCTCATCAGCCTCTTCGGTAGCTGGGACTACAGGCCTGGACCACCACACCCAGTTTGGACCCCTATTTTTGAAAGCAACTCCCAGTTTCAGGCCCTTGTTATCTGCTATTGTCTTTCCCCACAAGGCATGGGAAGGATTCCACCTGCCTAGGTCTGGCAACCAACTAGCACATTGTAGATCTAAGCCAGGGGTCATCAAATTTTTTCATAAAGAGCCATGGGTAGTAAATGTCTTCAGTTTTGTGGGTAATCCCTGTCGCCACCATTCCACTCTGCTGCTGTTGTGGGAAAGCAGCCATAGACATTATGTACATGAATGAATGTGGCTGTGTCCCAGTAAATATTTACGGACACTGAAACTGGGGCTTTATATAATTTGCACATATATATATATATATATATATATATATATATATATATATATATATTTTTTTTTTTTTTTTTTTTCTTTTTTTGAGACGGAGTCACTCTGTTGCCCAGGCTGGAGTGCAGTGGTATGATCTCGGCTCACTGCAAGCTCTGCCTCCCAGGTTCATGCCATTCTCCTGCCTCAGCCTCCCCAGTAGCTGGGACTACAGGCGCCCACCACCATGCCCAACTAATTTTTTGTATTTTTAGTAGAGACGGGGTTTCACCATGTTAGCCAGGATGGTCTCGATCTCCTGACCTCGTGATCCACCCACCTCAGCCTCCCAAAGTGCTGGGATTACAGGCGTGAGCCAAAATATATATTTAAAATAATACTTTCAACCATTTAAAAATATTTCTTAGCTCATAAGCAGTACAAAGGCGGGTAGTGAGCTGGGTTTGGTCTGTGGGCCTCCATTTGTCAGGCTCTGAAATAAGCAACAGCAGAACAAGCCCTCCCACTCCCTGCACCCCTCAGCCCAGGTTTGAAGTTTGGACTTTGCCTTTTTCATTCACAGCTCTGGCTGCTACTGGGTGAGAGCCAGCCATCAACAAGGAATTTCTGCATTTTGGTGAAACCTAAATCCGGCAAGAGGCAACGAAAGGGCCAGTCTCATGGGGAGTCAAGACCAGGCCAGGAAGAAGAGGAGGCTTCCGATTTCCTCTCCTGCTGTGATCATGTGTACAAAGATATACACAGCCTCCTTCCAGAAGAGGCAGCAAGTCAAGTCACAGAACAATCTGAAAGGGCAGCCTTGAGCCCGTGTTCATGTTCCAGCCATCTTCTCCCACTTAAACCTCTGCAGTACACGCTGTAGAAGTGATTAAGAACATCTAATGGACTTCCCCACACAACGGAAAGTTTATTTCACTCTCCAACCCTGTCAGGTGAACGGCGCTAATTTTACAATTCCCAGAAATTCCGCAGCCCCTGAACCATACACAATCCTAAACTTCGAGAGCCCCAGGCTTCCTCCGTTTTTCCCATGTGATATTTCCCTTTGTAACACCACCCATTTCAATTTGCTTGTAACAACACCAAACCTGGAGCCGGAGAGACCTTGCCGTGCAGAAACCATCCTGAGCTGCTCCTGTTCCGGTCTGCCTTTGAGATCGTGGTACTTCACCATTCACCAGCTTGGTCTGCGCATGTCTTTTTTTTTTTTTGGAGATGGACTCTTGCTCTGTTGCCCAGGCTGGAGTGCAGTGGTGCAATCTTGGCTCACTGCAACCTCCGCCTCCCAGGCTCAAGCGATTCTCCTGCCTCAGCCTCCCGAGTAGCTGGGATTACAGGCATGCCGCCACCATGCCAGGCTAATTTTTGTATTTTTAGTAGAGATGGGGTTTCACTACGTTGGCCAGGCTGGTCTCAAACTCCTGACCTCAGGTGATACACCCGCTTCGGCCTCCCAAAGTGCTGGGATTAGAGGTGTGTACCACCGTGCCTGGCCTGGTCTGTGCACTTCTAAAAGTGTTTAATTGTCCCTTAAAAATCATATTAGGCATTCATTGCCTATTTAGTATTCGTAAAGTGAATGCTTGTTTAAAAAGGGAACCATAACAGGTTGAATGTTATCAATACAACTTCATAAGTTTTTGAAAATTTTGATCATTATTTTCATTGATTTAAAACTTATTAACCTGGGCGCAGTGGCTCACGCCTGTAATTGCAGCACTTTGGGAGGCCCAGGCAGGTGGATCGCTTGAGCTCGGGAGTTCAAGACCAGCCTGGGCAACATGGCATAACCCCAGGTCTACAAAAAACATACAGAAATTAGCTAGGCATGGTGGTGCATGCCTGTAGTCCCAGCTACTCGGGAAGCTGAGGTGGGAGGATGGCTTGAGCCCAGAAGGACAAGTCTGCAGTGGGTCATGATTGTGCCACTGCTCTCTAGCCTGGGCAACAGAGCAAGACCCTGTCTCAAAAAATTAAAAAAAAAACAAACCAAAAACTTATTAAATGTTTTTTGTTAAAAATTGTGTGTACAATGGACACTTGTGTTTGTAATAGATTAGCAATTTCACAAACAAATTTCTTCCGCAATGACAATTTTATATCTATACACATACACATATTTTATCTTCATATTTGTTTCAGTAAGTACATCTATGTCAAATAGCTGTAGATAGACAGATGGAAATAGCAGCTAATACCTGAGTGTTGATAGTGGCTAATATGCAGCAGGCACTGTTTCATGCTTCCCAGGTACAATCTCATTTAACTCAACAATCCTTTGACATAGAATCATTTGTCATCCCACTTACAGACCAAGAAAGCGTTCTTTGCTTCTTTTTTTTTTTTTTTTTTTTTTGAGACGGAGTTTAGCTCTTCTCACCCAGGCTGGAGTGCAACGGCGTGATCTTGGCTAACTGCAACCTCCACTTCCCGGGTTCAAGCAATTCTCCTGCCTCAGCCTCCTGAGTAGCCGGGATTACAGGCATTAGCCACCACACCTGGCTAATTTTTGTATTTTTAGTAGAGACAGGATTTCACCATGTTAGTCAGGCTGGTCTCGAACTCCTGACCTCAGGTGATCTGCCTACAGCGGCCTCCTAAAGTGCTGGGATTATAGGCATGAGCCACCGCGCCCAGCTGCTTGATTCTTAATTTATAAATCTGTAAGTGTCCTCTGTCCCTTTCAAAGAACCTCATGCTATGGATTTTAACTAGTAAGAGACACCAGCAAGCGTCAGTTAAGTGTCCTCTGTCCCTTTCAAAGCACCTCATGCTATGGATTTTAACTAGTAAGAGACACCAGCAAGCATCAGTTAAGTGTCCTCAAAAGAGAATTAGAGGCTGGGAGCAGTGGAATGGCTTGAACCCAGGAGGCGGAAGTTGCAGTGAGCCTAGATCATGCCATTGCACTCCAGCCTAAAAAAGAATTAGAAGAGGAAAAGAAACCTAAAAGGAGTGCAGCCCAAAAGGAGGCAGTGTTCTGAGCTGCAGAAGGAAAAAATCACCTACCCATATGTGCACGGTAAGCTGAATTCAGTCACTGAACAGCTTCATGTGCTGAGGTATCCCTTTGTAAATTGTATTTCAAAGGTCCGGAGCGGATGGTTCCCCAGTGCCGGACATTGAATGCCCTCCCATCCACTGACTTCTACAGCACCTCATGTGACCTTCTGAAACAGGACTTCAAGGCAATTTGGAGGAGCCCATTCAAAAATCCCAGACACCCGGCATAAAAAAAGGGCACAAGAAGGGCCCTACTCCAGAATGTCACTTGAGACATGGACGGCTTCTGCTGTCCCTGCCCAGGGTCGACAGCCAAGTCATTTCAAGGCTCCTGGGGATGAAATGTGAGAGAAGATAAACTTTGCTTTCATCTTTAAAACCATGAAAAAATAAATAACATCAAAATGCAGGCTTGGTAAGGAGGAACCTAATGGACCCACATACATAAGTAATGGTGCATTCATTAGTCCGCATGGACTGCTCAAGCTTGCGTGACTTTACTTGGTATAAAACTGGGGATGTGAGGACAGATACACTCAAGCATTCCAGCCAGAAAGATCCTGCATCCTTGCACCACTTAGCAGTGCTTCCTTCCTCTCTCAGCCAAGAGGGAAGACAGGGAATTGATTGGTTTCTCAGCTTCTCCATTTCATGAAGATCCACTGAGGCATCTTAGCTACCTTGGCCATTTCATCAGTGTAGAAACCAAGCTGATTAATTGAAGTATCTTTTTCTGGAAAAACCAGGAAAGCATTATGTATCTTTATTCAATGATCTGCATCCTATCTCCTCAGCTACGAAATTCTTATGAAGATACTTCATATCCACTAGGATGGCTATAATAAAAAATATGGATAATAACAAGTGTTGACAAGGATGTGGAAAAACTGGAATGCTCATGCACTGCTGGTGGGAATGTAAAATAGTGCAGCCACCTTGGAAAACAGTCTAGCAGTTACCATATGATCCCGCAATTCCACTCCTACATATATGCCCAAGAGAAATGAAAACCTGACCACACAAAAACCCAGTACATGAATGTTCATAACAGCACTATTCATAACTGGAAAGTACAATCTAAATGTCCATCAATGGACAAATGGATAAACAAAATGTAGTAAATTTATATCATGGAATAGGATTTGGCAATAAAAATGAAGTGCTGTTACAGGCTACCGTATGAACAAATCTTGAAAACATTAAGTGAAGAAGTTGGACAAAAAAGGTCACATAGCATATGATTCCATTTACATGAAATGTCTAGAGTAGGCAAATCCATAGACAGAGAGCAGATTGGGGGTTGCCAAGGACTGGGGGAGGGGGAAATGCAAGTGGCTAACAATGGGAATTTGTTGGCTTTATGGAGTGATGAAAACGTTTTGGAATTAGATAGTGGTGATGGTTACACAACGTGGATATACTAAAATCACTGAAATGTAGAAAAAAATTCTCAGGAAGTAGAAAACGAACACTTATTGAGTCCTGTCTGCCACAGCTAAGCCCTACAGCAAATCCTCATGGCAAGTCGAGAGGCTGGTGAGGACCAGGTTCACCTAGAGACAAACATCCAGACAGAAGCTGGGATTTGCGCACCATCACCCAGCTGTAAGAAACAAACCAATCAATTCTGTCCAAGCCCACAAGTCCACTGTCTTTCTCCTGCACTGAACAAGGCTGCAGTCTTGTTCCTTAGACCACATCCCAGCCATGTGACCCTCAGGGACCTCAAGCGGAGCCTCAGCTTCCTCTTCTGTCCTAGCTGAGCCCTCTGGACCCAGCCCTGCAAGCAATCTTCAGTGATGCAGTATAAGGTAGCAGCCCCATTTCTTGTTTTCAAAACTGGAGGTGGAGTCCTCAGTTCATAGCAGCTCAAGTTGTTCAGACGTTTTACTATAAATGCATGTTTTAATTTCCTATGTTCCTATGTGTGGGGTTAAGGAACTCCCCACAAGATCAGATGCAGAGAAGCTCCCTGAGGAGGGATGGAGAGGCTGTGTGGTGGATGCAGGGTACCCTGTCCCCTGGGAATGCACAGAACCCCCGTGAAGATGCTACTTTTCCACCCGCTTTCTCTGGCTCCCCATCCTGCCAGAGGCTACCATCAGCTAGACGTTTTGAGGCAGCCTCTTGGATATGCCTTTCCCAGTTAGGAACAGCAGGCCGGGCACTACACATCCAAGATGCCTGCAATCTTTTGGTTCTTCACAAATGAACTCATCTCATGATGGTTAGGTGACCATCACATGTAGTTGCAACTAATTTCCAACGCTCTCCTTAGGTTCTTGGGGGAGGAGAGCCATAAGCTCCAGGATTCTTATCGAATCCTACCTGTGTATGCTCATTTGGGACAGGTCTCAAAAAAAAAAAGGTACTGTATTACCTATCATTCTCATGGACCACACTGCCTTCTTGCCCTTCATGACAAGTGTCTCTTTCAAAATAATTCTAAAATCAAAATGGCCAAAAGACCATTTAGGATTCTTGCCCACCCATCTCCATGAAATGGGCCAGAAATACAGCAGTTCTTACTGCCATTATAATCTACACTGTCAAGGCTATAAACTGCCCTTCAGTGTCTAAAGTACAGCATATGCACCAGAGAGCTGCACGGAGGAACCAGCGTAGACCCCAGCAAGTCCATCCTCACCCTTGCCAAGGACATCTCACGGTAGAAATGTCCCCAGGGGTACAGAACATCACCCTGTACACTTGTGTCTAACAGGTGACAATTTTCTTAGGTGGCTTTCATGCACCTTATTTTTAAAATCACATTCCCAAGAGCCCTGTTATCCTGTAAGAAACAGAAGGACAGAGGTTTGGGAAATACAGAACCAGGACCCTAGGCCACTCCCCTGATGGCTGGTGACACCTTGCTCCACCATGAATGGCCTCAAACAGAAAGAAGACCCCAAAGACAGCACTCTTTACCAATGGCCCTGTAAGGTTCTAAGAGCCTGGCTGAAGTGCAGGAGAAGTTGGCCTATGTTCAATTCCCTTTCCTGCTGCTGATGAGGCTGGCAAGTAGATACAACAGACCCTTAAGAGTCACAGATTCACATTTGTTAACTGACAGGCAAAACTCCATTTCCCTCTTCAGATCGTTGGTGGTATGAAAATAAATAATTATTCGAACATTTGTCCAAGTTTTCTTTTGGAAAATTTGAAGCAAATCCTTCTCTCCATACATCATGAAGAAAACAGCCTAAAAGGTTTTTAAGTCCCCAGGATTCAGATGTTCTGAACGTCTTCCCTACTCAATACCTGTCATCCTTAGGTCACCTTCCAGTTTGCAAAGCTCTCTACCATGTGGCTCTTTGTTTGCTCCTCTGGGGAACTGGTAGGGCTCAGAAAGGAACGATGATTCCATTGAGGTGCCAGTAAGCAACCGAGCCAGGGCTCCAACCAACTGATTCAGATTTTCCACTGGATCAACCTCAACCTGTCACAGGTACTGCTGGTCTCAGTCAACCCCTCTGGCAAGTCACCCCCGTGTGTAGCACATAAGACCCTTGGCAGCCCTGCCCTTCCTGCATTCACAACAGCACTCAGTCAGCACCTCCAAGCACAGGAAACCATTTGGTAAGACACGAGTATTAAAAAAATAAGTTGCGTGACATTTATTTTGTCTTGTTAACATTAATATCTGTAGAAACATTTTTATTGTCAGTATAAAAATTAACAGGTTTTATTAAATACTTTCTCCAATTTTGTAACACATAAGATCAGTGTAATCTGCATTCATCTTGCACGGCTATTGCAAAGTGAGTGGGTGTTTCCAAAGCAAAACACAATACTTTAGTACAGAAGGAACAACGGCGATATTTTGTCTGATGTAGGTATGAGGCTGGATCTTTTGGTGAGGTCCTGCCAGAATTAGATGAAAGCAATCCCTTAAAAAGATGGACGTATCCCCAAAACTATCAGCAGAACAACTCTGTGTTTCAATTTTCTATGATGGGACTTGAAGATCCTAACAGGCGTCTCCAACGCCAAAGAGTCTGGAAGCCATTATCAAAATTCACTGAAGAGAATACAGGCTAATCTGATTAATGTGCAACTCAGAAGCAGAAGGCCAGCTGCCAGAGAGAAGCACATTCTGCTATCATTTCAACTAAGGTCTGTCCTCAAGGAATGGATTAAGGCATCTTTTAAGAGGACGCTGGTACCATTTATCTTGGGAAGTCCAGTTAGACGTTGCGTTGACGTAATGACAGGGTTGCACACCAAAATGAAACACCTTCCTATGAATGAGTTCTTTTAATATGGGGCATTTAGGAGGTCTAAGAACAATCGTCTGACAGCAGCATTTAAACACAAATAAATCAAAACTTCATTTTCCCCAAATTAGTCATATATTGTAAATATTCTCTTTTCAAAGGATCTGATAACTAGTTAAGTCCAAGCAATAGATTAACTAGTCTGCTGTGCTGCCTGCATAGAAATGCCACTTAAATTACAAAAAAAACTATAAATGATTAATTGTTTTGTATATTACCAATTTATTAATAAATTAACGTTATACCATTTTCCCTGAAAGCAAAAGTATTTTTCCACCTCTGCTCGGTGAAAATTAAGAAATTATGTGTAAGAACAGCATTTAGCAAATAGCTATTAAAAAAAGAGAGACCAATTTTCTAGGTGCATTGGGACATCCATTTAAAATCAATACAAAAAATAACTCCTTGTAAATATATAATATATATTTATACATAATTTGAATATATTTACATACATCCAGCACCTATATACTGCATTTGTGCTCTGTAAGTGTGTGCTGACATAAATCTTCTCCAATTATTACAAAATTAACAAGGAAGGCAGAACGCACGTCCACCTTGAGTCCTACTGGTCCACAGCCAGTACGCACGGCAGGTGAGAGGGGTTACATGGTGGCTTGTGGCAGTCCACTGCTCCAGAAACCTTCTTCTCCTCCTGGGGAAGATTACAAGTTTTCAACTGTATAAATCTTTACACATATGCTGATTACTTTTCCAATTATTTACTCCTCTGATCCATATATACAAGTGGAGACAACAAGCTCTGGGAGGCATGGTCTCCCTGCTCAGTGTAGCTAGGTTCCCAGTGCTGTCCTGTTTGGGGACAGGCAGACACAGTCATTCATGTTTTAACACTGCCGTTTATGTGTGGATACTGAGGAAGGCATGGTTCGTAAGGCATGGGGTCTGGAGAAAAAACAGAATCATCTCCTGAAGAACAAGAACTTCTTGTGTCAGGGTAACTAGGTGAATACTGTTCGAGAGGTTGGCTGAGGTCCAAGTATTCCTGAAAGAAGGGAAGAGAGACGTTTTATTTCATCTTGGGTCAGGATAACAAGGTGAATACGGTTCGAGAGGCTGACTGAGGTCCAAGTATTCCTGAAAGAAGGGAAGAGAAGAGTTTTATTTCAAACACAAACTCTTGAGATGTGGGTATTGGACGTGGGACAGGACAGGAGACCCCTAGAAGGTGAACAGAGACCCAGCCCACCTGACTTCCACGAAGACCTCCCTGAGACCACGTCTGATGTACCCCAGGCTGTCCTTAGCTTTTCTCTTGGAATCCATCATAAATCAACTATTGACAGGTAGAGAACAATAAAACCTAGTTGAGCTATAGGTGCTGGGCAGGCAACTCGGCTTCACACGGACCTAAATAACCCGCTGAGTCTACACCACCTCCTCACTAGAGCCCTTGCTTCAAATGCGAGCCCCAGCAAAATGAAAACCGGTAACATGTTGTGGGTCCCCAGACCCCCTTTAAGTAGTTGAGACTATGAATATTTATTTTCTGAATTACATTTTACTATTGTAGTTTCGGGGATAATTGAAGGGGAATACTTCTTCATTCAGTGGGTAATTTAACAGATGTAACTGATTACTCTCAGAAGCTCTCCGAGTTGAAAATGTAAACAGGTTCAAAAAAGGCTTAGACATACTCATGTATGTTAAATCCATAATGCACTGTTAAAGGAAACTTCAGGAAAATATCGGTTAAGTTTCAAAGTTTTGAAGGTTCGAGATTCAGAAAGTGTCCTTTGCTCCCCAAGGCATCCAGTGCTGGTGCTGCAAAAAGCCCTCTGGATCACCCCAGGGTGACACTTCCTCCGACTTGGGTGCCCACAGACGACTTTGTATGGCCTGAGGGCTAAAGATGGTCTTTAACATTGGTAAGCGGTTGAAAAAAAAAATCAAAAGAAGAAGAATATCTTATAGGATTAAAATGAATAAAATTTATATACAATTATATAAAATTCCAATTTCAGGATCCATAAAATTTTACTAGAAGACAGACTAGAACACATCTATTTACATATTGTCTGTGGCTACTTTGAGGCTACAGTGGCGAAGTTGCAACAGAGACCACAGGGCCGGCAAAGCTGAAAATATTTACTCCCTGGCCCTTTACAGAAAGCAGTTGCCGACCCCTGTTCTGAAGCTATGAAAAGCTTTCTAAATTGGGAACTTGTGGGTCTCTCTGCCTCCACTGGGCTGGCACAGTGGGGCAGTTCTGCTCACACATCCAGAAGCCAACAACTATTCTATGACATGTGGTTTTGCTGAGAGGGGGCAAAAAGTGCAGACCACAGCACAAACAGCCTCAGTGTTATCAGAAAAGAGCCCATGGAATGTTGGCAACTAGACATTTTTAAAGACACACACACACACACACACACACACACACACAAAACCCTCTAATTCATCACCAGGGTTGGCAAGAGAAAGAGTCCCCATCCCAGCATCCCAGAAGGGGAATGTATCAGTTCCAACAACATCAGCATTAACCACACAACTGGAAACAAACACGCCCACCACATCAAAAGAGAACTTTTTGCTTACAATGATAAAAACGAAATTTTGTCCTAAATGGAACCGTTTTTCTTGAGCATATGGTAATGATTTTCAGAAGGAAAGAAACTTCGATTTTTATATCCACCAGACAATATGGCATTCTGCTTTTTTATTTTAGGGTACTAGATACAAATTTCAGTATCAACGGACCCACTCTACATGTAAATATATAAATAAATCACTTTGAGCATAGACATGAGATCATTAAAATAGAACTTTAGTGCTTTTCCCGGTTTCTTTCTTTTTTATTTTTATTTTTTTTTTTTTTGAGACGGAGTCTCGCTCTGTCGCCAAGGCTGGAATGCAATGGCATGATCTCGGCTCACTGCAACCTCCGCCTCCCCGGTTCAAGTGACTCTCCTGCCTCAGCCTCCCGGAGTAGCTGGGATTACAGGTGCACACCAACACGCCCGGCTAATTTTTTGTATCTTTAGTAGAGACAGGGTTTCACCATGTTGGCCAGGCTGGTCTGGAACTCCTGACCTCATGATCCGCCTGCCTCGGCCTCCCAAAGTGCTGGGATTACAGGCATGAGCCACTGCGCCTGACCAACTTTTCCCAGTTTCTCAATGAAGCCATAAACTTTCAGATCTGATAGGAAAAAAACAGGGATATCAGTAGATTCCAAGTCTACAGTTAAAGGAACTTATACTAGAAACAACAATTTTGGCAGAAGAAGAAAGTTGGTTTCTTCCCCCCCTTGAACCGTTCCTTTCCTTTCAACTTCTGAAGGTCAGCTGTATTCATTTAAGTGCAATCTCTTCCTTTATCCAGCACAGGCCACAGTCAGACGCATAAGATAAAGCTGCTGAGCTAAGACTTCATATCACTACATTTGATTATTACTTTTTAAAAAATCACTCTAAAACTATTTCCTAAATCAGAAATTAAGTGTATTATTTTCCTTCTAAAATACTTGGGGGACTTTAACTTTTTTCTTGTTGAGACAATTGCATGGTTTGGAGTTAGTTTCCTGTGTAAAAGAACACTATTGTGCATCCTCATTAAATATCTCAAAATACATTCATTAACAATTTCTCTATCTTAAGATTTGACTAGACTTGATGGGTTTATCATCTTTCCTGCTCAGAGCATATGCTTTCCATAATTATAAAAGGCACTCTATCTGCATATTGAAGGAGCCACTGACATGGCTAAATTTGCACAGTGAGTGACAGACGAGTGTTTATTTTGTTGGCAAGGATCATAAATTATTATTATTTTCTTTTTGAGATGAAGTCTTGCTCTGTCTCCCAGACTGGAGTGCAGTGGCGCAATCTCAGTCACTGCAAACTTCACCTCCTGGGTTCAAGCGATTCCCCTACCTCGCCTCCTAAGTAGCTGGGATTACAGGCACATACCACCACATCCAACTAATTTTTGTATTTTTAGTAGAGACAGGGTTTCGCCATGTTGGCCAGGCTGCTCTCGAACTCCTGGCCTCAGGTGATCTGCCCTCCTCGGCTTCCCAAAATGCTGGGATTACAGGCGAGAGCATAAATATTTTAGGGAAAATAAATATTTTAACAAAAGGTACATGTTTTTATGTAAAAATCATGTAAGTTGCTCATTGTAGAAAACAGTGTATGTTTATATACACCTAGAAAGAGGCTGCAAGGCATATAGCATTACCAACAGGATCACATAGGATAGTACTGTGGTAACAGAAGCTGGTGTTAGAAAACTTCATTGTATTCCATCAAGCAAATGATGACGAACATTATCAGTTTACCCACTAATGACCAAAGCACAGAATCAAACTTGCACAGGAATCCAAGCTTTTTCCCATGCACACCAAAATGCAAGTGAATACTGCTTCCCCTTTCCCACTCTCCCACATACCCCGGACTGCTCCACCAGCAGCTACACTGAAGGCAGCCTCGGGGATGTCCCTCTGTCTTTGGTTTCATGAGTCAGAACTCACAAAATGAAGTTCTGAGAAAAATCATGATTTGAGAGGAACCCATAGTTGAACTATCTGACCCTATGGAAAAAGAATAAACAAGACCACAGACTCCAACCAACAGCCAACAGGGGAGTGTGTGTGTAAAACACTACGCATGTCTCACAAGACAACCAAGGACAAGGGGCTTCTAGAAGGAAGTTCTTACCTCATTGGTTGTGAGAGTGAGAATTCGATCCAAGTCTTCTACCAACTGCTTGAACGTTGGTCTCTGGGAGGGCACTGCATGCCAACAGTCCCTCATCATCATGTACCTGGGAAAAATGGATTTCCTTGAATTAATTTCATATGCACTGGGTACGTGGTTATAGTCAGTTTTAATAGGCAATATGGGGACGTGGTGTAAATTAGGAAAATGCATCAGAACCTTCCAAGCAACTAGATTAGGGGGTCATGAATCACTTTCCCAAAAGCTTCCCTGCCAGTTCCTCCGAAAGGCACTTTGACTTACAAAAACATGTTAGAAAGGCATCGAAGCCATCAAGAAAGACACAGCTATGTGTTTTCCCTGGTAACCCTGGGCCACAGTGACATCTCACAATGGCGTCACACCCTAAAGATGCTTTGGAGGCTGAAGGAAAATGCGTATTTCCATGGGCTGGTCTCCAGTCTTCCCTCCCCTGACACCCTGCCCAGCACCAAAGCAGCTCCACTATTTATCTGCCCGGTGCTTTGGGTCTTAATGATTCTAGTTGACACAGCTTCCTGAGTTAAAAAAAAATTAAATAAAATTTGAAAACTACAACTTCAAGTTTTTGATGAATTAATCTGCCACCACTGGGCTGCACACTAACTTCCTGATTAACTCTTAGATAGGCTTAGCTTCCCAGGTCTTATCTTGATTTTGGGTTTCGACAGATCCTCTACGTTACAAAAGAAAAAAAACAATAGGAATGACAAAGAGCACAATAAATGCCTTTATATAATATGCTATAAAATGTGGCCATTCATCAGACATCCACGGTACACCGAAAAGCACTCACGGGATTACTGATATAAAATCCCCATGAAATGATACACAATAGACCGCAGTTTCTGGGACAATCACTCTTCTTAGTTAATCCTGGAGGGGTTGAGGCAGGAGGCAGAGAGACTCCTTTCAAAGCACTGATTCTATTGCACCAGGCACACGTCACAAACACAACATAACTCCACTTAAAGTGTGAGGCAGGTTTTGCTACAAACCAGTTCATGGTTTTACAGGCAGATCTGGTACAGTAAGGAGGGCGCCTGGACACATGTTTAATTCTCTGCACTAAAACACAAGTGAGACCTAGGTAACCAAACACGAGTTCCTTCGCTCTGAGGAAATGTGGTTGGCGTCAATCTGTAATGGCAATTTTCAATGGTTCGAGAAGTTCTGGAAACACCGATTCTCTACTGGCCACGATGGGGCCAGGCGGGGGCCAGGCACAACCACCAGGGAAAGGCTGTGTTGGTTCCTTAATCCTACACCCTGCAGGGCGGCCCCGCGGCTTTCTAGCTTGTTTCCTGACCCGTGGGTCTTCCTGTCACTCCACGGGAGACCGCAGAAGGTGCAGCACAGTGGCCCAGGAAGACCACTCCTGCTGGCTCTGCAAAGTCAGGAGCCCTCAGCCAGGCAGCCAGACACCCTCTGATCCAAAGCCCTCTCCATACTCAGAATAATGTTCTTTCTCTCAGACAAGTAATGGTTGTCGGTGTCGCTATGTATCCCAGCTCTGGATTGAGCCCAGAGAGCTTCAGCCATTCTTCTTAGAGCATGTTTAGGAAACCAGGGGCCTTCAAAAACGAGATACATCAGGAGAGGTATTACTGGTGTGGCAAGTCCACTGGGGCACCGGCAGGAAAGACAACAGCCCTTACAGTTCGTTGGTGCAGTTGGCTGGCTTATCCATTCTGTGTCCTTCCTTCAGCAGCTTAAAAAGTTCCTCCACGGGAATCCCTGGGTAGGGCGAGCCCCCTAAAGTGAAGATCTCCCACATTAACACCCCGAAGGACCAGCTGCAACAAAAGGAGAAAGCACGGCATTACTAACCCATCCACGTTGCCAAAACCTAAACACGCCCAGCTGAGACATAAACACCTCCTCACTTCTGAAGTTCAAAGACAAATGGGCCCTCCTGCAGTTCCTCCTATGTGCTCTTTCCTGCCCTGCAAGAGCATCCCCGAATGATGATGACACGGGGATGTGCTGATGGAATTTTCCATCAATAGACAAAAAGGCAAACTGCCATCACTCTGGAATAGAGCTGCTTGTCTTAAATGTGGTGTTAGCAATGCAAGGATCTCAGTTTCTCAGTTTCAAAGCCTTTACGCTCCTTTCCAACTCCTTATGTGCCTGACCCAAGGGTTGTGATCTACCAGGATGGGCAGTTGACAGAATAAGGCCAGCAAGCCAACTCCGCAGGATCACAGCTGCCCTGTGTGGCTGGCGGAACATCTGCTGCACAGAGGCTCTGGAACTTACTAAGATCGCAAAGGCAATCAGCACTGGGCTGGGGTTAGGATGAGGAATCACATGCCCCAGATGAGTTGCACACAACAAAACTGAACACATCTCACAGGCCATAATTTATTTACACTTGACTCTTCAGAGATTTGGACTTCCTGTGCCAAGTTCAGGAGGCTCAATCTCTGGGAGGAGCAAGCTGAGAGAGCCAGGTTTAGCTACATCATGGTCGTTCTGGAAACTCAACCTTCTGTACTCGATGGTGGTGTTTCACTCCGCAGTTTTCTACAGAGCAAAAGCAGCAGCACAGGACAGGCAGAACAGCCTCTGTGCCTCAGTTGCTCACAGCAAAAATGGGATAGTCATGTCTTTTTTTTAGGATTGTTGAGAGGACCAACTATGGTAGCACAGAATTAATGCCTACCCAGAACTCCTCCTGCTCATACAAATAAAAAATAGTTCAAGTGATTTTTTTTTCCCCAGACAGAGTCTCGCTCTGTTGCCAGGCTGGAGTGCAGTGGCACAATCTCAGCTCACTGCAACCTCTGACTCCCAGGTTCAAGCGATTCTCCTGCCTCAGCCTCCCAAGTAGTGGAGATTACAGACACGCATAACTACGCCCAGCTAATTTTTGTAGTTTTAGTAGAGACGGGGTTTCACCATGTTGGCCAGGATGGCCTTGATCTCCTGACCTCGTGATCCACCCGCCTTGCCCTCCCAAAGTGCTGGGATTGATTACAGGTATGAGTCACTGCACACAGCCTTCAACTGAATTTTCAAATCTAAAATATCAGTTGGAGCCTGACCCCACTGGTTTTGTCAGTATATCATAATAGAAATATTCTACTGTGTTTCTAGAATGCTATCAAGGATGCCAAAGCAAGATCAGACCTTTTTGTTGAGGGATAAACATAGAGAGTAGACCCTGTGGAGGTCCCCAGCCTGGACCACATCTCACTCAGCTCCACTCTTTAAGGACAAATCTGGGTTAGAGGGAAATATGACAAACTACTCGTAAGTGGGAAAAGCTCCAGGATTACTCCTTTAATGGAGTGAAGAACATGCCAAGAGCTTGGCGAATTAGATAACCGCTTTGTAGTTGCACATCCATGAATATGTTCAAGGGAAGGACTTCCGCTCTGGCAGGGGGAGGTCAGCAGTTCCACCTTCTGTGCTCTTTGAAGCCAGGCAGATTAGTAACAGAGCATTGGTTATCAGCCTACCATAAAATCTGTCCTTTCTAAGGCCAGCTCCTGCACCTTCTACGAATGTGTGAAATGCAGCAGCCACTAAAGAAGGAAGAAAGGTGAAGTACGTACAGTATTTTTGCAGCTCAAGCCCAGGAAAAAGCCAGAGAAAAGAGAGTTACTCACACATCACTCTGATGAGTGTATACTCTATCAAACAGGGCTTCTGGAGCCATCCACTTGACTGGAAGCCGCCCCTGCAAATGTAGAGGAAAATGCAAAAACTAAATATATTTAAAAGAATTTATCTTAGCAGGCTCAATAGGGCTATGCCCTGTTTAAGAGCTGATATTCTCGGTTTTTACTAGTCAGTCAATAGAGCAGAAATCAGTCCCAATGAGGACCATGAACAATGTGTGAGATGCACAGGTCTGGGCCGTTAATAAAATGCCATCTCCTTGGATTCTATCCTTTATCTCCCTAGCACACAGATGCTCCTTGACCAGTTATTAGGCAAAAATTAAACCAGTAACTTCCAAGCTGTAGTTTTTGCTATGAAAGTTCTTGATGAGAACCATAAGAAAATCCTAGCGGTTGCTGATTATTCTGTATATAAGTGTTTCACATTTACTAAAATTGACATAATAGAGGCTAAATTTGCATATTGAGAGTTTGTGAATAGTAAGTCAAAAGAACGGGAATCGGGGCAGGGGAATGGGTCCCCAGCCATCCCACCCAGCTCTCAACATTGACGGCCTTTCTTCCTGGAACATTCTGAGCCTCACCCCCGCCCCTGCCCACTGTGTTACTGCCATCGACTTACATTGGTGGTCTTTTTGTAATAGTCTATATTGTTGATATCTCTGGCGAGTCCAAAGTCTGCTATTTTCATCACATTGTTTTCTGTTACCAAAACATTTCTGGCTGCTAAATCTCGATGAATACACTGAAATCAAGAAAGAAGCAAGAGAAATAACTAATTTCAAAACACCGCCAGAACAAAAAGGAAATATGTTCATTTCTTAAAATGCAGATAGAAAATATAGCTGATGTTAAAAACCAGTTGCGGTATACTATAAGAAATACAGTGTGGCCGGGTGCGGTGGCTCATGCCTGTAATACCAGCACTTTGGGAGGTCAAGGTGGGCGGATCACTTGAGGTCAGTAGTTCGAGACCAGCCTGGCCAACACGGCAAAATCCCATCTCTGCTAAAACTACAAAAATTAGCCGAGCGTGGTGGTGTGCACCTGTAGTCCCAGCTACTCAGGAGGCTGAGGCACAAGAATCACTTGAACCTGGGAGACAGAGGTTGCAGTGAGCTGAGATCACGCCATTGCACTCCAGCCTGGGTGACAGAGTGAGACTCTGTCTCAAAAAAAAAAAAAAAAAAAGAAAGAAAAGAAAAGAAAACGCAGTGTGGCTCTAAGATTAAGAAGACAGGTCAACTGGGATCATCGGAGAGCCTGGATCACGACATGTATTTGTTTTGGAATTATAAATAAATAGAATGATCATTTTGAAGAGCGAAGGTAGACTAAATAACCATATTCTCTTCTACCTCCAGTTGTCCAGCCACACCAGTGTCTTTCTTTCAGCTGCTTATAGATCTGTATCTGATCATCCTAAAATCTTTTCTCTCAACACTTGCTCTCCTGCCCTTTAAACCTGAATTTTCAGAAGCGTTGGTTAAAATCCAACATTGTGTCTTCTTCATTCCTGGTCACTTCTCAAACATTCTAATCTGTGTTCCACTCTTGCCTCTCCTGAAGCTTATGAAGAACCTCTGAATTGTTAGACGCAAATGACGTCCTCCAACTCCTCAGTTGTTCCTCCTCTGTGGCTTCAGATGCTATTGATTTCTTGCTTGTTTTTTAAAATGGTCCCTCTGTTTAGGTTTTCTTGTTTTTGTTTTTTTTGTTTTAACATGGAGTCTTGTCCTTGTCGCCCAGGCTGGAGTGCAATGGTGCGATCTTGGCTCACCGCAACCTCCGCCTCCTGGGTTCAAGCGATTCTCCTGCCTCAGCCTCCCGAGTAGCTGAGACTACAGGTGCCTGCCACCACACCCGGCTAATATTTTGTATTTTTAGTAGAGACGGGGTTTCACCATGTCGGTCAGGCTGGTCTCGAACTCCTGACCTCAGGTGAGCCATCCGCCTCGGCCTCCCAAAGTGCTAGGATTACAGGTGTAAGCCACCACACCCAGCCCCTCTGTTTAGTTTTATCCCGTCCCCTTCCCTCAGCTGCCTCTCTGTCTCTCCCTGCCCTCTTAGAATCTCTGGCTGGCTCTTCTCTTTTTCTGTCCCTTCAAATAGAGGAATTGTTCCATTAAGTTTATGTATTTCCATATATCCTCAAGGCATTAATTCTAAACACATACAAAATATGCGCAAGTTCGTATCTCCATCATGACCTCCCTCCTGAGACCCATGTTCTCATTTTCAACTGTCTATGGGACACTTCCCCACTGACATTCCCTTGACGTCTCAAATTCAAGGTTTCAACTCCTCCAATGCTTTGTCTCTCTTAATCGGAGAGCTATACACCGGTATTCTTTACACATTCCTCCCAAGTCCTGTTGATTTCAACTCCAAAATGCCTTCCCATGTGTCCACACCATGCCTTTCCCACTGCTAATGCCTTAGTCCAGGCCATCTTCACTGTCTGCCCCTCCCCCTGAGACTTCCACACTGCCCGTCTAGCGGGTCTCTACGCTTCCAAACTTAGCCCTGTTGTACCTCCTCCATGTCCCATGACTAAGGTTCCTGAAATGACTAGTCATGTCCTTTCTTGGTCTCTACCATGGCCAATGCCCGTCTATCCACGTTCTCAGTCCAGTTTCTCCTAACACCTGGCCTCAGCCTGAATGTGCCACATACACTGATTCTAAACACTGAAATATTAAATACTTGCTGCAGAACAGCTAATTTATTGTCTTGACACTAACTCTTGGGTCTCAGAAAGATCTAGCTATTACGACTTTTCCTTCTTTTTTTTTTTTTTTTTTTTTTTTTTGAGACGGAGTTTCACTCTTGTTTCCCAGGCTAGAGTGCAGTGGCACGATCTTGGCTCAATGCAACCTCTGCCTCCCAGGTTCAAGTGATTCTCCTGCCCTCAGCCTCCCAAGTAGCTGGGATTGCAGGTGCCCACCACCACATCAGGCTAATTTTGTATTTTTGGTAGAGATAGGGTTTCACCATGTTGGTCAGGCTGGTCTCAAACTCCTGACCTCAAGTGATCCACCCGCCTCGGCCTCCCAAAGTACTGGGATTATAGGCGTGAGCCACCACGCCCGGCCTATGATTTTTCCTTTCTACAAATGATACGCTACTGTGAGCTGCTGCATTTTTGTTACACTTTCATATAGCAAGATTTCCACAAGATACAAGGTAATTAGGGTCTCCAATCATCACCTTCTATTTTGGGAAGAGATAAGACACAAAGAAGCAAATATCACCACCGAAGCCTTTTACACTGGTTATTGGCAAAGGTTAACTATCATACGAAGCAGAAAGTCTTATCAGTCCATTCAACAAGGCTGAAATGGGGGCGATCTTAGGCACTCCACGAAATGGACAATTAAAAAAGGGGCAAGCTACGTGATCCCTGAAATATAAATAAGGAATTATTTGATTCCACCCCGACCCCTAGCTATTCCTTGTGTTCACACACTTCTGGGCCTCCCGGGTAGCCTAAGCCCAGAAGCGGGAAAGCAAGAAAGCCACGCAAGCTTGCAATCCCTGGCCAGGTTGGAAGCAGGAAACATGAGAGCTCACAGAAGCTGCCTGGAGATTCGTCTGGGGCTGCAGCCCTGTTCCCAGTTTTGGAGGCCTGTTCAAATTGAACTTCCAAGCCCCGGGCCAAACTCTCCCGGTGGTGTGCTCCTGCCGACACGCGCTCTGTGTGTCTGGCAAGCTGTGTGGTCAGAAGAATGTGCTTCCCACGCACTGGGCTCCAACTATGCATTAGGGCTCAGCTTGCACAGAGACACTGCTGACGGCTCCCTCCACCATCTTCTCAGCGAAAGCCAGAGTCTAGCGTGGCCATCCCTCATCCCAGGGGCTAGGAAACATCAAACCCCAGCCTCTGGGTTGAATAAGAGGAGACTTGGAACCCACACCCGAGAAAAAGAAAGTAATCAAAGGCAAGCCAAATCCCCGTCATCCACAGGAATGTCAGCCGTTCTCCAGCACAGGGAGCTGACCATTTTATACAATTAGGGCCCTGGGACAGTTTGGTGTTCCATAGGTGAAGGTCAGTGGGTCACTAAGGGAAGGAAGACCAACATCCCTATGATGTAGACAGTATGCCCTGTGCCCAGTATGGCTGATGACATCGAATTCCTGCGGCAACCTATGACATGGATAGTGTTATACCCATTTTACAGGTGGGGAAGCTGGGGCTTCACTAAAAAAACTGCTCAGGCTGAGCGTGGTGGCTCACACCTGTTATCCCAGCACTTTGGGAGGCCAAGGCAGGCGGATCCCGAGGTCAGGAGATGGAGACCACCCTGGCTAACACAGCGAAACCCCATCTCTACTAAAAACACAAAAAATTAGCCGGGCGTGGTGGCAAGCGCCTGTAGTCCCAGCTACTTGGGAGGCTGAGGCAGGAGAATCGCTAGAACCTGGGAGGCAGAGGCTGCAGTGAGCCGAGATAGCGCCACTGAACTCCAGCCTCGGCAAAAGAGCTAGACTCTGTCTCAACCAAAAAAAAAAAAAAACTGCTCAGGGCCAGGCGCAGTGGCTCATGCCTGTAATCCCAGCACTTTGGGAGGCTGAGGTGGGCAGATCACTTGAGGTCAGGAGTTCAAGACCAGCCTGGCCAACATGGTATGGTAAAACCCCGTCTCTACCAAAAAATAGCCAGGTGTGGTGGTACATGCCTGTAGTCCCAGCAACTCAGGAGGCTGAGGTGGGAGAATCACTTGAACCCAGGAGGCCAAGGCTGCAGTGAGCCAAGATCACGCCACTGCACTCCAGCCAGGTGACAGAGTGAGACCCTGTCTCAAAAACAAAAACGAAAAACAAACTGCTCAGGTTTAACACTTTGAGGGTTAACTGGGTTTGGGATTTGGTTAAAAAAGTAAAATTAGTGTGATTTGAGCTAAAAATAGTAAGGATTTTATAAATTGTGTAAGGCTCAAATACCCTATTACCTAATTGCATTGCTATATACACCATGGTGTTTTTTCACTTCTCTGTCTCCAATCCCCAACCCCTACCCCAACACTCACACACTCACGCACACACACACATGTACACACACAACTGAAAGCTGCTGGAGGCCAGGCACTGTGTGTTCATCTCAATCGGCCCAGCGCTGAGCACAGATGAACCCAGTACATCAGTAACGATGTAATCAACAGTTCTCTTTTGCCCCTTCCTTCAGGCAAGCAGGTCTCTCACAAGCCCATGGCTCCCCATTGTGAGGGGATGGGTGTGGGAAAGCCAGGGCCGGACCCTTTGCCTGGTTCTTCATTCTCCACTTTCAAGAATAAGCCCTCCATTTTTGGAAGCAGAGCCCTCGCAAGGGGACCATGCTTAACATCTTCATCTACCTCCATTTTCAAACCTATTCTGGGTCCTTAACTGCAGGTGGCCTCCAGTAAGTGGCTTTGGAACCATGCCATGTCTTAAAGGCCCATACAATATCCCTTTTACCTTGGGCTGTTATTCAATGTAGAGACAATGAGGCCACACTGGGGCACTAAACAACCCCTCACCCGCCCCCCACGTGGAATCTCATTGGTCTTGCCTCAGTTTAGAGAGAGTTAGGGGCCTCATGAGAGCAGGAGACAGCTGAGTGGGGGACCAGGAGACCTAGGTCTGGGACCTGCCACTCCACTCTTCAGACCTACAAGTCCGCTTCTCAGAAGTGAGGACATCTGAGTCCTCCTGACACATCTGGTCTCAAACCATTCATGCTGCTTCCTCATCGTCCTCCCCCATACAATGGGGATCCAAATCCCACCTATTTCCGGGTTGTTCTGAGGGCTACGTAAGATGCTTTATGTCAAATGCTCTGCCACGGTGCCTGGAAGATGGTTAGCTTCTCCCGGAGGGGTCAGTAATTAATAATAACGATAGTTACTATTATCACAACACTTTAATATGGGTACTTCCGTTCTTCCACGATTAAATGGATGCATTTGCCCTGCTTAGCAAAGTTCGTCTCTTAGTTTTCTCTCTGCCAGCTCCAAAACAGGAAGGAGCTCTGGGTCCTCAGGGCTAGGGTGGGCAGGGGTACCACCACTGCCTCTAGGACCAGGACTCAACACCCGTGCTTCTCACCAGTCTGAGCGCCGAGGCTCTACTACCTGCCCCCTCCTTCCTGAAGCTCCCATGTGGGGCCTCTGTGCTCCGTGTCCTGATTTTCCTACTGCTCAGGCTGTGCCTGCTCGGCCTCCGCTGCTGTTTCTGGTGCTTTCAGTCAATCTCTAGATTTGAGAATTTTCTCAGGACCTGACTTCAGGCTTCTATTCTCCTCTTCCAAGCTTCTCCGCAGATGAGTTTGTCCACGCCCATGGCTTGAACTCACAGCTCCCTTTGCTGCCTCCCAGCTGTTAGCCCACCCTCAGAGCTGAGCTGCTGCCTGCAGCTTCTTCATTATCTCCCCTTGGATGACTCAGATACGCTCAAGACGAGCTCGGATTTTCCACCCAAATCTATGCCCCCTGCCCCAGCCCTGATTCCCAAGTCCTCCCAGACTTGGAAGCTGCACCACCATCCAGTTTTTCAAGCTGGAAATCCAGAAGTCACCCTTGATCTCTCTTTCTCTCCCTCCTATCTAATCAATCCATTCATTATCCCAAGAGCAAAATATGTCCAACATCAGCCCACCAGCTTTTCTCGGTGTCTTTGGACCCAACAGACCCTAGCCCAAACCATCATCACCTTTGACAGGGGCTCAGCCTTCCCATTCACCACACAAGCAGCAGTGAGAGGCATTTTTGAAGCACTAACTGATCCTCTTCCTCCCCCTCAGAGGCTTCCATGGCAGTGACAGCAAAGTGCAGCGTCCTGGCATGAGTAAGGCCTTATCCCCCTGTTTCCTCCATGGCACCTTTTTCAATATTTTTTTACAACCTTATTTTCATTCCCACATTTACAGTCAATTTCTCTTACTGTCACCCATGGTTCTTGCCCCAGGAGGTCAAGGACTATGTCTCTTCTGGCCACTTCGCTGGAGAGCCTGACCAAGGGCATGAGACATCGGGGGTGCTCTAGGAGTAGATGTTGAAGGATTTAATAAAATGACTGAGCCAGCCCTCCTACCACATTTCCCCTAGTAGCACCACCCTGCTGGGTGCAAAACTGCTTCCCCTATCTCCCACACAGGTAGGGCAGGGAGTGATCAAGACCAGAATATCAAAATAGGCAGCCTACAGATGGGCTACCCTCCCCAGGCTTATTTAGGAAGAGTTCACAGCTGCAGAAAAGGAGGGATGGCACAGTGAGTATCCACCACTGCTGGGTTTGCTTGTTACACCTACTCAATCACTTGCTGTCTCCATGTCCTGCCCCACCTGCCCCCACACACATACACACTTGGGATAGTGAATGGATTGATTATATTTTATGGCTGGACCACTTAAAACTGAGCTGCAGGCATCACTGATACTTCACAAATCTCAATTCTTCAGCGTATTTCTCCTACAACAGATACCACTGTCACCACCCCCGGCAAATTCAACACTGATACAGAAATATAACCAGTAATATTATACAGTCCATATTCAAAGGACACTCACAAATGTCCTTTCTAAGAACTGGCCACCCTCCCCGACCCACAGGATCCAGTCCAGGATCCCACTTTTACACTTAGGAATTGTCTCATCGGCCCCCTTTTATCTGGAACCGTCTCCCCAGCAGTTTTTGTCTTTCGAGACACTGACATTTGGAAGCGATATCTTGTCAAATGTCCCATGTTCTGGATCTGTCTGGTTGTCTCTGGATGCCAAATAGATTGGCAAACTACCCTACATACACGCACACACACGCACGTGTACGTAAACACAATCACAGAAGTCAAAACTGTGTTTAATTAGTTTCCCAAAACCTATATATTGGGAGATTTTTATACGAAAAAGATCTGAAAAAGTCTTAAACTCTAAACTCTCCTGAAAAAATGTTTTTAAAGTTTTTCTTAAATTAAAAAGAAAAAAGGCAAAACCCCGTCTCTACCAAAACAAAAAACAAAAAACACAAAACTTAGCCAGGCATGGTGGCACATCCTCGTACTCCCAGCTACTCAGGAGGTTGAGGTGGGAGGCTCACCTGAACCCAGGAGGTCAAGGCTGCAGTGAGCTGTGATTATGCCACGGCACTCCAGCCTGTTTGAAAGAAAGAAAAAACCATCCAGAACATGGGGTAGCTCTGGGCCATGTTCCTATGTGGCCAGAGAGTAGAGCTGAGGTGCAGCCATCCCTCGAATCTCTGCACTCTGAGTGATCCGCAGGCCTTGGTGGTGTGACTGGCATGGCCCCATGGAGACTTGAGTTTGTGACTCTTCAGGCAACCCAGACCCCCAGTGACAGAGGGTGCACGCCGACCAGAGGATCTCACCTCTTTGGGGACCCAAGGAATTCCTGGCACTGCAATAAACTGCAATGCAGGTAGGAGCAAGGCCCACCTCTGCACAGGAGGCAGCTCCGCCCCTCCGCTTCCCTATGTGTGGGGCTGACAAGGGAGTTTTGGGTCATCCAAAATGCCTCCGAGGACATCTGGGCACCTGTCTAACTACTCTCAGAATAACTGAAATGTTTCAAGTTCCACGGTAAGTGGCACGCCTGGAATGCAGGCAGTCCACCTCAGGGGACCTGGCCAACTTCTAACCACAGAGGGTCACCCGCCAAACGAGGCAAAATAAACGCAGAGCTCCAGGACGCAAGGTTACTAAAATACCCCTTTGTTTGACCTTTACTCTTAGAATATTTAATGCCATATCAAACCCAAAACACTAAACACCTAAAGTCTATGTTCAAAAACTCAGTAACCACAAAATAAATGAAGCTTAAGAAAAAAAAAAAAGAAAGAAAGAAAATCATCCGAATTAAAGGGGGCCTTTAAAACCATCCATTTCCCACCTGGAGAGCTGAATTCCGAGGGAAATCACACATGGTCCTGTCTCAAAGAAGAGGTATCTTTTCTGCTCATCTCTGCAGCGATGCTATAGGTTTATGAGGCTGCTTTGGTTTTAAACAGTTCATTAAACTCAAATGGGAATAACGCAATAAATATTTTCCAGGTTGTACAAGACATGCGAGGGCTTGATCTAGCAAATGAGCATGTCCAAATTGCCTGTTTTCTTTAAAGACATTTTTAGTTGGATTCCACCCAGCCAAGTAGAATGTGAAAGACTCACTTTTTGGGAAGCCAAGTACTCCATGCCTCTGGCCAGCTGGTAGGTGCATGACACCAAGTCCTTGAAGGTCATCTGCTCCTCAGGAACACGGTTAATGTCATAGGAGTACTCCATCCCGGGTGGCCTCCGGGCTCGGAGGTATTCTCGGAGGTTGCCTTTAGAGGCATACTCAACTATGACATAGAGAGGCCCTGTTGAGGAAGAAGAGAAGCTCCCTAAAGAGAGAATCCAGGGTCTCCCCTTGGGCAATTCAGCAAAACATTTTTAGTTATTACAACCCATGCTTTTTTTTTTTTTTTTAAAGTTTAACATACAGCGGCTGGGCGTGGTGCCTCATATCTGTAATCCCAGCCCTTACAGAGGCCGAGGCAGGTGGATCACATGAGGCCAGGAGTTCAAGACCAGCCTGGCCAGCATAGCGAAACCTCGTCTCTACTAAAAATACAAAAATTAGCTGGGCATGGTGACACACACCTATAGTCCCAGCTACTTGAGAGGCTGAGACAGGAGAATCGCTTGAACCCAGGAGGTGGAGGCTGTAGTGAGCCGAGATCACACCACTGCACTGCAGCCTAGGCAACAGAGCGAGACTTTGTCTCAAAAAAAAAAAAAAAAAAAGAAGAAGAAAAAAGAAAAAGTTTTAACATACAGAAAAGCACACATAAAAATATGATTATAATCTCTCCAAAATGATAAATAAGCCCTTGGTCATGATAGCCTCAAAAGGCACAGAGACACAGTTGACGTGCTCTTCCCTGTCACTCTCATGCTGTCACCTGCGCCCTCTTGGAAAGCAATGGATCCCTCCACTCTATCCTTTTGGTTCATTTTAACTATTCAATAAGTAATATATTATTTTTAATCACATAAATGAATAATAAAGCTCTTAGATCTTTGCAACATTTTTTACCCATACATTATCCTTTTGGAACCTGTTGGGCTTATAAAAACAAAACCAGATCATTCCTTTTCACAGCTGCATATACTGTATCGTATAAACACACCACACTTTATTTATCCATTCCCTTATATGCATAGGCATTTGCTTCCAGGTTTCAGCCATAACAAACAGTAGGCAATGAACATCTCTGTACATGTTCCCTTACACACGTGTGCAATAATTTCTCCATGGTATAGGCTCGGGGTTGGCAGACTACAGCCTGCAAGCCAAATCCTGCCTACCGCCTGTTTGGGTAATTAAATTTTATTGGCATGCAGCCAGGTCCATTCATTTCTGTACTTCTAGCACTGCTTTCTCACTACTATGGCAGACACGAGAAGTTGCGACAAAGACCATACGGCCCACAAAAGTCTAAAATATCTACGACCTCCCTTTACAGAAAAAGTTCACCAATTACTATATAGACCTACAAGAGAAATTGCTAAGTCAAAGATAGGCGTTTTCAAGTTTACTAATTACTTAGCAAATTGATTTCAAAGTGCCAGTAAACATTCAATGGAAGAAGCCAGGGTCTCTCTCCCCCAGGGAAAATAACGTATTCCTTCATACCGCTTTCTCCTCTTTTAAGCTATTCTTGGGAGCTCAGCCATCTGTGACCCACAGCAAGATGTGGATTCTTCAATCCCTGTTTTAAGGGAAGAACTTCTCAACCAAAACATAGGATCTTATTCTGACAAATCTCTCTTAGCACTTACAAAACAAAAACATAAGGAGGCTGCCTTTTCCAAAACCCCCTCCAGGTTATGACCTAGAAACAGCAGCGCCCTCTAGGCCCTCAAATCCAAAGTCACCTGCACCCTCCTTTCCACTGGCCCCCAGGTACGGGCACAGACCCTTCTTTGTGTTCATGGCTAGGAACATCTTCCAATGGGGATTTTAAAAAGAACTTTAAACATGCACACAGGGTGCTCTGGGAGCAGGATCTGGAAGCCCAGCCATTTCTAAAATGATTCAATCAAACTGCAGAGTATTTGGGCGAATGCAGTTTTTCCTCCTACTCACCATCCTGTGTGCAGGCTCCAAGAAGATTTATGATATTCTTGTGTTTCCCAATCATCTTCATCATCTCCATCTCTGACACCAGATCAGAAAGGTCTTTCTCTGTGGCATCATCTATGAACAGTAGGCATATTCACAAATCAGTTCATTTCCTCTAACTCATGGGCAGCTACTGTTAGTTGCCAAAGACTTAGTTGAAACAGCATGAAATTGAATTTCAGAATCAGAAAAGATTTTCCAAATCATCTCCCTCATTTTATCGAGGAAGGGACAAAGGCCTACACAGGGAACTGCCTCACTCTGTGTCAAAGAGCTCACTGGGGGGCCAATGGGGCCAAGAGTCAGGACGAGAGCAGGGGCTTCTGACACTAATGCCAATTCTTTCCTAGACCATGAGATAATCTCATCCTCTGCCATATCTAAGGCGTCTCAGAAAACCACACCAAACTTCATGGTGCCTGAAACCAGCGAGGAGACCGAGGGTAGGGCCATTTCAAATCACTACAGACTTGCTCCCGACCAAGCATTCTTAACCCAGCCCCTCGAGGCCCTTAGAGCGTTCCGAGGTGGGTTCAGACGGTTCCCCATAAACAGGGCCATAAACGTGTGTGCATGTGCATTCTGAGCAGGTAAAGGGCTGCGACTTCTAGTGGCTTCTCAGAGGGCACTGCAGTTCCCATCCTAAGAAAAGTTACATAAACTTCCGCTCTGTAATTTCAAGCAAGAATGGCACAGGTTCCACATACGCGGGCTCGCAGTTAGCTTCTCTTAGATTCTCCTAAGTGGCAAGACTTTCCCATGTGCCCTCCACCTCAAGCTAATTCAGTATGGAAAAATCTGGGTTTCCTTTAAAAAAAAAATGAAATATGGGCATGGATAAGAACCATGTTGCAAACAGTTTTTTAGCTTCACAAAAGGAAGATCAATACAAGTGACTGTGTGTGCAAAATTTACACTGATGTATGTGAAGGAGGGAGCCACGGGCCATGAGGAGGGAGGGAGACACAGCCGTGGGCTGTAAGAAAGGACACGCCACAATGGCTTGGGGACTAATATCCTTCTGTGTCCTTACAGGGAAGGCTGCCAGCCTGGGCATCACAAGAGAAAGAGAACTCCCAGACCTCCCTTTTTGCAATATCCCATGTAACTCTGAGCTCCATTAGCAAAACCAGAAGTTCCGCCAAAAGAGATGAGAAGCCTGGGTCCTCCCCACACCTGGCCCTGGTACGCAGCCAGGGGCTGCCTCAGTCAGTGGTGCCATGACACCTGGGGCAAGACAGCACAGTGTTCCTCCCCGGCATCAGGCTCCAAGGTGGGGAACATCTCAAAGCACTCTAGTTTTCCTTGGGAGTCACTCAGATAAACAGCCTTTTAAAAAACCCAAAAAACAAAATGCACATCTTGTTGACAAAGTCCAGCCTGCTACTTCCCCTTGGGAGGGATGTGATGACTATCCCATGAGAACCCACAAAAGAAAGACAAAGCCTAACTCCAGAGCGCCTGCGACATGCCCAGCACCATATCCCAAGGATGGGCCTCTCTGCCTGGAAACGTGGGAAACACTCGGCATGGGATCTTCTTTCCGAGATCCCTACAAGAGGATTTATAATGTGACAGTTCCCTATAACTCTTCTCATAAAAGAATACTGCAGGACGAATAAGTTAATGGTTAAAAGTTCTTTAAGTTCTTTGGACATGGGCATGAAGCAGGGTTGGAAGGTTAACGTAGAAGTGTTCACAGTCCCACAAACACAACACGACATTTACATCTCAGGGTAATTGTTTATGTGTCCCAGGAGGCTCTGCACCAGCCCTGATCCTGTTCACTCCTTCTCAGCTTCTAAGTGACTCTCCCAGACCAGTGTCATTTCTGCTTTGTTCCTCACGCAAAAGAGAAGGCTTTCTGCTCCCTTACGTCTCTTCGTTCCCTCCAAAAACACAAATTTTCTTGTACTTGTAAAGTTAAGGTTTAAGTCCCAAATCTAACACACCAACTCCTAGCTAATAAATTCAATTATATGTGAGTTGATAATTTCTAAGCACATAAAAATACAGAGAGAATGAAGAATTGTGGTCACGAAGAAGGAGTCAAAGAATAACTCTATGTAGGAGGCTACCGCTTTCTAACAAAACTGGCTTTTCTTTATAAGTACACACAGCTCAAGATAAATAGTCTGTCCGAGATGCTGATTTATACCGAAAACTTCTCAACCCCTAGGTCAACTATGTGCTCTCTGACCCCGTGCCATGATAGAGTTCACATGCCACAAAAGGAACTTTCTTGATAAGACTCTCCACCCAGCCCCTCCCCGAGCCTCCCGCCTCCCCGCTCACCTTTCAACATCTTCACGGCCACGGTGACCGCCTCCTTGGGCTTGTCTTTGTCAATTCCCACTGCTTCCGCCATGACCACTTGCCCAAAGCAACCTTCTCCCAGGGGCTTGCCCAGTGTCAGCCTAAATGTGTAAATAGGGGATTAGCACATAGCATCTGGTGATGGGGTGTAGTGAGGGAAATTCCAGAACTAAATATAAAAATCTTTCAGCGGCTTACTAAAGCATGGAGTGCTTATCATATGGAACTAATGAGACTTAGGGTACACACGCGCCTGAGTATTTTCCTAGTGACGTTTTAGAGAATGTCAATTACTGGTGGAACGGCTATTAAATTTCACATTGGTATTCTCGGTTTATTTTCTTTAGGGAAGGTATCCTTGCTAGTGCGGTGGTCAGCTTTCCTAAGTGCCAGAGAAGAGCTTTTGATCTTGAGCCAATTAAATATTTGTAATTTAGAATGGCTCAAAGAAAAAACGTTAAGACTGTTCTTATTTTTTTGTCCCTGTAAAATGGTGGCTTTAAAATTATTATTCAAATACCAATGGATTTTATGGTCACATTCCTTGCCAAGTTACAGGATATGCCTCTTAAAAGCATTTCAAGGAATCTCTAATTTTTTACTAAAAAGAAAATTCTAAAAAATTGGGGACTTTTTTTTTGACATAAGTTTAAAAGTCCTTATGACTACATAAAATTAACAATGAAGAAAATCCAAAGTGAACACCACAAATTAAATTTCTAAGATTACAAGGTCTATGCACATCGGACGAATAGCCATATATTGTCCTTGTGCATTCCAGAAACCAACAAAACGCAAAAGTCTTTGGAATACTTATGAATACGGCTCTTTCTAACTTAAGCATAACACAGCAAAGCATGGAGCTGCCATTAGTAAACAGTATTTAAGGTAAGTACACAATAGTTTGCAAAAGTGCAGCATAAAGACTAAGGGCAGCATGTGCTATGCTGAGGTCATTTTGTTTCTACCCAGAACGAAAATTAAATTTAACATCTTGGCAGAAAATAAATATTTGCATTGGAAAAATGGCTAATTTATGTCCCACCGCCTTGCTACTACAAGCATAACAATCCTTTCTTTGTATAACTTCTGCCTCCGATCTAATAAACTGCTTCTAAATAGCCTTCATTCATTGGAAATCTGTTCCACCTACGTTTGCGCTAAACACTGTTTTGAAATGTTTAGCACTCAGATTTTCCACACTCAGGGTACCCCGGGTGGGAGGTAACAGTTGGGCACATACAGACTTCCACTGTTGACTGTGGTGTCACAGGTGGCAAAAACTATGGACTAAACCCGAAAGCTGCAATTTCTTAAAATATGATCACAACTCCCCAGTTCAGTTATATATATAGGAATGTGCACATGAACCTATCTGTGTATATAATCACACACAAACTAGGGCTGGCGGAGTTCACAAGAAACATCCATTTCTCCACATCCTACAGGTAAAGAAACCATTCTTTGTGTTTTCTCTGGTGCCCCACCAGTAAATGTCCAATTAACATGCCTTGAGTGAATGAATAAGTGAATGAGTGAGTGGTCTTTTCACTACAGTATACAAATCAACTGGAAATTACTTCCATTAACACTCTAACCAAATAATATCCATACAATTATTCAGTCCTAGCTAACGGTACACATCTCTAAATTGGCACTTGGGAAACAAAACTGATGTGACATCACGTGAATCAAAATCAGAAGTGCCAGCCACATAAGCTACCTCTCCCTTCCAAATAGAGCTCATCAGATCAGTCTCTGGAAGAGCTTATCTTTGCATTTCCAAATGTGTATAGGTACACATGAGAAGTGTATATAATCTGAGGAGCTACTGAAAATGTCAAGGCAAACAGGGTAGCTGCTTATAAGCAAGTCAAGAGCTTATTCCAGTGTATGTGATGCAGAAGTAGTCAGCATTTCCACCTTCCCGTACTCTCAAGCTGTGACGACAAAAAGTACCCCAGAAGTGAGTGGACAGCCCTACAATGACCACTGCACTTCCTTTCATAAGGAGGATCTAGGGGTCGGTCCCTGCCTAGAGGACGAGGGCTAGGAGCTCAAATTCTGCCCACTGACTCCATGCCCCACACGATGATCCTGCTGAGGTTTGCAGTTCAGAGCTCCCAGGTTACCACCACGTGAAGGGAAATGAAAGGAAAACTCGCACAAGCCAAGAACTCTGCTCAGTCCTGGGAGGTCTGAACCACCACCCTCATTTTATGAGAATGAATTTCAGAGAATCAGGTGCCTCACCCGAGGTTGCCCAGCCACTGTCTGGCAAAGCCAGGATTCAAATGCAGCCCAACGGAGCTCCAGTACGTGGAGTTCAAGCGAGACCAAGAGATACGTAGCCCCAACACCACCCAGGTGGCCATATTTTGACTAAACATCTGATTGGCACACCTCTGTATCATCCAACAAGGAAAATATTATGGATCACAGAAATTAGATGTCAGGTACCATATTTGAAGCTTTTCAGCCCAATATGACATTAATAACCAATGAGAACAGCAACACTGGGTAGCGGTCCTTAAGGCCATTTATATTCTGCATCTAATTTCTCCACAGAAGTGAACAGAGAACAGTCTTGTTCTAGTAACCAAAAGCTAGAATGTCAGATCTGTTTTATAAATTGGATAATTCTACTTTTATTCCATTTGACGGAGTCTGAATTGCCCAGACACTTAAAAAATGATAACCAGATGCCATCTTCTTTGGGGACCAGCCAGGGGCAAGTAGCTCTGCTTTCAAGGAGTTATTTTTTTTTTTAAATCCATTTTTTTCTTTTCCAGGAGTTGGTTATTTAGAAATACAATCTTACTCCTGCTGACATCATCACACCAAGACCTTTGTGGCTAAGGGTCATAAAAAGAAAATGTTAATCCAATATCCCCATTTATAGCTGAGTCTCCATCCTGGGACATGGCCAAGAGAAGTACTCACTTATCTCTTGGAAACTCCCATTTTGGGTCCTCTGGAAGTTCATACTCGGAGACCCCTGCCAGCATGGGGGTGTCTGCCGTTGAAGAGAGGCGTGTTGTTATCCTCACCAGCGGGGTGTTGGAGTTCATGGAGGAGCTGGACTCAGCCGAAACCTGGATACAAAATGCAAAGACACAGATGTAATCCTGGCTCCATCTGAGAAGGCTGGAAGTCAGCCAGAGCCCAGCCAGAGTATCGAATCTTAGAAAGGAATGGGTTGGGGGCTGGCAGAAGTCAGAAACCAAATTAGAAAACCACTGGAATCTAACTCCTCTGCCCTCCAGTCCATGCAGTACCAGATTTCATCCAAATTTTATGTTCCTATGTTCAGGTTTTTCTATGAAATTTTTCTATACCATCTGATCACAATGTAAATTTTCTTTCTGTCCTAATTCCTCCAGAGAGTCACTTGAGGACATGCAGACAGTCCTCTCTGGCTTCATTAGTGCCTTTATGGTTGTACCTGCACCTGTACTGGAGCCCTGGATAATGGATCCCCTCTCAGACCACCCGGATCATGGATCAATGCTGTGCTTATGAAATTCTACGAAAACTTTTAGGAAATTGGCTCTACCATATTTCCTCTGTCTTTGGAAATGTAAAGTGGAATATCTCAAGGAAAGAGTTCTAGGACTTGAATGTGGAAGACATTCAGTAGCTCCGAGTCCCTTTAACTCAAAATAACCCCAGACCCCAGCATTGGGGGCCATTCTTTGTTTCTCCCCAGTCCTTCTGGAAACTTATTGATGGCCAGGCTATTCAGTGGAAATGGGCTGCCTCTTGTCTTCGGTTTCAGAAACCAGTGCACTAAACACGTGGGATGAAGCATCAATGGAAAGAAAATACACCTTTTCCCATAACCACACAAGAGAACTCCTCTCCCACCTGGCAGTACACAGGGCTCCACCGAGTTACTTTCTTGTTTATCCTGATCCATTTCAGTGTGTCTGATAAAATGATTATTTCTTAAATATATCACTGTCCTTTGGCTGGTTTCTATGGAAAAAAAAAGACTCACACAGAGCACACTGGAAGGCCACTTTTGAGGATGACTACGCAATCTTAGTCTGACCACAGGCTGCTTGAACACTGTCTTATTCTAAACCATGAACAAGACTTTGGCCCAAGAGAACAAGAATGTGAAGTTAACCACGATCCATCTCCAAGCAGGCAACTAGCCCACCCTGGGCTCTGTCTCCTGCGTGACTGCCCAGGTGGATAGTACTCCTGGATGTGCTTACAAACGCCTTCAATCACACTGGCAAAGACTGAGTCCAGATGAACAAATTTAGGTGGGATGAACTTTCACAGGGTGGGTCCTGGGCTCTTCTCACAGGGAACCAGAGGACCTGTCCTGTTTGAAAAGCTTTGAATCTCGCCTTTG
This sequence comes from Homo sapiens, assembly GCF_000001405.40. Taxonomy (NCBI): domain Eukaryota; kingdom Metazoa; phylum Chordata; class Mammalia; order Primates; family Hominidae; genus Homo; species Homo sapiens. Next base: position 121,505,213 of record NC_000010.11, read on the forward strand.
TAAACCCAGACTTCCCTCAAAGCAGGCTGGAAATTCAAGAAGATGCCCAAGAATAGATTAGGGGAAGAAAATCATTTTAGGATTAGGAAGTTGTTTTCAGTATTAAAATAAAGAAGTGGGCCATTTTTCACATAGAATTCCTATTATCTTTTAAAACGTACATGAGCACTTCCTGAGCCTTCCATTCAATCTTTTGGCAGGGGGCAGTTATTCCTAAACTTCATTATGCAGATAGTATGAGCAACATTTATTCATTGTATGGTCAAAATGTTTTAAAAGCGGGAACTAAAGAATCATTAATTGTGGAGCTGAGATCCTCACACCCAAGTGTCTGGGTTGCACAAGCAAATGGCAGAAGCAAGCGGGAAAAGACGAGAAGGTAAATGTGGGTGCTCCTGGGGAATCCGTCCTGCTCCCCACTGAGGTCACAGACTAGGCATAAGCCCCACCCTGGATGAAACAGACAACTTTAAAGTCCCCGCCATGTGGTATCCAACCTCACTGTAGTGAGCTAACCTCGTCTGCGGGACACATCAGAAGCCAGGAACTTTCAGAGAACATCAAGACTTCCAGTTTGCATTGGTCCACAGGAACATCTCAAGCTCCACCTACAGAGCTCAGAAAGATTCAGGAGCGGGTTTAACGGCCAATGATGCTTCCCCAAATCTTTCTGTCCTCCTAATTCATTCTGCATCAGGGCCGTGTGCTGTGGATGCTTAAGTACGCAGGTGTTTTCAAGACTAAGAAGGTCTTCTGAAAGTTCTTCCCCATGAACAGGCAAAAATCACCACTCATTGCAGGGGGACCTTATGCTTGAGGATATCATGGGCAAGAAGCTCCAGCCAAACTAGTAAGAACCGGCCGGCCAGGCGCGGTGGCTCACGCCGTAATCTCAGCACTTTGGGAGGAGGAAGTGGGCAGATCACTTGAGGTCAGGAGTTTGAGACCAGCCTGGCCAACATGGTGAAACCCTATCTCTACTAAAAATAAAAAAAATGAGTCGGTTGTGGTGGTAGGCGCCTGTAATCCCAGCTACTTGGGAGGCTGAGGCAGGAGAATCGCTTAAACCCAGGAGGCAGAGGTTGCAGTGAGCTGAGATTGCACCACAGCACTCCAGCCTGGGCAACAGAGCAAGACTCCGTCTCAAAAAAAAAAAAAAAAAAAGAGGCCTAGCAATGGGACGACTTCCGCAAATGGCCAGGGTCTGGCAGGTTGTACAGCCAGAACACTCTCTGCATGGCCTGCAGCGTAGCCCCTCATCACTGGATACCAGTTTCCAGGATTCCACTATGGGGTGCATAGGAAGCTGCAATCAATAGAGGAGTGGGAACCGATTAAGCAATTGCTTGGGACCGCAGTCCTGGATGACGTTAACACCCAGCAGAGGCAGAGGCATGGCTGGGCTTCTGTGCCTCCTCCCTGAAAATCACCGCTCTCATCAGCGAGGCTCACAGAATAGGATGTGGGGAAGGCAGCTGTCCCACAGCGAGGTGTGAGAACAAGGGCACTTAAACGTTTCTGGAAGGATATATAAGAGACTTAGCAGTGATCACCTGTGGGCAGAGAGATTAGGAGTTGAGAGAGGGGGTAGAAAATACATTTTATTTCAGAACTTTCTAGACCATTTGGATTTTATGACCATGTGTATGTAATTCTTTTATGTTCTAGAAGAAGTACTTTATTTAACAAAAATATTTTTTAGAATAATAAGGATCTGAGCTGAGGCATGAACAACGGAAAAGAAAACGAAGGGCATATGCTTGAAATATGCTGACTTCTAAAATGAGTGAAAACTTACAAGATCACTGCTTTCGGCCCTTCCTTCTGCTACCAGGCTAGGTTTTGTGGCATCTCTGCATCCTTCGATGTGGGCAACAGCCAATCCCGTTGCTGCCCTTCCTGTGCTCATCATTCACAACATGAGGCCCCGCATTAGGCAGGCTGCATCCTGACCAACTGCAATAACATGGGACTGTGCGGTCAGATTGTCAGGGTCCCTGTCCCAGTTTGAGCACTCACTCACTGTGTGAGCTTTGGGAAATCACTTAACCTTTCTAGACCTGGGTTTCCTCATCTGTTAAAAACAAGACAGGGGCCAGGCAGAGTGGCTCACACCTGTAATCCTAGCACTTTGGGAAGCCAAGGTGGGCAGATCTTCTGAGGTCAGGAGTTCGAGACCAGCCTGACCAACATGGTGAAACCCTGTCTCTACTAAAGATAGAAAAGTTAGCCGGGCATGGTGGTGAGTGCCTGTAACCCCAGCTACTGGGGAGGCTGAGGCAGGAGAATTGCTTGAACCTGGGAGGCAGAGGTTGCGGTGAGCCGAGATGGTGCCACTGCACTGCAGTCTGGGCGACAGAGCAAGACTCCATCTCAAAAAAGAAAAGAGGAGACAGGAACAGGTCCAACTGCACAGCATTAATGTGATGATAAAATGAGGGAAAAAAAAACTGATGAAGTGCTTAGTGCTAGGCCTGGCACTAAGAGCTCAGTTAATGTCTGCTACCAACACTGCAATATTTTCTCTTAGTCCCTTTAGAATCATTTGCTGCCCAGATCTGAGAGAACAGACAAAGACACTTCTCTCTGGGTAACTTGGAGCGTTTGGAGCCTAGGGTGGTTCTGTGTGTAAGATACAGTCAGTCCTCCATATCTGTGGGTTCCGCATTCATGGTTTCAACCAATCACAGATCAAAAATATTTGAAAGCTAATTAATAAAAAATAACAATACAACAATTTTAAAATACAAATAAAAAACAATACAGTATAACAACTATTTACATAGCATTTACAACGCGTTAGTTATTACAGGTATCACTAGAAATGACTAAGTATATGAGAGGATGTACACAGTTCATATGCAAATACTACACCATTTTAAATAAAGGTCTTGGGCATCCACAGATTTTGGTATATTCGGGGTTGTTAGAACCAATCCCCAACGCATACCAAGCGACGATTGTACTGTCAAACTGTGTGCAACCAGGAAGATAACCCAGTGACATTAAAGGCTGACTGCAGAAGATATGCCTTAGTGGGCATGTCTGATTTGCTAGATGAGGCCCTCTGCTCACTGCCAAGGATGGGCTGGGGTTCTAGTAAGCAGGAGATGAAGAATCCAGGAGTCAGGGAATCATCTCAGGGCAGGAGGAAAACTGGACAGTAAGAGGGTCCTAATGACAAATATGGCTTAGGGGTTACCTCAGAAGAGAAAAATTTAACATTCAGTCTGAAGTTCACCCCTCTATGGCTCACCCATGACCCCAAAGGAATCTGCATCCACAAACCCCTGGCAAAAGTTCACATGTATCTACACCATCCCCCAAACAGACTGTCTCGAGAAGATTTTCATGTGACAGCTTTTCAAATGGAAAGCCTAAAAATAAATAAATAAGAAAGCCTTTATCAACTTTATTGTCATTATTATTAGAATTTTAAAAATGAGGTCTACAAGAAGGATGACTTACGGGAATTTTGTTCAGATGAAGTACGGAGATTCAGATTAAATGTACAAACCTGGAAAATACTTTTATAAGAACACGAAACGGGGGAAAAGGGTAAGAAAACGTGCAAAGTCTAAGAAACTATAGAATTTGATTGCTCTGTCTACTGAGGTATATCTTAATTTTACCTCCATGCATTTTTACTATGCTTTTAAAATCCCCTCTGGGGCTATAAAATACGGCTGGCTTTCTCTTCATTCCCTTCCACTCCAAGAGCGAGCCTGTGTTGGGGGCTTGGCCCGGTCCTGGGCAGGCCATTCCCCTGTGGGACTCCATGTTTTACTGGGCATCTTTCCTCTGAATCAGGAACCTCAAATAACTCCCACTGCTCATCTCTGAAATCCTTCTACTTCTTTAGCACTATTAAATTCTCTTTTCTTTTGCACAAAATCATAATCTTCCTTATTCTTCAATTCCTACCTAGAAACTTCAATTCCAGAGTTTCATTCCTAACCAATTTTAACATATTCTCTTGTTAGTGATAAGTGAGTTACTTATAAACAATCAACACGAACACTCTAGTAAACTGTTTTCCCACTCCCGAATCTTGGCAGGCATTTTTTTTTAAGCATGTATTTTCACAGACTCCAATTCCATTTCCTCACTTTCCGGAATCTCTCCAGCATGTGCCATAAGTCAAGCTTTTAAGTAAATGTGCTTTTCGTACATTTCCATAGTACATATGGGAGATTAAGTGAGGAAGTGTTTTTTTTTTTTCCTTTCTTTTTAAAGGGCCACCAAGAAACAGTGTTATCTGTTTCTTTTCTTTTTTTTTTTTTTTTTTTTTTTTTTTGGTTTGAGACAGAGTTTCACTCTCATTATCCAGGCACGATCTTGGCTCACTGCAACCCCCGCCTACCGGGTTCAAGTGATTCTCCTGCCTCAGCCTCCCAAGTAGCTGGGATTACAGGCATGTACCACCACGCCCAGCTAATTTTGTATTTTTAGTAGACACATGGTTTCATCACGCTGGTCAGGCTGGTCTCGAACTCCTGACCTCAGGTGATCCACCTACGTCGGCCTCCCAAAGTGCTGGGATTACAGGTGTGGGCCACTGCGCCCGGTCTAACAGTGTTATCTCTTTATACTGAATTAAATTTACCATCTAGAGGGGATTTCTCAGAGAACAGAGCAAGCAGAAGCAAAGATGTTCCAGGGAGAAGAGACGAATTAATATTTGTGTGTTTACTCCCCAGGACTGACAAACACACTTGGACCACAGCCTGCCAAACAGGCCCTGTGACTCTTAGGCTGCAAACCACCTTCCCCCACAAGAACACGAGGCTGGCATTAACATACTTCTGCTCTAATATAAGCCTTGCCCACCACTCCCCTATGGCCAAACAAAATGCTTTCACCACCGCAAGCTGGGTGCCTGAGATAAACCTTCAAAGGCTTCTGAAGTTGCATTTTTAATTCCTCCATAACAAAATTTAGGTAATTAGGCAAGGCAGTTCATCAGACACTCACTTTTCTCCCATAGCGAGTCTCTGCCTCCCGCAGGCCTTTCCCTGGGACTCTGTGAGTAAACCTATCAGAGCCATGACGCACCAGCCCCAGATGCGCTGGCTCTGCTCGAGAGATCGCATCAGCCAAGGTCCAGGTCAGATCTTGGGCAAACTGTCATGTCCTTTGGAGGCTGAGAGAGGAGAAAAGGGAGCAGCGAAATAGGGGCAGGGAGGATGAGGTGCCCACATGAAAGGGCAGATTCCAGTTAAGTCATCCGTGACCACTCTAATTACCCAAATGTTTTCTGGAGCCGGTAAGGTTTAGACCACCTGATTGACCAAAATACAGAGAATATTCCCAGATCATGATGTTCAGCTGCCAGGCAGTAAACGAGCTTCTGGGAGTAGAACATCCATCCCCCTTCCCGGAATTTGGCATATGTTTGAGGATCACTAACACTGGACCTGAGAACTGGCTACTGAGTCACACATTCCTCCCCCGAGGCACCCGCTCCGCTCCTCCCCCTTCATCTTGGTCCTATTCCTAACGTCCCCAGGAATATGCCATTTGCCTCAAAAGTATTGCTACAAAAGGTAGCCTTCACTGCCCTTGATTTATTTTATTTTATTTTATTTTATTTTATTTTATTTGTGTGAGACGGAGTATCACTCTGTCACCAAGGCTGGAGTGCAGTGGCGCGATCTCAGCTCACTGCAACCTCTACCTCCTGGGTTCTAGTGATTCTCCTGCCTTAGTTTCCCAAGTAGCTGAGACTACAGGCATGCATCACCACACCCAGCTAATTTTTGTATTTTTTAGTGGAGATGGGGTTTCACTATATGTTGGCCAGGCTGGTCTAGAACTCCTGACTGCAGGTGATCTGCCTGTCTTGGTCTCCCAAAGTGCTGGGATTACAGGCATGAGCCACGGCACCCAGTCTGCTCTTGATTTTTCTCTGGTTTTCAGCCTACCTATATCAGCAGCTGAGAAGGTGAAACTAAAGTCTGAAAAAAACAAAAAAAAAACCACCCTGCAGCCTCTTGTACCATGCTGACGGCAGTGAGAGAGGGTGTAAGCTGCACAGGAGATGAATTTATCTGGACGGAGCCAACCATAAGACAGTTAAATCTCCATCCTACCCTATGGAAGCTTCAAGCCCCAGAGAAAGAAACTGATGTGCTCGATGTAAAACTGATTCAGCAAACCCAGCAACACCGCACGTCTCCTAAACAGGCATCCTCAGTTTCCTCTGCACTCCATCCTCCACCCACCCCTACACCTTCCCCCACCACCCAATTGATGTGTGGAAAACACAGAAAGTAATGCTGCCCCCTTTAACTCACAAAGGCTGCTTCACACTGGTCACTGGCTGTCCAGCATACCTGTACCAGAACCAACACGCTCACAAAGATGCCCCTCTCTGGGCTGGCTGTTGTTGGTCTCATTTAACTCGCTGGGCACCAAAGGAGTGGGAGTGGGTGAGCAGTGTCTGGCACGGTGCCCAAGCCCTGACACTGAATGTGACATGAGCCTCCATCAAAGGACACAGGGAGATGCCACCTGCCATCTGCCTCCCACCACCCAAAAGTTGCTTCTCCTTCTTCAACCATGTGCATACAAAGTCTCAAAAAATTCACGCTTACTAGGAAATGATTGCAAGGAATTTCTTCTTTGGTACTGGAAAAAAATATTTTTGCTCAAAAAAATAACATAAACTGAAACGTCTGTGTTACACCAGTAAGTCTAGTGCAAATTAATAAATGCCAAGAAGGAAAAACTCACAGGAGGAACGAAAACCCAACTTTTCTTGTCCTGAAAAGAGAACAAGGATGGACTGAGGGACCTGAGTGAGACGCTGTGTGTGTATGGGTGTTGGAGAGGGAAAGAGTCAGGGCCATGGAGACACTGAGTGATCCCTGTGTCCTAGAGGAGACTGGCCAACACAGAATAAAAAGTGGCCTCATAAATGCCTAGAAACAACCCATCCTTGACACATCTGATTAGAGGCTCAGGTAAAGGCATGCTTGGCATCCCTGTGGTATTTGCTCTGTCATCAACGTATCTGCAGGCCTTTCTGGGGCTTTTCATTCCAGCTCCAGTCCAATAACCCTCTTTTATCCAGATACCCGATAAGCATCTCTTTCTCTACCAAAGGGGCCATGCGTACTGATGAAACATTCTTTGTGAAGATCCAATAATGTACCCCACTTGGACATGTAGAAGGAGCTGAGGTGTGTCAACATTCCCCCCAAATAAATTAATCTCGCAGAGATGTACTTTTCCAGGGAACTGGTATTTGCCCCCTTTCCTCTGCTTCTGTTATACTCCTCGGCCCTACTGAACACAAGCCAATTACATTTTCTTTTTTTTCCCACTTTGGGTTTTTGTTTTGTTTTGTTTTGTTTTGTTTTTTGAGTTGGAGTCTCGCTGTGTTGGTCAGGCTGGTCTTGAACTCCTGGGTTCAAAGGATCCTCCCGCTTCAGCCTCCTGTGGAGCTAGGATTACAGGCATTTACCATCAAATAACCTTGGAACCACTGGTGAATGTGACAGGCTGTGTCTTACATGTAACCTGATTTATACCCCGCACTTAGTAAATTATGATGAATAAATAAAGGAAGGAGGGAAGAAAAAGAGGAAGGAACTCTGATGTTCCCTCTGGTAACACAGGGAAGAGAGGAAAAAGGACCAACTTAGGCTGAATTCTCTCTCTTTTTTTTTAAAGACGGAGTTTTACTCTTGTTGCCCAGGCTGGAGCGCAATGGTGTGATCTTGGCTCATTGCAACCTCCACCTCCCAGGTTCAAGTGATTCTCCTGCCTCAGCCTCCCAAGCAGCTGGGACTACAGGCATGCACCACCACACCCAGCTAATTTTTGTACTTTTAGTAGAGACGAGGTTTCAACATGTTAGTCAGGCTGGATGGTCTCGAACTCCTGACCTCGGGTGATCCACGCGCCTCAGCCTCCCAAAGTGCTGGGATTACAGGCGTGAGCCACCACGCCCGGCCAGGCTGAATTCTCTTAAAGAAAAAATATAAATGGTATTGCATGTGAGTATACATATAATTACTTAATTTAGAACATTCTTATGTCAACTTCCAATGTCTGCCCTCTTCTTAGTCCTCAAGGATCCATCCACAAGCAGTATATTTCCAAATACTATTTTTCTCAAACTGTATTCTTAGATGGACAGTGAAGAAAAGCCAGCTGGCACTGGGGAAAGAAAACACGATGACTGTGGCTGAGTCAGGGGGATTTTAAGGGCATCTTACCCTTCTATATTAAGTAAAAAGAAAAGCATTTTAACAGTTGCAGAAAAAAAGATGATGAGATAATTAAGGGGCAGTGGCCTAGCTATGCCAAATTACAAGTTGCCTCCAGAAGTTACCATTTTTCCCTATTAGAAAAAAAATAATAGAAACCATGTAAGAGTTATCTCAGGACTGGACTCTTCTAGAAACTGGTTGGCCAACTGGCCTCATCTTTGCTTTCCTGGCCCCAAGAAAGATAATCATGTCACTCAAAATGACAACAGCATTCTTGGTGGCAGACGTGACCCAACAGGCCCCTCTTTTCCATGCTGTTAACACAATTTGGTCATTCGCCTACGCTTGACACACACTTTAAATTCTATCCTCCGTCTCCACAAAGAAAGACCTGCTTGAAACATGGCTTTAGAGAAGTTAACAAGGACCCATTCAGCCAGGAGTTTGAAGCTGGGTTGTGAACAACCAGACCCATTCCAAAACCACTGCTGACCAACTGGTTCCTAATCCTTCCTAATGCCTTGTCCAGAAAATGTCATTCCTACCTGAAGTCCCGGGAGAGGCATGCCTGGAATTAACCTGGAGTTTCTCAAAGTGCATTCTAAAATCACCATAGGGCTTGTGTAAAATGCAGATTCCTGGCCCTATCCAAGATGACTGAACAAGAATCTCTGGGGCTGAGACAAAGGAATCTGAAATTTTAACAAGCACCCCGTACATTTTACTAAAATACACACTGAAATAGAGCCAATGAGTTTGCTGTTTTACTTGCTATTTCAAAAGAAACCTTTATCAGAACCAAGTTTCAAATGCTTTTGTAAACGTTCTGCATCTACATCTGCCTTCCGCTTCCATCTCTGTGAATAAGCAGAAAAGAGCTGAGGCATTTCCTGTCCCACCTACCTATGCAGGGCTTTGGTTTACACCAGAGGCTCCATCTTGCCCCATCTCCCCCAAAGCAAAATTAAACCAATCAGGAGGCACACACAAGCAAAAAGCAACCACCAAAGACCAAGTTGGTGGTTAAAAACAATCTGTTGCTGGTTCCATACAAATATTCTACTAATAAATCCACAGCCACACCTGTGAACTACTAACAATGAGACATAATAGATGCATACAATTCTATTGTAAATTGCAAAGAGGTTAAGCCAAAATTCTGTGTAGAAAGTTATTGTGCAACAGTTTAAATCAAACAGTTCAGATGCACCCCCAGGGCATAAGATACTGATCTTGACTTTAAAAAATAAGTCAGAGAACTTAGAGTCTCTTTCGTACTAGTGGCATAAGTCCCAAGCGAATGTTCATGCTTATCTTAAAAAAGGTATTAGATCACAGGACACGAATGTGGCTAAAGCTTCGAAGAGACCGCTGTACTTGAGTCTGATCAAACACACACAGGGGGATTTGCCTCCAGTTATTTCCAGTCCTGCTGATTAGTTTTCTGATTCTGACAGTATTGTCCTTTCTTGCCCTTGGAACTGGACCCCATTGATCCAAGCAACGCACCATGACTAGACTCTCCAAGCTCCAAACACTAACTGGGTGACCGCCAAGCATCACACCAGAATCACTCGCACATGGAAGCTCACAGAAGTCGATGGCATCAAAGCAGAGGACAAGATCCACAAGCTGGCTGGGTCATGGGGGAGGAGTAAATTTCTTTAAACTCTTTATCTACTTTCTGTTACCTGTCTCCGCAGGGGGATACGTTTGGTCAGCTTGTGCACAGCCGGCTGGCTGCTGAAGTCTGGCTTCTTGGTCGTGTTCTTCATTCGGCACAGGATGACTGTTACCACCATACAGGCGATTAAGAAGACCCCTATGCAGTAAATGGCTATCTCCAGGTAGTCTGGGGAAGCTGTAATCTCCTTTTCTCTTCCAGGCGCTAGATTGCAGATCACAGGAGGAGGAACAGATAAGCAGGCCATAGAGTTAGCACACCAGACTGACGCATCATAGCACAACCAAAGGAACCAAAAGGCGACGACCATTCTCAAGGCAAGGTGGGCTTCCCAAAAACTCCCAAATGAAAATGAATAACCAGGGGTCCATCATTTGACCACCAGGACCCAGGTAGTCACTGTCACTAGCCTCAGTGGGCACCTGCAATCCAGTGAGTGGTTGACACCCAGTTGCACAGGGCAGGCTATGAGGCCACATTTTGTTAGACATTTCAGTGGAGGACGACCAACTGTACCCACAATGAAAGGATTATCTTTCATGATCGTCTGTGAATGCAAACCAAATAAAAAATTCTGAAATATCAACGATGCCCACTTTTGTTTCTAAGGAGACAGTGACAATGCTTCAGTCTTACATGGGTAGGCTCTTCCAAAGGAAGACTCCACAGGATAATTTAACCCGGATGAACACAATTCCATATGAAACTGATGTTCATCTAGTAGGCTGGTCTGAAAAAGTTTTGGTGAATTCCTTAATACCATCTAGTCCATAAACAAACCAATGCATTAAATACACAGATTGAATTGCTTATAATATAGAACCATTAGATCCATAATACATAAAGATTATAATATTCTTTAATAACCTTTTAAGTTTATACATATCCGGTTATATTGTTATGTCACTACAGCTTTTCTCTTAAAGAAAAAACATAAAGGTATTATGTGTGAGTATACATATAATTACTTAATTTAGCACATTTTTATATCAACTTCCAATGTCTGACTTCTTCTTAGTCCTCGATGATCCATCTACAAGCAGTGTATTTCCAAATAGTGTTTTTCTCAAACTGCATTCTTAGTTAAGTGCTAGCACTGTCAGGCAAACTGGTTAAGAAGTGCCAGTTAGGCACCACAGAATGCAGTACTGCAAATAAAAGCAAGCTTCAACATAAGAGACATCTCTTTGTTTCAAAGCAAATATTCACAGAGCAGATTCGCAACAAAAGGAAAAACGGATGCAATGGTATTATTGAAAGCTTATACATTTTAATCAGAAAAATACTTGCAAGATAGTCAAAACTCTCAGCAGCAACAGCACAAAAATGAAACGATCTATTTTATTTTTACTAGATGTAAAATAAGCATGCAGGTAAGCACTGTACTCTAAAAACAAGGAATTAATAACTGGAGTGGAACATCATAAGCTAGCAAACCACAGTCTCTGCAGTTTCACAAAGGAAATGACAAAGAGGCAGATGCATCAGAGAGGACAGTGTTTAATTTCAAGAAAGTTTCACTAGAATAGAGATGTCGGTTAAAGATTCAGACAGCAGCAATGTTTAGGCAACAGGGCTGCAATGATGTTTATTTCTCTGTGAGGCAGAAATAACATCAAGCCCAAGATGGCAGGAGCATGCTTTGCAATGAAAGCAAACCGAAAGTCCATCCTATCGCAACATGCAGCAAGCCACCGATCCCCAAGGTAGGCAACACACTGCTTCTGTGCATCTGACATTCAGAGGTGCCGCTCCCCAGGCTCCTCCATACACATCCCTCTATTTACATCTCGTTAAAAATACAAAGTGGGATGAAAGCAATAAAAACACATACAGGATTTTAGCAAAATGGAATTTGAAATGAGAATAAATTACTTTGAATTTTACCAAAGTAATGGCAACTTGTTCCTTAAGAGAAAGGGGGATGGGCTAATTTATACATTGGCTCAATGACTCACTAAAAATATGAGATCCCTTCAGGTTTTAAGGGTGAAATTTCCCTTGATCATAAATGTGAGTGTGGGATCTCACTGTGTGTGAATTTCCAAGGCAGTTTTCTTATCCCTGAGGGATCATTTTTAACATTTTTTATATCTTTATGCAAGGATAAAAGGGGCCATTTCTGATAACAGAAGCTGTGTTAATTTTATAGCAGTCAACCAAGAAAAGGGAAAAAAACCCAGAGAGAAAGAACAGTATATACCTGGCAGAACTGTCAACCATGCAGAGTGAAAGGATATCCCAATAGAATTACCCGCCAAGCACGTATATTCCCCAGCGTCCTCAAAAGTTACATTCCGAATATAGAGAACCTCAATCTCTTTGTCCGTGGTGTTAACACCGGCGGCCTAGAAAACAAGGGAAGCAAAAGAAAAGGCTAGACGACACAGGAATGATTGTGGAGGGGGCTGTGGAACCACAAGGCGTCGCACCGGGGGCTTCAGGGGGTGCTGGCCACTGGGAGATTCCGACTGCAGCCCATCCACAAAGCCCACAACCGAGAGACACGGAGCAACACTGACCAGCTCACCTCCACAGGCCCGTCACCACACCGGCTTCACCTCCTACACATGCACGCAATCAAACGCATGGAAAAAATCAACCCACAGAGGTCCGTTCTCTTGGCCTGTGCTTTGGTTTGCATTTAGGGGTGGTTTTCCAAAAGTATGGTGCCCAGAAGGCCAAGCTGGTTCTGGTCCTGTTGGCTGCAGACTCCCACCAAGAGGAAAGGGTAGTTCTATCTAAATTGCTGTGTTTTAAGACAACACACTGCACATAAGCCCAGATGGACACCTCACCCATCCTCCTGGCCCTGTGGGAACCAATTGGGGTGGAAGGTTGTCTTGGTTACCAGGCTCTGGTTATTTTTACTTCTGCGATACCATCTTGCCCTACATAGCATTGACAAAAAGAAATGGAAGCAAGCATCATCTTGGTAACCAAAAAAACTGGGCTTTTTCTCTTTTCATTAATAAACATTTGGATGTGAGTCATGACAAACCTAAAAAGTCAACCTTTTGCCTTTAGTAGCGTCCAGTAGTACATTCATTAAGATGAGCTCCCCTCAAATTTGGTGCAACAAGGTCAAGAACAGCAACTCATAAGGATCAACCATGCAACCAAAGAAATGATGCTTTGTTGAACAAATTGCATCTTGCCAATATTTCCCTAAAAACTTGAAGTAGAAGGAGACAAACTCTGCTGATACTCAAATGCCCCGTATTAAACAGGCATGGAAGCGTGTGTTTTAAATGGTGTTAATGTGCAGTAATGATGGGAAATGTGCAGCCTAAACAAGATCAACCAGAAGGAACAACTTAAAAACTGGGTGGGGGTGGAGGCTAATCTCTAGAAGAAATTGGAGCAAGCACTTTGAACGTTGTGGGCATTTTTCCATGGCTACTGGCATCATACCAGCTGCATCACCGAAGAAAGATTATTATAAATATACCAAGGCCACAAGAGTTATCCTATAAGCTGCCTGCAGTCTCCCAAAGCACCAAGTCTTTTCAGCTTCTATATCCAGCTTTCTTTTTAAAAAAAGACAAAAATGAAAGCATTGTTACCTTGCTGTTTTGGCAGGACAGTGAGCCAGGCAGACTGGTTGGCCTGCCCTATATAATTGGAGACCTTACATATATATTCCCCAGCATCCGCCTCGGTCACATTGAACAGAGCCAGCACTTCTGCATTGGAACTATTTATCCCCGAGTGCTAGAACAGACACAGGAGAACAATATAACGGCCAACCAGGAAGGTCTTAGCATTGTCTATGGTCCCACCACCAACACACCGCAAGAAAACAAACTCCATTACGTCTAAACAGCGGCATTAAAGGGCTGCGGATTTTAAAGAACAAAATCAGTCCAGTGGTGGACAACGGAAAGACCTGGTGGAGAGAAGGGCAGGAGGGTGTGAGCGATAGCTAACTGGATAGGTCGGGTGGGTCCCCAGGTTGGTCATCTTTTCCCAATGCCTTTGATCCTTGGAATTATTAGCTGGTGAGAACACTTCATTGGCTGAAAGTTCTTAGCTGGGTCACCTATGGTTCTACTGGAAGAATGTTCTTCTTAAGGACATTCATTCTCCATGAGCAACTAGACATGGGAGGCGTGGTAGGCAAGGAGTTAAGAGCCAGCTGTACAGACTTAGCTGCCCCTGTCCTCAGTCTCCTGAAGAGCAAACCTAGATCTAAAAAAGAGGCAGATGCTATGAAAATGGGGGCTTGCAAATAAGAAATAAGGAGGGAAAGATATTTTCCTTGTTCAACATTTCACTGGTGCAGAAATATGACCTAGAGTTTATTGTCTAAATCACCTCTGAATGGATTTCAAAGGTCAGGGTTTTGTTTTGTTTTGTTTTTGTTAAAAAAAAAATCCAAATTGTTTCTAAAACGTGGCTACTAAAATTGGATCCTAATGTCCTATTAATAGAAAACAACATCAGAGTAACAATCAACACTGGCACAATGCCTTGAGCCTACAAAGCTCTTTCCATCCACTCCATCCCATTTATTCTGCACAACCGCCCTATGGGGGACAGAGTATCACGATCTCTACTTTTATAGAGGCGCAGCTAAGCCTAAATGTCTGCGATCTCAGGGCTGATAAATAGCTGAACTATTCTCTCTCCAAGTTTAGTAGTTCTTCCCCAAGTTTAGTAGTTCTTCCCCTACTCCATAGTTCCCTTCTGAAATTCTACTAGCAAGTGTAATGATCTGTTAATTCCTTAGAACACTCTCTGCTGGCTAGTCAAAAAAGAGAATCATCCTCTCTCAACTCCAACAGGAAATCAAAGAACCTGTGGCCAAACCCATGAAGGAGACCCCAGTTGTGGGTACCTTTAGATTCAGAAAGTCCTCACCTTGAGAACCTTGAGGTAGGGCAGCCCGTCGGGCCCGTATTTACTGCCGTTCTTTTCCACGTGCTTGATCCACTGGATGTGGGGCTGGGCATCACTGTAAACCTTGCAGACAAACTCTACGTCTCCTCCGACCACTGTGGAGGCATTTGCCGGCAGTCCGGCTTGGAGGATGGGCCGGTGAGGCGATCGCTCTGGTGGAGAGAGGGAAGAAAGGAGGAGTGGGGATGGGAGAATGAGAGACCAATAAATAAGCTGTGTTGTCCAGAGGGCTGTCAGTGACCTCATGCCAGAAAAGCCTCAAGCCTGCTGGCTGACACCTTTGAAATAACACTGTGGCCCCATGAATAACAGAAACGACTTCAAAGGAGACTGCCGGAGCGCGACCCTTGTAAAAAGAACACTTACTTAGAAAATTGAGAAAAGAACTTATTACATCCCAGGTTATTGGCTGTCCACTGCCACCTGATGAATACGGGAAGAAATTCTACTCTGACAATCTAAGTGACAAATGGTAGGGGAGGGAAGCTTCTTCACTTATCCTATTTGAGATAATCTCAAAAACTCACCTCAACCACAAGCTTAACATCACAGGCAAATGACAAGACTAACTTTAAAGACACTCTGAATACCAAAAATGGTTTCAATAGGCACATGTCTCCCAATACATTTTTTTTTCTTTTCTCAGACGGGGTCTCACTTCATTGCCCAGGCTGGAGTGCAGTGGCATGATCACGGCTCACTGCAGCCTCAGCCTCCCAGGCTCAGGTGATTCTCCAACCTCAGCCTCCTGAGTAGCTGGGACTACAGGCAACCGCCACCACGCCCAGCTGACTTTCAAATGTTTTATAGAAAGAGGATTTCATCATGTTGCCTGGGCTGGTCTCAAACTCCTATGCTCAAGCGATCCACCTGCCTTGGCCTCCCAAATTGCTGGGATTACAGACGTGAGCCACCACGCTCGGCTCCAGTACATTTCTAAGATGCTCTGAGAAGACTTCCAACCTTTGTTTTAAAAATTAAACTAAAGCCTAAAGCCCAAAGTTATGAACAGATTTGATTAATAATGGGATTCACCTCTTTATTGTGGAATTCACTCCATTCATTCATTCTTTATTCACCCATTTAGCTCTTTGATGAATATCAGGTGTTACTCTATGCCAGTTACTAAATGCACAAGTAGATGTTTCTTAGCTTATTCCAATATGGCACTGAATGAAACATAAGGAGATGCTGGTTTCCAACTCCTGGCTATGTTTTAGACTGCCCTATAAAAGGGCAGAGATGGTATCCCAAAATTACTTCCTAGCTTCACTTGTCTTGCCTCTCTCTCCTTCGAGAACACGTTCTCAACAAAGAATACACCCTCTCATCTTATGCCTGGAAAGGCTTCTCTCCAGCTAAGAGGCGGTCTCTGCAAAACTTTTGTGGAGACAATCAAGCCAAGGTGTGCTAGCAACCACACATGAGACTCCTCAAGTGTTAAGTAATACCCATGGAAAAATGGGCTAAGGACTTAACTATGCATTTCTCCAAGACACAAATGGCCACTAGGTGTATGAAAAGTTTCTCAATGTCACTAATCATTAGAGAAATGCAAATCAGACGAGATCGGGCGCGTTCCAAATCAAAACCACAAGGAGCTATCACATGACACCTGTCAGGATGGGAAGAAAAAAAAAAAAAGACAAGTGTCGGCAAGGATGTGGAGACACTGGAACCCCTGCGCACTGTTGGTGGGAATATAAAATGATGCAGCCACCATGGAAAACAATATGGAGGTTCCTCAAAAAATTAAAAACAGAACTACCCTAAGATCCTGCAATCCCACTTCTCTATTTATCTAAAAGAACTGCAATCAGGATCTGCACTCCTATATTAATTGCAGCACCATTAACAATAGCCAAGAAATGGAATCAATCTAAGTGTCTGCCAAAGGATTAATTTTTACAATGTGGCTATATACACAACGGAATACTATTCAGCCATGAAGAAGGAGGAAATGGTGCAATATGTGACAACGTGGAAGCCATGATGCTAAGTGAAACAGGATAGTCACAGAAAGACAGACACTGCCTGACTCCACTGATATGAGGTATCTAAATTCATCGCATTCATAAAATCAAAGAGCGGAACGGTGGTTGCCAGGGGCTGGGACAGGGAAGGAAATGGTGAGTTGCAATCAAGAGGCATAAAGTTTCAGTAAAGCAAGATGAGCAAACTCTAGAGACCTGCTGCACAGCATCGTGCCTATAGTCAACAACAACGTATTGTACACTGAAAACTTAGTTGAAGACCAGGCGCAGTGGTTCATGCCTTTGAGCATAATCCCAGAACTTTGAAGGCTGACGCAGGAGGATTGCTTGAGGCCAGGAGTGTGGGACCAGCCTGGGCAACATAGCAAGATCCCTATCTCTACAAATAATACAAAAGTTAGCCAGACATGGTGGTGCATGCCTGTAGTCCCAGGTACTTGGGACTGAGGTGAGAGAATGGCTTGAGCCCAGGAAGTTGAGGCTGCAGTGAGCCACGATCATGCCATTGCACTCCAGCCTGGGCAACAGAGTGAGACCCCGTCTTAGAAAAGAAAAAAAACTTAGGTGAGATGGTAGTTCTCATGCTTAGCATTCTTGCAACAATAAAATGAAATAAAATAAAAAGAATTAAATAACCACCAGACCACCAGACTGCTACCTGATCTTGTCGTACAAACTTACTGGAACCTTCCTACACAGATCTGTCAAAAGCCACACAAAACACAATCATGTGTCCATACATGAATACAACTCCATCCCAACAGGCCTGCACTTACCAGCCTCCTCCCTCTCTTCCTCCCCTAGGTGTGGGTACCACTACCCTAACCTCCAGTGTTAAAAAACAACTGAGGGAAATGAGGAGAACTCAGCCAGCTCAGCACACCAAGGATGTCTCTGCACTGTACCTGAGAATCACCATGCACTGGGCTGGAAACAGCAAATTAGAACAATAGATATCTACATCATTGGACCTTTCAGATTAAAACATCATCTAGTGGAATTTGTTGGACAAGAGCCAGACCATGTGCAAATTGACTTTACTGCATAAGCCTGTTGCTGGTCTTTAAAAAGAAAGAAAAAGTGCTAGTGGTTACTCTTAGCACATTTCATTCCAGAATCTCCCATCACTTTACAGACATCTATGTTTTCACATTATAAAGATAAGGATACTGGAGCCGCAAAGAAATCATTCATCTGCCCCTATATTGCCCATGTAGGCTGAGCAAAGAACCTGAAGTTAAGACTTCTGGTGTTGGTGGGCAGAAAATCTCAAAGCTGGGCCCCTTCAGACGTCAGGTGAAACCCTTGCTCTCTGGCTCATACAATGACCCAGGGATGGGCCCCAGCAAGCCTCCTGGTCAGGCCTAGCAGCTGGCTGGACACCCCAGGGACCTGTCCACAGCGGGCAGTGACCGAGGTCTGATTTAATCCCAGCTGGCCTCATCCATGTGGGAAGGGCAGAGTTAAGTCCGCGCACGAACAGACACACGCTCCTCTCCTCCCCAGGCCTCCTACCAAGAGACTTCACAGCACGAGGGGAAGCTGTCCTCTGGGCTAGATCCTGCCAGACAAGGTCACAAACTATGCTCCTATGCACCTAGCAAATAGTAAGAAGGTTTATTCCTTCACACAGAAATGTGAACTTTAGTATCAATTCATGCCCTGGCTCCGTTTTCCAGTTTTGCACTTGTACATGCATGTGTGTGTGTAGTGTGGGTGCGTTTTAAGATAAATATTTACAGTGGGCCTACACATCTATTCTTAGAAACAAAGGTCATAAAATCTTAAATGTCATAAGCCAGATCAACTGAGTTTCAAACCAAGTCCTCTTTCTTAAACATATTTGTTTCTAATAAATCGTTTCACAAGTAAACATTGTGCATGCAGTACCAAACCATGATGCCCCGTGAACAATGAGTGCTTTCATCCCGCCTGACATCTCTGGCCTGCGCCAGGCTTCGGCAGGGAATTTAGTCACTGAGGCAACACTGGCAGGGCCCACTACAGAGCTGCAGTCTTGTTTTCCTTGTGGTCAAAGTGCTGCTGAGCTCCAGTTATTAAGTTATTCCAATGCTATCCCGGCTATGTATACACACACACACACACACACACACACACACACACACACACACACACCCCAAGTTTGCAATGGTTTAATGTTATTGCATTTGCAAATTACAGCATACCAAATGTTACACGCTTGCAGTCTTGAATTCATCTTTTCAAATTTTCTCACCTTATACAAAATAACCTCTTAACCACCTCCACTCCCCCTCCGCCCTTTCTCACTTCTGGTAGAAAAACTGCAAGCAGGATTGTTCTGTAATAGAAACCTTACACTGTCTTCCAAACTTATTACAGCTGCCTTCAGTATAAAATGAAACCTTAGAGAATGTTATTTAAAATGTTTTTAAAAAGTCAGTAGGTCTCATGTTTCATTTCTCCACATCAGGCTTTGATTTCCTTTGCAACCTTATTCTCTGCCCTTAAACAAGTCGGAGGAGGAGGCCTGGACGTCTTGGAAAAGGGCCCAGGATGCCAGCATCTGCCGAACGCTGCGCTCCTCCTCTCGAACCCTTCAGCGATCCACCACCCCTCGGAATCCCTAAGAACCTCAGAAACAGTGAACAGTAAGTGGATGACAGCGCCTGGACTCCTTTCCTAACTTCTGAAAAACCGAGGTGATGGCAGGGTGCAGATGGTGGACGAGGATGCAGGCTGGGCAGAGTGGGGGCCCCCTTCGTGGCCTGGCCCAGCGGGCACTACGGCAGAGACAAAGGGGACGATGACCCAAAGAGCTCATGTGTTCTCCCCACCAGGAACCTCCCCGGTCCCTGGGCAAACCAAACCCCTCAAGTTTGCAACTTTTTTGCAACAAACTGAT
Source organism: Homo sapiens (assembly GCF_000001405.40). Lineage (NCBI taxonomy): Eukaryota > Metazoa > Chordata > Mammalia > Primates > Hominidae > Homo > Homo sapiens. The sequence continues at coordinate 121,524,896 of NC_000010.11, forward strand.
ATAAAAAGAATCCCCTGATGTATTATCTCTGGGCGAGAGACTAAAGCCCAGTGCTAGTTCATCTCTTCTTCTATGTGATAACAAAAATCACATCTTCTCCACCAGGAAGGACAGGAAGGATTTACAGTTTTAGGCAAGATTCTCTTCTAGCATGTTTAACTCTCAGATATTATATAAAACAGATTTTCCTTTTTACAAAGGGAGTGAGATAAACACATGGAAAATAGGCTGATGAGTAGCTCCTCTGTTTACTGTAATTTTAATTACATATATACACATATAAGAATAGACGTTCTGAGGTTCAGCAGGTTGCAAATGCACAGTGCATGGACCTGGAACAAGATGAGAACCTTCAAAAGAGTGATTGGAAGGTGGCTGTGTGAATTCCAAATTAAGACGGAATGGAAAGCAGTCCAAAGGGTGCGGCCACTGCTGCCGGGACAGTTGGCTGCACTGCTGGAATGAGGTTCCACCAAATAAACGCGTAGTAAACACAGGCTGAAGTGCTTTAAAAAATACATTCTCTCCCAGCGTTCTCTCTCTCTCACTCTCGGTCTCGCCCCCTTTCTTCAAGTGTCCACTCTACTAAAGCAGAAAGCCCAGCTGCTAAGAATTGAAATATCAGGATGGGCTCTGTCAAGCCCTGCTCTGTAGCTGGGAGCCATAACCCACCTAAAGACTGCAGCAGGAAAGCACAGCCTGCTTCCTTCCAAGAGGTCATTATTGAGGGAGAGAGAGAGAGAGAGAGAGAGGAAAAAAATACCTGAGTGACAAAGAATAAATCTTTGTTAATTGACCATTGAAATTTTATAACATGCCAGTCCTCCTCTGGACATAGTAATATGTTTGCTCATAAGAGATCTACAACTTTTGCTCTGACATAGCAAAGGCCATAAAAAATGTCCACCGAGCCGAGAGGCCTCATGTCTACAGGCTCAGTAAACATGCATCCCGGGGATCAGAAGGAGAACCAGGCTCTTAAATTACACCTATAAATTAATCAAGCACAGAGTGGCTGGTTTCCCAGCTCACACTGGTCTCCTGAGCATTTCTCCCCAAAAGTTAGGCAGTACTTGCCACAAAGAGCCATTTCAAAGCCACCTCTCTCCGGCAGTCACACACCAAGAGACTCGAATCACACGGAGTTCCCAGTATTGATCTGGAAACAGCCAGTCTCCTGCTCTCAGGCCCCCATTCATGTAAGGAGCGTGGATAACCTCGCTTGCTCTGTCTTTAAATTAAAATCAAAATTTAATTACCTTTCCTCCAAAATGGCAGTCTCTTAGCAACGCCAAAGAGCTGAAAAGGGAAAGAACATTCTGCGATTTGGAGGACAAGTGAAAACAACTGAGAATTCTTTTTCTAAAGCCTGCCTAGCTTTTTTCTAAAGAGTAGGCGGTGGTTGCTTTTGTTGCATAAAAACGCACTAAACCAGTTAGCATGAGGCATGGTTATTAGGAGGAGGAGGAGGCCGATCAAAGCTCTCTGAAGTCTGAGGAGCCCAGAACTTGCTAAAGGCCCCACGCTAATTACAATTAGTAGAATGAGTTCATTGCCTTGTCAAGACTCCACCTAACGCACTCAAGCCTGACAGGCTAAATCTCGTTGGGTTCTGAGTTTTGTTTTGTTTTCCCAGAAATACGAAGCTTTCTCCAGCTTCTGAAGATCAGCACAAAGGAAGGTCAGAACTAAAAATGATTAGCAGAAAAAGGGAACGCTATGACGGCCAGGAAGACCACCTTCAGAAAGAGCCCAGGTGCCCACAGCCAGTATCTTGGCTTGTCACCTCCTAGAATAGATGAGTGGGCTGGGATGCTGGGCACCCAGAATCACCTGTTTTGTTTTGTTTAAACACATTTCTGTGGAAGGTCACTGGTTTGTTGCCCTTTCTCCCTCACAGGCTTGGCACATGCTCGTTTTGTTCTTTCCTCTTCGCTGTCTGGTCACCCAGGTGTCCGCATCTTCTGTCTGGATATCTGACTCTCGGAAGTCTTGCAGAATCGGCTGGGGCTCCCACTTCCTCTAAAACACACACGTCTCTTTGCAGAGAGAGTGAAGTCTGCGGAACAAACTTGTTTGGGTAAAAATGAAGTGTCCTCCCTCCAGCACTAAAGTCACAAAGTGACTTATGGAGGCTGCACCCTGTGAAATGCTAGAAGCAAAACACCACTAATGCCTTTGTGCTTGCTCGATGAAGTGAAGAAGAGAGTAAAGTGCTGGCTGGGCTCAGGGCCTGGGAAGACCAAAGCAGGTGGAGGCAAAGTACCTTCCCTAATTAATGTTACAGGCTGTATTATTAGTACCTTCCCTAATTAATGTTACAGGCTGTATTATTTGGCTTGGGGTTGAGTGGCTTCTACCAGCTGGGTATCAATTTGGGTCTTCTTGGGCGAATTACAGGAGTAGGGCTGTGTGTTATTTACACCCCAAGTGTTTAAGACACTCTGAGCTCTCTGCCTTCAAAAAGTTTCACCAGAACTGAAGATTCTTTGGTAACCAGAGAGTTATTATGCCAAATTTACGTTCGAAATTGGTCTCTTTTGCTAAAAGGAGTCATGGTTTGGGGATGATGGAAAAGTCCTGGAGATGAACAATAATGATAATTGCAAAACAAATTGAATGTACTTAATGTAAATGAATTACACATTCAAAAATGGTTACAGAGGTATATTTTATGTTATGTATATTTTACCACAATTTTTTTTTAAAAAGGAGACATAACAAAGGTGACAATATCTCAGAGTGAACAAGATCAATTTCTAGGGTCATGGAAAACCTACCTTCTCAATCAGCGAGGTATATTGACCTTGTCCAGTTTACTCAGTGAGAGCTTTTCTATCTCCTGACCCACACACACTAGGCAGGAGGTCCCTCCCTAGGTTGTGCTTGGGTTTTGACACTGATGTAAAACTCAGGCGTCAGTCTCCCAGGCTCCCTCCCGAGGAGCTGAGGTAAACACAGCTGAGAGCGTTCATGCCTGGGAGTCACGTCAGAGCCTCAGCAGCCGCCACTTGCCATAGGGGTGCAACATCTTTCAGGAATGCAAGATTATCAGCTGGTGTCTGCATAGCTGGGTTTCCTTCAGGGGAAGAAAATGTTTCCTTCGAGCTGGAAAAGTTTGTTCTTTTTTAATGTCCAGGAATTAGGTATACCCTCTTATTACAATGGGTGAACTCCCAATTAGAGTATCTTCTCTCAAATGATTTGCAAAGAAGCTAAAAACCAAACCACAGGGGAGCCCTCCGTCAAAGACAGCAACCACTCCAAGTAAGTAAGGCCCCTTAGCTTTAAAATGTTTGACTGAAATCTATCAAAAATGATCCAGTTAACCAACCTTTACAAATCTGTCCTAGAAAAATATTCACACAGATGCCCACTAAATAAGTGTGGACAAAGCTTGTCGCTGTAGGGTTTTTTTTACTGGAAAACAAAAGATCTGCACAACAATCATATTGTTTAATATGATTAAACGAATTGTACTACATCCGTGAAAGAAGAGCATATTGGCCACTAGTAAGAATGAAGGAGATTGAGATGTGCAGACATAGAGGGATGTCCATTGTAAAAATGCTGGCAGGTTTCATCAACCTTCACCATCTAAAAAGCCTTTCTTCTAGAGAAGTCTAGAAAATCTATCATGCTCATCTCTCTCACATGCCTTGTTTTGCTCCTAGGGCGGTTCGAGCAGAAGTAAAAGCTTTCAGCCCATCTGAGCAAACAAGAAATGCCTCCCTTTGATAGGAATAACATGAGAGGCTGAACAATAAATCCCATTTGTTTTCTTGGAGATGAAACTCAGAAACTGAAAATAATCACGGTTCTAGATACTTCTAAGTACAGCATGACCTAAAGAGAAACTTCAAAATAGTCACCCAGATCACAAAAGCCTTCAATCCAAACGCCACTGCTCTTCTCACTGTCCAAGCCAGATGGGAAGCCTCAAGTCAGGCCCCAGCCCCAGTCCCTCCCTATGAACACTCGGTGAGAGTCTCACATACAGAATGGTTTTGTTTTTTCAGTCCAAAATGTAAAATTTATTTATTTATTTTGAGATGGAGTCTCGCTCTGTTGCCCAGGCTGGAGTGCAATGGCACAATCTCAGCTCACTGGAACCTCTGCCTCCCGGGTACAAGCAATTCTCCTGCCTCAGCCTCTAGAATAACTGGGACTACAGGTGTGCACCATGACGCCTGGCTAATTTTTAATATTTTAATTTTTTTTGTTTGTTTTTGAGAAGGAGTCTCACTCTGTCACCCAGTCTGGAGTGCAGTGGCACAATCTCAGCTCACTGCAACCTCCGCCTCCCACGTTCAAGTGATTCTCCTGCCTCAGCCTCCCGAGTAGCTGGGATTACAGGCACACAACACCACGCCTGGCTAATTTTTGTATTTTTTAGTAGAGATGGGTTTTTACCATGTTGGCCAGGCTGGTCTCAAACTCCTGATCTCAAATGATCCACCTGCCTCAGCCTCTCAAAGTACTGGGATTTCAGGCGTGAGCCAGCACACCCGGCCAAAATGTAAAATTTAAAGGGCTAAGTCCTTTACCTTTCAGTTTCAGTCCAGAGTGTACACTGAACCAGTAAAATGAAAAGTTCCTTTTTCTAATAGAGCATAATTTCCAAAAGATCCTACTAGAATAATATTCAATGTTTGTCTCTCAAAAGACCACAATCTCCCTGATCCAGTGGGGAATATGTCTGGGGCACCATTTGACCTGTAGATTTGCATACTTATTTGGGATGGACAGAATTCCTGCCAGCCTTGTTTGAGAGAATCCTGTAATCCAGAGGCTTTGAGAAAGAGAGAAAAAGTTGGAGTTCCATCAAGATCTAGAAATTTCCATCCCAATTTATGGTCTTCGACCTCAAAATGTGACCTGAGGAACTCCATGAGGGCAAAGCCTTATACCTCATTCAAGTGACTGTCACCCTCTCGACCACATAAAGGCTGCGTGAGCGTGCCACGTGCTTCAAGGATAGAGAATTAACCACTGCAACTCAGCAAATACACAAAATCCCAGCTAGAGAGCTCTGCTCTATTTTCTCCCTCCAAGCCAAAGCAATGAGGCTCCCATTGCCTCATCGCCTCATCTGTCTCTTCTCAGAAGAGGAAACAGAACAACCTCCCCACAGCAACACCGACACCCTTGGCCATCTATTTCCCACAGACACCCACATTTGACCAGCTATCATGAAAGACGCACAGTGGTTCTCTGATGCCACCCTTCCAAATCTCTAAGTAAGGAGCACATCCTACCTGTAGGTAGAACCCTACAGCATCCTACCTTCTCTGACTGTGAAAACAAACCAAGCATGAAGACCATGAATACAACAGCCGGGTCTCCTAAGGGAGAGGGAATCCGTGAAAGCAAACCAACAGACACATCTTTTAAAAGGGGAAGAACACACAGCATTCCACACTCACATCTTAACAAGAGTTGGCAGGCCAGGTGCGGTGGCTCATGCCTGTAATCCCAGCACTTCGGGAGGCCTGCGCGGGCAGATCATCTGAGGTCAGGAGTTCAAGGCTAGCCTGGGCAACATAGTGAAACTCCATCTCTACTAAAAATACAAAAATTAGCCAGGCATGATGATGTCCGCCTATAATCCCAGCTACCAGGAGGCTGAGGCAGGAGAATCACTTGAACCCAGGAGACGGAGGTTGCAGTGGGCCAAGATCATGCCACTGCCCTCCAGCCTGTGCAACAGAACAAGACTCCGTCTCATAAAACTTCCCAACTGAGGTCTTTCGGTTTACAAAGGCAGCCGTTGATAAAGCCACATGAGTAAATGAGTTTAGAGAGAAACTCTAATTTCTTGCTTCAGAATTTGCAATGTTAAGAACCACAAAACTCCAAATATAAGCAACTTATTAAACTGTTTTTTGATTATTTCAATTCAGCACACGCTGATAGAAACCTCGCTAAGTTCCAGCACATTACTGCACACTCTTACTGCCATCACTAAATTGACATTTCATGGCAAGTTTATTTGCCCAAGCTCTGACAGAAGCAGCTTTCTCTCTGCCCCATCCTCACCTGAATCTCCAGGTAACCTCTTCTTACATAAAACTGTAAGATATTAACTTGATTTTAACACTTCTACATCCTCTTTGCCCACACCATAAATGAAATGCCAAGATTAAATGCCAGACCAAATATTAGCCCTCTCTCCAGCCACCTCACCCAGGCCCCCTGCAAGAATCGAAAGCAATCAATAAGGCTTCCTTCCTCAATGGTGGGGCAAAGGACAACGGGTAGCCTGCAGAGAATGTGACAAAAAAGCTGACATCGCAGAGTTCTACCATGCCCCATCCAGGCTGGCGTGTGCCTGCTCCCACCCCAGGGAGCTGGCACCCGCAGAATACCACCTGCTCCCAAAGGCTTCTTGCTGGGGTCAGTTCTGCGGGAGAGTCTGTATTTGCCAGTCAGTACGTTTGGAGTGATCTAGCTGCCACTAACCAGCCTTTGCCCCCCGGGATCCCTGTTGTGAAACAGGAATGAAAAGCTGCTTTGTAGCAATCAAAAGCTCATTAAACAGTAGCTACCAAAGGAAGTTTTGAAATCTCTATCCTGGAGGAAAGGACAGGACTGACCCCTCCTTTCATCAGGATGGGCTCAGGGTGCACGGCTCTGTCTGGAGATGCAAGAGGAAGTATGGGACCAACGCACAATAACGACTAACAGTTGCATGGTACTATTATTTAAAAGCGCTGCCTCTCCTACCACCTCCTCCTCCCCATAGTGCTACAAGGAAACAGTCATCACCCCATTTTACAGGCAAGGAAACTGAGGCTCAGAGGTTCCATGCCTTTTCTAAGGCCATAGAGTTAGCAAGGGTGGAAACAGAACTTGACACCCCTCTCCACGTAATTTCCACCTGAACCTCCAGAGAGGGCATCTGGCACAGAGTAGAGACCCTTAGGGGTTGTCTGTGACAGCGATGGTTTATAAGAACAGGATGAGATGGCTGCTGGGGACACGAAAGCGGCAAAAGGAAGGTGCTTCCTCCTCAACTCCGCTCCGGTTCCGTGATCTGTCAACTAAATAAGCCCACTTAGAAAGGCTGTCGCTGTGACCCATTACCTGGCACGCCACCCCAATCCCTTCTCAACAGAGGGGCTTTCTGCCCCCCTCCGGTGAGATTTCGCAACTCTAGAGCTGGCATGCAGAGCCCGTGTCAGGGTAGGACACCAAGTCTTACACTCAGAGCAAGAAATGGAAAAGAATTCACTGGCAGCAAAGTCAGGAGTATGGAAAATCAAATGAGCCCTGGCCAGGAAGCCTCTAAGTCAAGAGGCTTCAAGTTCAGAACCCCACAGGGCTCTACGGAGCCGAGACCTTGTGCCAGGAACAGGTACAAGCATGACAACCTAAAAGGTAATGGTCAGGCTTTCAATATCCTAACGTCTCTGGACGTGCAGAATCATGTCATTTAAATGATGCCACCACAGCCACTCCTTATCACACACAGAAACAAAAATTCCATCCAGAAGCCACAGTGTGATGGAAGCCGAGACTGAGATGCAGCCTTCCATCACGAGCAAGTGAGCAGGAATGACTGAATCTTGACAGCTTCAGTAATGAATTAACAGGTTAATTAATTAACTAGGCCACCGCTTCTTCATTTACTTAACCACTACTTTGTTCCCAACCCAGGAGACAGTCCAAACTTCACACTCCAGCTGTGGTTTGAGGGACTCCGCCGTGCCTCCGTCCCCTGGCCCCAGCTCAGCTATCACACTGGAGCCTTTGTCTTCCTGGGACAGAGGCTGCCCCAAGCAGTCAACAATTTCAGCCATTCCTCCTTCTTCCACTGGGGATGGGCTGCCAAAAGCTCCCAAAACTCCCTTCCAGGTGTCAACTCCACATTCGAGCTTATCAGTCAGTGCTTGGAATAAAAGACGCTTCATTCTTGAACACACACCTGAGGGGGGACTTCGCTCTGGTACGGATTCCTGTGCGCTTTCAGGCTGTGTCCTATCATGTCTGGGGCTGAGTTACAACAGATTTATGTCAAGGGCTAGTTGACAGTGCCATGCTGATCTGCCGCCATCAAGTCAGGGCTGGTAGTGATGCCTGACCCATCCAGAAGTGACATGCGGCCTCTGATGGGCCCCCAAACAACAACTGCCTGCTGCTTACAGCTTTCATTTGAAGGGATGCGGACAGGCAGGGGGAACAAATTTCTGGAAAGTTAAACTGATAAAAGACCGGGCACGGTGGCTCATGCCTGTAATCTTGGCACTTTGGGAGGCCGAGGCGGGCGGATCACTCCAGGCCAGGTGTTCGAGACCAGCCTGGCCAACATGGTGAAACCCCATCTCTACTAAAAACTACAAAAACTAGCTGGGCATGGTGGCACATGCCTATAATCCCAACTATTCAGGAGACAGAGGCAGGAGAATCACTTGAACCTGGGAGGCAGAGGTTTCAATGAGCCAAGATCATGCCACTGTACTCCAGCCTGGGCAACAAAGCAAGACTCTGTCTCAAAAAACACAAGGAGTGGAGAGAAGACATATCTGGCCTTGACAAAACCAGAGGCACCATTTCCACTTCCACTGTACTTTGCCCCCAAAATATCAAATGCCAGGCAAAAAGCTTGACATACCTGAGGGTCTCTGGAAATGCAGAACTGGAATGCCCAAAAGAAGCAATAATTCACGATTCAAAGCCAAATCGTCTACATGAGTGAGGAAGAGCAACTAGTCTTTTAAGGTCCCATCTTTCTCCCGCACATTCTGTCTTCTGCAGCAAAGAACTGAAAGCAGGGTGGGGTGACAGCAGCACCTCCTTAGAGTCGGGCTGTGGCAGTCACTACTGAAACACACCACAGTGAACATCAAATGAAGAAGTCCGCTTGGAGAGCAAGGAGCATTCATACAGATAGGCGTGGAGAACACCCAGATGGAGGCCCCAGCTCCAGAATGCCTGCTCCAAGCCCTTACTTAGCAAATCACTTACCCCAGCTGAACCTGAACTTCCTCCACTGCAAAGTGGGGGAGGGGAGGGGTGGGCGTAAAGAAGCCAACTCCATGAACTTCAAGTCCTCAAACTCCACACCCCTCTCCTGCAAGTCCAACAGCCAAATCAGTCTCAGGATGGCCTTGATGACAGCATTAATCAAAGGTGGAAACCTCAGCAGGAAATGTCAATGTCAGCCTCTGGCCACGTCTGTAGGTCCCAAAATGGCTTTTTTTTTTTTTTTTTTTTTTTTTGAGACGGAGTCTCACTTTGTCGCCCAGGCTGGAGTGCAATGGCACAATCTCAGCTCACTGCAACCTCTGCCTCCTGCGTTCAAGCGATTCTCCTGCCTCAGCCTCCTGAGTAGCTGGGATTACAGGTACCTGCCACCACCCCTGGGTAATTTTTGTATTTTTGGTAGAGACGGGGTTTCACCATGTTGGTCAGGCTGGTCTTGAACTCCTGACCTCATGATCTGCCTGCCTCGGCCTCCCAAACTGCTGGGATTACAGGTGTGAGCCACCGCGCCCGGCTTTCTTTTTTCTTTTTTGAGATGGAGTTTCACTCTTGCTGCCCAGGCTGGAGTGCAATGGCATGATCTTGGCTCACTACCACCTCCACCTCCCAGGTTAAAGCAATTCTCCTACCTCAGCTTCCCGAGTAGCTGGGATTGCAGGCGCCCACCACCACACCCGGCTAATTTTTGTATTTTTAGTAGAAACGAGGTTTCACCATGTTGACCAGGCTGGTCTCTAACTGCTGACCTTAGGTGATCTGCCCGCCTCGGCCTCCCCAAGTGCTAGGTTACAGGTGTGAGCCACCATGCCCAGCCCCAAAATGGCATTCTGTTTGTTTAATAAGACTTCTGATTGAGACTAATAAAAGCTATTAAAGATCCATTCTAACCCTCAAAAGAATCCTGGTTTGGAAGGGAGGAAACCAGCATTTGTTGCTGGCCACCTACCTGCCAGCCTGATGTTTTCATCTGCTAACCCAACTGATGCCTCGTAACTAATGTAGTGAGCTGAAGGGTGACCTTTGAGAAGGTACGTCCACGTCCTAAGCCTTGGAAACTAGGAATGTGACCTTATTTGAAGAAAAAGGTCTTTGCAAAAGTACTTAAGTTAAAAATATCAAGGTTAGCTCATCCTGGATTTACGGTGGGCCCTAAATCCAGTGACAGGTGTCCTCACAAGAGGAAGACAGAAGGAGATTTTGAGACACACAGTGAGAACATGACTACATGAAGATGGAGGCAGAGATTGGAGCGGTGCCTCTACAAGCCAAGGACAGCTACCAGAAGCTGGGAGAGGGGCGTGGAACTTGCCAACACCTTAATTTTGAATTTTTAGGCTCCAGAACTGTAAGAGAATAGATTTCTTTTGTTTTAAGCCAATTAGTTTATAGTAATTTGTTAGGGGTACCCTAGGAAACCTAATACAACCATCATAGGAATGAGGTAAGTATCATCATTCCGATTTTACTGATGATAAAACAGAGCCTCAGAAAAGCTAAATAATTTGTCCCAATTCACTAGGGGCCCCAGGTATGGCCACGGACAAACCTGCTGTTCATTCCACGGCATAAGCCGCTTTTTTTGTTCTAACATTCATGAGTTCCAGTTCCTTCATTTTTGGACACAAGGAAAGTGCAATGAGTCATCCCAGCATTGTAGCTTCACAGTGACAGGACCTCAGTCAGAATCCAGGGCTCTGGTACCACTCAATGATGAACGATGGTGAAGGCTCGCCACCTCCCGGAGCCACAGCTACTTTAGGGGAGCCCATTTTATTATCGCCACAATTACCAAAACGTGGAGCATCACACTAATTTTCCCTTGCAGTAAATAGCTGAAAAGTAATGGTGTCAATTTTAATGAGGATCAAGCCAGGCTCCTAAAAGGGCTCCCATAAATGAAAGCATTTCCCTTACACACAACAATGGCTTGCCGTTTAATTCTAGAACACAAGAATGTCACTTAAATTACACGGCTTTTACATTAAAGTGCTTATGGGAATGCCTTTCCAAGGAAGAATTTCAATAAAAAGATCTCACCCATCTTGATGCTTCATAATATCTGAACCACAATCTATGTATCATAGAAACAAAAATAAAACCCCAAAGAATGTGGGCAAGAATGGGACTTCGCTTTCACTGGGAAAGGGTTTCTGATTTTCTGTGAAACAGAGAGGTGGCTGAAAAGCTGTTATCACACAGCAGTGTATCACATTTGGGCCTGTGGGCTACCAGAAATTCACTGCTTAAGCTTGAATCCTTTTTGTTTCCACTTGCTGAGATGTTCAGAATGACTGCCAACCCTGTACGTCTATATGAGCCTCTTTAGCTGACTCAATTCTTATTTTATTAGTGCTTCGCAAAGCAATTACTAGGGTTTTGAGCAGAGATGAGAGTATTTCACACTTCCATCTTTACTGAAAATGCCTTTTACTCCACTGACTTTTGGCTTCTATTTATAAAGAAGGTTCAAGGCTTGGAAAATTATTGGAGTTGAGCTTTAATGGATATTCCCAACCAGCATTGTGTCATTATTGGCCCGTGTTTAGCTGGGCGATCTCCCAAATTTGTGACATAATCAGGCCTCTCTCTGCATTACTCCATACACTCCACGCTCTCTCTACATTACACCACTGAATCATACGCTCTTTTCAACAAGACTGATTGCCAGGGGATTAACATTAGACAGCACAATTCCATTATTCAGCAGCCCAATTCAAATCCCAACCCTAAACTCTAAGAGAGATTTCAGGGCTTCACAGGGATGAGCCGCCAGAAAGCTCAAAGGGGAGGTGGGGTGAGGGGCTTTTGAATGTTTTACATAACAACTCAACCTAAAACTTGCTTTAAGCAAGAGCCCAGACCGGAGTGGCCGCCATCTGACTCCACGATGCCTAGAATGGCCCCAGCCCAGCCTAATGAATGATGTGTAGACCTATGCAAAGCTATAATCCCAAAAGACTGCTATAGCTCAATTATTTTTTCCCACAATAAATTACTTAATTTCAAAATTAGGTATTTAGAACATTTAGCCCAAAATCTCTCTTTCCCTAAATAGAAATAGTTTTACGTCACATTCGGTACACACAGGAACCCAGGTAAAGGCCAAGTCATATGCTCTTTGATCAATGGATTTACAGTGTATCAATGCCAACACAAATGTTAATCATTTTCTTCTCAAATTTGAGTGTTACTTCTCTTTTTGTTTGTTTTGTAAAATATCTGAACATGGTAATTCTCACTAAGAAACATGCCACATGTTTTCTCTATGGGGAAAGAGCTCTAAAACTCACTCTTTTATGAATATCTATAGGATCAACATTATTCAAGGACCTATCAAATTTCACATGAAGGCTTCTGAAGAACAAAACTCAAATCTTCGAATAAACACTATTTTCCCTGAATGCTTATATGCAAATGGAAGTAATGGTTATATCATGCTTTCTAAGGCAGAGTGTCTCGTAGATCCAATTCCATTTAACTTGACAGAAAATCAAAATAGTTTTGTTTACTTTTCAGTTAACCTAAAATTTTAATTAACCAAATCTTTGCAATTTGGTTAATCAAGCTTTTGGATTATTTTTTTAGTGGCTTTTTGGGCAATTCCAATATGTAACGGGGTCTCCCTCTTCAAAGATGTTTTATTGAAGGAGACCCACACATGAGATGATACTAGGCACACACGCACAGGCTATGATGTAGGAGACACTTCGTTTACAGAGGCACAGTGGGTGGTGTGGGCTTGTGGAATTACCAACAGTCACATTACGGCAAAACGTGAGTGTGAACTGAGTTGAGTCTACAGCAGAAGATAGCAACCTGTATTTAGGGGAGGACAAACCAAAAGAAGGCTCAAGGTGGCAGGTTGAAAGTCAAGGCACATGACAGGAAAGAGAAAAGATGGCCCCTACATGGAAGGGATCTTAACCTGCCATCCTGCAACAATGAAGTATGTCTTGGGTAGAGTTCCATATGTTAGCAATCCTCCAAGACACAGAAACCTCCTTTCTTCATTAGTTACAACAAAGCCCCATCATCACAGGCAAAACCTGGGAAGAAACTTGAATTTCCAAGACAACAGGCGAGGTGGTCTTCAATGTTTAATTAAAATGGCCTACTTATCTGTGCACTCTGACAAAAATGTATTTATAAGCTCATATACATGGTTCCCTTTGCACAGAGGAAATAGATGCCAGGAACAGACACTGAATTGGTACCGTCTAATGACTTTCTTGTGATGGAAGTGAAGGGCCCTCAACATTCACCTTTTTCCAGCCAGCCACAGGCTCAGTCCTCAGACCTTTTCCTTTACTCTTCAGCTGGCCTTCTACAGTTGCCCTGTTGGGGAAATGATGCTTCTCTTTTAAAACCAAAGGTCTGCTACAGCACATCTGTACCCTTTTCACCTGCCCAATTAACATTTTCAGAGTAATCTCAGCTTCCAAAATGTCAGACATTTCATACCACGTCCACTTTACACAGATGACGCTTGGGAACCATGAGGATCATGCAAAGCTCATAAACCCTGGCTGCCTGGAAAACAGAATATTGTCAGATGACAGAAGCAGCCTTGTAAAATGATAGTAGAAAGAATAAGAATGAACCAATTCTCCTGAAACTTATGGGAGAAACAGGACTTAACGTTCATGCTTTCAAACGAGTCAAGCAAGAATGGGCTGGTATGCAGCCGCCACACGAGGAGAGGCAAACTCACCCACAACATCCAGGTGGTACGTGTGATTGATGGACCCGTATTCATTCTCCACTACACAGGTATAATTTCCCTTGTCAGATGGGACCACACTTTCCATAATGAGGCTCCAGTGCTGGTTTCGTACCTGAAAAGATCAAAGCAAAGGCGGTTATTTAACAATCCTAGCACAGAATACCAAGTACTGTGCTTTCTTGATTTAAAAAGAAGCTGAAGGAGGCAAGAAAGGTATGGAAGAATCACCTAAATTCTAAATTGATAACTGTCATTAAGAATCGTGAGAAATGAAAACCATCATCATCATCATGGTGAACACCTGTGAAGCAAATATTGACATATTCAGATCTGCAGGAGTATTCGGCAGTGTACAGCGTGGGTCTGTTACCATAATGGATTTGAGGGCTCCTCTAGGAGAGGCCAACTGGCCAGGGAGCCTGAACACCAGCCAGCCTGGTACCAATGGCCACGGGCAGGCGAGCTACCAGTTTGCCCATCCACTAGGAAGCCTCAGCCTCTATGGCATCACAGAACCATGTAGAACTAACATTTATAGTGAGCATTTACTATATGCCAGGCACTGCTCCAAGCCCTCTGTGCTGCCGTAGCTAATTCATTTCTCCTAAGGGGCTCATAGTTCTCAGATGTTGTCTGGATGTCTCAAGAAGTTTCAGCTGGGAACATCAGTCTGCCCTTCCCATCTCTGGTTGTGGCTGAATAGATATACATGTTCCTCAGAGAAATACCCAGAATTCCAAATATGGCGGCAATGAATCCTTACAAAACTCAAGTTGTATATCCGTCCGTTCACAAACTTCTTGAGACTTTTCAAAGATAAGCAGCACATGTGAAAATCAGCTGTTGTGACTCCTACCCAAGGTACCATCAATACACAAAGAGACGCCATTCTTATGTTCTCCCCCTGCTTTTCAAATATTTCCATAGACTCAAATTTTCAAACTTGCGAGAGTTTTCCTTACCACAAAATGCAACATCTTGTATCTTCAGGGTTTGAGGCTTTAGTATTTCTATCTGAATCCAAGTCATTCTCTACAGGTGTTTTGGACAAGGCACTCCAGTGAAACGAAATGAAAAAATAAACAGTCAAGGCCTACTAACCTTAGCTATCATTTCAGGAATTTCAACTGACCTTCTGAGCCATGCCCTGGGCATTGCAAGTGTTTTTGGGTTAATCACGTAAAAAACAAATACAGGCAGAGCATCTGCAAGCACATGAGTGATATAAGAAACTAGAGAATAAAGAAAATCATCTCGTAACCACTCCACTATAAAAACAGGAGGGCAGAGCAGCTGTCCACTTTGCAAAGCAGCGCCAGTGATTAGCCTGCCAACAGAGTTAAGAGATGCGAAGAGCACACTGGAGTGCCACGGTTTTCATGTCAGCCACTCAGTTCTATGCAAGCCATGACTGCAGGGTGGAGGTACTGCTGCTGAGTTCTAAAACGAGGTCGCTGCTCATCACTGACAGTCTTAGAAAGGATCACTGGATGAAGGTTGGCCTCCTTCCTCCTTAACAGAGTACAAGCAGTGAGTTAAGATAGTTCTGGTCAGCCACTTTGCTGGGCTGCTGCAGTCATCGACAACTACGAAGGTAGTTTCAGAGTCTAACAGCCTGGAGCTGGTGATGGGAAACTGATCCTCACTGTCGCAGGTAAAATGTCTGGCAGAAAAATGAATCTACGGGCATCTGATCGACAGTGGAGAGTCTTTACTGTATGACAAAGACTCGCTTTCTGCTCTTGGTTGAGCCGTAGACTTGTAACAGGACCCAGACAACATGCTAGCGCGTCTCCCCTTAAGAGAGATAAGCACCTTCCATGCAGAATGTGTCTTCTGAAGGAGGAGGAGATATGGATGCTAAATCTTCCAGCGCAATGAGAATTCCCTACCTAAATCCTGGATCCCTGGGTGCTACAACGGCATCGTTATGCTAAGAGCATGGGACACATAGGTATAAGCTCCTTGATTTTACTTGAGGTCCACAGACCCAAAAGGAGACCCTCCCTTCACCTCAAGCTCTCAAGGGTAACAGAAATGATTCTCTCTTTGCCTACGGGGAACCAGTCATGTGGCAGGTAACTTAGGGATGTAGCCACGGGTCCCCACGTCACCAAGCCATGTAATCCAGCATTTATCCCTGCTGTAAATATTCAGTTCTTTGAGCCCCCGCTCAAATGTCATGCCCATAAGCCCTTAATCACGGCTAGTGCCTGTCTCTGGACCCCATTCAAACTGTCAATGTCTTTCTTGTGCCTGGATCCAGATTTGGCACATGGAGTATTCCAAATGGAGCTGAACCTGAACTGCACAGGGAGGGGACATCGCCTGACTCGGCTGACACATTAAATCTTGGCATATGCAGCTTGGCTCACTGCTCCCTTTTTTTAACCCCAGGGGATATGGTCAGCTCAAGTCTCTCACTGGGGCCATGGCATTCCATACAAGATCCCTCTTCAAGAGCACGTGCTCTCTGAATATTTACTTCCTGGAGATGCACTACAAATATTAATAAGTTAACGTTTATAAAAATGTTTTTACAATGAGAAGCACAATTACCAAACAGGGTGTTTCTGTCCATCCAGAAATCTTGGTACTAGATCAATATTGCCCCATGCAGTGCTGTTAATATTTATTTTCTTACACCATTGCTCCAGTATTTGATTTATTGACCCAAATTTTATGAGCTGTAGCATTTTCCAAATGGATGCTCTTAAATCCACCAACAGTGGGACTGCTGGACACTTTTGTAGGGGATATCCTACCATTGATTAGTGGTTGCTTAATAGCAAGCTAAGAAACTACAATAGTTAACTTTATAAAGATGGCAAACAAAAGCACAAAGTTTGGGGGTTTTTTTTCATTACTCTATTTCCATATGGAGATTCAGAATAAACCTAAAGAAACCACTCTTCCGACGTAATATATACAACGCGTGTTTCTAAATTCCTCAGATTTTCAGTGCTACAATTCTTTTGCCAGTTAGGCCAAATGCACATACACCGTCTTTGCTTTCAGAGAAGAGGGAATGTAAATACCCAATAAACATATGAAAAGATGCTTAACCTCATTAACGATCCGGGAAATGCAAATTAAAACAATAATGAGACACTGTTATTCACCAGCTGATTAACAAAAATTAGAAGGATCAATGTTATTCAGTACTTGGTGAATGTGTAGGGAAATAAAAGATTCCAATTGAGAATGGGAACATAAATTGAGAAAAACCTTTGTGTAAAATAACTTGCTGGTACCTATTAAAATTAGCAGCACACATTTTTTTTGATCTAGTTAATTCTACTTCTAGAAAGCTAGCCCACAGAAAATAGCACAATTACTTCAAGGCACATGAACAAAACTGCTGCTTCAAGCACTGCTTGTAAGAGCAAAAAACTGTCAAGGAGAGAGACATTAAGAATGCATAGTTCATCCTGTATGAACTGATGGAAAGTTCATTCAAACAGCGTAGTCTATAGTCATAAAAAGAATGAAGTATTATGTTCAGACCTGGTAAGGTATCATTAAACAGTTATTGATAAATGAAAAACAGTTAATTCATGATTCCAATTTATTTAAAAAAAAGAAAAAAGCAGACACATTTACCACCCTAAAGATGCATATAAAACTGAAAGTATAAGCCTGACTATAAACACAGCTAAAATCAGAAAGAAAATATACCAAATTGTTAGCAATGTACTTTATATAATTAAGCAGTGGGATTATGGGTATTGCCTACTTTTTTCTTATTTCTACCTTTCAAACAAACAGAAATCTCAACACACACAACAAAAAAGTATAATAAAACAGATCCTTAGATAATCATTCAATAGTAGCTACCCCCTGCAGAACCAATGGATCTGGCAAAACAAACACAAAAGCCAGTGAGAGAAGAAATTCTGCACCAACCAACACAAGCACGACTCTTTTTCTTTCCTGCTCATGGCCAAATCTTTGTGGAATTCATCATTATTTTTCATCTGCCAAGTAACAGAACAGGAGAGCATGGACTTCAAAACTATGTTCACTAAAGACTTTTTTAAAATAACATTTCAATATTGAAACAAAGCAGACTGAAGCAAAATGGCCTAAACTCCCAAGTATAATACAAGAAGCGGATTCCATGAACATTCCACACCCTATCCACACAAAGACACAAGGTGGCCCAGACAGGTTTTTCGGAATTCTTCTGTTACCTTCATTCCCCCAAAATGCCTATTAAATCCCAGGCTACCCTCAGGTGACAACTGGGAATGTAGATTTAGTTTGTTGACACCAAAACACCGCAGTGAAAGGTGAAGGGTGAAAGGTTAAAGACCCAGGCTGTCACCTGGATATTTACCTTCCACATTGCAAAAAAATCCAGACATTTCCAAATACTCAGGTGTTCGATAACAAGCAGAATAAACATGCAGAAGGTGATACAAAGTTTTATTCTGTGCCAGGTAGAACGCTGTGTCCATGTGATATCAGAAAGATATTCCCAAGCCTTTCTCCCGCCAGTATCAGCACCCAATTTTCCCAGGAAGACAGCAATCTCTTGTAATCCTGGCCTTCACAGAGGCACCCACCCCATGAACAGATCAGTTCATTCAACAGGTGAGTTGCCATTAAAATGCAAAAAATCTGCCAGGTGCAGTGGCTCACGCCTGTAATCCCAGCACTTTGGGAGGCCGAGGCGGGCAGATCATTTGAGGACAGGAGTTCGAGGCCAGCCTGGCCAACATGGTGAAACTCTGTCTCTACTAAAAATATAAAAATTAGTCAGGCATGGTAGCAGGTGCCTGTAATCCCAGCTACTCAGGAGGCTGAGGCAAGAGAATCGCTTGAACCCGGGAGACAGAGACTGCAGTGAGCTGAGATCATGCCACTGTACTCCAGCCTGGGTGACAGAGTGAGACTCTGTCTCAAAACAAAACAAAAAACAAAAAATGCATAAAATCTTATTCTCCCATCCCAGTCCCCCACTTTCAGCAGGTGCCTGGGGGACTTGAAGCCATCCTTTCTGAAAGCATTTGTGCCAACTAACCTTGCATGTCAAGGACAGAGGTACCTGCTGTTGCTCACCACCATGCAGATGTGGAGGCAAACACCTGTTAATGCTTAAACTCCAACATTGATACAAGAAGTTTGCTTTTCAGGAGGTGTCCAGAGAACAGGGCCGGGCAATCTGATCCTCGGGACCAGTGGCAGAAACTCTTCCCTCTGCTCGGTAAACAACCACTGGATCTCTCCAGAGGAGGTGGGAAGTGAATTACAACAAGCCATGTTTTCTTAGAGGCCCGTTGCTTGTCGGTGCTCACAAAGGTGGCTGCGGCAGGACATCCACCGCCTGTTGAACTTAGCTCTTTAAAAATGTCACGATCTTCCCCATTTTTGCTTTTGCAAAACAGACAAATGCCATATGGTCCTGCAATTCCACTCCTAGGTATATACCAGAGAAACTTATAGCAAGGACTGGGACAGATACTTGTACACCAATTGCTACAATGGCTATTCACAATAGCCAAAAGGTAGAAGCAACCCAAGTGATCATCATCAGATGAATGGATAAACAAAATGTGGGGCCGGGCACAGTGGCTCATGCCTGTAATCCCAGCACTTTGGGAGGCTGAGGTGGGTGGATGGCAAGTTCAGGAGATCGAGACCAGCCTGACCAACATGGTGAAACCCTGTCTCTACTAAAAATACAAAAATTAGCCGGGCATGGTGGTGAGCACCTGTAATCCCATACTCAGGAGGCTGAGGCAGGAAAATCGCTCGAACCTGGGAGGCGGAGGTTGCAGTGAGCCAAGGTTGCACCACTGCACTCCAGCCTGGGCAACAGAGTGAAACTCCGTCTTAAAAAAAAAAAAAAAAAAAAGTGGTATATCCATACAATGGAATATAATTCAGCCATAAAAAGGAATAAAGTTTTGATTCATGCTACAATATGGATGGACTTTTGTTAAGTGAAATAAGCCAGACACAAAAGGAAAAATATCCTGATTTCACTTATATAAGGTACACAGAATAGGCAAATTCATAGACACAAAAAGTAGGTTAGAGGTTACCAGGTGCAGTGGGGGAGGGGAAATGAGTACTTACTACTTAATGGGTACAAAGTTTCTGTTTGGAGAGATGAAAAAGTTTTGAAAATAGTGGTGATGGTTGCACAACACCATGAATGTAATTAATGCCTACTAAACTTGATAATGACTTAAATGGTAGATTTTATGTTATGCATATATTACCACAATAAATGTAAAAACCTCATAACCAGCTGGGCACAGTGTCTCAAGCCTGTAATTCCAATACTTTGGGAGGTTGAGGTGGGAGGATCACTTGAGCTTACGTGTTCGAAGCCAGTCTGGGCAACCAAGTGAGACCCCGTCTCTACAAAAAATTTAAAAATTAGCCAAATGTGGTGCCATGCACCTGTGGTCCTAGCTACACAGGAGGCTGAGGCAGGAGGATCACTTGAACCCAGGAGGTCAAGACTGCACTGAGCCATGTTCGTACCACTGCACTCCAGCCTGCGCAATATAGAGGGACTCTGTCTCAAAAACAAACAAATAAATAACCCACAGAGGTCTTGGAAGTTGAAAGAACAGCATCATATCCCCAACTTTGCTCTCAACTGTATACCATGGGCTAGATCTTTGCATGCTTTTGGGGAGCCATTACTTTCATTATGTTTCTCATTCAACAGCAACAGTGTTTTTACAAAACACGGAACTACATTTGAAGCAAGCAGTTTAGCAAGAGCATAAATTCTGGTGCAAAACCACGTAGGTCCAAATGGCAGCTGTGCCACCTATGAGGTAGGGGTAGGGCAAGCCCTCAAATGTAAAAGGGCAAAATAACAGTGTCTGCCTCTTTGGGCTGTGGAAGGACTGAGCAACTTGCTCCATGGGAGGCACCTGGTAAGTCACGACGCAGGGGAGCAGTCCATAAACGTTGGCTAATACAAACATATACCTGTGTCCTCATCAAAGACTGCTTGATGTGGGATTAAAGCTGAAATGTCTTCACTGAAAAAAAATCTCCATAAAGTATAAACATGCTGATAAGTACATTAGTCATGATTTCTCCCCCTAAACATACTTGTGGATTAAGCATAACATTTCATCAAAAAGTCTTTAAAATGACATCTAAGTAACTAACCTAGAAAATGTAAATCTAATTAACCTATGCTTCAAAACAACCAGTTTAGTAGTGATTATAACAAAAGTTTTAAAAATCATCTTTTCTTAGATCTGAAATATACTTGGTTCATGCTCAATAATGCTTTACTCTCTGCTGAGGGGCTCCAGGGGAACCTGAACCCCTGTAATACCCAACGCTGAGGGCTTCTGTGCCAATTTCACAGTCACGTTGAATGAGCCCTCTGTCCTGCGATCTCTCTTGGTCTATGCAGGCACTTCGAAGTGGCATAAAAGATGGTTTTTAAGAACCCCCTATGCCTAAATAATTACCTACGAAGGAGGTGAGAATTGAGGTGGTCTATTAATTATCTCAGCCAGCTTCTTGCTTTTCTGCATTAAATTGCAATAACTGTCCTGAGCCCTGTGAAATATCTAGCCATGAAGGTAACCTCTTTATTAAAAAAAAAAAAAAAAAATCTGTGCTGTTGTTTAAGAAGAGAAATGGCTGATGCTACACGATGGTGATACTATTAAATTATGGTTCTCAGAGCCTGAAGGGATCAGGATTATTCAGCCAATCTTCCCATTTTAAGGCAAGGGATTCTGGGGCACAGAGAGCTGAAAAAACTTGCCCATGGTCAAGACTGACGCAAAAGCCCAGGAATAAGTATGATTAGGGAGATAGAGTTATGATTCAAGTCCTTTACTATTATATCAATCACATATTAATAACATCCAGCAAGACTTTGCTCATGCACTTTAAAAATAATAATTTGATTCTTAATCACCTAAGGATGGCTCAGCATGGGTTCTTTGATAAACAAGACTGAACTGCCGAATTCCAAATAGTTCTATTGGTCATTTGAATGAAAATGAGCTTTCTGTCACA
Source organism: Homo sapiens (assembly GCF_000001405.40). Lineage (NCBI taxonomy): Eukaryota > Metazoa > Chordata > Mammalia > Primates > Hominidae > Homo > Homo sapiens. Next base: position 121,546,617 of record NC_000010.11, read on the forward strand.
TTTCATAATTCTCTTTGACTTTGTTTTGCTTTTTTTGTCTTCCCTCCTCCCTTTATAGGCCGCACATGCATGCCATTTCAAAACAAGCTGTAATGCAGGGGATGGCTGCCGAGGTGCCCAATCCATAAACGGGTAGAAAGAATGAGATGGACAGGCCACCAAAGCACAATCATAGTTTATGGAATGAACAGAATTATAAAGGAAAAAGAAAAATTGCAGAAATAACACACATTTGTTTGAAGAAGTTTTTCAGGTATTTGCTTTCTGGAAAAATGTATCTTGGAAAACTTGACATTTTGCTTCTTCATTAAATAAACTGGCAAATGGGACGGGTGCAGTAGCTCATGCCTGTAATCCCAGCACTCGCAGAGGCCAAGGAGGGTGGACCACTTGAGGTCAGGAGTTCGAGACCAGCATGACCAACATGGTGAAACCCCATCTCCACTAAAAATACAAAGTTAGCTGGGTGTGGTGGCGGGCACCTGTAATCCCAGCTACTTGTGAGGCTGAGACAGGAAAATCGCTTGAACCCGGGAGGCAGAGGTTACAGTGTGCTGAGATCATGCCATTGCACTCCAGCCTGGGCAACAAGAGCAAAACTCAGTCTCAAAAAATAAAAATAAAATAAAGCAAAGTGGCAAATGGACAGGAGTCAGGAATGAATCAGTTAGATGTCAGGCCCTCTGAGTTTCAATTAGGTCTCTTTGCTTTTGAGGAAGTGCCGAGGAATGAAAATAACAATATAGTTCCCTGAAGTCAAATGTGCAAAGGTACCTTTTTTTTCTTTTTTTTTTTTTTGACAGAGTCTTCCTCTATCATCCAGGCTGGACTGCAGAGGCATAATCACAGCTCCCTGCAGCCCCAAACTCCTGGGCTCAAGCGATCCTCCCACCTCAGCTGCTTGAGTAGCTGGGACTACAGGTGAGCACTACTACGCCCAGCTAATGGTTTAAATTTTTTGCAGAAATGGGGGTCTCACTATGTTGCCTAAGTTGGTCTTGTGCTCCTGGCCTCATATGATCCTCCTGCCTCAGCCTCCCAAAGCAGTGGGATTACAGTGCCACTGTGCCCAACCCAGAGGCACATTTCTTTAAGTCTACGTAGGTAACGAAGAAAATATCAGAGAGAAAACCCAACACCAGGGACCATTCTCCCCAAAGTCTGCCTTGGTCAGGCCCCAACAAGGACTCTCTGAGGCAAACGCAGGCCATAGCCAGCCAAGGAGCTCCCCATGGGGGAGGCCCACAGGTGGGAATGAGCCTCTTTGAGCTCCAGTGACTCCAGGACCTGGGGTTGGCTTAACACATCATTAGCGAAGATGATGCCTTAGGTAACTGAAGGAACCTTCCCAGGAGATGAGAAATGTGTCTTTCCTTTTCAAGTCCCGGAAGCCCTTGGGACTCAGTGGAATTTCTAAGAGTTTCTGGCATCTCCAAAATGAACGTTCAATGCCACTGCTGTTGTGAAAAGCCCTTGATCAACCTAGGCTGACCACCTCTGCAACTAGCGGGCCAACCTCCCAGGCCGCCCCACCCTACAGCCATAGCCTTTCTCCACCAGAGAACCAGAAAGGAGAGGACCACGCCAGCACACTGCATCCAAATGTGTGGCCCTCTGCCGCTTTTGGCCTTTTTTTTTTTTTTTTTTTTTTTTTTTTTTTTTTGGTAAAGCAAAATATATTTTAGGTTTTTGTCCCACACACTGAAATTCCATTTCCTTTTCCCTCCAGAAACGGCTCAGCGTGATACAACAAAATCACTTTGGTCATCTGCACTCCACAGGGGCAGGCTAAAGGCTTTCTGCTGGGAGTCCTCATTTTGCTTTTAGAACATAGGTGCTCTTCATCTAGCGAAATGTTGGAATCAATAATTAACACTGAACTGCACCTGTTAAAAATCAGGCAGCATTTTCTCATTAGGCCCTCTTAGTCTCTTAGCATATTTGTAATCACTAATTCAGATTTGCAAAAAGCTCCTTCCCCATAATAATGATGTCGGTTCCATTTATTTTGAGCCCAGGGGTCTCTGGAGCCTCATCAGCTCCTCTTTGTACTTATTTACAAGGCTGTCTTAATTGACAAAATTAGTTAACCACCAGGATTTTGACCACCATTCTCACACTCAGATTGTATTTAAATAAATCATTGGAACTGCATCAATTATGTGAGTTTCAGAAAGCATTTGGTGGTTAAAAACAATCCCAGGGGCCGTGATTTTAGTGGCTTAACTCTTCCTTTCTAACCAGCATCCCCCCATGAAATCCTTAACTTTTTTTTTTCAAAAAGATTTCTTTTAAAAGGGCCAACCTTTGAATCTCATCGTATCTGGTCTAAGGACTGAACTAAGAACAGAAGGACAAATCACCCCCTGCCTCCTGCTTCCACCACCAAGTAGGAGTTGTGGAAAACAACCAAAGTATTTCTACTTTCAAGCTTCAACAGTACCCACCTGCTAGCAGATCTGCCTCATAACTGTTTCACATGTTCACTGCCCACCATGCGTTCTTAGAAACTTACTCATAGGCTGTCCCCATTTTCCTCTGAATTTTGGCCTCTAGATGTTAATTTCTAAGTGTTAAAACAAAAAGGCAAAAACTTTTGCAGAAGAAAATAATCCTTTAAAGATGAATAACTGTCTAAGAAATTTCAGAAAAGGGTTGCAGGGCATTTTTAGGTGGAAAGGAGGCTCATTTACCTACAGCAATGATGGAGCTAAAGTGATGCTGGTGTGTTAAAGACACGTGAGACACAGTCCTGGACACCCCACTGCTGCTACTGAGGAATCCTCCCTACCTGGCTGTAAAGGACCTGAGGTCTGAGCTAAAGAGCGTCTTCTATTCCTCCCACCATGCAGTTTTCCCAGATGGGTTCCGGTGATCCCCTTGTCTCCTGGCATTCAGGTCCTTGGGCAACCTCCTCCCTAGTGTCTTGCTTAATAATGGAAAAAAGCAAAAGTGGTGGCTGTCCCTTCCAACACTAGGTTACAAAAGGCTCTGACTTCTGCGATCCTGCTCTCTCTCTCTCTGGCTCCTCCTTTGCTCAACCTGATGACAGCAGCTGCCCTATGAAGAGGCCCGTGTGGCATGGAACAGTGGGCAGCCCCCAGCCAACAGTCAGTGAGGAACTGAGGCCCTCTGCAAGGAAGTGAATCCTAACAGCAACCACATGAGCAGTTCCTTCCCCAATTAACCCTTCCAATGAGACCTCAGCCTCAACCCTTCCTTGCTTACAGTCCTGTGAGACAGCTGGAGATGGAAGACCCAGCTAAGCCACACCTTCATTCCTGATCCAGGCAACAATGAGGTAATAAATGTTGCTTAAAGCTACCATACCTTGGGGCAATTTATTATGCAGCAACAGGTAACTAATATGCCCACTTATGTTCCAAATGCATCAGAGAATTTCATCATAAGGTTTCCTTCAGTCCTTTTCATATGCTCAATTATTACAGTTCTCTCCTTCCATACTAAATAATTTGGAAATTCCATCTCTCTCTTTCTGAGACATCTTTCCTTCCAACTCAGACCTGAATCCTTTCCTGACCTCCTTTCTCCTTATTCTTCCAAACGCCAATCCAATATCACCTTTCCATGTACATCCATGGGATGCAACATGCTCCTGCAACTTCAACCAAACCTGTGTCCCTCCCATTGCCAGAGTTCTCCTCTGCCTCTCCTGCTGGACTGGACTAAGAGCCCCTTGGAGCTGGGGCCATGCCTCACCCTCTCATCTCCCCAGAGCCCAGGAGTGTGCCTGGCACACAGGGTGCTCAATCAATGTCTGCTAAGTGGATGAACAAAGGCTAGAGGAGCATGCGCGGGCATCTGCAGGGAGACAGCTGCCAATTTCAAACTCCCTAGGGAGTGATGAGACTAAAATTTCATGGCATTGTGTGACGTGCTCTCAAGAATCCTTCAAGGAGGACAGCAGATTGCCACTGTCATCTCCACGCACTCTCCCTTAATGCATCATATTTCATACTCCAGTCTCTAATCCAAGTCCCCTCACTATTCATGCAATCCTGCTCTGACAGGGAAACTATACTGACGCTTCTCAAACTCCACACCCGTTTTAGTTTTATACACTATAAAGCATATAGAAAACAGACTCTCAACTTTCGACCCTTCTGTTATTAAACTCTCCTCATATGAAGAACAACACAAACGGGAATTGTACTTTAAAATTACACGCAAGTCCGGGGTAATATTTTTTTTTAATATCAAACCCTGACATGGGCAATTGTGACAATTATTGATTCTTGTTAAAGTATTCCTTCTAATTCCTGCTAACTTTTGAGCACTTCAAAAAATAAACAAAAATGTAGGGCTGGGCATCGTGGCTCACACCTGTAATCCCAACACTTTGGGAGGCCGAGGCAGGCGGATCACGAGGTCAGGAGATCAAGACCATCCTGGACAACACGGTGAAACCCCGTCTCTGCTACAGATACAAAAAATTAGCGAGGCATGGTGGCACACACCTGTAGTCCCAGCTACTCGGGAGGCTGAGGCAGGAGAATCGCTTGAACCTGGGAGATGGAGGTTGCAGTGAACCGAGATCGCACCACGGCACTCCAGCCTGGGCGACAGAGCGAGACTCCATCGCAAAAAAAAAATGTAAATAAATAAATAAACAAAAATGTAAGAAATGTGATGTTCTGAAAGCTTAATTCTACCTTGTAGCCTCCAATGCGATGCTCCTGCTTAAACTCCTTCCCGTTTTTCAGCCACCGCATGGTTGGCATTGGGTTCCCCCCGGCTGGGCAGCGAAACTTGACAGTGTTGGCCGCAGGCACAGCATGGAGCCGCTTTTCCATCTTTTCTGTGTTGGTCCAGTATGGTGCTCCTGTTTTGGAAAACAGTATTAGAATGTATACTGATGGACAGCTTCCCCTCCATGAGTAAACTCCAAACAGGTAAGATCATTTCGCTTTGCATGTAAATGCTAGGCTATTTTTTAAATCTTTGGGTAATATTTACATTTGGAAAATATTTTCAGAAGTCTAATCCAGCTGGCTGAGCAGAAGGTCCCAGAGAGGGATGGTTCATGTCTACCAACAGGAAGAAAAAAAAAAAAGTGTTTGAGGCCCCTTCTCTCTCTTGTTCTTGATGCCAGAAAATAATTTCATGCCAAATCATGTTTTAAAATGCTATTTTATAAACATATGAACAACATATACAACTGCGACAGCTCAGTCCTCCAAAAATAGATCATTTTGGATTGCCACACCTATTAAATGATCACATATACACACTAGTAAAAGCAAGTTGTTCTCAAAAGCCCTATCAACTTATCCATTGGAGCCTTACTTTAAGGGCAATCAATAGTATAAATTGTCATTCTAATATAATAAAATAACCCAGAGAGTCATTCGTACATTTCTCAGAACTTATATACAAACAAACAAACAAAAAAAAAAACTGTATCACTAAATACATACTAACTTTTTTAATTAAAAAAAAAATTTCTTTCCAATGGTGGTTATGAATGCCATAACCCTACCACCCCACCTAATGATAACTTAAGAGGAGGCTACCAATTAAATGATATGTTAAAGTTATGCCCTCCAGATGTCCCCGAAAGTCATAAATACAAGTGATTTTTTAAAGTCAAGAAAAAAGTTTTAAATCACAAAGTAAAGTATATTTTTTCTAAATAAAAGCCACAACATCAAGCCAGAATACCACTGTAAATTCTTCATGTCTGCTAATAATGGCGAATGACTACTACCGACTGAAAGCTTCTACTTTGCCAAGCACTGCTCAAAGAGTTTTTACATGTCAACACATTAATCTTCACAATGCTTCAACAAGAAAGGCACTATCATAATCTTGGCTTCCAAGTGGGGAAACTGAGGCACAGAGCAGTTAAGTAACCTGCCAAAAGCCACAAAGCTTGGAAGAGGTGCAGCCAAGATTTGAACCACATCAGTCTGATGCCAGAGCCCACTATCTTCAACCCTACTCTCCACTGCTAAGAAGATGCAGCTTCTCCACGAGGTTGGAATCCGTACCTTCCACCAATCTGATGTTTAAGGCTGAAGTCCGGGAAAGCCAGCCTGGGTCAAGGCACACGTCCTCCTTTTTTCCTGTCCAGAACCTCTACTGTACAGCAATTTAACTATTCACATATATGTTTCTGTCTTAGCAAAGTAGTAACCAAAATCCCTGTATTCCTCTGAAACAGCCACCAACAGGGACTTGAACATTGTAGAAGGCTAATTCATAACTATGCTTATTTCTGATGAAGGCTAGACTGAACAACAGCACACACAGTTCACAAACCCAAGGCAAAATGGCCCTAGGCAGGGGCTTTGTCTCTGATGCATATTTAGAAGTCTCCTCTATTCTACGGGTGTAGAGCACGTCCCTGGGGGATAAGGATCCCCTTCACTTAGCAGCCAGACTCAGGGTACAATCAGGAATTGAAATCGCTGCATCCAAACACCTACCCCAATTAGCCTTCACGCTTGCTCTTGAAACCTGTTGTCAAAGGTAGAGCTGAGATTTCTTTACAAGGCCATGCTGTATCTTTATCCCTGTGCTTATCTAAGTGTCAAAGTGATGGGATTTAGGTGCACCCATATGATGCTGAAACAGTGGGAAGAGGGGCAAAACTATCGAAGCCAGGAGAGAAGAAGAGGAAGGAGGAGAAAGAAGGAACAGGGGCTGAATTCCTTCCTTTGAATCCAGTTGCATTTGCAACCTGGGTAGACATTTGGCTCTGGGTGTTGAATGCCCATAAACGCACCTATTCTTTTGAGGGTTCACCAGGGAGTACTTGATTCCCATTCATCCCAAGACTCTCAGGGCCTGGCATATACTGAAACAATTTCAATAAACTTTCATTTTAAAAGCTTCTACTTAGAAAAATCCATCCACAGCCACAGCCACTAAAAAGAAACCATTGAGAGCACAAAACAAATAATGAGCTTTGTCACTACACAAAGACGTTTACAAATCTAACCTAAATGAAAAGCATACCTCATGCTGTCAGGTGTCTGCACTCATGTCATTTGTTTAAGTAAACACAATAGCCTATTCATATGAATTAGCTAAATATTAATGCAGTAACTCTTTCAGATAACATCAATTACTGCTGAGCTGATCCTGTGGAATGTCTTTTCTTTTTTACATAAAAGAAATCAACAGATATGTGCTTACATACCATTAGGCATGATTTTTATGTTCCCTAAAAAAAAAGTGGGATTTAGCTGAAGGAACTAGGAATGTTGTTCTTTTCTGCCCTCACTGGGCCAAGCCATGGGTGAGTCTGTAACAGCCCAGGGACCGGCCCAGACCACGCGCACCTATGCAGGCCTGACCTGTGGCAACAGCCCATGGGCAACCCGCACCTTTGTCTTGGTGCCTCGGGAGTGATTTAAGGACTAAGGTGAAATAATGTTGCTGGAATTTCTGGCAGGTAGCCACTTCCCTCGGGTGATATTTCAATCATCAAAGCTACACCTATAAAATCTGCTTCTGCAAAACACAGACACAGCCATACAGCAGGGTACGGGTGCAGTGCTGCTCATCTAGGTCTCAGAGATCCAAGGTTGGGGGCCACCATAAAAAATCCAGGCACAACCCTCCACCCAGGCTCCCATGTGTGACCAGCCCCACCCTGGTGACTGCTAACATCACACCAGCACACAGCCTCTCTTTAAATATCAAGCTCACAAATATGTTTAATGAACTTGATACGGGAGGGGAGGAAGTCTTTTTTTTTTTTTTCCTTTTTTTGAGACAGCGTCTTGCTCTGTTGCCCAGGCTGGAGTGCAGTGGCGCGATCTTGGCTCACTGCAAGCTCTGCCTCCCGGGTTCACGCCATTCTCCTGCCTCAGCCTCCCGAGTAGCTGGGACTACAGGTGCCCGCCACCATGCCCGGCTAATTTTTTTTTTTTTTTTTTTGTATTTTTAGTAGAGACAGGGTTTCACCGTTTTAGCCAGGGTTTCACCGTTTTAGCCAGGATGGTCTGGATCTCCTGACCTCATGATCCACCTGCCTCAGCCTCCCAAAGTGCTGGGATTACAGGCGTGAGCTACCGCGCCCGGCTGGAACTCTTTTATAATTTTACAATAGCTCTTCCTAAAATACACTAGCTTTATGTGAACCTTGAATCTGTAAGATCTAGAAAAATAATAATACTATAAGATAGCCCTACTGTGTTTCCTTCATCAGCAGCCTTGTGTCCTCTGTATGTTTTTGCAGTTGGAAAGGACACACATGGAAATGCCAGGGCCTCCCAAGAACTGCAAAACAGCTGGAGACAAACACCATCCAGGCACTTAGAACGGGCTCCTCTACCTAAGGAAGCCCCTTTTATACCAAGGCTCGTGAACAGCTTTAACAACTCTCATTTGGAGAAGGAACTCATGTACCAAATTAAAGATCTACTGAAGCAGAGATCAGCCTTGTCCATAGTAGATGCTTAACAGGGATGTTTACTCAACAATCTTATCTAAAATGAATCTGCAGGCCAGGCGCGGTGGCTCACGCCTGTAATCCCAGCCTTTGGGAGGCCGAGGTGGGCGGATCACCTGAGGTCAGGAGTCCGAGACCAGCCTGACCAACATGGTGAAACCCCGTCTCCACTAAAAATGCAAAAATTAGCTGGACATGGTGACGCATGGCTGTAGTCCCAGCTACTAGGGAGGGTGAGGCAGGAGAATTGCTTGAACCCAGGAGGCAGAGGTTGCAGTGAGCCGAGATCATGCCATTGCACTCCAGCCTGGGCGACAAGAGCAAAACTCTGTCTCAATCAATCAATCAATCAATCAATCAATCAAATGAATCTGCAAGCTAAGGACACATGAGTTTCCCTGAACTTTATATACCTTAGAGGTGTATGAAGAGCGGGCTTAAAGTCAGCTAATAGAGACGTGTGGTATAAACTTCCAATGGCATTCAAAATGAATGACACTAATCCACCTGTAAAGGAAACAAATTAACCTCGATGAGAGGTATGGTTCCTTTGGCTCTGACATTCTTAGACCTTCTGATGTAATAGGTACCACAAGAATGATGTTCTCCTAATCATCAAATACTAAGAATGAGCTGGTTAAAGAACAGTCAGACCTAGCCACAATCAATCAATCCCATCCCATCAATTAAATCCCATCACCAGCATATAGCATACCTACTCATTATCATTTTCTACACTGTAACAGTCATTGCACATTAGTAATAATATTAAGTAGAATTTTACTTTAAGACAACAGAAGTCTTTTAAGATGCAATGAGTTAAAGAGAGATTTATAAACCCACAGAAACTTCCTTCAAAGGACTCCAACACAGCCTTTATTATTCCCACCCTAGAGCCAAGTTATTCTTTCTCAGGGCCCCTTCTTTGTGATAGATGTGTGCTTCCAACATTAGTGTCTCTGTACTGAAAAATACTCCTTCTGATGCTGACCAACAACAGTAGGGCACCTGGAGGGTACAGCTGGAGTTGTCTTTAGCCTATGGAGTAGGCACTCAAGCGTTATTGGATGGATGGATGGATGGATGGATGGACGGACGGATGGATGGACGGATGGATGACTATTAAAAGCTTTAGCTATAAAATGAAGTAGTTGCACTGATTAAGGTCCCCGCCAGTTCGAACATACTTTCCAGGTATCTATGTGCTAGACAGGTATTGATTCTGTCAACAAATGGTAGGATTATGTGATTTCTTTTGACCCTGCAATTTAAACTTAGTGAGAAACCATAGGCTGCTGGGCCTGCCCCCACCAAAACCCTTGCACATCTCAATGCTGACACCTAAGGTTTATAATCTACTCTCTCTCTCTCTCTCTCTCTCTCTCTCTCTCTCTCTGGAACCAAAAAACAGAGAACACGGCCCAATGATTTAAAGGAGAAACATGGAATCATATTACCAGGCTGTACCAAAAGAGACCTCGGTGACCATCTGGCCCAACGACTGATGATATCAATGTCATCCAGAAAGGTTAAGTGATTTGATCAAGGTCACACAGCCAGAGGCCGGGCTGAGGCCAGGCCCATCTCCAGCTCCCTGAGCAGTGTTCCTTCAACCACTCCAGCCTGCCCTTTGAACTCTCCCATGGTAATTAAGTCAAAAGTTCAAGATTTATGTGAGCCGCGGCCACCAATGACTGCCAACTGTATTTTTATGGATGCAAAAAATTTTAAAAACACAGCCTGTTCCAGCTCCTAGATTAAGTCTCACAAACTCTCTAAAGCCCCACTAAAGCCTCTGTCTCGAGTCTATAATTAGGGCTTTTAAAAATATCACTAATCAGGACATTTGAATGCTTTGACTCCTGACAGGGGAAAAATGTCTCAGAGCTCCCCACTACCCTGCAGTTCTGCTTTCAGTTTGGTATAAACTAAGAGAAAACAAATCTAACAAAATACGGAGATGTGAGTGAGGATATGATTATGAGGGGGTATGTCTGTGGCTTTGAGAAATCTCATTAAAAACTTGCTAACCAGCCAGGCATTCAATCAGAAATATATGTTTTCAAAACCAAGCAAGTTAACCACAAGTGAAAGAACTGAGCCCACTAGCAGACCAGTTAGCCCATGGGAATTCCCAAGATCTGCCTTCAAAGGAAACTTCTCCAATCATTGGCTATGCTGTTTGACCAAGGAGGAGACTGAGAAAGATATTCAGTCCAACCATTGGATGGAACACCATCAACAGTATTTGTGATAAAATACCAAAAGCAGCTTTTTCTTCTTTTTAAGAGACAGGGTCTTGCTCCGTTGCCCAGGCTGCACTGCAGTGGTACAACCACAGCTCACTGCAGCCTTGACCTCCTGGGCTCAGGTGATCCTCCCACCTGAGCCTCCCAAGTAACTGGGACTGCAGGCATGAGCTACCACACCTGGCTAATCTTTTATTTTTTGTAGAGATGCGGTCTTGCTATGCTCCCGAGGCTAGTCTCAAACTCCTGGGTATACACGATCCTCCTGCTTCGGCCTCCCAACTAGCTGGAATTACAGGTGCGAGCTGCTATGCTGGCCCAAACCAACTTATTGATGATGTTTTCATTACAAAGGGAATTTCTAAAAATTTGCAAAGCCTGTGTGGGTTTTTTGTTGTTTTTATTACTGATATTGTTCTTTTCAATTCCTAGAAACTTCAACACAACTAAGAAGCCTGCTGTTACCAACTTAGGATCTCTACCAAGTAAAAATCCCAATTAGAACAAAGGTGACTTTGAACTGTTATCGGCAGGTTAATCAATGAAATGAGTTTGGAATCTCAGGCTAACTACCTTCATTTTCCCTAGGTACTTCCAAAAAAAATAGCCTTTCTCCCTGACATGGAGTGTGGGCATCTGCAGGTCTCAACAGGAATGAAACCAAAATAGAAAATTACTTTTTCTCTCATCACTCGAGAGAAAGAACCACTTTAGCAGCAAGAGTCTTGATGCAACTGTCTCTCCATCACTTCCCTCGAGTTAAGCAATGGACCTGAACTTTTCGTCCATCATGATCTTCTCAAAAACTAAGTCTCAAGCTCTTCAGAAACATTAATCACCGAAACAAGCTGGAAACAATAAAAATCCCTCGAACAAATGGGTATATGCATCTACCTAGTTGCTGCCAGATAACCCATTAACATACCTAGTACCTAGGGAAGGCAAGAACTAGTTAACTTATACTTTTCTATGCGAAAGGATAAATTCTCAACCCTTCAAAACCCTCAACCTGGATGCATTTCAAAAATTAGCATATGAAACTGCAACTTTCTTTCTGGAGAAAATGTGTTGCACCGAGGGGCATATGTAACAGCATTATTTCCTGGCAACCAGGCTTGTAATGACATCACAGGACTGTTCCACTTGGAAACATCTAGTGCTGGTACCATGTGAGGTCATCAGCTAGTCAGCTGCTAAAATATGACCAGAGAATGCCCTGCACATCTGTGATGAAGAAACCAACTTAAAAAGATCAATCAAATCAGCCCATGGCTGGGTTTTTCAATGCATGTACAACATGATGTTAATAGATACAGTTTTTTGTTTTTTTTTTTTTTTGAGACGGAGTCTCACTCTGTCGCCCAGGCTGGGGTGCAGTGGCACAATTTCGGCTCACTGCAACCTCCACTTCCCGGGTTCAAGTGATTCTCCTGCCTCAGCCTCAGGCGCCCGCCACCAAGCCCGGCTAATTTTTATATTTTAGTAGAGATGGAGTTTCACCATATTGGCCAGGCTGGTCTCGAACTCCTGACCTTGTGATCCGCCTGCCTCGGCCTCCCAAAGTACTGGGATTACATCCATGAGCCACCGCGCCCGATCTTTAATTCTTCATTGTTATTTTTGCCATTGTATTTGGCACCCAAGCTTTTCGTACTCTGTACAGAATCTAAAAAACACTCTAGCAGGCAGCTGAGCTTGCCTTCTTATGTTAACCAACAAAATTAGATCAATAATCTAGCAAATCAGCAGAGGGAATAACCTGCAATATATTTTTCCAACTGGAAGATACAGAACTAAATTTTCAATGTCTCAATCCAAAAGGAGAAAAAAAAAAAAAAAAAAAAAACTCAAAAAAGCCCAAAAACGTCACCATCAACACAGGGTCACTGGAGCATCATTTGTCAAAGTTCCTAAAGAAGAACATACAAACACACCCCAGTGGCATTTTCAGACAATCAGAAGGCACCAAAGAAATCAATCTGGACACATGAGTGTTTTCCAGGTGGCTGAAAATACAAAGAATTTGGTGCTTCTGCAATTTTCCCTATTAATCGGGTCAGGCATTTGACACTTGAGGTGGCAAAAAATTGTTTTAATGGCAACGTCCCCTTTCCTGCCTTGCCAATTACCCCGGCCGTGGCATTCCTCTGTCCACACAGACCACAGCTGCTTAATCTCAGCCGCCCCAGGCTGCACCTGTGAATCAGACCAGCCTAATCACACTAACAGATGGCAGAGGCCAAGTAGCCAGCTAAGAACCGCTATCACTTTAAATAGCATCTAATGTTTCACAGACACCAAACAGAGGCACCTCCTCACAGCAGTATCTCCCTGGTACAGCTAACACTAGCCCTTAATCACTGCAGAGCACCCATTTCAGGGGCAGAGTTGCTGTCATTCGAGAGCTAATTACAAAAGAACCCTGCTTGCAAGGTGAAGGCATGGCAAGTACACTGTTGGTTGGCATTCATCACATGGGTGCTCTACCCCCTGGCCCTTCTGCATGGGCGCTGGGCAGTTAGGAACACTGTTCACAATGCAAAGCATAAGGTCCACAGCATATAATCCTTCTGAACCACTCAGCCTGCCTGTCATGTAATCCATACCTTGCTGTTGCATTCTATTGCTTCACATGGTTTCACGGTAACCTGCTATTAGGCAGGTAGCCGACAACCAGGACAACGCAGTTCCCCAGGCATCCAAAAACCAAGCTGACAGAATCTGATGTCTCAATCCATAGCGAGGGCACCCACATACAGTAAAACTGGAGAGCTGTAAACACCTGTACAAGCATTCTCACTCCACCCCCATCGTGACCCTAGGATGCTCTCAGGCAACAGGCCTACAACTGAAACGCAGCCCTTCTTTTGCTTGCTAAGCCACAATTTTCCATTCAATAAAGCAAGAATAAATACTCTCTCCACCTGATCGGGTTATTGGTGGCATGGACGGAACCAGCAGCCAGCACAGAGCCTGTCTAGTGCAGGCCCTCAGCATCTTTGCCTCCAGCTTCATGCCAGAGCCACTGGCCAAAAGAAGTGAGTGGGCCAGGTGCCGTGGCTCACGCCTGTAATCCCAGCACTTTGGGAGGCCGAGGCGAGCAGATCACGAGGTCAGGAGATCGAGACCATTCTGGCTAACATGGTGGAACCCCATCTCTACTAAAAAATACAAAAAATTAGCCGGGTGTGGTGGTGGGCACCTGTAGTCCCAGCTACTCGGGAGGCTGAGGCAGGAGAATGGCGTGAACCCGGGAGGCGGAGCTTGCAGTGAGCCGAGATAGCACCACTGCACTCCAGCCTGGGCAACAGAGCAAGACTCCGTCCCCAAAAAAAAAAAAAAAAAAAAAAAAAAGAGGCGAGTGACATGCTCCACTTATCAGTGCTTTTTATTAAATAACAATAATGATAACCTCTTTAGAAGGCTGGTACAAATCACAGAAGATACTTCCACTCACCTTATTATCCACTGTTTTACGAACAAGACCACTAACAGTAAGCTCCCATTCAGGGCAGACCTCCACGTGCAAATTCTAAGCCAGTGGTTCTCGCATTTCAGTGTGAATCAGAATCAGCCCCAGAGTTTCTGAGGCAGTGGGTCTGAGGAGGAACCTGAGAATCTGCATTTCGAGGGAGTTCTCAGGTGATGCTGATGCTGCTGGTCCAGGAACTTTACTTTGAGAACCACTGCCCTAAGCTTCCTCTTGACAAAAAGTAAAAACTGCACCAACCAAAATATTTCTCTTTTGCCCCAGCTGCTAGGAGACTCAGGGACAAATCTAAGTCTTCACTTAAGTAACTCATTTATCCGAGGCACCTACCAATATCTATTTTATCTTTTTCCTTTAAGAAGACAGGCCGGGCGCAGTGGCTCACACCTGTAATCCCAGCACTTTGGGAGGCCGAGGCAGGCAGATCACCTGAGGTCGGGAGTTCCAGACCAGCCTGACCAACATGGAGAAACCCCGTCTCTACTAAAAATACAAAATTAGCGGGGTGTGGTAGCATGTACCTGTAATCCCAGCTACTCAGGAGGCTGAGGCAGGAGAATTGCTTGAACCCGGGAGGCAGGGGCTGCGGTGAGCTGAGATCGCACCATTGCGCTCCAGCCTGGGCAACAAGAGCGAAACTCCCATCTCAAAAAAAAAAAAAAAAAAACCTAAAGGACAGTCTTTTCAACAAATAGTCCCAGAACCACTGGACATCCACAGGCTAAAAAGTGAATCCACACACACACCTTACATCCTTTACAAAAATTAACTTAAAATAGATTACACACATAAATACAAAATACAAAACAATAATACTCCTAGGAGGTAACATAGGAGAAAATCTAGATGACCTTGGGTTGGGTGATGACATTTTAGGTATAACACCAAAGGCACCATCCATAAAAGAAAAACCAGACTACATGAAACTTAAAAATTTCTGCTCTGCAAGAGACACTGTCAAGAGAATGAAAAGGCAAGCCACAGGTGAGGGGAGAAACTATTTGCAAAAGAGATGTAATAAAGGACTGTTATCCAAAATATACAAAGAACTCTTATAACTCGACAGTAAGAAAACAAACAACCTAATTAAAAAATGGGCCAACGGCCTTAACAGACATCTCACCAAAGAAGATACATGGATGGCAATTAATCATATGAAAAGATGCTTCACATCATCTGTCATCAGAGAAATTTAAATTAAAACAACAAAATACCATTACACACCTATCAGAATGGCCAAAATCCAGAACACCAAGCACATCGAATGATGTGGAGCAACAGGAACTCTCATTCATTGCTGGTGGGAATACAAAATGGTGCAGCCACTTTGCAAGGCAGCTAGGTGGTTTCCTACAAATCTAAACATACTCTTCTCACATAATCCAGCAATCACACTCCTTAACATTTACCCAAAGTAATTGAAAACTATGTCCCCACAAAAACCCGCACAAAGATGTCTGTAGCAGCTTTATTTGCAACTGTCAAAACTTGGAAGCAACAGAGTTTGTTTTTTTTTTTTTTGAGATGGAGTCTCACTCTGTCACCCAGGCAGGAGGGAGTGCAGTGGTGTGATCTCGACTCACTGCAACCTCCGCATCCTGGGTTCAAGTGATTCTCATGCCTCAGCCTCCCGAGTAGCTGGGATTACAGGCATGCACCACTACACTTGGCTAACCTATGTATTTTTAGCAGAGACAGGGATTTTGCCATGTTGGCCAAGCTGGTCTCGAACTTTTGTTCCCAAGTGATCCACCCGCCTCGGCCTCACAAAGTGCTAGGATTACAGGCGTGAGCAACGGTGCCCAGCCGAGATATCTTTTAGTAGGTAAACGGGTAAATAAACTTTGATACATACAAACAATGGAATACTCAGTGCTACAAACAAATGACCCATCAAGCCATGAAAAGACATGAGAGAAACTTACATGCATCTTACTAAGTCAAAGAAGCCAATCTGTAAAGGCTACACACTGTATGATTACATACCCTAAAGTCAACCACACACTTTGGGTGATAATGATGGCAGTGCAGGTTCATCAACTGGAACAGATGTACCATTCTGGTGGGGATGTTGATAACAGGACAGGCTATGCATGTGTTGGGGAAGATTATATGGGAAATCTTTGTTCCTTCCTCTTTATTTTGCTGTGGACCTGAAACTGCTCGAAAAAATAAAGTATTGCCAGGCGCAGTGGCTCACACCTGTAATCCCAGCACTTCAGGAGGCTGAGGCGGGTGGATCACTTGAGGTCAGGAGTTCAAGACCAGCCTGGCCAACATGGTAAAACCCTGTCTCTACTAAAAATACATAAATTAGGCTGGGCACGGTGGCTGACGCCTGTAGTCTCAGCACTTTGGGAGGCCGAGGCAGGTGAATCACAAGGTCAAGAGTTCGAGACCAGCCTAGCCAACATGGTGAAACCCCATCTCTACTAAAAATACAAAAATTAGCCAGGTGTAGTGGCAGGCCCCTGTAGTCCTAGTTACTCGGGAGGCTGAGGCAGGAGAATTGCTTGAACCTGGGAGGTGCAGGTTGCAGTGAGCCAAGATGGCGCCACTGCACTCCAGCCTGGGTGACAGAACAAGACTGCATCTCGGGAAAAAATATATATATATACATAAATTAGCCGGGTGTGGTATATTACTTAGGCCTTGTTTAAATGTACCAAATTGACTAAAATCCTTTTAAGAAAAATGTAGAATATACCATGTAAGCAGAGAATCCCAATACCCTATGTACAAACACTTTAGGAACATTCTAGCCAAGTCATTGGAAAATGCAAGTAATGCTATATTGTATTTTGTGTATTGAATAAACATTTGCAAGCAACCACTCTTCTGAGCACTATACAACTAGGAACTCATGTAATCCTCATAACAACCCCAGAAAATAGTATTATTATTATTACTCCCATTTTATAAAGAAACTAAGGCACAGAAGTGAAATGAGCAACTCAGAAGTTGTGGAGCAAGATTCAAACCCAGGTTGCCCAGCTCCAAGAGGCTACGCCATGTTCTTCCTCGCAAGTAAATGGCCTCTCCCATGTTAGCGCTCAGTGTTCATGGCCCTCATTAAGCAAGCCACCCTTGGCTCCCTTTTCAATCGTGGTCTACAAAGTAAGGCACACGTCCTTCATTTTCACTCAGCATGAGGTGTGTGTTGTAGGAGGCCGGGTTTCTCACCCTAGGGATGATTGACATCTTGGACCAGATAATTCTTTGTTATGGGGCTGTGCTCTGCATCCCTGGCCCCTCCCCAGCTAAAGGCCACCAGCACCCCCTCCCTCTGTTGTGACAACCAAATATTGCCCAATGTGCCGGGAGAGCAAGAATAGGCAATTGCCCCAGTCACACACCACTGGATTAAACCAAGCACAATCACTGATTACAAGGAAAACCAAGATGTTACATGGTTCTACTATTCTTATGTCTCTGAATAGGGAGAAGTCAAAGGGAAAAGGGAAAATCAAGGAAAGAAAAGTAGTAACTGCTTTGAAAAACGAATGACCAGTGACACGAGAAGAAAGGACAAACGATAGAGAAGGCTGTGCAGCAACACTGGTTTATTCTCAGGTTTGAAAGTCAGGAAAGTAGACACAGCGGGGAAAGGCAAGGGCCGCGGGACACAGCATGGCGCAGAAGAGTCGACAAGAAGACAGGTGACAGGCAGAACTTCCCTCCATGCTCCTCTCTCGGGGACCATCGGAGCCGGGCAGTTACTTACTCTTGTTGTTACTGTTCTCACTGACAAAATCTTCCGCACCATCGGTGTCATCCTCATCATCTCCGGATGAGATGGCATCTGTATGCAAAAGAACATATTCCATGGATGTGTTTTTTGCAAAGCAAAAAGGTTGCAATTATCTACAACTGAGACCTTCTCCATAGCAAAGTCAACAACCCAGGAACCCTCGCAAAGAGCCTGGGATTGTTTTCAGTTAAGATAGTTTTAATGGCTTAAATTTTCCCTCCATGATGACAGTTGGTCTATGTTATGATTCTCAATGTTTTCTGCTTTCACGCTATTTAAACAGGCTATAAAATTGGATATATGAGAACTGGATTTCAAGCTTCAAACAGTATTCAAGCCCCTGACAAATTTACCAATTGTGTAGCACCCAAAGACTCTTTTTCCAACATTAACCTTTCAGTATGCGGGGTCTCCTTGAAGAAAGAAATTGATCCCTAACAAAACTCAGTCCCTGTGTGGCCCTTCTCATCGTCAACTAACATTCTGAAAGCAGAACTTTAAACTCGGCCACAAAGGGGGCCTGTTCTGTCCCGCTCACTGCATAGAAGGAAATCATGGAGAGAAACTCAAACTCTAATAAATGAATCAGAAATCTTGAGTATCCAAATTTCAACCCTATATTCTAAATGCCAGAGATGTCAGTGGTACAAAAAAAAAAAAAAAAAAGCATGTATTTACTTAAATAAAAGCGTACTATCTTAAGAAAAATGTTACTTTGTGCACAAGAATTCTATCATTCTTAATGATCGGCCTTTCTGGTGCACCAGGTCCCAAAGAAGAATTTCAAAAACTATGAAGCTGTATGCCTGGCATCCAATTACAATTAGAGATCTCACTACCTTTTCACTTGGCCAAAAAAATGTAATGGCTACAGAGAAGAGAGAGCATAGTGCTGGCGGGCCAACTCACCTGTGACATTCACCATGAAGTACCAAGTTTCACTGTCTACAGTCCTACTGGCAGTACAAGCATAGAGGCCGGAGTCTCTAGGCGTGGCGCCCTTTATCTGCAAGTACTCCCCAATAAGCACTGTCCTATTGTTGGGCCCCAAGTGCACCCCATCCTTAGTCCAACTGATCACGGCGGCATCTTTCAACAGGCAGCGCACCTCTAGCGACTCCCCTGGCGCAGCCACGTACACTTCTGGTTGAGAGATTTGGTATTTGGTTGGTGGCTCTGCAGAAAGGTGGGAGAGAGAAGACGGAGACAGATGGGAAGGAGGGAGAGGAGAGAACGTCCAACAAAGGTCAGTGGAGGCCTGCTTATTCCCAGGAGAAGCTGTTCTTGCTCTGCAAATGGCCCCAGCAGGCATCCACCTCTCCCCAAGCCCCAGGAAGTCAGGAAGTATCTGGAAGAGCAACCAGAGGATACCCCCAGAAAATCTGTCCTGACTTAGTTTCCACATCCTATGGGGCTTTAGAAACAAACCAAACCATAGCATGGAAGAATATTCCACAAGAAAATGTTTAAATTGATTGCCAAAGCGTGCTTGCACTGTAATACCTGCAAAAATCTGTTATTGTGGTATGTTTTATTTGTAAGAATGCCGAGTTTTACACATTTGTACGTGAAACGTGACTGTGCGCCACACACACATACACTCTTTATTATTTGTGCTAGACTTGGTCTGTTGCCCCAAGGCCAAGCTTCTTAAAATGAAATGTCTCAAACTCAAGGAAAACTAAGGGATCCCTCTACAAGATTTTTTGCCATCCAGAGTTTTCATGAGCTCTCATGTTCAGATCAGTACTTTGCCGGTTTAGAGACCTAATTCTGTGCTGGGTGAGCTGAGACCTGCTGTTTTCCCAAAATGATAAAAGCCTAGAGGCCTTAACACCAAAAACAAAAAGAGCAAAATGCCCAGACAGCTGCAAGGCAGTCTCCGTTGCACTTACAGGGGTCCTGAAATGAAGCCGCTGGGTGCTGTGTGCCCCCGACTCCACACGACAAAGCTGAGTCCCACCCTGCTCACCAACACCCACCACACATGTCCCAGGCTTCTTCTGTAGGGACAGTCCTTCCTCCCTCTCTTCCCTGTCATCCACCCTCCAAGACCCAAATCAAGCAGGGTCCTCCGTGATGGGAGTCACCTTGCATCAGTCCCCCTGGGCGGAAGAGCACTGGCTCCCTCCCCCTCCACCATACACCTGCCCACTTTGCCAGCTCATGGGATGCACCATATTCTCATGAATGCATCCCATCTCCCCACGGAGACACCAAGACCCTAGAGAAAAGGCGTGGGTCTCATGGTTCTCTGTGCTTCCCGCCACCGACCCCATCCTGCTTGGCAGACACATGGCCATGTCAAACAAGGTCACAGTTCCCAGATATGCAGCACGGGATTGGACCCACAAGGATCCAACCCACACAACCTCTCCACTGGAGTTGAGAGGACACCACTGGCATTTATTAATAACAACAGCTGGAGCGGCCAGCTGGGATGGCCACGAGGGCCCAAGAAGGAGGCTTTCATCCCTCCAGTGAGAAGTGTGAATGGGACCCAGAGTTCCAGGCCTAGAAAATGCAAAGCTTCCCAGCACTGAGACAGCACCAAATCAGGGCAGGATCAAAGGCAACTGTTTTGCCTAGACACCCCTCAGAAGAACAAATCTCCCACAGGAGACTGAAATCAAGTCAATCTGTGTTTCAGTCCCACTGTGAAAGGAGCAAGGGCCACATGCATTGGGGACAAGAAATCCCCCTCACCACCACCATCAACAGCCACACAGGAGGCCCGGGGCTTCTCAAGGGGGCATCACCAAAGGCATGCATGCCAAGCCCCAGATGCCAACTAGCACGTGAACACAAAGAGAGAATCACAACAAAAGGAGGAAAATAGAAGCTAAATGTAACATGGACAAATGCACCCCAAAGCAAGGAAAGCCCAGCTGACGGGCAGGTTATGTTTCTAACATTTGTTTTCTCACTCAGTAATTATTTACTGCATGTCTACTATACAACAAGCCTATTCTGGAAGCTCCGCAGCAAGAGGAGACAAGATAAAGACCCTGCACTTGTGGAGCGTCCATTATGGTGGGGGTGACAGACGATAGATACAAAATCTACAAAAAATACAGTGTTCTTGCTTAAGCATTAGGAAGAAGGACATGGCAAGGTACGGGCACACACAGCAGTGGCAGAGGAGGGCTGGTCCCTTGGCAGGAGGTGGCGGATGATGGCCCGCGGGCCAAGCCAGCCGCAGCTTGTTTTTGTAAACAAAGCTTTATTAGAACACGGCCATGCCCATTCCTTATTGTCTGGCGCTGCTTTTGTGTGTTACAAGGGCAGAGTTCAGTCATTGCAACAGAAACCCTGTGGCCTGCAAGCCCTACAATATTTGCAGTCTTGCCTTTGCAAAAAGTGTTTCAATCCCTGTTGTATAAGACAATCAGAGAGACTTCTCCAAAGAACAGGCATTTGAGCTGAGAAGTGAAGGACAAAGCGAAGTTTAAAAGATGTTGGGAACTTAGTTTGAAGGCTCTTAGAGCAGGTCTCTCAAGGCTGGTTAAGTCAAAATGCGGCTGAATTGAGTGACTAATAGAAATACTTTAAACTATGGAGACCAAACAGAAAAAAGAAAGGAAGAGAAATATGAGAAGGAGGAGAAGACGGCAGGGATTCAGTCTGGTCCCAAATCTTGGCCCATCTCCCACTCCCAACATCCTAGAGTCACAGATTCACTCAACATGAGAGCTGAAGGGGCCCCAAACGCTATTGGTCCAACCCCTTTGACAGCTGGCTAAGGCAAGGACCAGATGTCCTTTGAGTCCCAGGTCTCCAACAACTCATTGCTGAAACAGCACCCACCATGTTAGAATGAATTTACATTGGATCAGTCTGGGTCATAAAATGATCAATGTCTATTATGACAACATCACATGATCAGCAAGTCACCAGAAATGTTATGGAATGTACTTTCCTCTTAGCCAGAATTGATCACCAGGGCAGCCGCTGAGCAGAAGCAGCAAAGCTTCCCTCCCTCACAGGGAAGGCACCTGGGACCCACACACCAATCTGCTCCATCCTGACCCTCAGATAAGGTGCAACCATGTCCCTATGTCACGCAGAGGAATGCTCTAAGACTCCATTAGGGGGAAAAAAAGAAAAAAAAAAGATAAGCAAGGCATTTGCAATTGTGATGCAGAAAAAAATCTCTCTCCCGGCAAAGGAGGAGTTATGATGTATGATTTCCTGTTTTTAAATGAAAGTGTTTTCATTGAGAATCCTTTCCTTCACCTAAAATCAGTAAACCCCAAAATCTTGCTGAAACTGGGGGTATCTGAGCTGCTGGACTACCACGTGCTGTTCTAGAAGGAAGTACAGGGGACAGCGAGGACCTGTGTCTTATTTGGAGCTGGACATGGGAGATGCCTGGTGAAGGGTGCTGCCCTGGACGAGAAGAGGATGAAGCCCTGAGTTCCCACGCCTCTCCATTCCTGCTTAACCTTTTGGCCTGGTGTTCCCCATCTGTTGCAGGGTAAGAGTACCCAAATACTGGTTTATTATTGGTAAGATTCCAATGAGCCAACGAAGATGAACCTGATCATCAACTACAACATGTCGGGCTAATGACTGTCACTATTACTGTTACTCTTCAAGGCGGAAGATGCTTGCCGTGATTTTTTAAGCACCACGATTTTCAGAGGATAATCACAGAACATCTGGGTTTCTTTTTCTTTTCTTTTCTTTTCTTTTCTTTTTTTTTTTTTTGAGACAGAGTCTTGCTCTGTCACCCAGGCTGGAATCCAGTGGCACGATCTCGGCTCACCGCAACCTCCGCCTCCCAGGTTCAAGTGATTCTCCTGCCTCAGCCTCCCAAGTAGTTGGGATTACAGGCGTGCACCACCACACCCAGCTAACTTTTTTGTATTTTTATGAGAGACAGCGTTTACCATATTGGCCATGCTGGTCTTGAACTCCTGACCTCGTGATCTGCCCGCCTCGGCCTCCCAAAGTGCTGGGATTATAGGCGTGAGCCACTGCGCCCAGCCAGAACACTTGGATTGCTATCTCCAGATACAAAGTGATTTTACAGGAGTCCCATCTCAATGGACAGTTAAGATGACTTGACGTACTAAAACTGCTTTTGATCCCAGTAAAACCAGATCAAAACTGTCATCTAGATATCCAAGCTTCAAGGATAGTAAAATATCACCCCCTAAAATACACCAATGAGATAATGATGTTTATCCATAAAAATCAAGCCATCCTGTCTTCAAAGTCTCAAACCAGTAACTGCTGTCTTGGTAAACTGAGAAAGCAAGGACTCCTCCCTCCACCCCTTCAGTGGTCATTTCACAAAGGGCCCATTTTGGGGATCAGCGGTGCCTTTAGTAAACATGCCAGTAATACCCCTGGGTATCCCAGAAGACTCTGCAAGCACATGTTAGGGAGAATGCATGAATAAACACACAAGAGAGAAAGAGGTTGGGGAGAATAAAAAGAGGAGGATGTAAGTAAGAAGAGAGGCAGGGATGGGGTGGGGCCATACGCTGGGGAGGGGCCAAATGCCACACTGGTAGCCTCCCAGGCCACCCAGTGGCCCCCCAAGCCCAGCCTGCAGGGCCCAGCACACACGACACATATCAAAGACAACCCCGGCCAGGGGGCCAAGAACACAAGCACCTAACAGCTGGCTCAGTGGAAGCAGCTCTGTCCCTGCCCGTGTCCTTGGGTCCATTTGCCGTCCACAGGGCTTAGCTTCTCTTCTGGGTTTGAATGCTGCAGGTGACCTGACCCGCTGCCCACTCCCTGCAAACATGCACTCCCTGAGCCCTCCATGTTCATCCCCACAGTTGTACTGACCTGGCCCCAGGCTGCGCGGAGCCAGGACAATCAGAGAATCCCCTGTGCCTGCATGTGCAAAGGGGCCTCCCTAACTCTGGTCACCCCCCATGGATGGACAACCTCTCCCTGACTCCACCAGGCTGCACAGCCTGCTCTGTGAAAGAGCAAAGAATTCCCCAGGAAATGTACATAACTCCTTTTATAGTCATGTGAGCACTTCCTGGATTTACTTTTTCCCATTGCTGTGGCATACTTTTCACCTTTCCTGTGCGAATCCACCAGGGGTGCACAGCCCAACATCTCCCTCATCTCCTGCCAAAACGCAATGGGGAGAAGGTTCCAGAAGCCGCCTTGCTATGCACAAATGCTCTTTCAGAGGCTTCCACAGACAGAGAATATGTTTCCATGTATTTTTCACAATATGAATTAAAAGTCGAAAAGAAGCAAGCAAGCTTCACAGTAGTATTGGCCAATCTTTGTCACTGTTTCCTAAAACTGGTAAACAAACAAGGCACCAAGTCTCCTTCCTGGGACACAGCTCAACACTCGTTTCTACTGCCGTGGCCACACTACTGCAGCCCTGCTGCATAAAGCTCAGTTGCATCCACGTGAATTTTCTCCCAGAAGTTTCAAATACTTGGGAAGTACCAGCAGCGTGTTAGCAAGCAGCCTTTTTTTTCTTTTTTTTTTTGAGACGGAGTCTGGCTTTGTCGCCCAGGCTGGAGTGCAGTGGCGCGATCTTGGCTCACTGCAAGCTCCACCTCCCGGGTTCACGCTATTCACCTGCCTCAGCCTCCTGAGTAGCTGGGACTACAGGAGCCTGCCACCACACCTGGCTAATTTTTGGTATTTTTTTTAGTAGAGACGGGGTGGGTTTCACCATGTTGGCCAGGATGATCTTGATCTCCTCACCTCGTGATACGCCCACCTCAGCCTCCCAAAGTGCTGGGATTACAGGCGTGAGCCACCGTGCCTGGCCTTTTTTTTTTTTTTTTTTTTTTTTGAGACGGAGTCTCGCTCTCTCCCAGGCTGGAGTGCAGTGGTGCGATCTCGGCTCACTGCAAGCTCCACCTCCTGGGTTCAAGTGATTCTCCTGCCTCAGCCTCTGGAGTAATGGGATTACAGGTGCATGCCATCACGCCTGGGAATTTTGTTGTTGTTGTTGTATTTTAGTAGAGACAGGGTTTTACCACGTTGCCCAGCCCAGTCTCAAACTCCTCAGCTCAGGCAATCCACCTGCCTCCGCCTCCCAAAGTGCTAGGATTACAGGTGGTAGCCACCGCACCTGGCCACAAGCAGCTTCTTTAAAAACAAACAAACAAACAAACAAACAAACAAAAACGACTGGCCGGGCGCGGTGGCTCGTGCTTGTAATCCCAGCACTTTGGGAGGCCGAAGCGGGCGGATCACCTGAGGTCAGGAGTTCGAGACCAGCCTGGCCAACATGGAGAAACCCCGTCTCTACTGAGAATGCAAAATTAGCTGGGCATGGTGGCGCATGCCTATAGTCCCAGCTACTCGGGAGGCTGAGGCAGGAGAATCGCTTGAACCCAGAAGCTGGAGGTTGTGGTGAGCTGAGCTCACGCCATTGCACTCCAGCCGGGGCAACAAGAGCAAAACTCCATCTCAAAAAAAAAATAAAAAAAAAAATTGACTGTTTTGATACTTTAAAAATGAGAGAGACAGGTACTTGTACAGCTAATCAAAAAATAAATGGGCCAGGCACAGCAGGTCATGCCTACAATCCCAGCACTTTGGGAGGTCGAGGTGGGAGAATCACTTGAGGTCAGGAGTTCAAGACCAGCCTAGGGAACATAGTAAGATCCTCTCTCCACAAAAAATGAAAAAAAAAAAAAAAAAAAGCCGGGAATGATGATAAACACCTGTAGTCCCAGCTACACAGGGGGCTGAGGTAGGAAGATCGCTTGAGCCCCAGAGGCTGCACTGAGCTATGATCGCGCCACTGCATTCCTGCCTGGGTGACACAGCGAGACGAGAACCTGTCTCCAAAAATAAATAAGTAGCCCAGGCACAGTGGCTCATGCCTGTAATTTCAGCACTTTGGGAGACCAAAGCGAGTGGATCACCTGAGATCAGAAGTTCGAGACCAGCCTCACCAACATGGTGAAACCCATCTCTATTAAATATAAAAAATTAGCTGGGCGTGGTGGCATGTGCCTGTAATCCCAGCTATTTGGGAGGCTGAGGCAGAGGAGAATCGTTTAACCCAGAAGGTGGAGGTTGCAGTGAGCCGAGACCATGCCATTGCACTCCAGCCTGGGCGACATGAGTGAAACTGTCTCAAACAAAAAAAAAACACAAATAAATAAATAGTATGAATAACAACAGGCATCTGCACATGAGCTGTGAGTAATTCCTGCCTTGACCTGGCCTTCCTTCCCTAAGAAAACCATCCTGTTATTCCTTGGGAGCTCATAGGACCTCTGACTGGGGAGAGAGAGAAACTGAGGCAGGGGCTGCCTGACTCTCCGAGCCCCTCAGCAGACCATTTGACATCACACAGAGTGCCACTAGCCACAAGCTGCATGAATTTACCTCTCTATAAGTAAACAGAGAGAAAAAAATCCTCGCTGTGTGTGAAGATAGCCCCAGGAGGGGGAAATCTTGTAAAAGTCAAAAAAGGCTGTGACTTATGTGACTTCACTGCACACATCCAGCTGGACTTCTCACCCATCTCAGCGGGAGGGTTGTCTTGAGACAGTTGAAACAGCAAAAGGGTTTGGAAACGGTAAGCTATTTCAGGTAACACTTTACGTTGCCAAACCAGCGATAGCAGCACTTCAGACTGTCACTTTTTATAATGTTTGCCTATAAACTTTTCCCGTGTGGTTTTTGAAATGGCGCCCAAATGCAAACAGAGAACAGATGGGAAACCTGAGTCTTGCCCCGTCCAATCACTTCACGGAGAATGGACGACAGATTTAAACTGTTAAGGAAGAAAAAAGCAGTTTCTACCAACGGCACAGCTCCCTCCATTACTTTTCACAAATTAAGCCTTTTCTGGGGTTTCCCAGGGATGGTGTCTTTTCCAACGTCTAGATCATCCTAGTTCCAAGGATGCGGTGGGGTCGTCCTGGAACCCATCCCACTGAGGTTTCTCCCTCCTCCAAAGTCAGAGGTGTCCAATCCCTAAACACATTCCTCCAGGAAGAAGAAAGAGAGAAAGAAATCCCTGAACAGACTCCTCTGGAAGAGACAGAAGGATGAAAGAGAGGGAGAGGGGGAAAAAGGAGAGGAGAGACGGAGACAAGGAAAAGGAAGGGAGAGAAACAGAGGGAGGGAGAGGAAAGAAGAGGAAGGCAAGAGGAAGAAAGAGAGGGGAAGGGGAGAGGAGAAAGAGGGAGGGGCAGAGAGAAGAGGCAGGTTAGGAGCACACCCGGGAGGCATGTCCTGTCAGGGTTGTGGGTTGCAGGAAGAAACCCGTTTGTACCTGGAGGCACAGCTGGGACTCCCACAAGCACTGTAACAGGAGCGCTGCGGGAAGGGTAGTAAAATGGCCTTCGGTTCCCGGTGCCCTCCCACACCTCCTGCCACCTTGTACAGAGTAAATGTCACGGCTGTAGGGCTGTAGGGCTGCCAGTGTCTCTACAGGAGAAACACAGTCCGGCTGCAAATGTCGCTACATAGTCACTGCACACAAAGCACATGGCAAGTAAGTGGCCGCCACTGTCCTCCCTGGTCCAGTAACCCCCAACTGGCCCTCTTAGTCTGGAAGATGTCCTGTAGTGGCCACGCCCAGTCCCAGTAAGAAGTCCTCACTGGTCAATACCCAATTCTCTGTCCGTAGGAACAGAAGAGAGATTTCTGCAAGATAGGGTTTCTGGAAGAGCCCAGCCCCCTCTTTCCTATGGCACAATCTGGGTATCACTGGCATCAGAACTTATCAGCAGAAAGAAATAAAGGCAATGGAGGCCAGGTGCGGTGGCTCATGTCTGTAATACCAGCACTTTGGGAGGCCCAGGCAGGTGGATCACTTGAGGTCAGGAGTTCGAGACCGGCCTGGCCAACAAGACGAAACCCCGTCTCTACTAAAAACACAAAAATTAGATGGGCATGGTGGTGTGTGCCTGTAGTCCCAGCTACACGGGAAGCTGAGGCAGGAGAATTGCTTGAATCCGGGAGGCGGGGGTTGCAGTGAGCCCAGATCGCACCACTGCACTCCAGCCTGGGTGACAGAACTAAACTCCATCTCAAAAATAATAATAATAATAATAATTAAATTAAAAAATAAAGGCAATGGAGTCCCGCCATTGAAGTCAGAACCAACCACCTTTGCATGCCCTGCCATGAGGGCTGTGTACACAGCAACGAAGACAGCCTGCTGCAGCCCAGACATCCTCAAAGCCTCCCCTCTGCAAGAGCCGACTTGCAAGAAGACCAAATTCCTCACATCAAACAGAGACCTTATAAGGCATAGGTACTACGTGTTCTTTAAGGGGGCGAGGAAGGGACAAATACTCCGCACAATATAAAGGTGAAAGTTCTCTACCTCGAGAAATACTGCCAACATAAAAACGGAGAACAAAAAGAAGTCAAAGCAACAAACAACAGATAAGTACGCAGGATGAAAGGGTGCAGTCCTCTCTTTCTAACCAGTTGTCAGGGTGTCTGGTAGACACAAGTCGGGACTGAAACCTCCCTGGTCGCTAACAAGGATGCCGGTAACAACAGCTAACAGCCGCCTCTGCAGCGGTAGCTGGATTTCTCCAGAAACTCCAGACTGGCTCATGTTCCTAGTCATCAGATGGGATCATGGCTAATGTTTCCAATATGGTAACCATTAAAAATTATATATTTAGGCACACCCCTCATATCATTTAAGTCTGCCTTTGAGAAACATGCTGGATGGCTCTTCATGTTTGAAAGAAATTATATTGTTGCCCATGAGAAAATAAAAATGCACACAGAGTAAAGAGCCTAAGAATGCACTTACTGAGGAGTGAGTCACCGTGTCTCCCAATGTCCCCACCCACAGTGGAAATCCGCACTCCCTGTTTTGTCAGTATCCCTCTTGCTTTTGATCTGATGTTTTCGGCTGTTCATGACAGTGTTCTCCAAAAAAAGATGCACAGAGGGAAGGTTTTCTCTCTGGTCCCAACACGTGTATTAAAGTCATATTTCATGAGTGAAAAATTCCTGATGGACCACTAAGACGCAGGTATTGAATCAGTACTGTGTGCATAAACTCCTAGATATGGGCAGCTTTGCTTGCATAAGAACTTCAAAATTGAGTCCTGGCCGAGTGCGGTGGCTCATGCCTGTAATCCCAGCACTTTGGCAGGCCGAGGCGGGTGGATCACCTGAGGTCAGGAGTTCAAGAGCAGCCTGGCCAACATGGTGAAACCCCATCTCTACTAAAAATACAAAAATTAAGCCAGGCATGGTGGTGCACCCCTGTAATCCCAGCTACTCGGGAGGCTGAGGCAGGAGAATCGCTTAAACCAGGGAGGCAGAGGTTGCAGTGAGCCGAGATCGTGCCACTGCACTCCAGCCGGGTGACAGAGCGAGACTTCATCTCAAAAAAATAAATAAATAAATAAAAATAATAATAATTTAAAAAAATAAAAGGCCGGGCGCAGTGGCTCACATCTGTAATCCCAGCACTTTGGGAGGCCAAGGAGGGTGGATCACCTGAGGTCAGGAGAGTTCAAGACCAGCCTGACCAACATGGAGAAACCCCGTCTCTACTAAAAATACAAAATTAGCCGGGCGTGGTGGCACACGCCTGTAATCCCAGCTACTAAGGAGGGTGAGGCAGGAGAATCGCTTGAACCTGGGCGGTGGAGGTTGCCGTGAGCCGAGATCACGCCACTGCCCTCCAACCTGGGCAACAAGAGCGAAACTCCGTCTCAAAAAATAAATAAATAAATAAATCGAGTCTTTTGTTCAGAAAGCATTTCCCAAAGCGACAGGCCATTAGATCATGTAGCGCCCAGGAAATAGATACTTACGTTACAAGCTATGTTGAAGTCCTGCACGCCCCGGCTTGGATGTACAATGAGGAGTCTGTGTGCCTGGCTGCCTGGCCAGCCCAGCCCGAGCCTCCTACCTTCTGAAAATACACTTGCTGGACATAGCAGAGAAAGCTGGTACATCTCCAGCCCTTCAGGGCTTCTTGGGACACACTGTTCTGGGGAAAACCCTTTCATCAAAAGGCATGTGGGGGGCTCACAAGGAGGTGAAGGAGTGAATAGGATGTGCCTGGCCTTTAATGACCCAATCTTAGGGTGAAGAGTGGCCCTACAGAGTTGTCACTCTGTAAAATGAATGCATTGTGATCTCCAGTCCTGAAACTGAACCCTCTGGTCTCAAAACACTTCCATTCCCTGAGTCCTAATGACAGTGCTCAGCCAGAGGCAGCTCTCTTCATCTTACAAAGTAGTAAAGCACCTGTCTCAACAGACAGCTATACCCCAAGCCTCTCATGGTCCCTTAGCAGTAAGGCTATGGCCTCATTTTTGTCCCTTCTCTGGTGACTCTTCAGAAAAGGCTGGGGGTGTTAAAGGTACAGACCAAGGCCGGGCATGGTGGCTCATGCCTGTAATCCCAGAACTTTGGGAAGCTGAGGCAGGTGGATCATTCAAGGTCAGGAGTTCGAGACCAGCCTGGCCAACATGGGGAGACCCCATCTCTATTAAAAATACAAAAGTTAGCTGGGCATGGTGGCAGGCGCCTATAGTCCCAGCTACTCGGGAGGCTGAGGCAGGAGAATCGCTTGAACCTGGGAGGCGGAAGTTGCAGTGAGCCAAGATCACGCCACTGTGCTCCAGCCTGGATGACAGAGCGAGACTCCATCTCAAAAAAAAAAAAAAAAAAAAAAAAATATATATATATATATATATAGAGAGAGAGAGAGAGAGAGAGAGAGAGACACCAAACAGACCTGTCACTGACACCGAGACTATGCCACTTACAAATCGTATGACCTTGAGGCAAGTCCTCGGAGCAGGAACAATAATAAATGAGATAGGACACAGAAGGCACCCAGCACAATGTCTGGCACTTACACATCTGCCATCAGAAAGACCTTCCGGCTGAAATCCTCACTCCTCCGCTAAACAGGAAAAAAAGCAAGGCTGCCTAGCCAGGTCTTCTCAGTGTGGAAGGTCAGGAAATGAGAGAGGAGGGGGCAGGGCTCCTGGTCTATTTCTCAATCCCTAACACAGAATTGGGGGTTAATTATCTTCGGTTAGCATTCTGCTTCCTGCTGGTGCGTACATGTGCGTATGTGTTCTTATGGACAGGAACATGTCAAGGAGGACTTCTCGCCTTTCTAGGAAATTTCTCCTTCCCTGCCACCCCTCCTGTATCCATGGATATACCCAGAATTCTACCTCTGGCTCTTCTGGTCCTTTCCCTGCATTCCAGTCTCCTGGGCACGTGTGGCTTTTCCCACCTCCTCCCCGCAGATGCCACTCAAGTCCCTGCTTGTAGGTTCATATTTCCACCTGCCCGGGGGGAGGAAATACATAACCTGGATGTCTACAGAGGTCGTATCCAAAACAAGCAAGTGACCTTCAACCTCCTCCTCCTCCACCAGCCTCTTCTCTTACACGATGAAGGGAGTCACACCACTGAACTGCCGCCCAAGCTCCAAGTCGGCCCTGAAGCCCCTCTTTTCCTCTGGCCCTTCCTCTGATCAGTCCCCACACCCCTTCACCTATTAGGCCTATCCCTGATAGAAAGCTTAGCTCTGAAAGAAAGTACAGGCAAAACTGCATCCCACAGGTCTCCTCCAGTCCTCCACAAGACCTCTGCAATGCGCCTAACCCATCACCCATGGTGCGCCTCTTGTAGCCACCGCAGACCCCCAGAGGAATCTTCTGAAAAGCACATGATCTCTACTCTTTTAAAAAGGCACAGACCACTCCAAAGTCAGAGAGAATAAAACCCAAAGAACATCATGGCGCATTGAGGCTTGGTTGCTCCAAGCCCCACATCCCTCTCTCTGACACTCTGGCTTACCTGTCCACATGGGCACTGTTCCCTCTACCTACAAGCCCACCCAGCTCTGCTGCCTGGCAGGCTCCTATTCAGCCCAGTTCCAACAGCTCCTCCGTGAAAATCCCGATTCCCATTAAGACACTGCACTGCTCCCATCTCGTCCTGTTCAGCCTCTAGGACATGCACAGCCAAAGACAGTCTGCGTCCCCAGCCCACTCCACCCAAAAGGTGTACGGAGAGGGACTGGAGTAGGGATCAATGCAATGTTTCTCAGACTTTACTGTGCGTAAAACCACGTGGTCAGTTTAAGACAGCTTCCTTGCTCCCACTTCCAAAGATGCTGGGTCAGCTGGGCGCTGTGGCTTACGCCTGTAATCCCAGCACTTTGGGAGGCCAAGACAGGTGGGTCACTTGAGGCCAGGAGGTAGAGAACAGCCTGGCCAACACAGTGAAACCCTGTCTCTACTAAAAATGCAAAAATTAGCCAGGTCTGGTGGCAGGAGCCTATAATCCCAGCTACTCGGGAGGCTGAGGCAAGAGAATCACTTGAACTTCGGAGGCAGAGGTTGCAGTGAGCCAAGATTGTGCCATTGCACTCCAGCCTGGACAACAAGAGCAAAAGTCTGTCTCAAAAGGAAAAAACAAAAAAAGATTCTGGGTCAGTAGGCCTGCAGGTGCGGGCTGACATTCTTTATTTCCCACAGGTGAGGCCTGATGCTGCTGGTCCAAGACCCACACTACAAGAAGTTCAGCTCCAGTGTCCAAGGATGAGACTTTGAGACCCGCCTCTGCCAGTAGTGAACGTGTCAGCTTGGACAGCCTCACACCGCTGAGCCTCAGAGTCATGCTTTAGAGAAGAGAAAAACATCTCCAGTGCTGCCTGCTGCAGGGCAAGGTCACCACAAGGACACAATCAAAGGCTGCCTAGGAAGGCCTCTGTATATTTAAAGTGAGGGGCACGTCTGAGAGCAAGCACTCCTCATCCTGGCGGGCGGTTGGAGGTAGTGGGGGGTCCCCATCCTGCAACTCAGCCCTGGCCAGGAGGGCAGTCCTGGGTTCCTGTTTACGGGGCGTAACTGGCCTGCAGATTGCTTTTTCCAACCATGTGAGAGCCTCTATTCGCATTCCTCTGACTTCAAAACAGGTTTTCTTTCAAGTGAACAAATAGGTCTCATCACATATAAGTTACCTAAATGAGGATTCCTGGAATGTTCCCAGAGACTAAACATCTGAAGATTTTGTGAGATTCATCATTATCAACACCCATGTATGATGCCTGTTTAATTTACAAAGAGGCCTGTGGCTTCTTAAAATACCTTCTACTATTCATCCATCCAACACATTTGAGAGTAGCTGATATTTGCATGTGGGGCACAGTAACACACCACAGAATTCCCTTGAGATGAGAACCCCAGCAGGGCTCAGGAGCCGGATAACTTACCCTAGCCCCACAGCATGCCGAGAATAACCCTGCAAACACCAAACCATGGGCAAGAGTCCCCACAGCTGTGCCTCACGCAGTCCACAGAGCTAAGGGCCTGCGTTACTGCGAGTTGGGGCGGCTGGCCTGCATTCCAGAGAGCATACCCTAAAGCCTGACTCATTCCAGAAGCAGGTTTTCAGGGACAGTCACCTTGCCACACTTACTGTTACCTGTGGCTCCTAGAAGCTGCTGCTGGGACAAGCTCACCTCCCTGATATTGATGTAAACATTCAATAAATGGTGCATACTCCAGCGGATACGTTTGCCCTGTATGGCCCTGAAAGGTCAGATAGATGTCCAGATCCCGTTTGACATTTTCCCCCAAGCCCATAGAGCAGGCCCTCCCACACTGCGCACTTTCTGAATAAAGAAATACTTTTAAAGTGGCCAAGGCTACAAAAGAAAAGGGAAGGTTAAGAGTTATTCCAGGAGGGCAAGGCTGCCTCCTGCTTTCTCAACTCAGGACCTTCTGGGGGTACTGTTTGGCAAGTTGATTTAAAGGGCTCGGCCTTTCTTCTCTCAGCAGGATCTCGGTTCCAACACTCCTTCAGAGTCTGCAGATGTGTCCCCGCCTGATCCCCTCAGCAGCATCCCAGCCATTTGCAAATGAAGCAGCAGCAGCTGGAGACTGGGAAACAGATGGTCTTCCTCATTTGAATGGGTTTGAACGGTCTGCTTGAGGCTCACCAAGTTCAGGCCTGGCCAGCATCTCGAAACCCGTGCAGACGCCTGAAGGCACAGAGTTGTGGCCTGGGGAGCCGGCAGCAATCAGCTGAATGGGAATGACCTGGAGGAAAGGTTCCCCACACTGCCTTCGGGTGGGCGGGACACGGTCCCAGCTGGTTTTGCACCGCAGGACCCAAGGAAGGCAGGTCGGAGCCACAGGGATCACTTTTCTCCTGTGTTTTGCAGAGGAAAGAAAAACTCTCCCTCAGGGGATCCTGAGCCAGAGGACTGAAACCCACATTAATTCAGGACATTCCACGTTAAGAGCCGGCGCCATCACAGTTAACCTTTCTTCCCTGCTCCAAACCGCATATTTGCATAGAGGTAAAAGCTTCAAGAAAACAAACAAACTTTGAAGAGTCACTACCTCTCACAATCCTCCAAAGCAGCATTCAGAGGGAAGCTTTAGATCTCAGAAGGGCTGTGCGCCGGCTCCCACGAATGTAGGCTTTCTGGGACAGGGCATCCCCCAGGCGAGGCACCTGGGAGGAGGCAGAATCCCATCCTGCCCACACCTGGCCTGACTCCCCTGGCCGCCCTCCGGCCATCTCTCTGCCTCCACATTGACCTGGCAAGAAACTCTGCCAATTAGAGGTAGTAACAGAAAAGAGATAGGAAGCAGGCTGAAATGACCCACTCAAATACGGCCTGGAGGCCGCCGGGATGCCCTTGACCGGCCTCCTCACTCGCCACACCTTCAAGGGCAAGCACCTCACAGGAGGGGAGAAGAGGGGCCTCTGAGCCCAGCTGCACGCATTCACTCAACGGCCTCTGCTCCACCTCCATCAACATCAACAGGTGAAGCCAGCAAGGGACAGCAGAGAGGCTAGGCCCTGGAAAATCACCTCACTGGACAAGGGTCAACCTAGCAGGCAAGGTGGCTGGTACTGATGAGGGTCAACCTTGCAATGCAGGTGGGTTTGCTGGGGAATCCAGGTGGGTGCCACCTCCTTAAGGGGAAGACCAGCCTCAGGTGTGGTGGCTAACACCTGTGATCCCAGCACTCTGGGAGGCCAAGGTGGGAGGATCGCTTGAGCCCAGGAGTTTGAGACCAGGCTGGGCAACAAGTGAGAACCCATCTCTACCAAAAAAAAAAAAAAAGAAAAAAAGAAAGAAAAAAGAAAAATCAGCCTGCGCCTATAGTCGCAGCTACTCAGAAGGCTAAGGTGGGAAGACCGCTTGAGCCCAGGAGGTCCAGGATGCAATGAGCTGTGATTGCACCACTGCACTCCAGCCTGGGTGACACAGTGAACAGAGAGAGACCCTGCATTTAAAAAAAAAAAAAAAAAAAAAAAAAGCAGCAGCAGCAGCAGCTTCATAGTCCCAGTCCCTGGGAACTCCTAAACATGGGGCACATGCCTCCGGCCCATGCTTTTCCTTCACAGAATCTTCACCTTTGACTGGACCTAGCCCTTCATTTTTTATTTTTGTTTATTTATTTTGATTTTTTTTTTTATTTTTGAGACAGAGTCTCACCCTGTCGCCCAGGCTGGAATGCAATGGCGTGATCTCAGCTTACTGAAACCTCTGCCTCCCAGGTTCAAAGATTCTCCTGCCTCCGCCCCCCAAGTACCTGGGACTACAGGTGCCTGCCACCACCCCCGGCTAATTTTTGTATTTTTAGTAGAGACCACGTTTCACCATGTTGGCCAGGCTAGTCTCAAACTCCTCACCTCATGATCCGCCCACCTCGGCCCCTCAAAGTGCTGGGATTACAGGCGTGAGCCACTGCACCCAGTCCTAGCCCTTCATTTTTGCAATTATTTGACAAGAGCCTGTCTCCCCCACTCAACTGTTCATTGCTTGCTATTCCATCCCCACAGAACCTGGCACATAGTAGGTCTCAAAAATTATTTGGGGAGCAAATGGATGAAAAAACTCAAAGAAACCACAGCAATTACCCTGCAATCTAAAAATCATGTTTATACCATCTTGCCTCTGCCAAGCTCTGAAAGTTGTCATCGCACGGGGAGCTGCAAATTTAAGAGGGAAATTTGCAGCATCTCCTAGTCAAGAACTCTACGGCCAGGTGCGGTGGTTCACACCTGTAATCCCAGCACTTTGGGAGGCTGAGGTGGGTGGATCACCCGAGGTCAAGAGTTCGAGACCAACATGGTGAAACCCCAGCTCTACTAAAAATACAATTAGCCGGGCGTGGTGGTGCACATCTGTAATCCCAGCTACTCTAGACGCTGAGGCAGGAGAATCGCTTGAACCCGCGAGGCAGAGGTTGCAGTGATCCAAGATCGCACCACTGCACTCCAGCCTGGGTGACAGAGCAAGAGACTCTGTCTCACAAAAAAAGAAAAAAAAGAAAAAGGAATTCTACAACTTTCCTCCAAAACTCAACTCCCACTTGGAAATGCCTGGAACCCCTGAGTGTTCTGCAACTGCTGTACAGGTAGCCAAGAACAAAGTTCAGCTGCCTAAACCAGCCTCGATTCACCTACACATTAGCTGGTACTGGAGTTCACTTTTTATTTTTAAATACCAAACTGATCTTTGCTTGCTTTAAAAATGGGCTCCATTCCCTGGCCTCTTTTTTTCCCCTAAGGACACCCTTTCTGGCCAAGACTGGAAGAAGAGTAGGTGTTTCTGCTTTTGGCCTTTTCATTCTTGGAATTTTTTCTTTTTTGGCTTTCTTAGTCTCTCCTCCTAATCTCTGCAGAAAAGTGACATTAGAAGGGTCAGGTAGTCCTTGGTGCTTGTTTCCATGACCACAGTTCGTGGGAGTCCCAAGTACAGGGGTCTGTCTATGCAGGTAGGCCTTGACTTCATACCCAGTCGTAAATCAGAAATTCTGGGAAGAAAAGCTTGACATAATATCCAAGTGGCAACAGCTGAGGGTTAGCAGGCACTAGGACAAACCAGCAGAGGCATCTGGGACAAGGAATAACTGGGGACGGCCTGCTCTGCTGAGATGGCTCATGCATCAACGGGCAACAGAGGCCAGCCCTTCTTGTTATGGACTCCTACGGTGTGGCGCAGCCTGGACCACCAACTGGGACCCAGTCTCCCATTGGTCTCCTTGGCAGCAGTCAGGGTTAGCCTCTTTCCAATAAGTCACATGCCACCAGAAGCCATTCTAGAAGAATCACAAAGTATAATCATTAAACATTTTTATTGTCTGGAATTTTTCTTCAAATGTCTTTAGGAGAATTCGGTATGGATGTGTGAGAAAGAAACAGAATCAACCAGCAGTGTCCCTAACAGGTTTAATAGTCAAACGACAGATTTAGGAAAGAATGAGGGGTCACCACATTCTCCAGCAAAAAAAAAAAATCCTCCTGCTCAGGAAGAAGGGAAATTTTTCTTACACCAACACATTCACCCAAAGACCTGGGCCCACACTCACTAATGATGAGGTCCTGGAGGAGTCACTTGATCCCCAAGAATTTCAGTTACCTTGTCCATAAAATAAGAACAGGAAAACCCAAGATGTTCTGGGTTATTAAGATGAGAGATAATATATGTTAAAGTACCTAGCACAGAGTCCAACCATGACAGGCACTCAATAAATGGTAGCCAGTTATCATCATCACCATCATCATCATCATCATCTCAAGGAATGGGCTAAAGAAACGTGACCTCATCCATACTGCCCCTACTTCATAGCCTGTCCTACCAAGTAACCTCCATAGGGGTATCATGTGCAAATGCTTGTTCAGCTCCTGTCCACTTCAGTACTGTGGGTCCCATCACAATTTCCTTGAGCTCCCTTCCATGCAGACAAAAATCTCATCTAGGAGTGTTCAGGGGAGGTCACTACAGGCAAACATGGCAAGGATGACCATACCATGTTATGGAGCTCACCTCTCCAGCCTGGCCAAAAGCAGAACACACCACACCGCACCCCACCCCAACCAATCCCATAACCCCTCTCCATCCCGCACCCCACCCCAACCTATCCCATAACCCCTCTCCATCCCACACCCCACCCCAACCGATCCCATAACCCCTCTCCATCCCGCACCCCACCCCAACCGATGCCATAACCCCTCTCCATCCCGCACCCCACCCGAAGAGATCCCATAACCCCTCTCCATCCCACACCCCACCCCAAACGATCCCATAACCCCTCTCCATCCCGCACCACCCCAACCGATCCCATAACCCCTCTCCATCCCGCACCCCACCCCAACCGATCCCATAACCCCTCTCCATCCCACACCCCACCCCAACCGATCCCATAACCCCTCTCCATCCCGCACCCCACCCCAACCAATCCCATAACCCCTCTCCATCCCACACCCCACCCCAACTGATCCCATAACCCCTCTCCATCCCGCACCCCACCCCAAACGATCCCATAACCCTCTCCATCCCGCACCACCCCAACCGATCCCATAACCCCTCTCCATCCCGCACCCCACCCCAACCGATCCCATAACCCTCTCCATCCCGCACCCCACCCCAAACGATCCCATAACCCCTCTCCATCCCGCACCACCCCAACCGATCCCATAACCCCTCTCCATCCCGCACCCCACCCCAACCGATTCCATAACCCCTCTCCAATGTTCTTCGCCGGGCCTAATGGCAATGTGGCAGAGTATTTTGTATTTTGAAGCTTCAAACAGAAAACTCTTTTGCCAAAATACATTGTTCCTCATGAAGTATGTGTCTGCTGTTATTATTACAGAGCTGCAACTGACTTTTTTCAACAGAGGGGAAAAAAAATTTCAACCTTGAACCATTTGGACTGCAAGCAGCAGGATGATCCCATTTCTAAAATCCATGGGACTTGCAAAAGCCCAAGATAATAAAAAGGGTTGGACAAATCCAGGGCCTAGAGCCAGTTTTACATTTTAATTAATGTAAATGCTTCTCATCAGACAATTATCACTATACACTGTAGAGTAAACATCTTATTGGTCCAGGAAATATTGGTAATATTGTAGAGTAAACATCTTGTTGGTCCAGGAAATGTTGACAGGAAGTGGGACAGGGAAGAAATCAGCATTTAATGAACACCTACTCTGGGCCAGGAAATTCAGTAGGGGCTTTACATTTCATTTGCATTTAATCTGCACATTCACCCTTCAAGATAGATACTATCTCTGAGGCTCAGAGAGGTTATCTAACTTTTCTGAAATCACAGCATCAGTAGATAGTAGAGAGATTCAAACCTACCTCCCAAGGTCAAGTTCCCTCTGTTAGTTTATGTCTCCAGAAAGCATACCACATGCCATCCAAAATGATTTTATTCAATTCTATTTTTAAGAATGGCTGATACAGAATTTAGATTAAATGCACAGAAGATTCTTGTTCTTTTAAAAATTTGAGTGGTTTTAAATTTGAAACATTTATAAATGTCCACGATATATATTCAGTTGTGCGTCTATTGCAGCCAGGTAGAAATGCAACATGCATTGGTGGAAATCCAGGAGGCTTAGCAGGACAAGAAGGCTCCTTAAGGCAGCCACACATCTTTGGGGGCAATCCCACTGTCAACTGAAAATCTGAACTTTAAGGGTGTTCAAAGAGTTTAAAACCTAAACTTAACCATTGCAATGATCTTGACATTCATTTTATAGTACACCCCCCTGAGCACATACACACACCATAGATACACACAGTTGGCCTTTTCAATGTCTGGATACTTTTAAAATATTACAACTGGTCACTATGGAAAATTTAACAGTAAACTGTCAGGTATACAAATGGGTCACATATAGTAATATAGGAGCTCAAGGGTTCGAAAATAATCACGATAATTGATATAGAGTTTATTAACGTTAGAGCTCAGAATTGAGTCCTCTCCAAGAAAGGCGCTACATAAATCATACAAATAAATACATCCCTTGTTCTCGTTCTTGAATCTATCAGCATTTTCCTTATAAGCTATTTTTAGCCTCCTCATAAAACACATTCAGCATAACCTGAAACTCTATATGTGTGCATTCCATTCTGAAATGAATTGGAATTTACCATTCTTTAGTTAGACAAGGGGTTAAAGGAAAGAATATACAACAGCTTAGCCCCCTGACTTGGTACTGTCAAAAAGAATCAGAAGTTTTTGAGAGTGGCATGATGTGGCCAAAGTCCACAATGGCGCAGAATTACTTACAGTATTCCAAAGTGGAGTAAATTACACATTCAGCATCTGAAAGCTCTTCCATGGTACCGGTTTCCCAAAACCAAAATTACTGAAAATCTAAAGCACGCCTATTTTACTTGACACACACTCTTCAAGGATGGCCATGGCTTGTCCCAATGATTCATACTTGTGTATAAATATTTAAATGGTAAGAGCTTGAAGTTATATAAATAGAAGTCAGCTACCACATACAAATCACAGTGAGGAAAGAGAAACTTGTAAAAAGTGTGACTTTTGTCTATTACAGAAGGAGACATCTTCAAGACGTGAAGGATCACCACAATGACCTGTCCAGCATCTTGTTCAATCAGACCTCTCCTTAAAAGAACTTAGCCTCTGAATAGCCAAGGCAATCCTAAGCAAAAATAACAAAGCTGGGGGCATCACATTACCTGACTTCAAACTATACTGTGGGGCTACGGTAACCAAAACAGCATGGTACTGGTATAAAAACAGGCACGTAGACCAATGGAACAGAATAGAGAGCCCAGAAATAAGGCCACACACCTACCGCACACCTACGACCATCTGATCTTCGACAAAACTGATGAAAACAAGCAATGGGGAAAAGACTCCCTATTCAATAAATGGTGCTGGGATAACTGGCTAGCCACATGCAGAAGATTGAAGCTGACCCCTTCCTTATACCATATACAAAAAATCACCTCAAGATGGAAGAAAGACTTAAATGTCAAATCCAAAACTATAAAACCCCGGAAGACAACTTAGGCAATATACCATCCTGGACATAGGAATGGGCAAAGATTTCATGACAAAGACATCAAAAGCAATTGCAACAAAAGCAAAAATTGACAAATGGGATCTAATTAAACTTAAGAGCTTCTGCACAGCAAAAGAAACTATCAACAGAGTAAATAGACAACCTACGTAATGGGATAAAATATTTGTAAACTATGCATCTAACAAAGATCTAATGTCCAGCATCTATAAGGAACTTAAATTTACAAGAGAAAAACAAATAACCACATAAAAAGTAGACAAAGGACATAGACACTTTTCAAAAGAAGACATATATACGTCCCACCAGCATATGAAAAAAAAAGCTCATCACTAGAGAAATGCAAATCAAAACCACGATGAGATACCATCTCACACAAGTCAGAATGGCTATTAATAAAACGTCAAAAAATAATAGATGCTGGTGAGATTGCAGAGAAAAGGAAACACTTATATACTGTTAGTAGGAGTGCAAATTAGCCCAATAATTGTGGAAAGCCGTGTGGCGATTACTCAAAGAGGTAAAAGCAGAACTACCATTCGACCCAGCAATCCCATTACTGGGTATATACCCAGAGGAATATAAATCATTCTACCATAAAGACACATGCACACAAATGTTCATTGCAGCACTATTCACAATAGCAAAGACATGGAATCTACCTAAATGCTCATCAGTAACAGATTGGATAAAGAAAATGTAGTACATATACAACATAGAATACTATGCAGCCATAAAAAAGAGCAAGATCATGTCTTTTGCAAGAACATGGATGGAGCTAGAGGCCATTATCCTTAGCAATAAACCAAATACAGAAAACCAAATACTGCATATTCTCATTTATAAGTGGGAGCTAAATGATGAAAACTCATGAACACAAAGAAAAGAACAACAGACACTGAGGTCTACTTGAGGGTGGAGGGTGGGTGGGAGGAGAGAGAGGAGCAGAAAAAATAGCTATTGGGTACTGGGCTTAATACCTGGGTGATGAAACAATCTGTACAACGAACCCCCATGACACGAGTTTACCTACATAACAAACCTTCACATGTACCCCCAAACCTAAAATAAAAGCTAAATTTAAAAAAAAAAAGAACTTGGCCTCAAGTTCTTGACCAAACTACACTAAGAAGGCAAGTCAGGGAGGAAGATGGTGTGGTAAAGATGGGGTATGATTAGCAACACCAAGCATTTCAATGCTAGGAAAGCTAAAAAAAGTAGAGCCATCTCTAAATCTCATGGGATACAGCAAAAATCTCTAAATCATATGGGATACAGCAAAAAGATGGAAAAAAATGCAAAACTTAAGGCTAGGACAGGTGTGGTGGCTCACACTTGTAATCCCAGCACTTTGGGAGGCCAAGGCTGCCAGGAGTTGGAGACCAGCCTGAGCAACATGGCGAAACCCCATATCTACGAAATATTTTTAAAAATTATCCAGGCCTGTAGTCCCAGCTACTCAGGAGGTTGGAGGACCCCTTCAGCCCAGGAGTCCGAGGGTACAGTGAGCCACGTTTGACAATGCAGTGAGGGTACAATTGCACCATTGTACTCCAGCCTGGGTGGCAGATCAAGACTCTGTCTCAAAAAACAAAAACAAACAAAAAACCAAAGGCTAAAATCATCTCTCAAGGAAAAAAAAATAGAGACCATAAGCATTTTGCACAGTTGCATAAAACCTACTGGATCAGAATTATCTGTGGAATAGCCTAAAAAACTTCCAAAAAATAATTTCTGAACTGCCTACAGAGATGTCCCCCTGGCGAGAATCGGACCAGTACAGTGGAGAGTAGCACACCAGCTATATTTCCTACCTAGCTTAACAGCCAGGCACCCAAAAATCAATTTCCCATGTTTTCCTTTAATGACTAAAATTCGCTTCCATGGAAATGTAAGGGTAAGCTAGATTAGAGGGAGTTTTTAACAATTACCCTGGCTAAACAAACACCTAAACAACAGTCTGCAAACTGGAAGACTAGTGGATACATTTTATTGAAACTACGAACATTAAACAAAACACTTCCAGTTTAAACACGACCCCAGTTATTTCATAGCCATGTAATTATTTGTTAAGTCTGATATTAAAAACATCTCATATTGGATTGCTGTGGTTTTGTGAATTCTCACCCTCAACTGGGTCAGAAAGACTTGAAAGGAATAAAGTCTTTACTTATGGCTTGATGCGGGGCCATTGGCATAGTAAGTGCTCTGTCTTTTAACTGGTTGAAATAAACAGACAAAACAGAAACACACACATATACCCCAAATTTGAATCAGAGAGAGCCAGTATAAAATGATACAAGTACCAGTTCTCTGGGCTTGCCAGATTTCTGCTCTATAAGTAATATTAAACATGGCTCTTGGTCTATGAATTGTGAAACACTTTATATACTAATAAAGAATGTGTACTTCATTGTGTATTTAACTGCGTAAGCCTGTATTTGGTTTAATTGACCAAGAATAAGTCCTTGTTCCAAAGCTAACTATCAAGTTACAGTCAACTCTTAAATATTAACACTCATATTGAAAAACAAAGATGCAGATAATACGAAACAGAAGATTATTTTAAATCATTCACTCTTGGTATGCGGATATATTCTTTCT
Source organism: Homo sapiens (assembly GCF_000001405.40). NCBI lineage: Eukaryota > Metazoa > Chordata > Mammalia > Primates > Hominidae > Homo > Homo sapiens. Next base: position 121,589,933 of record NC_000010.11, read on the forward strand.
TCCTTTCTTTTAACTTGCAATTAAATGCGTATGGTTAATATTATGGCATTTACAATACTTCTAACAAAGGACTTAAACCATACTGGAAAAATCTGACTTAGGGAGGTCTCTGTGTAGATCCTGTCCTCGACGTTTCTGCTACTGAACTCTGGACCAACTCACGTTGGTCCAGGAGAGCATCACCTCTCAGAAGATTGACAAAAAATTGCTACACAAACTACATTTTTTTTCAGGTTGTTACTTTTCAGAGTCACACTCTGTGGAGGGTGGGAAAGTAATTAAGGGTGTAGGGTTGAAAAGCCCTTTCATTTTAGCTCCTACTGGGTTGGTGTAAACAAAGATGCCATTAATGTCAACAATGACTTAATTAACCAGAGTAGGTGACAATGTCAGGAAGAACTTGAAAGTAAGAGTTGCCCCCTCTCAGGGTAATCAAGCTTGACTAGACTTCAAATATTTATAATGTTAATCAACAGAATAGTACTTGGCATTGAGGACTGCCCCCCTTCGAGTCAATAACCATGTTTTCACTCCTCTGCTGGTGCCCTATAACAATGAATGACCAAAAGGAAATTAACAATGAATGACCAACTGGAAAACTCATATTTAATCTGAAATATTAAAAACTAAAATCTTCTAGAGATTATTTTCTTAAGTCAATTGAGTGGGCCCAACCCCACTGCTACTATTTCAGAACGTGTCCAGAAGACAAATGATATATATGATATATGATATGACATATGATATGATACGATATTGCACAAAGCCAAGATGACTAAACATAACCTTTCCCTGAGGGGCCAAAAGAAAAGGACCCTCTAGTGTTAGGGCCCAGGCTTCTTCCTGGAACTTCTCAGTCACATTTTTCTCCTATCCAATAGACATTATCTAAACTGAGCTTCCAAATAAATTAGCAAACCAAAAAGTCTTACAAGATAAGACCTTGGTGCACAGAAGGTCAAGGTGGAACTTACTGCTAACCAAAGCTATAGTAGTTCTAATCATGGAGAACTGATGGACAGGGGCACAGGCACGCACGCACGCACGCGCACTCGCGCACACACACACACACACGCACACTCTCTCTCTCTCTCTCTCTCTTCCAATTCACCAGCACAGAGCCTAAACCTGAGCCCATTTTCAGCTGTTAAAAACTCCTTTCTCATCTATAATTCAATGACCTTCCTAATCACCTCTGACACCAAAGCGAACTCCTGCAACAGAAGAACTGGTCTTAGGGCTCAAATCAGTGGCCAGTATTAGACTAACAGATGAGGGGAAGTGGGGACCCTACAGAAAGCAAACACAGCTTCCTGGAAACACCAAGGGCCTCCTCCATCCAAAAACAACTTTCTTCTCAACTGTCTCCAAAAGCCTAGATGTTTTTTGACATTGTGGCACCTGGCACAGCCAGCCCACGGGACTGGGAAGACCCATGTTCCCAGCTCCCTGGCGACAACGGCGACAAGGCCATGCACCCGGTGCTTACTGGATGCCAGCCCCTGTGCTAATTGCTCTTTATGTCCAGGTCAAATGGAAATCTCCTAACAACCTTTTGGTGGAAGAGTCAGAAGACTTCTGAGGACATTAATATTCAATGACTATTAATGAAGAGACCCTAAAGATCATCTTCTTAAGCCCTCAGACGACAGAAAGGGAAACTGAGGCCTGGGACTTGTATACTTTTCCAAAGCCTCTTCTTTGCCAGGTTTTGCACCTTCCTCTAAGACATCTTTTCTTTTCCATCTCATAATTCTGGATGCAAATGAACTCATAGCTCATGGAAACTATAAACCCATAAAAATGCACAAAAGGACATTAACAAAATATTACCTAAAATTTCCAGAACTTCATCGACCTCCTTCCTGATCCATAAGTGCATCCACAGATCCCAGGTTGAGCAGGCCTGCTTCCAACAATACCCACATTGTTGGATGTAAATTCTTACACAAAGACTCACTCGGGGAACTTCGTCCCTTTCCACGATTTCTTCCCTCTGCCTCACCTGTCCCTCCCTGCATGTATACACAATTTTAAACTTCCTTCAAGAATTAAATACAGTAAAACAAATCCTCTGGGACCATTTTACACTTTATGTTGAAATAAACTCACAATAACGCTGCCCTGAAAAGCCAAAATGAAAAATGACAGTTTTTCCCTAACCTGGGTTGCTCCTAAAGCCCACACCGTAGGAAATCCCAGCTCAGCTTCCTCAGTTTTTGCCGAGCCACGCACTCAAGGGAAAACCAGCAATCACGGAAACATCCATTTTAATTATTAGCAAAATTAAAGACGTACAGGCATGACTTTCAGAAACCAGGAACTTTTTCCCTCTTACATGAAAGCCCTGTAAAAATGCATCACCACTGCAAATTACACTCATCCTGGTGTCCCAGCACAAATCACCAAGAGGCAGTTCCATAATCGGCCTGTAGCTGTAGCTATACAAGCCTCAGACACAAACTCCTACCAGATTCCCTTCCCAGAGACGCAGGGAGATGTCACCACACCTGTTAATTATAGAGCTGCCATCCCTCTGTGTAACGAAAAGTTCCCCAGTCTCACACGATTGCTTCAGGTGATAAGTGCTTCGGTCCTCATCCTTCAATGACAAGTGCCTGGGGTCTTCCTGGGGAGCCCATGTCTCTCAGAACTCTCATCTCAGATGGACGCAACCCTCCTTCCTAAACTGTCCTGATCCAGCTAAGGAGGCTGGGCTCTCTGTCCTCTCCCAGCCTACCCCACTGGGTAAGTGTGCTGTTCATTCACCCCACGCACGAGATGTGTTCCCAGAGCAGCTCAGCTTACCCCAGACACCACTCGGACTGCTGCGGGTTCCTAAAGCCAGGCAGGCACCAGGTGGACTCTCCACAAACAGGTTCATTAAGTGGCGATGAGTGCTGGGATCTGCCGTTTTATTCTCGGATTACCACTCGAAAAATAACTCAGCTACCAATATTCCCTACTGATGACAGATTTCAGTGCAGCACCAAGTAGAGGCTTGGCTCACGTTGTCTCCAAAGGGCTGGGAGAGAGGTTCCAAATCTGCTAAGCTGAATAATTCAGCCTCATGTAGTCCTCGTAATTGGACTTACACCTTGAAAATTAAATTTCCAAAGCTGTGACACCGGCGCATGCCCTGTGATACTTGGAGGTTCTCGGAGCTGGAGGAGATCCCCTGGCACATTCACTTTCAAGTTTACCTAAACTAGAATCTGCCACTCTGTGATGATGCATTGCTTAAGTATTATGAATTACAATGGCTAAAAAAAAATTCTGAGATGTCAAGCCTCTCTCTCTGTGCTAAACTTCAGAAACTTCTTTTCTCCTTAAACAATGAAAATAAGATGTCAGCATTTCAGATGTTGGCAATTTCTTTTAGTGGTTCATCTTGTCCGAAAATAGCAATTCTTTACATTGTAAGCAGTAGGAATGATGCTGGGGGAGACTAGAGATGACATTCATCCTCCCAAGGTTCATCCCTTCCACAGCTCTCTCGGGCACTGGATAAAGGCCAACTCCCAGCTGTCTCCCTCACCCAGCACAGAGAAACACACACAGCAAGAAACCACCAAACTATACCATCCTGCCTGCAGTGCTGCGGCAAAGGACCTTCTCTCATCAGCTCTGCCTTGCCGGGAGCCAAGAGACCACGATCTGGTGCTCTTAGAAGCCCCATTTACAATGCAAGGGTAGCTGATTCTAAAACAGGCCTTAACAATCTGCCCCCAGACAAATCCCAAAACAAACCTGAAAAGTGAAATTAAATGACTTACCTTCTGGCTCTAATGTGGTATCCTCAACTAAACTGAAGGAGGGCCGGGCCAGGGACAAGGTTGCCATGGTGACCACGACCAGGCAGATGAAACGACCCCAGCTGACCATGGTTACGGTACCAATCCCCGGTCCTCTTCCATATCTCCATGTGGACGTTAATCCCATCTGCACACTTCCTCTACGGGCATGGACTACGCGCAATGCCTTCAGCCTGCGGTGGGCTCAGGAACCGAGGCGCTGCCGCTGCTGCTGCAGTCACTAAAGGAAAGAGATTGGCGAGTCAGGGAATCTTCCCCAATGCCAAATCACTCCAGCCCAAGTGGGATAAAACCATTTTTCAGCCTCTCAAATGTGCGCAAACAGAGTTCTTTTTCATTATCTGCTAAATCCTTCCATCCTCACCTCAGAGTCCCAGGTGATACCACCAGACCGGTCCACAGAAATGTGTGAGGCTAATCTTTTTAAAAGCATACTTTTAAGAAACAGAGATAAAACAGTAGCTACAGGACTCAGATACGTGCAGCCACTTCAGTGAGGCAATGTGTGCTCTCTTCTACTATCCACTATCGCCTCCACCGCCCTCAATGAGCAGAAGCAACGTGACCTTAGTTTCAAGGGCAACTACAAAAGCAAGTTAAAAATGCTCGGGTTGGCATAACCAACCTCGTTCCCTTCTCTTAGTCCAACTGGGCTTTAGAAAGCTAAACTGTTGGAGGAGTCTGCTCACAGCTCCGTATTTCTGCTGGGCTGGAGGTGAGCAGTCTCCCACCCTCACTGTCGCTCTTGGGAAGAAAGGAGACCAGCAAAATCAAAAGAATCCCAGGAAGGCTACAGAAAATTCCCACCAGTTTACACTTGTCAGGATTCATTTTCAAATGGAGAAGTGTCTTTCAGTCTTCCGCCAAGCAGCCACTTACGAAGAGTGAACACAACTGCAGCGCATTCAACGCAGCTGATCCAAAAAGGACTTCGAAGCCTGAATTCCCTTCCCCTGTGACTAAATGGCAGTCCAGGGCTGCTAAATGTCTTCAACCTCTGTAGAAGGGTGAGGAAACTGAGCAGATGCAAATTCTGATGAATAATGCAGGAATTTATTAATAATGATGATGTAAATTATGTAAATTATAGTCATGGTATGTGATTGGACCAATAACTTTCCATATGCAAACCTACTGGCTAAATTTTCAGAGTATAAGTTAGAAGAGGACACTCAACTTAATATTCTGTTCACCCATTTGATCCAAGGGAAAGAGAATTTTCCAAGAAAGCTTAATATATTCCAAGCAACTTTAAATTCACTCAGTACTCTCTGTGACTAAGGGTACAGTAAAATGCACAAACTTTAGAGAATGATTAAAACAATCACAAGAAGGGGCTCATCAATCTCAGGCTTCAGATTCTGTGAACCACAGGAATGAACCACATTTTCTAAGACTGGGGGTGGCAGGGAGGCCTTTAATACAAAAATCTCTAAACTCTACATTTTTTATGTACCCACTCGATGTTTCAAGTTATGTCATAGGATTTCAACACTGCTGGAGCCTCCCCAAATCTCATCATAAAAACTGCTCCTTTTAGCTTTGACTGAGGACAAAAATGGAGGAGGGAAAAGAATATGCCACATCATTTCCAAAGGAGGAATAAAGAAAACCTCTGCTTCAAAGATAGCACAGGTGAAACGGTGTGATTCACAGCAAAAGCAAGAAAAGTATGTGTGCAGTGTGTGTGTGTGTACACGGTGTGTGTGCGTGCATGGTGTGTGTGTATGCACGGTGTGTGTGTGTACATGGTGTGTGCGTGCACGGTGTGTGCATGTGCTTTCAGATAGCTTGAAAGATTTTTCCTCTTAACTTTTCTTTCCTCTTAGTCAAGAGCCTCAGAAGATAATTTCGGATCTATTTCTACATACATGTGGGAGGAAAGTACACAAACATTCTCATTGATTTACTAAGCATTTGCAGAATGCAGGGGAATTTTCTACCTCTAACACGACTTCAGGAACAATCCTAAGTCCTCGCAGAGGTTTCACCCCAGGCTCCTTCCCCGGCCTGCTCGCCCACCTGTCCCTGCCCAGAGGAGCCTCCTTGGCTCCAGGCAGAGAAAGGTGGACAGGGCGCTCCGCTGAATCTCAAGCCGTTCCATCATCCCGCTAGCTGGCACTAGAAATTTGCATTTCAGCCATTTCCAGGTCCAAACCCCACGGCAGCCCCCTCCCCAAAACTCTGGAAGGCGGAGACCTAAGGCGACAGGTCTGCACAGTTCCTCACACCAGTGGACAAAAGTATGGTGCGACCTCCTAGGCAGGATAATTAGGTCCCCAGGCTCGGTGTTGGGAATACAGGCCCAGCATGCCGCTGGCGGCCACAATCCCGGCTTCCTGCCTTCAATACCATAATCCTTCCTGGAGTCTGAGCCCCAGTGAAAGCCCCAGCGTGTTTATTTTTCCCCTTGAAAGGGAACTCTCTTCTCAGCCTGCACGCGGGAGGAGTTGTCACCCTCCCTCTGATGGATGGCTCTTCTCGGCCGCCCGCCCCCCGGTCCATTTTCACCTCGGCACAAGCCTGCCCCCAAAGACAGGCAGAGTGACAAGCAGGAAGGGCTTGGCTGCGGAGCGGTCCCCATGCCAGGCCTGTGCTGGGCTCTTCAATTTACCATGACATTCCCAAAACCCCCGCCCTCCAAGAAGGCAGACCAATACAGTGCCCTCCGCTTTGGGCTTCCACCTAAGGGGTGATCTGTCCACTGCTGGCTCGGCCACTGGGATCACCTGGTGTTTTGTTCCTGGGTAGATTTCACATCAGGAAAGTCAACAGTGTCCGGCTCCTCCAAAGTGCAGACCCATCTCTTCGCTTAAGGCCTCCCTACTTCTCCCCAGCACTGAGTAGGAGCGGGAGCTGTCAAGGGGTCAAGGCTAGGGGGAAATTCCTCAACAAATTGAAATCTCAAAAAACACACACTGACCCAGGACCACAAAGCCCTCCCGGTTTAATGCTTGCGTCCAATCAGAACTTGCGAGCAGCTTGGGGGTGCTCCCCACCACCACCCCCTTTCAGGGCAGCACTTCTTTCATTTGTTTGCCTGAAATATCCTGTTTTTCTCCCCCTTCTCGGGGCGCTAAAGAGCTCAGAGAAATCTGCATTTTAATTGACATTCCAGGGAAAGAGAGAGGGGCGCCTGATTGCTTTTCTATTCAAACTAAACAGGCTTTTCAGATGAAAATGAGTCGAGCCCGGTGGAAGATTTACAGGGATTTGGGACCAGGGAGACAATGGAGTTTTAAATGTTGATAGCGTTTCACACCAAACACATAATGGGTGCCCTGAGTTTGAAAGCAGGTTTGCCTTTAAGGGTAGGTTTTATTGAATTGGGAGAAAGGAAGGAGGGTCTGGAGAACGGTCTGCAAGGGAGCGGGGTGCGAGGAGAGCGACGGAGGCTGGTGGTCCCCGAGCGGGCCTCCTGCGCCAGGTCCGTGGTCCGCGAGGGTCGGAGCCAGCGCCACGCAGGGCCCTCGGCTTTTTTCCCCAGCGCGGCCCCGTGGCCGAAAAAAATGAGCGCGCAAGTTAGAACTCGCCTGCGCTTTCGACATCTCCCAGCCGCTGCGGCAGAGCAGGCAGGCGAACTAGAAAAAGTCGGTCCAGTTCGCCCCCTAGCCCCAGGCGCACTGCGCTCCCTCCAGCGCCGACGGCGGCTGCGGGCGAGGGGCGCCCAGGCACCGGAGCCGTCGCCTCCCCAGCAGTGCCACCCCTGGCCATCGCCACCCCTACGGGATGTCACCGGCCCCACCCCAGCGGCCCCCTCCCGAAAAAGGGGTCTCCGCAGGGCCTGGATGGTACGGAAGTTCCCAGGACACACGGATGGGGCACCTCGGAGATGACCCCGGGAACCGGCCTGCGGGGCTGTGCCACGGGCAGGCGAACCTTCCGCCCGTCTGCTCTGGGGTCGGAGAAACGCGCCCAGTCAGCGGGAATGCGCCCGCCAGGGTTTGACAGGGAGGGGGGCGTCAACGCCAGAAGCAGATGTCAGCATCTGGATGGGGGTAGCAGAGGCAGAACTTCCAGAACGCCGGCCGTCAGCACGCACCCACCTCCCCCATCACCTATGCAGCCACAGAGGGAGGACACGGAGCGTCCTCCACAATGCTAGTCCTTCCGCGCCCCCCGCCCGGAGGACGGTGCACCCGGCGTCCCGGGCTCCCGTGGCGCCCACGTCCCCGGCTGGCGAAGCTCCCCGAGGCGTCTTGCGCGGCGATTACCTTGAATGGCAACGCTCCTCCGCGACCTGTGTTGTCCCCGCGCCCCGCGTGGGTCGGGATGGAGAAAGCGACGAGCCCGGGGTTGCGGGGAGCAACTCCAAACGCAGAAGAGTGGTCCTTGGGTCTTCGCCGGCGCCAAGCCTCCCGGGCTTCACGCGTACCCCAGGCTGCGGAGGAGCGCGGGCATGACGCCCGCGGGCTGCCCTCGGATTTGGGGAACGAGAGGAAGAAAGGACTCAGGCTTGGCGTTGCCTCCACCAAACTTTGCTCGCGAGTTGCGAAGGCTCAGAGCGCGCAGGCAAGCTGCGGCCTCGGGGCCCCCGGGGCTCGCGGCCGGCCCCCGCCAGCCCGGAGAGCAGTCGCCGCGCCGGGCCAGGTACGCCGCATGCAGCCCCGCGGCGCCCGAGCTTTGTGGCGGCCGCGCGCGCTCCCTCGCCCGCTCCGCACCCGCCGCCCGCCCGCTCGGCTCTCCACCGCGCTCTCCTCCAGCCGCCGCCCGCGCCGCCGCCGCCGCCCCCGCCTCCTCGCGGCGGGTCACGCCCCCACTGAAACCCGAGCCGTTTCCTGGACGGCGGCGCCCTCTCTGCCAATCAGCGCCGCGCGCCCGGGCCGCCCCGAGTCCCGCGCGGCTCCCGACGCCTCCGAGCAGCCGGAGACACCGGCCCGGGAGGCGAGGGCTCGGCCGCGATGCGGCCGTAGGGATGCAGCGACAGCCTCCGAATAAGGCCTGGTCCCGCGCCCCGCGCCACCTCCTCCCTCCTCCCCGGGCGAGCGAGGCTGGCCAACGGCTCGCTGAGCGACTGCGTTACGTTGTTTTATGTCAAGTTAGAAAACAAATGACCGAAGGCTCTAACCCTGCCCTCCCGCTAAAGAGACTTTAAAATGCGCCTGCTTGATACTGCGGGGAGGGTTGCCAGGCAGCTGAAGCTTTTGGAGGAGAGGAAGCCACTTGGAAATGTTCGCAGGACATTGCATGTTTCTGTCCTTCTAAACAATAGAAATGAGAGGAAAAAACTGAATATTAATGGAGGCCCTACTATGGGAGGGTCACACTACATAGGTGATTCTATTTCATCTGCCCAACCACCCTGCAGAGTACTATTCCCAGTTTCTGATAAGGAAACAGGATCAGAGAGGTTAAGTAATTTGCCTAGGACCACACAGCTGGCTACTAGGACAGCCTGACTTTGAATGTGGCTCTCTCAGAAAAAGCCAAAATTGCATCAAAAAAAAAAAGTGTTTAATAATATATGTTTGGATTAATAAAAAGAAATTCAAAGGAGTCTAAAGACAACTCTACCATAAATAGACCTTGAACAAAGTAATTCCTCCCTCTGAATCTTAGATTAAAAATCATAAATGCAAAATCTGATTCTTCAACTGCACACCAAGCTGTAACTGGTTAAAGTTCCTATGTCCATTTACCTTTTCACTAAGCCGTGTCTTCGGAATAATTTATTTTAAATATGCTTTTTCTCCCTCCTTATTCATCCAGCTCCTGAGCAGCCGTGCTTAAGTTCAAGACCATATAGATTAAAACCTTAATTATTTTTCTTTAGAAAAGGTCACTAAACCCAGAAATGCTTTAGAATCCTTTTGAGGCCTGAAGATAGATGAAGCATTGAGAACAAACCTGACTTGGAAAACAGACTTTTCCTGGATTTAGAAACATATTTGCACCTGTGTCACTAACATTGCACCCTTCATAACATTTACAAAAATATTTTTCAAGGTGCTACATGATTAGAAAATCATTTTTATTCACAAATATAGCACAGAAAACGTTTATGCAAGTTATTTAAAAGCCACACAAGTAAGAAATCCATTTAACTGCCTCAGGCAAAAGGCTATAACATTGTATTTTGGAAATTTGATAGCAACAAAATAAAAACTGGTTCTTAAGCAAAATTATCCCTCTATATGCTTGGTGGGAGGGTATGTTTTTGGTCAAGTCCTCTAACCTGGATTAGCCCCAGAGCCTATACATTAACGGACACCTCAGCCCAGGTTGACACTTAGCCATTCACTCCCACACGGGTTGTTCTGATAGCAGTATGTTTTCAAGTTCTCAGAAAAGGGATGCAGCTGAACGTGTCTGCCTGCTCGCAGGTTGCCACTTACATCTTTATATTCCCCACCAATGGGAAACTCGAGTGTCTCAGGACAGTTCCTTTCCCATCCTACACCGCATCCATCAGCCATTGAAAATGCTGTTAACACATTCTCACATAAATTAATGGTGCAGGAAGCCGCTGTCCCTATCCCCCATTCATCAATAGCTTTATGCATGTTGAATGGAAAGGAAGCTTTCCGCTGAAAATGACAAATAAGAACACCTACTTTCATGTCCAGGCACAGTTTGCAGAATGTATTTTTTATAGAAATGAAAAGACACCAATCTATCAAAAGCTCCTTATTCCCTAAAGAGGGCTCATATATAAGGGACTGAAACCCACAAGACCACAACAGGAAACTCTTCAGTTTTGAGGAGGGGGGGGAAGTATGTTTAGAATTATTTTTAAAAAATCAATTATGTCCCCATATTTAGTCTTCAAGTGACCTCAGACCATCCAGGAAAACCTTCACACCACTGAGGCTTCTGAATGAGAAAATAATCTCTTTACAGTTTTTTCTTTTCTCTTCCCTCTTCAAGTGGCTGGAACCCCTTTCGTCAATGGCCTCCCATGAATGGTGTTGCTAATAAAGCCTATTAATGAGCTTCCACGGCGGAGTGTGAATAGGTAAATAAGCCCCAATCTGTTGAGGTTCTGGGGCAAGGGCAGAAAAGCCAGTAAGAACTAAAGGTGACAGTTTGAACTGAACTGCGAACGCCAGCACCAGGTTTCAGCTGAAAGAACCGCCAGACAAGGACACATTCACAGTTCCTCCACCCCCTACTGAGGTCTCTTTTCTTCGCAATTTTCCCCCCTTTACAAAATGTCTTGAGTAGTCACCCTTTTTTTTTTTCAAAAGCCCTCGAGACGCCCTTCTTTTTTCACTCTAGTAATGATACATCAATGGGAAGGAAGAAAAATGAGGACACCAGAACTCCGATGCCCCCAAAAGTTTCAAGAAACAAATTGTGCTGCTAGCCCGTTGGTGATGGGAAGAGAAAGGAGAAGGGGGTGGGAGCGCTCACTACCATGGGCCTCTCTCCTTTGAAGATTTGGAATTTTTCTTTTAATAATTTGTTTTGTAATGGGTGGCTGTTCCTTCACTCTATGGAAACGTTAGATGAAATAAAGGCTGCTGACATGAAGTGCTCATGAACCTTCCCGGGTGGATCTGAGCTCCCTGCAACACCAGGAATTTCATTCTCTAAGCTACATCTCAATAGTGCCCTCGGCATAAAAGAAGCACTCAAATGGAAGGATATAGAATAGTCGGAGGACTATGATAAGAGTATTTACTTCTGGGTAAGGGGAGGGGCTGGATGCTGTGACAGCTCCAGCCCATCTTCAGGGAGCTTGTGGCATTTAAGTGAAGCAAAATCATTGATCCCACTACTGAACAGCATCAATGATTTTAAACTTAGAACTGGGCCTGAATTCCAAAGCCAAGGCTTCCCCGGAGACAAAGTCCTTCTGGAAGTATAGCCTCACTTTGAGGCAAAGGGGAATGGCTTTCTTAAGGTGAGAGGCTGGATGCAGCTTTCTTTACTCAATAGCTTTGTGACCTGTGGCCGGGCGCAGTGGCTCACGCCTGTAATTCCAGCACTTTGGGAGGCCGAGGCAGGCGGATCACTTGAAGGCAGGAAGTCGAGACCAGGCTGACCAACATGGTGAAATGCCGTCTCCACTAAAAACACAAAAATTGGCCGCTTGTGGTGGCGCATGCCTGTAATCCCACATACTCTGGAAGCTAAGGCATGTGAATCGCTTGAACCCAGGAGGCTGAGGTTGCAGTGAGCTGAGATCGCCCCACTGCACTCCAGCCTGGGTGACAGAGCAAGATTCCCTCTCAAAAAACAACAAAAAAAGGCCTGGCATGGTGGCTCACACCTGTAATCCCAGCACTTTGGGAGGCCGAGGCAAGTGGATCACCTGAGGTCAGGAGTTCAAGACCAGCCTGACCAACATGGAGAAACCCCGTCTCTACTAAAAATACAAAATTAGCTGGGCATGGTCGTACATGCCTGTAATCTCAGCTACTCAGGAGGCTGAGCCGGGAGAATCACTTGAACCTAGGAGGCAGAGGTTGCGGTGAGCCGAGATCGTGCCATTGCACTCCCGCCTGGGTAACAAGAGAGAAACTCCGTCTCAAAAAAAACAAACAAACAAACAAACAAACGCTGTGTTACCTCAGGCCAGTTGCTTGAGTTATCTGAGTTTTCCATTTTCTCAGCTGTAAAATGGGGAAAATAATGGTTCTTATTTCCTGGATTTTTTTTTTCTTTTTTTTTTTTGAGACAGAGTTTCACTCTGTCACCCAGGCTGGAATGCAGTGGCACGATCTCGGCTCACTGCAGCCTCCACCCTCAGGGTTCAAATGATTCTCCTTCCTCAGCCTCCTGAGTAGCTGGGACTACAGGTGCCTGCCACCGCGCCCAGCTAATTTTTTGTATTTTTAGTAGAGATGGGGTTTCACCATCTTGGCCAAGCTGGTCTTGAACTGCTGACCTCGTGATCCACCCGCCTCGGCCTCCCAAAGTGCTGGGATTACAGGCGTGAGCCACCGCACCCGGCCTCTCCTAGATCTTTAATAGGATCACTAAGAGGATGAAATGAGTTAGGACGTGACAAGCACTTAGTTTTTCTTTGTTTTTGTTTTTTTATTTGTTCGGGTTTTTTTGGTTGTTTTGTTTTTGCCTTTGTTTTTGTTTTTGTTTTTTGGTTTTTTTTGAGATGGAGTCTTGCTCTGTCATCCAGAGTGCAGTAGCGTGATCTTGGCTCACTACAACCTCTGCCTCCTGGGTTCAAGTGATTCTCCTGCCTCAGCCTCCCAAGTAGCTGGGACTACAAGCGCCTGCCACCACGCCCGGCTAATTTTTTTATATTTTTAGTAGAGATGGCATTTCACCAAGTGATCCACCTGCCTCCCAAAGTGCTGGGATTACAGGCGTGAGCCACCGCACCCGGCACTTAATTGTTTTTGTTTTGGTTTGGTTCGGTTTTTTGAGACAGGATCTTTCTCTGTCACCCAGACTGGAGGGCAGTGGCACAATCACAGCTCACTGCAGCCTCCAACTCCTGAGCTCACGCAAGCTTCCCACCTCAGCCTCCTGAGTAGCTGGGACTATAGGCATGCACCACCATGCCCAGCTAATTTTTGTATTTTTTGTAGAGACAGGGGTCTCATTATGTTGCCCAGGCTGGTCTCAAACTCCTGGCCTCAAGTGATCCTCCCTCCTTAGCCTCCCAAAGCACTGAGATTACAGGCGTGAGCCACCATGCCCAGCCTCGCTTAGACATTTTTATTCAGGTGGTCCTCATGGTTTGGAGAAACTTTGACACACGAGCAAGTCTCTTGAGGATTACTATCCATACACAGTAGTCCACCCTGATATGCAGTTTCCTTTGCCATGGTTTCAGTTACCCTCAGTTACCTGAGTTCAGCTGCAGTCTGAAAATAGGTGAGCATAGTACAATAAGATATTTTAATTGAGAGACCATATTCATATAACTTTTATTATAACTGTCCTTTTTTAATTAGTTTATTATTATTAATACTTTTTTTTTTTTTTTTGAGACAGAGTCTCGCCCTGTCACCCAGGCTGAAGTGCAGTGGCGCCATCTCGGCTCACTGCAACCTCCACCTCCCGGGTTCAAGAGATTTTCCTGTCTCAGCCCCCCAAGTACCTGGGATTACAGGTGCCTGCCACCACGCCCGGCTAATTTTTGTATTTTTAGCAGAGACGGGGTTTCACCATGTTGGCCAGGCTGGTCTCAAACTCCTGACCTTGACTGATCCACCCGCCTCAGCCTCCCAAAGTGCTGGGATTACAGGCATGAGCCGCCGTGCCTGGCCTATTATTAATACTTTACTGTGCCTAATTTAGAAATTAAACTTTCTCATAGTGTGTAAGCGTAGGAAAAAACATCCAAACAGGAGGCGTCACAATGCCCATCAGTGCCCACTGCTCCCCAGCAGCGGTCCAGGGGGAGGCAAGGACAGTGCCAGGCAGAAGACACTTTTCCTACTAGGAGAACCACATATAAGGGTGAACAAACCACTGTATATGGCTAAGAATAATCATAGAAAACACGTAACCTTCCCATGTGCCAAAGAGTTTCTCAATACCATGAGGACCATACAAATAAAAATGTCTAAGTGCTTGTCACATCCCAGTTCATTGAATCCTCTTTGACCCTATTAAATAGCTAAGAGATAGCAAAGACACCTCTGTTCCCAAGGAAAGAGCTTCTTGAAAACCACTAGGGACATCTGAATAAAGGCTGCCCTGCTCTAACCATTTCTTGAATTTCTGAGTGACTTGAACGGCACAGGTTGTTCTTCCGAAGGAGACCAGGCCTAAAGGTGAAGAAGTGCATGTCAAACCTATGACAGCGCATCAAGTATGACCCCTGGATTTTACAGGGGAAGAAAGCAGGGCACACAGAGGGATGATGGGCTCAAAGTCACCCCTCTGGTTAATGGCAGCAAAACCCAGAAAAGTCTGTGTTCCTGACTCAGCTGGGGTTACAATGGCCACTAGTACAAGTCCACCATGGCAGGTGAGTCTCACCCATCCAATGCCAGGCAATTGGCTCTTTCTAGGGGATTCCACATCTTTCTTTCTTTCTTTCTTTTTTTTTTTTTTTGAGACAGAGTCTCATTCTTTTGCCCAGGTGTTGCCCAGGCTGGAGTGCAGTGGCGCAATCTCAGCTGACTGCAACCTCCACCTTCCAGGTTCAAGCGATTCTCCTGCCTCAGCCTCCCAAGTAGCTGCGACTACAGGTTCCCGCCACCACACGTGGCTAATTTTTGTATTTTTAGTAGAGACAGGGTTTCACCATGTTGGCCAGGCTGGTCTTGAACTCCTGGCCTCTGGTGATCCAACCACCTTGGCCTCCCAAAGTGCTGGGATTACAGGCATGAGGCACCGCGCCCGGCCAGAATGGAGATATTTCAAGTAGCATTCATTGCCTCTGAAACTGTTACTATTTCCAGAAAACAATTACCCACTCACCATGAGTTCAGCTCACTTCTCCTCCTTCAAGTGCTCCAAGAAGGATTTCTGTAAGGGTTATTATTGTTGTTAATATTTCAAAGAGCCTTCAAGTTTAGGTGCATACGCTTGTTAGACACCTCTTTCACACACCTACAGTTTCATCTGCTGAATCTGCATAGTCTTCAAAATAGGGGAGGAATAAAGGAGCAATTTGTGGTTCACAGAACGACTATTGTCAATAACAAGTGGAAGTGAAAAATTTTTAAGAATTACTAAGACTTGCATTTGAGAAATTAAGACTTAAAACTCTGCGACACATTTGCAGTTTACAAATGAGTAATCGGGTTTGTTGCCCAAAATGCAACGGAAGGGCAATTTGGGAAACTTGAATGCATTCTGTGTTTTTAAAAAAATTAAACAAAAGCAGAAATCACTATAAAAGTGGGGGGGGGGATAATTGGGAAAATTTTAATATTGTCCAGATAGGAGATCATATTAATATTAGAGATTGAATATTAGAGATTGTTGTTAATTCACTTACATAAGATTATGACAGCTTGGCTTTGTAGGAAATTTTCTGTATTCTTATGAGATCCATGCCAAAGTTTAAAGGATTAAATGGCTTGATGTTTACAACTGACTTTCAAGTGGCTCAGGAAAAAAAAGGACAAACACACACAGATAAAGCAAATATGCAAAATGTTAACTCTTGACACTATACAGTTGAGAGTATACATTACTTATTGCACTATTCACCCAACTTTCTTAATGTTTAAACAATTTCACAATTAAAACCTGGGGGAACTCTAGTGGAGGGCATTATGGACTCTGACCCCAGTACTGTCCCTTGTGCCACCCCTGTGGCCACAAACACATTCCTACCTTTGGCTTCTGCCAATCTGAATCTATGAAGGAAAACTGGTAGGTCAATTAGCTGGTTGGCCAAGCCAGCTGCATGTAACATCTACAATGTCCAAGGTCTCAAGGTATTTTTGACAAGTAATGTGGTGCCATAGAAACAGCACTGAGTCAGGGCCCCCAAGACCTGAGTTTTTATCCCAACGTGGTCAAGGGCTAACTATGCAAGTCTAGGCAAGTTACTGAACAAGCCTCATCCCACCCCTAACCTTGGCCTCACCTTCTTTTGCATAACTGAAGTGTCCCCCTTCTATCTTAAAAATAAATTTATCTATGATCTCCGGCCTATCTCTGAACATTCCCCGCCTCCACCTGGAGCTGAAAACTTGTGGTTCACCCATCACTGAAGGCCACCCTGGTGTTACAGGAAGTGAACATCCTCTCCAAAGTATTCTGAAACCATAGTCTAGGAACCGTGCTGTTCCTACTGGTAACAAGTATCTACCGGAAAAGTCCTCTAATCCCTGGCCCATTGCTATTTAAGGGCAATTTATGGCATGTCATTTCTTGGCTGTGACTCCGTGCCTTTCAATCACCCCCACCCTCCACACATCACGACCACTTCCACCACAACGAGGTTTCCCAGCTCACTGGACAGAAACTATACAGGTGGTTTTAGCCAGGGTGGGGTAGATGAGGATGAGATTAGCAACAATATCCCGTCTGCTCCCACCCCACCCACACCCTTATCGCTGCCTGAAGCTATGCTGTCTGATAACGTTAACCACCAGCCAACATGATTATTTAAAGTTAAATCAATTAAAATTAAATAAGACTTCAGCTCCTCAGTAGCACCAGCCACAATTCAAGTGCTCAACAGTCACATGGGGCCAGGCCACTACATTGGAGAGTGCAGTATTATAGGGTATTTTCAACGTGGCAGACGATGTATTGGGCTGTGCTAGAGAGCACACCCTGCTTTCCGCTTCCTCCTCCAAGAAGACCTCCTTAGTCAGAGGAGTCCCCAGGAACTGCTCTTGCTCTCCCTCTCCAGGTCCCCCCGCTCATCACCCCTGGACTGCTCCCCATGCCCTAAATGGGCATCTTGCCTTACCAGGGTGGAGGTAGGGACAAGAATTCTACTCCTTAGATGGAGAACGGTGCAGGAGATACACGGGACAGGTCTTACTGTTGACAATGAAAACGATTTTAGCCGGGCATGGTGGCACACGCCTGTAATCCCAGCACTCTGGGAGGCTGAGGAGGGCGGATCACTTGAAGTCAGGAGTCTGAGATCAGCCTGGCCAACATGGTGAAACCCGGTCTCTACTAAAAAATACAAAAATTAGCTGTGCATGGTGGCATGTGCCTGTAATCCCAGCTACTCGGGAGGCTGAGGCGGAAGAATCGCTTGAACTGAGGAGGTGGGGGCTGCAGTGAGCCAAGATCGCGACACTGCACTCCAGCCTGGGACACAGAACAAGACTCCGTCTCAAAAAAAAAAAAAAAAGATTTTAGTCTGCACCATCACCTTCTGATCCTGGGGCCCCCTGGAAGCAGCTCCTGGTCTCAGTGGGAGTTTCTATGGGCCCTAAATTCCTCCCTTCGAGGATTCCTGCTCCCTCAAATCCTCAGAGATTCACAACTGTGTGCTTTCAGCCTCAAGCCCAGAGGGAGGAAAGGCTTTACTGAACCAAGATAGCCTGTCCATGGAAGAAAGCCTAGCAGAAACTGACCTTGGACAACAATTTTGGTGGAAAGGGGTTAATTGGGGACCACTAAATGCTAATACTCAGAAAGGCCGGGGCTGCATCTCCCATCTCTAGATTCCCAGGACCTGGCACTACCTGGCTAGTGGGAGCAGTTTATGGGGCTGTGTTTATACCTTACAGGCTCTTAATAGATGCTTGTTGATTGATGACTGCAACTCAGCCTCCTCCAGCATTTCCTAATTAAAGCATAAGTGCAAAGAGGCACATGTACATAGGTTTGTGTACACAGTGAGCACGGTCTCTTTAGAAGGTGGGGAATAGAAGCCAGTTTAGGACAAAGCTGATTGAGCTGTGTGAGGAAGTTACCTTTCCCTGCAATTACCTCATTTCCACGATGCGTTTCTTTCTCTTTTCTCTTGATTTCTGCCTTTGCTACACTCTTTCCCGAGGGTGTGTCTACTTCTTCCAAATGTGAAAAGAAGTTCACTTTCGCCAGGCACGGTGGCTCACGCCTGTAATCCCAGCACTTTGAGAAGCCAAGGCGGGCGGATTACCTGAGGTCAGGAGTTCGAGACCAGCCTGGCCAACATGGTGACACCCCGGCTCTACTTAAATACAAGAATTAGCCGGGCGTCGTGGCACACGTCTGTAATCCCAGTTACTCGGGAGGCTGAGGCAGAACTGCTTGAGCCCGGGAGACGGAGGTTGCAGTGTGCTGAGATTGCGCCACTGCACTCCAGCCTGGCTGACAGAGTGAGACTGTCTCAAAAAAAAAAAAAAAAAAGAAGAAGTTCACTTTCATAAACCAAAGGGGAGAAAAATGATGCTGCCAGGATCCTGGTAAACTCGGGGAGGGAGTGGAGAATACAGAGCCCCACACATCGTAAAACCACAAACCTAGTAACCCTTTTAGAGTCCCAGAGCTCTCGTATTGTGTCCCCAAGCTGGGGAGAAAGACCATCAAGTGGGGAGCGATTTCTTTAACAGATTTCTAAGAGCAGCGCTGAGCAAAAATTAACTCCTTCGCGGAGGCCGGATGCTGGCCTGGCGCTGGGGCAGCGCCCGGGAAGCAGGTGGCTCCAGGTGAGGGAGGCCGAGGTCCCGGGGCGCCCTTTGTTCTCCGGGTTCTGCGCAGGGAGGAGCGCATCGGGCGCCAGCGCCCCCGTGTGGCCGCGAGCACCGCGCGCGCAAAGCGGGGGCGAGCGCCGCCCGGGGCGTGGGTGACGGGGCTGGCATCAAGGTAGAGGGCGGCCGGGCAGGGAGGAGGGGCAGCCCCGCCAGCGCCGAGCCCAGCCCTGAAGTCGTTTCGGCTGTGCAGATGATGAGCGACCCAGGTCGAGGCGAATCAGGAGCCCAGGTGCTTGCCCAAGCACAGCTGGACGAAATGTCTGTTACCCCGACGGCTGGGGCGCGGGACCTTGCAGGGACGTGGTGCTGCAGCGGCCTCTGCCTGGGCCTGGCGTGCGGCTACCTCAGGCTAATTCTCCATTCGCTGCGTGGATTCGCCCCCGGGAGGCGGCCCCACGTTTCCAGCCTGTGGATCAACAAGGCGGAGAACCACCTTTGCACCCTCGCCGGGAAACCAGCTCCTACCTCCGGCCCCCTGTTGGGCCTTCTGGCCCTGGTGTTCTCTGGCGCTCCTCTCCCACCAAGGCCCGGCAGTCCTAGCTGTGGGCTGTCCTCTCTCTCTCTCTCTTTTTTTTAACCTCTACCTCCCGGGTTCAAGCGATTCTCCTGCCTCAGCCTCCAGAGTAGCTGGGATTATAGGCATGTGCCACCATGCTTGGCTAATTTTTGTATTTTTAGTAGAAACGGGGGTTTCACCATCTTGGCCAGGCTGGCCTCGAAGTCCTGACCTCGTGATGCACCCGCCTCAGTTTCCTAAAGTGCTGGGATTACAGGCCTGCGCTACTGCACCCCTTGGAGCTGTCCTCTCTTGAAAGCCACCACACCTGCTTCCTTCCTAGTCTCACCACAGCTGCCCTGGAGAGGTACCTGCCAGATTTGGGGCAGCCTCCGCCTCTGGTCTCTCCCCTGCCAGTCACCCTGCCCAGAGGTGGGGACCCCTGTCCTGCCCTTTCATCAGGCCAGTGGAAGCTTTGAAGGTTCCACATTTTCAGGAACCATGGCAACGGCCCTCTTAGCACAGAGTGGGTGCTTGGAGGCTGACGTTTATTGGGTGCATACCATGTTCCATGCAACTGGGATTATGGCCTTTAATGGGTGATCACACTTCAATCACAAGCACCCTGTGAGGTAGCACTACTGTGACCCCCATTTTATAAATCGTGCTATGGAAACACTGAGAGCTCATCCAAGGTTACACAGTCGGGAGGGAGGGCTGACCCTGGAGCCTGTGCTATCGCTTATGCTGCCAGCGTCCCCGTGACGGTGATGGGGTAGTGACTTCAGCTGATGAATGGAAACAGAGGCTAAAGGGGCTGATTCTCCTGATCTTCCCAGAGAAGTTGGCTGTCCCATCCAGATGACAATTGTCCCAGTTTTCAGATGTTGACTCCTTTTCTAGTGGGCCTGTGGACAGCAGGCTGCACCCTCTGCTGTCCTATAGTGGCTGAGATCATGGGACCTGGAGTCCAGCTGCCTGCTCTGGGCCTTACATCTGCCCCTCCTCACCACGTTCTCATCTGTAAAATGAAGTCATGCTAATACCCGCTTCACACAATCTGCGCAGATTGAATGGAATACTTCAGGTGAAGTGCTGAGTGCATGGTGAATGATCAATACTTGTCAGCTGGTACTAGTATTTCCAGACCAGAGGCATCCAGACCTCCCTCTGCAGCTCTGTCTAACCCTATCCTACCCCTGACCTTATTACTTGCTACTTCTCTTTGCTGTGTGACCTGGGGTAGGTTACTCGGCTTTTATGAGCTTCTGTGGCCTTATTTGTAGGCTGTGAATATTAGCGGTAATCATCTTCAAAATTCACCCATAATGGTATTGATTTCAGTAGCAGCTTAGGCTGTCCAGGGCAGGGGACTTGCTCACATTCTTCTAAAGTTCTTCTTAGCATCACGTAGAAATTCATTCCAGTGTTGACTCATGACGGTCAGCAAATTCTTCACCTTATCCAACTGAGTTATCTTTTGCTTTAAATTTCTATTTAAAGAAATCCTCTGTATACGAGGAAAGGATCCATTTGTTTTCTTTGTAAAACTCCTCTGTGTGCTTCAAGCAAGCATTAAGATAATGGTTACCCTCATCTCCTCTGAATCAGATAAGACATGACTTCAGAGCACTGCCGAATTGAGCCGATAAAAGTACAGGACACCCAGTTAAACTTGAATTTCAGATGAAAAACAAATAATTGTTTTTAGTATAAATAGGTCCCCACTATCGCATGAACAAATAGTGCATGGGACATACATCTATGAAGATAGTCATTGTGTATTTGAAATCCAGATGTAACCAAGTATGCTGTATTGCATATGGCAATGCTGTGCTGGCTAGAAGCCACACCCACAGGTTGACTAGTCCGGGCAAGTCCAAGGGAAACAATCATTCTTCCAGGAAATCATTGAGAACTAACACCCTTCTCCTTCCCGCCTGTCTATGCCCAAAAACCCCTTTTAGTATTGGGAGGCGCGCCTGACCAGAAATTCTGTCATGTTTTCCTTGGGGTTGGTTTCCAGAGCCACTGTTGTGGCAGCTTGGGCCTGTTTCATAGTGATCAATTTATGTATTGACAGAGCTATTGAATATTTGGTGATAACTGTAATCATCTGTTCTAAGTCTGCGTTTCCTCCTGAATGAAGTAATAACCCCTGGTGTTTAGTCTGCACTATTGGGAGTGATGTATAACACTGTTGGGATGTCAAGTGTATATGACATGTGCAGCTGTGGTCACTTCCCTGGACGGAGTCTTGCTACATGTGGAGCGTCATTTACGCCGCCAAACAGGGCTGCCTGGAGCTAGACAGAGCCAGACAGAGCCGCCATCCATTTTCCAGAGCCCAGAAACCGTGTCACCAGGGAATGATACGACATCGGCCTTCCTGCCCAGGGCTGCTGTGAGGATCTAGGAGAGACTGCCAGCAAAGCCTGAGACGGCCACTGTGTTTCTTCCCCTGCTCTGTCATCCAGTGGGAGCTGGTGGGTGAAATAGAGCCCCTTATCTAAAATGGAGCCGACCAACCTCCTGCTACAGAGGTGCCCACACCATTCACTTTCCTGGCTGTTTCCAGTGCCTGCCCTGCTTCTCTACCTGGCTCTGATTCTCAGAGCCTGTTTGCCTGTTTTCTTTTTTCCTTCCTTCCTTCCTTCCTTCCTTTCCTTTCCTTTTTTCTTTTCTTTCTTTTTCCTTCTTTTTCTTCTTTCTTTCTCTTCCTTCCTTCCTTCTTTTTCTTTCTTTTCTTCTTTCTTTTCTTTTCTCTTTCTTTCTTTCCTTCTTTCTTTCTTTCTTTCCCTTCCTTCCTTCCTTTTTCTTTCTTTTCTTCCTTTCTTGACAGAGTCTCACTCTGTCACCCAAGCTGGTTTGCAATGGCGCCATCTTGGCTCACTGCAGCCTCTGCCTCCAGGGTTCCAGCTATTCCCCTGCCTCAGCCTCCCGAGTTGCTGGGATTACAGGCGCCTGCCACCACGCCTGGCTAATTTTTGTATTTTTAGTAGAGATGGGGTTTTGCCATGTTGGCCAGGCTGGTCTTGAACTCCAGACCTCAAGTCATCCACCCGCCTTGGCCTCTCAAAGTGCTGGGATTACAGGCATGAGCCACCGTGCCCATCAGAGCCTGCTACCTGCTCAAGCCTGGTGGGTTTCCAGCGGTTTCTCATAACCAGCAATTCCTCAGTATCAGCTGTCTGCCATGGGCACCACCCCTGTGCCAACCGAGAGATCACAGATCTCCCTGGCATCCCTCCTTTCCCCTCTGCCAGCTCCCTGTCATGTCACTCTCCTATTTGGACTCAGTTTACCCATCGTCCAAATTTGCCACAAATTCCTTCAGCTTCAGAGAAGTAAGCCACATGGATGTTGGTTTCCCTCAAACTTGGATTCCCACAGCAGCTTCTCCCCTGCCCAGTTCTCAGAACATGGGCAAGGTTGCCAAACCTCGGTGCCCGGGTCTCAGTTGCTGCATCTGTTTTATAGGTGGCATATTTGTTCTCTATCACTGCTATAAGAAATTACCACACATTTAAGGGCTTAAAGAACAACACAAATGTATTATCTCGCAGCTCTGTAGGTCAGAGGTCTGGATGGAGGTGGCTGAAATCAGGGTGTCGGCAGAGCGTCGTTCCTCACTGGAGGCTGTGCGGAAGACTCTGCCTCCAAAGTCATTCACGATGTTGCCAGGATTCAGGTCCTGTGCAGTGAGCTCAGGTCTTGTTTCCTTCCTGGTGGTCAGTGGTGGGTTGGTGGGGTGCTTGCTCAGCTCCCCCACTCCATTTTCAAAGCCAGTAAGGACACATCACATCCCTCTCACTCTCTGAATCTCTCTCCTTCCTCTACCCCATCTCTTCTGCCTCTAGCCAGAGAACGTTCTCCGCTTTTAAGGGCTTATGTGATTAGACTGGGCCCACCTTAATCATCTCCCTATTTTAAAATAACTTCAATTCCATCTGCTAAGTCCCTTTTACTCAATTCTGGGGTAGAGGGCATGGATGTCTTTGGAGGGGGTGTTATTCTGCCTCCTGCAGCTGGGGAAGGATGTTATAGGGTAAAACAAGGTGTGTCCATTTCCCAAAAGGACACAAACCTGGTGGCTTAAAACCACAGGGATTTATTGTCTCACCGTTCTGGAGGCTAGAAGCCCCAAATCGAGTTGTCCATGGGGCTGTGCTCCCTCTGAAGCCTTAGCAAAGAATCCTTTCTCTCCTCCTGCAGCTCCTGGTGACTGCAGCCCTCTCTGGCCCTCCCTGGCGCTCCCTGGCCCTGCTTGGTGCTCTTTGATGCTCCCTGGCCCTCCCTGGCACTCCCTGGTGCTCCCTGGCCATCCCTGGCCCTCCCTGGTGCTCCCTGGCCCTCCCTGATGCTCCCTGGCCCTCCCTGGCGCTCCCTGGCCCTCCCTGGCCCTTCCTGGCGCTCCCTGGCCCTCCCTGGCACTCCCTGGCACTCCCTGGCGTTCCTGGCTTGCTGCTGCAGCACTTCAGTGGCTTCAGTCACACTGCGTTCTCCCTGTGCGTCTAAGTCCACACCTTTCTCTTGATATAAGGACACCAGTCATATTGAATTAGAGCCCACCCTAATGACCTCATCTTAACTTGAGGACATTTGCAAAGATCTTACTTCTTTTTCTTTTTTTTATTTTCTTTTTTTGAGATGAAGTCTCGCTCTGTCACCCAGGCTGGAGTACAGTGGCGTGATCTCAGCTGCAACCTCCGCCTCCTGGGTTCATGCGATTCTCCTGCCTCAGTCTCCTGAGTAGCTGGATTACAGGCATGTGTCACCACACCTGGCTACTTTTTTTTCTGTATTTTTAGTAGAGACAGGGTTTTACCATGTTGGCCAGGCTGGCCTTGAACTCCTGATCTCAAATGATCCACTCGCCTCACCTTGGTCTCAAAGTAAGTCAAAGGTTTTATTTCTTTTTCTTTTCTTTTCTTTTTCTTTCTTTTTTTTTTTTTTCTTTTTTTTTTTGTGAGACAGAGTTTCACTCATGTTGCCCAGGCTGGAGTGCAATGGCGCGATCTCGGCTCACTGCAACCTCCACCTCCCGGGTTCAAGCGATTCTCCTGTCTCGGCCTCCTGAGTAGCTGGGATTACAGGCACAGTCCATCACACCCAGCTAATTTTTGTATTTTTAGTAGAGACGGGGTTTCACCATGTTGGTCAGGCTGATCTCGAGCTCCTGACCTTGTGATCTGCCCACCTGGGCCTCCCAAAGTGCTGGGATTACAGGCGTGAGCCACTGCACCTGGCCCAAAGATCTTATTTCTAAATAAGGTTACATCCATAGATAAGAGGAGTTAGAATGATCACCTGTATATTTTTTTGGCAGGAGAGGAGGACGGTCACAATTGAACCCAAAGCACAGGTAACGCTGGAGAAGCAGTTAGCACAAGGCCTGACCTCTGGCCCACTTAATCTACAGTAGCAGTTGGCAATGCGCAAGTCAAGTCTCTGATGCTGTCTGGGTCCCTGTGGGTATGGACTGGGACAGCAAGTGAATGTGTGATGACAGCTTGAGAAAGCAGGCCTCCTCCCAGCCTCCTTCCTGACTGCCCCTCCTATCTCATGCTCAGCTTCCCTTCCACACCTCTACTCAGCCTGGCCCCCAGCCTGCAGTGCCCGTTCCCTTTTCCCAGCCAATCCAAATCTGCATCCTGGCCATCCTTCAAGTCCCACCTGCTCTGGGAGAGGCCGCCCTCACGTGCTGCACCCATCGGCAAGGTAGGTGATTAAAGATAGGAATGGACTGTACTGCTCAGCTGGCTGGAAACAGAGCCTGTCTATGAGGAAATGCAGAAGGAAGACTCAACTCTGTCAGAGAGAAAGGAAGATAAAGCAAGGTGCTGACTCAGTGGCTGAAAGGTTCGGAAGAAGAGCAATTTTCAGGCAAAAAATTGCACCCCCTGCCTATCTTGGTCCAATAACAATCCTTCTTGTAAACATGAACTGCTCTTCCTAGAAAGAACAACAATAACATCCAAGCACTCTTGCCAAGTTGGCCTTCCAGGGGCCATAATTCTTTGGGATCTGCGTGACATACAAGCCCCTAGGTACTGGCAGCTTACCACCCTTGCGCATTTACTATGTGGGGGCCTGCCTTATAATGAGGAGGAGGAGAGATTTGATAGATTCCATCAGCAGTCCAGAAATCTCACTGGTTTTGTTTTGTTTTGTTTTGTTTTGCACCTCCACATTTAATAAATGCGAACACGTGCAGACACAGAGCAGTCCCCAGCCGCAAGCAGAGTTCAGTGGAGAGTGAGGGCCTCAGCCGTCATTCCGTCGGATGCCTTCCAAACACTTCAGCATGCTGACCTCTCCTCGTTTCCGGAAAAATCCTTAAGCTCACTTCCCCAGGCCAGATGGGAACAGAGCTGGGAGGATGAGGGACAGCTGTTGCTGCAGGGGGAATGGAAGAGACAGGCAGGCTCGTTTTGGGCTGAAAGATGTCCCTAAGGGAAATCATCCTCCGTCGCAGGACACTGCCCCCCCCGAGGCTCTCACCCTGGTGGGGAGGGTCTCCCAGAGGCTGGTCTGATTATCCTGGCATCATCAGAGTGTAACCCAAGGCCTGGAAAAGACCAATAACTGTTTATTACATGAATACATAAATGGAAACCTGGACGTGAATTGAGGCCACCAGAGAAGATTCTGGAAGCCACCACCACTTGCAGTCGAGGCTTGGTCTCAACCTCACCCTGGTCCCAGAAGGAGGCTGTTCACCTCCCACAGGCTCAGCCCAGGCCCCACTAAGGGAAGAGTATGTGATTAAATGGGGCCACCTTTGGGCTCAGAGCGCGGCCCGCAGGTCAGAGCTGAGAGCCAACACCACATGGGGCAGGAAGGCTGTTGCAGCTGTTTATGTAATGTGTATCTAGAGGATAAATAAACTTCATTTTCCAGGGCTGCCAATCTCTAAACATGCCGAAATATACATTCGCTCAGAAACTTTAAAAAAAATAAACAAATGTGGTGGTGTTTGACCGAATCTTCCTAGCCTCACAGCCCTGGTCCTGACGACTCACCGTTCAGCTGGTTAATAAACCTCGTTTATGGATCCCCACCTATGGGCCTGCGTGTAAAAGTTCTGCTCCGAGGAATGTTCTCTGTTAGGATGTGGGGGAGGGAGAGTCCAAGCAGCAGATCCTTCTAGTACAGTCGCCAGCAGAACCCAGGAGGCCCACGGTGCAAGCCACGTACATGATCATCTTCAACTGATCCCGGAGGCGGCCACAAGCACCTGCCAGGTGCAGCCCAGCCAAGAGCAAGTGAGGTTAGGTGAGCCAGGTGAGAGGCGACCTGAGACATTTAAGTAGGGATTACCTCTTAATTGTGACTCTGAGGCACCTTAGATGGGCAAACATCTGCCACATCCCATGCCTACGTCCCCTTGTGGGGCATGCAGACAGATCAGGAGAAAATTCGGTTCTGGGCTTCACCCCTTCTCAAGCTGAGGCTGGCAGAAGGTACCAGGGGCTTCATCACCTCCTCCATTCATCTGCGCCATCATGAAGGGCATTTATGCATGTGCTTTTGGTCCACAAAGAGGGGCCTCGTGAAGCCCTCTAAGGCTTCATCAATTCATTAATTCATTCATTAATTCATGTATTCATTAACTGGTAGCGCATTTGGAGCTGGGTCCTGCTTTGAGTGCTCATTGGCCACACAACGGCGAGTGAGACAGTGGCTGCCTTCAAGCGTCTTATAGTCCAGGGGACACAGAGGCCAGGTTTTGGGAAACAGACACCCAGAGATGTCTTGGGGATTTGGCCAAGGCCTCCTCTACTAAGTAACAGAAAGGGACCCAGAGGTGGGTCTGATTCATTGCTGGAAGGTCTTTCTACCATTCAGTGGGTTGCTTTAACCTCGAGTTAAGGGTTTTGTGCTTGGAAAAGGAGAAGGAGGAAGGGAGGGAGGAAGAGTGAAAGAGGAGAGGGGAGAGGAAGAGAGAGGAGGAGGGAGAGCGGGGGAGGGTGTCCGAATGGCCATCCTAGTTCATGGGCTTGTCCAGCAGCAGTGACAGGACTCCAAAGTCAGGAATCACTGTCCCCTTTGTCAGGCGTCTGAGTGACTGCCATGGTGTCAGCACCTCCCAGCACCGAGGTGACAGCCTGGCTCCCACAGACAAACCAACCACTGTGCGGCTGCTCAGAAAACCAGAGAGCAGCTCCAGTCCCGGAAGAAAAACTGGTGGTGCAGGGCTTATGGGAAACAGCACATAGTCTCCAAGCATCTCTCCAGAGAGTTCCAAGGGGAATTCTGACTAAACAAGGTTTTCGCCTTCAGTACTAACCTTAGACCCTAACCCCTCCCCACAACAGCTCAGGCAGAAGGGGCCACCATGCCCCCAACACCCCAAAAGAGGTCTGGGCCTGTCACAGCTCTCACGTGAACACAGCCAGAAACACTCAGAGGACACGAATAAATTGCTGTGGCGGATGACACAGAGGTGCCCAGATCCTCCCTCAGGGCTGAGCCACTGCCGTGAGAGTTGGCAGCGACTCTCTGCCCAGTCCCTTGTGGGGAATTGCCCTGTGTGGAAGAGACGCCCCTCCCTCCCCAACTTGTTTTAGGGTGACCAACTCATCCCAGTTTGCAGGGACTGTCTCAGGTTTGACACTGAAAGGCCCACATCCCAGGATCCCCCTTAGTCCTGGGATGGGTGGTCACCCTAGCTGTTGGGGTGAGGGACAGGTGGTCACCCTAGTTGTTGGGGTGAGGTAGGGTGGGAGCACAGAAAGGCCTGGCCCCTCACCCAACGGGAGACAACTCTGAAAGACCACAGTAGCTCCAGGCGCTTTTGCCTTGACCAAGGCAGGTTCACTGGCACCAAGTTCCACCTCCTTCACTCCTCCGTGGCTGGGGATCCCAAGGCCAGCACCTCAGGAAGCTTCCTGTGTACAAATCTTGACCTCAGAGTCTAGCTCATGGGGAACCTGACCTCAGGCAGGACCACAAGTGGAATCGTGGTTTGGCAGCTTCTGGCATCTTGAGGTTGTCAACAGACACCACAGCAAGGGGCATCTGGGGACTGCAGGAGGGTGAGAGTCCCATGCCCACCTGGTCCCCTCCCGAGAGGCTCTCATTCTGCCCTCCGTGATTTTCACTTGCCCCACTCATGGAATATTGTTTGAAATAAAATGGATTCACATCCATTTAGTTCTGAAGCCTCTATGGCATCCCTGGAATTGGCAAAGATGCCCGGGGTGCTGCTAAAATGGGCTCCCCGAGGTGAGGCTTGGAGCAGCCACAGGGAGTCCAGCAATGGGAGGCACCCTGAAGTGTCGGGTACTCCAAGCCTTCCTTGACTTTCACTCATGTGAAAGATGAGTAAAGACAGCCTTTGGCATTTTGTCCACAGGGACCAAGACTTGACTTTAGAAAGCATCCAGATATTGCTGGCAGGTTGGAGGTAGAGGCAGAGAAGATAAGTAAATAACATGCAATCCACATGACGAAAATAGTTTGAGATCATCCAGGGAAGGAGAGGCTTCCTGATGCCAGAATGAGGACAGGGCTTTCCAGCTGACAAGGAAGGTCACCCGCCTATGAGTAAAAAATGAGTGGGTAAGGCACTTTGCAAGGGCCCCTTTGGTTCTAATATTGAAAAAATCACCACCCAGGTCCAGTTTTCATTGGAAATTTACACCCTAGCCAAACACTGCACTTTGTAAGAAATTAGGAAAAGACATTCTCTGCCTTCAGAAATTTTCACAAACCCTGCTATAAGTTTCATTTGTGCATTGTTGCATAACAAATGATCCTAAAATATAGTCGCTTAAAACAACAACCATTTATCATTACTTGCAATTCTGTAGGTTGACTGGGCTCAGCTGGGTGGTTCTTCTGTTCTATAGTGATGTCATCAGGGGCCACTCTCATCCAGAAGCTCAACTGGGCTGGAGTGAGCACTCTCTCATTCACTCACCTAGTTGGCAGTTCCTGCTGGCTGTCAGTCAGGGGCTCAGGTGAGCTGTCGATAGAAGCACCTCATTTTCCTTCCATATGGGCTCTCTACTAGGCTGGAGCTTATCACAGCATAGCACTGAATTCCAAGCAGGAGTGTTCCAAGAAAGGGAAAGCAAAAGTTGCAAATCTCTTAAGTCCTGACTTTGGAAGTTACACAACATTGCTTTTGTCACATTCTATTGAGCAAACCAAGTCATATGCCAGCCAAGATGCAAGAGGAGTGGAAAGAATCTTTACCCCTTGATGGGAGAGGTGGCAAAAACTTTGCAGCCACCTTTTAACCCACTGCAGGTGGTCACTGTTAGGGAAATGGAGAATGACACCCAACTTTGGTGACATTATTATAGTGCTAAAGACCCCAGTTCATGGAGTAAGGAGTCACAACAAACGGAGTGAAGGAGAGCAGTCACATCACAACTGGCAGGGAGACCAACAACCTGAGGGCACAAAGCTATAGAAACAAGAGAAACCTCTTCCTCTTTCACTCCCTGTGTGAGCAATGATGACAGGAGTGGAAACCTGGTGTTTTGAAGTCCATTGACCTGGTCTAGCCACCTTTTTCTTTCCTTCTTTTGAGTCTGGATAGGATGTTCCTCAGGCAAACAGGAAGTCTTCTTTAACTGCAAACTCCTGCTTCAAGTCTCCTGGTGAGATCAGACTAGGAAACCTACTTCCTCTCTGCACCCTTCAGTTCTGAGCTCCAAACCTATCATTCAACACTTGTTTTCCACAAGAAGTGACAACGCTGTGAACTAAATAAAGTGGAACTTCATCCTAGGGCTTAATTCATGTGTGGTAAGTTAAGACTACATAGGTAGGCCGGGCGAGGTGGCTCACGCCTGTAATCCCAGCACTTTGGGAGGCGGAGGCAGGCAGATCACCTGAGGTCAGGAGTTTGAGACCAGCCTGGCCAACATGGTGAAACCCATCTTTACTAAAAATACAAAAATTAGCTGGGTGTGGTGGCACATGCCTGTAGTCCCAGCTACTCGGGAGGCTGAGGCACGAGAATTGTTTGAACCTGAGAAGCAGAGGCTGCAGTGAGCCGAGATTGTGCCACTGCACTCCAGCCTGAGTAATAGAGTGAGACTCCATCTCAAAAAATAAAAAAAAAAAAATTACATAGAAAGTGCACATGAAAGAGAGGGGCACATACTTGCTCTTTTTTTTTTAACTCCTCTTTTAAAAACCTTTTTTTAAAAAAAGAAAGAAACCTTGTTTTTCACCCATCCCTCTCTGATTTCACATACATAGACTGCAGATATCACATCTTTAGCCCAGCATGGATCTCCGAGCTGGACCCCTGAGGAGACCCCTGCATACCCAGGAGGCCACTTCTATCAATTCCTTGAGCAAGCTGGGAGGATGGGTGTGGACGTCAGAAACAGCTTTAAATGCCTTCCCAATGAGGAAGGTGAAAACCACACCAGATTTCCAGAAAGTGATTTCTCACCTACAAGGCAATTTCAGAGGACGTGAGGGCAAAGCTTAGCAGCTCTGGAGGGCCACAGCCCCCGCGCGTCTCCACTAGTGCAGCAGTCTGCTCTCTGCATATTTTTCTACTTTCTTGTGCAACGTGTTCCCAAAACCAACTTACAACCAAGCTGGAATGAACAAAAAAGAGATTTGGTC